>NC_000001.11:35803835-36428835 GCF_000001405.40 Homo sapiens | reverse complement strand
ACAGCTGAGATTACAGGCGCCTGCCAACACGCCTGGCTAATTTTTGTATTTTTAGTAGAGATGGGGTTTCACCATGTTAGCCAGGCTGGTCTCAAATTCTTGACCTCAGGCGATCCGCCCGCCTCAGCCTCCCAAAGTGCTGGGATTACAGGCATGAGCCACCATGCCCAGCCAAAATAAAACAATTTTTAATTAAGAAAATGAATCCCAACTATAGGACTAGCTCCATGACCTTGGGCAAAATAACTTCTCTTAAGTCTTAGTTTCTTCATCTGAAAAATGAAAATTATAATACCTAATTTTGTTGGATTAACTGAAACAGCATATGTAACATATATGTATTTGTTTGTGCATATACAGAGAGAGTGCTTCTGGAAGCATATGCAAGAAACTGTTCACAGTGCACAGTGTTGCCTTCCAGGAGTGGGGAACTATATGGAGGACAGGAGAAGGAGACTGACTTTCCATTATGTATACCCTTTTGAGAACTTTGAGTTTTGTACCTGGGCAAAATAAAATTTTAAAAAGGGGAAGAAATGCAATGTATTTAGTGCCTTATTGTATTTCCCTTCCATGGACAAAGGAAGATAAATAGATTTCAATTCTGATGCCAAATTTTTCTTTCTTTTTTTTTTTTTTTTTTTTTGAGATGCAGTCTGGCTCTGTCGCCCAGGCTGGAGTGCAGTGGCACCATCTCAGCTCACTGCAACCTCCACCTCCCTGGTTCAAGCAATTCCCCTGCCTCAGCCTCCCGAGTAGCTGGGATTACAGGTGCACACCGCCACATCCAGCTAATTTTTTTGTATTTTTAGTAGAGACGGGGTTTAACCACGTTGGCCAGACTGGTCTTGAACTCCTGACCTCAGGCAATCCACCCGCCTCGGCCTCCCAAAGTGCTGGAATTATAGGCGCGAGCCACAGCGCCCGGCCTTATTTTTAACTCTCATGAAGAATTGTATTTGCTATGGATGAAGCAATAATAACATCAATATAAATTAAGATCTCTGTCATTGATTAAAATAAAAAATATGAAAGTACAAATAAGATTAAGTTTTTCATTAAATTTAAAATAACAATTTTGAAATATTAAAAATTCTGTATCATATTGTTATCAGGGCTGCATATTTGGGTATTATTTTATGGATTGGTAGTAACATAAACAGCCATATTGATTTCCCAGTTCCGACAAGATAAAATTCATTATAATGAAAAGGCTTTCAGCTGGGTGCAGTGGCTCACGCCTGTAATCCCAGCACTTTGGGAGGCCAAGGCGGGCAGATCACAAGGTCAAGAGATCGAGACCATCCTGGCCAACATGGTGAAACCCCGTCTCTACTAAAAATACAAAAATTAGCTGGGCGTGATAATATTCTGACTGGGAGTGATGGCTCATACCTGTAATCCAAGCACTTTGGGAGGCCAAGGCCGGAGGATTCCTTGAGCCTAGGATTTCAAGGCTGCAGTAAGCTATGATCATGTTCACTGTACTCCAGTCTATGCAACAGAGCAAGACTCTGTGTCAAAAAAAAAAAAAAAGGCCAGGCGCCATGGCTCACGCCTGTAATCCCAACACTTTGGGAGGCCAAGGCAGGTGGATCATGAGGTCAGGAGTTCGAGACCAGCCTGGCCAAGATGGTGAAACCCCATCTCTACTAAAAAATACAAAAATTAGCCAGGCATGGTGGCGGGCGCCTGTAATCCCAGCTACTCGGGAGGCTGAGGCAGGAGAATCGCTTGAACCCAGGAAGCAGAGGTTGCAGTAAGCCGAGATCATGCCACTGTACTCTAGCCTGGGCGACAGAGCAAGACTCCATCTCAAAAAAAAAAAGAGGCCAGGCACCATGGCACACACCTGTAATCCCAGCACTTTGGGAGGCTGAGGCAGGCAGATCACTTGAGGTCAGGAGTTCGAGACCAGCCTGGCCAACATGGTGAAACCCCGTCCCTACTAAGAATACAAAAATTAGCTGGGTGTGGTGGCACATGCCTGTAGTCCCGGCTATTCAGGAGGCTGAGGTAGGAGAATCACTTGAACCCGGGAGGCAGAGGTTGCAGTGAGCCGAGATCGCACCACTGCACTACAGCCTGGGCTACAGAGCAAGATGCTGCCTTAAAAAATTAAAATAAAAAAATACAGCAGGCGAGAAGGAAGGCAGGGAGACCAGACAGGAGGCTTCTGCAGTGGGGCAGGCAGAAAACAGTGAAGGCCTGCATAGGGAGCAATAGTTGGGGTGGAGAGGAAAGGCTTGGCAACTGAAGGGTTGAGGAAGAGACAAAGATGGGCCCTGTTCTGAGCAGGGGGAATTTGAGGTACATCCTAGGGGACCCATAGATGGAAATGTGTGACAGGCAATGGGATGGATGGGTCAGTGCCAGGGAAGGAGCTGGAGTGGGACCTTGAGATCTGGGAGCCATGAGCTCAGAGGTGAGCCCTGGAGTATGGGAGGAGACGAGATCACCTCGGAAAGGAAAGGGTGGAGGGAGAAGAAAAGGCCAGCAGAGGGGCTGAGCAAGCAAACAGACCTAACAGTCCTCTCCAGCCACTGGCAGAGTCTCAGGCCAAACACAGACACACACATGACCTAAATTTGTACATTTCAGATCTACCATGCCATAGTCAACCTCATAAGATTAAACTAACAGAGTTTCTAGCACATATAAATATTCCCAATTCTCCCTCTAAATTTTCTTTCTCCTTTCTTGTACTCACATCCCTTGGTCACAGAATCTTGAGGTTAAAAATGTCTTAAACGTCATCCAGCAAACCCTCTGACCAAACCAGTTTACATGTTCCCCTGAAAACGTGACTCACACCTGCTCATCTCCATCTCTGAAGTGTCTCTACACCTACCTTCTTCCTCCAGGCTCAGCTCCAGACCCACAGTCACGCCTGCCTCCCCCCAGACTCCCGGCATGCCAGCAGTCATTCTCCTCAGCAAGCTTCTATGCACCTGCTATGTAGCATGTCCTGCTTTAAAGTGTTATTTTCTCCATTTTATGCTTGTGTCCTGTGTCCAAATAGACTTGTAATAATAAGAGTATTGGCTACCATTTATTGAGCACATAGTCTATGTGTCAGCCTTTGCTTTTTTTTTTTTTTTTCCAGATAGAGTCTTGCTCTGTTGCCCAGGCTGGAATACAGTGACAAGGTCTCAGCTCAATGCAACCTCCACCTCCTGGGTTCAAGCGATTCTCCTGCCTCAGCCTCCCGAGTAGCCAGATTACAGGCACATGCCACCACACCCAGCTAATTTTTTGTATTTTTAGTAGAGACAGGGTTTCACCATGTTGGCCAGGCTGGTCTTGAACTCCTGACCTCATGATCCTCCCGCCTCAGCCTCCCAAAGTGCTGGGATTACTGGCGTGAGCCACTGTACCCAGCCGGCTTTACTTTTTATACACTGTCTGATTTAGTTGTCACAGTAACCCACCGAGTTATCTATTATTATTACTATTATTACCCCCAGGTTACCAAAGGGAAAACTGATGCACAGAAAGGTTGTGTAATTTCCCAAAAACCCAGAAGTGGCCCGTCCAGTATTTAAGCCTTCAGAGTCTAACATCAGTATGCCAAGCTGCCAGCTCACACATTCTTATCGCTTTGCATTTTCACTGCCTTGCACACAACAAATGCTTATTCTTTCCATTTTTTTTTTTTTTTTTGAGACAGAGTCTTGCTCTGTTGCCCAGGCTGGAGTGCAGTGGCATGATCTCGGCTCACTGCAACCTCCACCTCTGGGGTTCAAGCGATTCTCGTGCCTTGTCCTTGTGAGTAGCTGGGATTACAGGCATGAGCCACCACACCCTGGTAATTTTTTTATTTTTATTAAACACAGGGTTTCACCATGTTGGCCAGGCTGGTCTCGAACTCCTGACCTCAGGTGATCCACCCGCCTCAGCCTCCTAAAGTGCTAGGATTACAGGCGTAAGCCACCACACCCAGCCTAAGATACTTATTCTTGATTATATTACTAATATAACCTTATAGAATATTAGAGTTGAAAAGATCTTCAAGCTCATCTCTTATTTTACA
The DNA here is from genome assembly GCF_000001405.40 of Homo sapiens. Classification (NCBI taxonomy): domain Eukaryota; kingdom Metazoa; phylum Chordata; class Mammalia; order Primates; family Hominidae; genus Homo; species Homo sapiens. The sequence goes on along the minus strand of NC_000001.11, from coordinate 36,424,802 downwards.
GATAAGGAAGCCAAGACCCAGTAAAACTGATTAACTGCTACTATCTTTATGAGATTTAATCTGTGAGTGACCGAAACCTCTATACAGAGTACACGAACCCAGGAGAAGGAATAAGTGTAATGTGTTTTCAGTCACCTAAAAGATCCTCAAACTTAAATGTCAGCTGGATCCCCCTGCCCCAGCCCCATCCTTCTTTCTAGTCCAGCATGTGGATAAGGTTCGGGCTCCAAAGTCAGAATCACAGGAGTTTGAATCCTCAGCTCTGCCCCTTACCAGCTGGCTGACCTTGAGGAGGCATCTTAACCTCTGAGCTGCCTCATGTAGAAAGTGGCCATATGAGGTTCTTACAGCTCAAGGCCTGCAGCTGCATGGAAAGTAGGCAGGGAACCAAGGCATACGGGTGGAATTTGGAGTCACCTTTGGTTTTGAATCCTGGCCCTGCCTCTTAGCTCTCTTTGGGCAAGTCACTTCACTCTCTACTTTAGCTTTCTCGTCTTTAAAATGGGGGTAATAGGACTCACCTGGAAGGTTTGCTGCGCTGCTCAAAAGTAGTTCTGTTTGTAGCCGAGCACGGTGGCTCACGCCTGTAATCCCAGCACTTTGGGAGGCCGAGGCAGGCAGATCACTTGGGCTTAGGATTTTGAGCCTGGCCAACATGGCGAAAACCCATCTCTACAAAAAAATATAAAAATTAGCTGGGCACAGTGGCTCACACCTGTGGTCCCAGCTACTTGGGGGCTATGACGGGAGAATCGCGTGAGCTGGCGGGGCTGAGGTGGCAGTGAGGCAAGATCGTGCCACTGCACTCCAGCCTGGGTGACAAAGTGAGTCCCTATCTCAAAAAAAAAAATAGTTCTGTTTGTTAAAATACAGTTAACTCTGCAAGTGTAATTTTTTCTCCCTTCTTTTTTTTATTTTTTTATTTTTTTGAGATGAAGTCTTACTCTGTCGCCCAGGCTGGAGTGCAATGGCACGATCTTGGCTCACTGCAACCTCTGCCTTCCAGGTTCAAGCAATTCTCCTGCCTCAGCCTCCTGAGTAGCTGAGACTGCAGGTGCCCACCACCACGCCCGGCTAATTTTTTGTATTTTTAGTAGAGACAGGGTTTCACCGTGTTAGCCAGGATAGTCTCTATCTCCTGACCTCATGATCCGCCTGCCTCAGCCTCTCAAAGTGCTGGGATTACAGGCATGATCCACTGCGCCCAGCCTCTCCCTTCTTATTGTTATAAACTCATAGGTCATGTTCCCAAACCATTACGCACTTTCCACCCTCAGAATATTGATGTCTATGAAAATATACCAAGAAAAATGACAATAAATGTATTTTTTTCCAGGTATCCATGTTTCTAAAGGACAAAGTTCAGAATAATAACGGTCGCTTTGTGTTGCCGGTGTCCGGGCCTGTTCCTTGGGGAACTGAAGTTCCAGGACTCATCAGGTGAATTCCCAACAATGATCAGAGCTATGTTTGGGGTGCTAGGAAATCAGCACATGGGCCGCACACGGAATGCCGCACTGCCAAGCCACTCACAGTCTGCCCAGCCCTTCTCTTTCTTCAGTAAAACAGCTATTGAAAAAGTCAGGTTCTAATCCCCACCTTGTCACTTAGTAGAGGGACTTGAGGCAAGTTACCCAGTTCCCCAGGACTAATTTCCTCATCTGTTAAATGGTTACTGTGTGGATGAATAAGATAATAGTGCTCTAACGTGCTTACAAAGCAATTGGCACATACATATGCTCAATAAATATTATTATTGTATTATTATTATTATTATTACAACCAGCACCTTTATCTTGAAGGAGAGCATGTATTCCTTTTTTGTTCTGTAGTACAAAGAATAAAGAAGCCTCCAGGACTACCTAAGCTTGGAGAACATTCCATCATGTCATACTTTGTATTGTAGAATGTTCAACAACAAAGGTGAAGAAGTGAAGAGGATAGAATTCAAGCATGGTGGAAACTATGTCCCTGCACCCAAAGAAGGTTCTTTTGAACTTTATGGAGACCGAGTCCTGAAACTGGGAACTAACATGTAAGCAAATTCTTCTCTGAGTGAATTCAAGTCCAAGGGAGGTCACTTCATTTAAAAAAAAAAAAAGAGAAACAGCCAGACTTCTGCTATGAAAATCCCTGCCGACAATAGGAGTAATTTCCCCTTAGGTACACTGCATACAGAGGCCTGACATTTCAAAGGGCACCCAGGAACGCCAAACATAAGGCAACTCAACAGAATGAAAAGATACATGATGTTCAATAGCCATGCAAGAGAACTAGCCAAAATCTGTGTTGCAGTGGAAATCCAGAAAGACTTATCCGTTCTGTAAAGCTGCATATATTTTCAGTGATGCGTGTTACTCTTCACAAGAGGAGGCATTGCCACCCAGCCTCCCCAGGTGTTTTTCTTTAGGAAGAAGTGAAATGTGAATGGTTAACACACACTCAGTTGCATTCTGTACCCACAGCACCTTTCTGGATGCTATTTAATGTCTCAGAATAAAAGCTACAAACTATGCTTACGAGTTAGAGAGAAGTCCGTGGAAAGGGGCTGGATAATGTCACCATTTTCTGTTGACACACCAGGTACAGCGTGAATCAGCCTGTGGAAACTCATGTGTCTGGATCATCAAAGAACTTAGCCTCATGGACCCAGGTGAGCTTCTGCCTTCCTTGCCTACCCTCACAGCTTCTCTCTAGATACGGAAGTCTACATAAAGAGAGGTGAGAACGCTTTAGATTTCGGATCTAGCCAACATTTCCCCTGTTGTGTGCAATCTTCTCCATTCCACCTTACGAGTACACAGGTTTTAATTGTAGCTTTTCATGGAGACTTCCAGTGATCTCACTAATTAGGTAATTTTAGGCTTGGCTCGGCCACCATAATTAAGAGGAACCACACACCAGGACATATGCAGTAGCGTAGTACCAGTGCCATTAGGTCCGTGATTGCTGACATCAGCACTCGTGTGTATTCTGATCATTAAAACATTTCTTTTTAATGTTTCCCTCTATAGCACCGTGGTAGCTAAGTCAGAGTGGGGGGTTTTAGTTTCTCTGAATTCCATCCTTAGAAGTTTTCGCTGAACTAGCTCCCAGCTAGCTGTAGGAGAGATCACAGAATATTAAATTATTCAGCAAACATTTATTAAACTGCTTCTATGGGCTGGGGACCCAGGGACACGAAGCTGACGTAGATGTGGTCCCATCTTGAAGGGGCCTGTGGTACCCTGGGAAAGACGGTGAAAGAAACAACTCAAATGAGGTGGAGGAAGGGCTGGCTGGGGATCCTGCACAAAGTGCTGTGCCAGAGGAATTCATGTCTGTCCAGTGGACAGGGATCACAGGGATCAAGAAGGCATTTCAGAGGCGGGGATATTGAAGTGGGGCTCTAGAGTAGGTAAACTATGAAACAGCAGAGAGGGAGAAATGGGCACACGGACCAAGGTGACAGAGGGGCAAGAGTGTTCCCGGGAGGAGGATGGCGGTGTCTCCCACGAGGCTTACGTAACGGATCACAGTATCATGGAGGCTTGCTGGCAGAGACTCGCCTGGACAGGACCCTGGGGCCTGACCAGGAAGGGTGGTAAACAATTTGGGCTTTGTTCTTTCGACAGGAGGCAGAGGGCTTTGTTTCAAGCCAGGGAGAAATGAGACAAAAACTGCATTTAGGTAACTGGTGGTGGAGTGAGGGGAGAGGCAGAACAGGGGAGGCCAGGCTACAAGGAAGAGGGGTACAGGATGAGGCAGGATGAGGACTGTGAGAGGAGGGAATGGACTCGAGGGTGTGTTCCCGGCCGTCACCACCTGAGGGCAGTGTGGCAGCGCCTCTGGAAGGAGACTGGACTGAGGCGACTTGTAAATGCTGAGGGAAACCGATTGACAGGAAAGGAAGCCATACACTTCTTCAAGGAGGAAGGTAGTGAGAGGAGAAACGTGGATCCCTGGGGCTTCCACTCTTGCGGAAAGTATGAAAATCTCTGGTTTGCAAAGTTGCTACATTCCCTCTGCTACTGACGTGATTGTTTTTCTTTTGGTTAAGGCTGCTTTCTACACTTTATTTGGACCCAGAAATAATTTAAATAGCAATTGTTCTACCTTATTTTATAATACCTACCTGTGTCTCTGAGGTTTTAGCAGGAAATGTGATTGCCTTCATGTGGCTAAAAATCATGCAACTGTTTCTGCAGGAAAGCATTGCTCCAAACCCTCTTGCTAAAGAAGAGCTGAATTTCTTGGCCAGGCTGATGGGAGGGATGGAGATTAAGAAACCCAGTGGCCCTGAGCCCGGATTCCGGTTGAATCTCTTTACCACCGATGAAGAAGAGGAGTATGTTTTAAACCTGTTTCGTTAAAGACATATAAAAATCCCAAGCATGACAAGAACACAAAATGACTATTACAAACCAGTGGCACTTATAAATATTTGTGTAAATATCACAAATAAAATACCAACAAATTTAATAATCTAAATAGCCCACCAGGATGAAATGGCCTGAATCTTCCAGAGTCATTCAAAAAAAGAGATGGGGCCGGGTGCAGTGGCTCACGCCCGTAGTCCCAGCACTTTGGGAGGCCAAGGCAGGCGGATCACAAGGTCAGGAGGTCGAGGCCATCCTGGCTAACATGGTGAAACCCCGTCTCTACAAAAAAAAAAAAAAAATTAGCTGGGTGTGGTGGCACGCACCTGTAGTCCCAGCTACTCGGGAGGCTGAGGCAGGAAAATCACTTGAACCCGGGAGGCAGAGGTTGCAGTGAGCCAAGACTGCACCATTGCACTCCAGTCTGGGAGACACAGCAAGACTCTGTCTCAAAAAAAAAAAAAAAAGAGACGGTGTGATGGTGCGCACCTGTAGTCCCAGCTACCCACGAGGTTGAGGCAGAAGGATCGTCTGAGCCCAGGAATTTAAGGTTAAGCAAGCTGTGATCATGCCACTGCATTCCAGCCTAGGAGAGAGAGCAACACCCTGTCTCTAAAAAATGATAATAAACAAAACAAAAAAAGAGTTATAATGTTTTACTTATCAGAGAACAGCTGAATAAGCAGTGTTAGAAGCCAGGATGACCAGATTAAGACAGTGTGTTAAGAAACCAGAGTGAGGTTGGAGCTTGATTTCCCTGTATTAGACAGTATAACCCAAAACCAACAGCAATAGTAAATCACCCACGGTGATTTATAGTGCTTTACAGTTTACAGAGCACTTTTGCATGCATTATCTCATGTGATCCTCCTCAAAACCAAGTATTTGGCGTGAGTGTCACCTTTCATTGAACTATTAATAACTTCTTTTGTTTAATTCTGTGTGACAGGTACTATGTAAAGTCCTGGGAATGCAAAGATGTAAGACCTAGAGCCTGTCCTCAGGAAGCTCTCAGCTTAGTGGGAGAGTGAACGTGTACAGATATAAGTTATTTCAGTGCTGTGTCATGAATGCGCTAATTGAGGACAGTGACTGACTTTGCACTGGCAGATTGAAGGAGCTGGCATTTGATCTAGGTCTTGGAGTTTGCCAAGCAGAGGAAGGGAAGAAACATTCTTGGCAGGGCTTATAATGTGCAAAGTCACAGAGAGATAAAAGAACTTGACTTTCTAGGTCGTAGGGTACATTGGTGGGAGATGGGGTAGAAAGTTTAAGAGAAATGGCAGATGAGGCAGAAAAAATAGGTTGCCAACTGATCAAGAGCCAGTTTGCCATGCTGGCAGGGAAAGAACCCTAATGTTGCACCCATTTTCTTTACCATCTCATCCAGACAAGCAGCGCTAACCAGGCCAGAAGAGTTATCCTATGAAGTTATCAACATACAAGCCACCCAGGTACGTACAGGGGATAACACAGGGTCCAATCGTATTCGCTTCCTCATCTTTTTTTTTTTTTCTTGAGACAGGGTCTCGCTCTGTCACCCAGGTGAAGTGCAGTGGCTTGATCTCAGCTTACCGCAACTTCCACCTCCCAGGTTTAAGCAATTCTCATGCCTCAGCCTGCCGAGTAGTTGGGATTACAGGTGCCCGCCAATATGCCCAGCTAATTTTTTTTTTTTTTTTGTATTTTTAGTAGAGGTGGGATTTCACCAAGTTGGCCAGGCTGGTCTTAAACTCCTGACCTCAAGTGATCCACCCGCCTTGGCCTCCCAAAGTGCTGGGATTACAAAGGTGAGCCACCGTACCCAGCCTCCCTTCCTCCTTTCCTCATCTTATATAACGTTGAACTTCAGAGACCCTCTTTTTCAAGCAGGATTCAGACTACAATATAGCTGTTAAGTGCTGTATTGTCATTCCCCCTGCTCAAATTAAAGTTGTTTCTTAACTATACCCATCTGCTATTCTGTAGCAGCCAGGGATGCTTGGTCACATACATGTTGATTAAGAAAAAAAATATATAGACCCTCTTCTTCTCTCTGATCAGCCTGTAACTACAATCCCTTTTCTGACAAACAGGTGCGCAACTGAAACATATCAGTCATGGGACAAAAAACTAAGTGCCTAGTGCACAAAGAGGCGGCCTGCCAGCACAGCCTCTTCATGCCCTTTTACCTCTCATTTCCCTCATAGGACCAGCAACGGAGCGAGGAGCTGGCTCGAATCATGGGGGAGTTTGAGATCACGGAGCAGCCAAGGCTGAGCACCAGCAAAGGGGACGATTTGCTCGCCATGATGGATGAGTTATAGCTGTTCTGACCAGGCGTCCTCTGCCCCCAGGGAGAGGCTGCTGGATGGTGACCCCTGGGGAATGCCCCATGGCCCAGAATGATGCTGCTAGTTTTCTACTGAGTGAAGCCATTACGTCTATTTCTTATTTATGTTGTAAGGAACTGTGTGAGTCTCCCTTGAGGAGCACTCACTCTTGAAGGCACACACATACACATATTTTCAGTGAAATATATTCTGACTTTTAAACTTGACCTTTCCCATTTTATTCTTAATTCTGTGGCAGCCACCAAAAGCCTCCTGAGCCATAGGTTTGAGCCCCAGAGTGGGTAAGGGGTCACCCCTACTGTCATTTTCAGGATTACTATTTCAGCTTTCCTGTGGGGATCTACAAAGGCCTGTAAACATTAACAAAATCCTTGGCTTTCTGGGATACATTCTGCCTGTAGGCAAGCTTGAAATCAATGACTGTTCGAGGCAGTTGCCATAAACAGTGAGGGCTCAGTGTAAAAGACCCTCTTCTCCATGGCTCACTAGGAACTGTAACCTCAGAGGAAGAGTAAGCAAGGCCGTGACAGGGAACACTCAGCTGGCCCCAGGCAGGACATGCCAGCATCTGTACTTCCCGCACGTCCGTCTATCCATGCGGTGTCAGTTTATCCCATACTGACATGTATACCAAGAGAATATTTTCTTCTTTTCAGCATGACATGTACTCCTTACCCCCAGGGTCTTCCTCTACCCCTGAGTGTGCTTTGCCTTCTAAAGACACCCAGCATAGGCCGGGCACAGTGGCTCAGGCCTATAATCCCAGCACTTTGGAAGGCTGAGGTGGGCGGATCACGAGATCAGAAGATCGAGACCATCCTGGCTAACACAGTGAAACCCCATCTCTACTAAAAATACAAAAAAAATTAGTTGGGTATGGTGGCAGATGCCTGTAGTCTCAGCTACTCTGGAGGCTGAGGCAGGAGAATAGCATGAACCTGGTAGGCAGAGCTTCCAGTGAGCCTAGATCGCGCCACTGCACTCCAGCCTGGGTGACAGAGCGAGATTATGTCTCAAAAAAAAAAAAGATACCCGGCAGGATGCACTGTGACATCGGTCTCCTCTGCATCACCGTGAGTCACCAAACAGCACCCTAGATTGGGTGCATGGGAGGCACGTGTGGTATGCACCTTTCCCTTCTGCATTCTAGCTGAGCCGCTTCCCTGGGCGGGAGCAGACTTTGCAGGATGCAGCAGGAGGCCAAGTCTCACTGGAATCCATGTAAAATGTCTCCAGCCAGGGCTGCCCTTACTGCTTCAGAAAGGCGCAGCAGCCCTCTGCCATAGGCTCCTTCCCAGGACTGAGTAACTGGCAGGTTCAGACCCATTCAATCCTATGGAAGGAATATCCAGAATGGCAGAGGGCTGGAGAGAAACTAAGTTGAGCTGGACATTGCCTGAGATTGGGCCAACTACAGGAACCTCTCCATCCCCTCACACCTGGGACGGACCAAGGTGAACATCATTCTAGAATGTAATGGAAGCTGCCCTTTGGCTTTTCCAAAGGCAAAGGGTTTAGATACAGAATGTAAATCACCAAGGGCTGGGCATGGTGGCTCATGCCTGTAATCCCCAGCACTTTGGGAGGCCGAGGCGGGCAGATCAGTTGAGGTCAGGAGTTCGAGACCAGCCTGACCAACATAGAGAAACCCTGTCTCTACTAAAAATACAAAATTAGCCAGGCCTGGTAGCGCATGCCTGTAATCCCAGCTACTCAGGAGGCTGAGGCAGGAGAATCGCTTGAACCCAGGAGGTAGAGGTTGCAGTGAGCCAAGATCATGCCATTGCACTCCAGCCTGGGCAACAAGAGCGAAACTCTGTCTCAATTAAAAAAAAAAAAAAGAATATAAATCACCAAATAAATGTTAATTGCTCCCTACCCATTAAAGTTACACTTCCTTACCTATAAAGACACCCTCCCCCTCCACATACTCACGAAAAGTCTGTTGGGGAGGAGAAGCATATTGTGCTATAAAACACCTGTTGCATCAGATGTACAAAGTGCCTTTCGTTTTAGTCTCTTTTCAGCAATCTGGCCACCATTCAGGGGGGCCTGACTGGGTGACAGATGAATGGGAAGGTTCTGACCTGTTTTGAGTCCGGCTCCCACCTTGCTGTCACATATCAGAATGTCACTGCTCTGAGTGTGTCCCAGGGCCTTGGAGGTGGGCCGTGAGGTGCCGAGAAGCAGCCGCAGCCTCCTCCCTCCACCTATCCCAGAGCGATGCTGGTGATTTCAAACGTATCTGTCCTATCAGTAAATAAACAAGATGCAGATCTCTGGTATGACAGCTCCATGATGAGGCAATCTGTGAGTTTCATGTCTCTAGACTTGCACAGATATTAAGAAAAACAAGTTTATGGCCGGGCACAGTGACTGACGCCTGTAATCCCAGCACTTCGGGAGGCCGAGGTGGGCGGATCACAAGGTCAGGAGATCGAGACCATCTGGCTAACGCGGTGAAACCCCGTCTCTACTACAAATACAAAAAATTAGCTGGGTGTGGTGGCGGGTGCCTGTAGTCCCAGCTACTCAGGAGACTGAGGCAGGAGAATGGCGTGAACCTGGGAGGCGGAGCTTGCAGTGAGCCGAGATCGCGCCACTGCACTCCAGCCTAGGCGACAGAGCAAGACTCCGTCTCAAAAAAAAAAAAAGAAAAACAAGTTTATTTGCATGGTGGTTCAGGACTTCCAGAGAAAGCATGGGAGTCAGTAGGAGGTAAAGTAGATAAAAAGTAGGAGGTCGAGGCTGCAGTGAGCCATGACTGTGCCACTGTACTCTAGCCTGGGTGACAGAATGAGACCCCATCTCAATAAAAATAAATAAAGATTCTAAAAAGATTTTATTTTCTGCCTAAAATGTGGACAAAGTACTAAAAGCACACATATTCATTTAAAACCATGGCAAAGGGGCATAAGCATGTAATCCACCAATGCCCAGTGAACTTAAGGGGAAGGCATATGGTCAGAATCACAACACTGCACTCTGGCCCCATCCCCGCCCCCAATTCACCATGTCATCTTAGACCACTAACCCTCACCAAGCCTCGGGTCCCTCATCTATTAAAAAAGAAAAAGAATTCAAACTCAGCTTGCACAGATAAGTTCCTGAGTTTATAGCTTCCTGGGCCCTGCCCCAGGTGGGACCTGAGAATGGGAGTCTTACCCAGGCTGCCCTCCCCCCGCTGCTTTGGGGTATATCTGCTCTCTTTCAGCTCTTCTGTGACTGTAGCCTCTTCTCAACTAAGTTTCAAACCACCCCACTCTTGTTCTTAGGGTGTTAGAATGCCCTGTTGATTAAGTAAAGCAATGCTGCAGAAAAGCCAAAAACCAAAGGACTTTAATGGCTCCCAGAAGAAAGAAGTAATAAAAATCCAGAGCAAAGGAGGAAGAAAAAAGAAGGAAAATGTATTTATCTCTGAATTCTAAGAAGAAAGTCATCCCATTGTTCCCGAAACACCAGGCGTTTGGTCTAGGTCCTGCTGCTCACCGCACAGAAAGCCAATCTCTGAGATAAGTATTTTCAAGGAAGAAGGCTTTAATCAGGTGCTGCAGAGAAGATGGGAGCTCAGTCTCAAATCCATCTCCCTGATCGACTAAAGCTAGGGGTTTACATAGCAAGGAAGAAATGTAACAATGTGTAACAAAATAAGAACTAGGGAGGGGCAAGGGGGCATCTGGTGCCCCCATCTGGTAAGTTTCAGTTCTCTGATCCCATTTTTTAGGGGCCTGAAGGTCCTTTCCTGAGAAAGGAACTTAGATAAAACAAATACAAGTTTCAAGCTTTAACAGCAGAAGGATCAATGTCTACGTTTATCCAAAAGAACAGTCTATGGGCCCATTTCACCATGTAGTCCCCGTGAGTATCTAACAATTTTTATTTATTTTTGAAACAAGGTCTCATTCTGTCACCCAGGCTGGAGTGTAGTGGCACAATCACAGCTCCCTGCAGCCTCGACCTCCTCAAGCGATCCTCCCACTTCAGCCTCCCAAGTAGCTGGGACTACAGGCACGTGCCATCACACCTGGTCTCACTATGTTGCCCACGCTGATCTCAAACTCCTGGTCTCAAGCGATTCTCCTGCCTCAGCCTCCAAAGGTGCTGGGATTACAGGCGTGAGCCACCACGCCCAGCCTTCTAACAATTTTTTGTTTTTAGACAGAGTCTTGCTGTGTCGCCCAGGATGGAGTGCAGTGGCACAATCTCAGCTCACTGCAACCTCCACCTCCTGGGTTTAAGCAATTCTCCTGCCTCAGCCTCCCAAGTAGCTGAGATTACAGGCATGCACCACCATGCCTGGCTAATTTTTGTATTTTCTTAGTAGATATAGGGTTTTGTCATGTTGGCCAGGCTGGTCTCGAACTCCTGACCTCAGGTGATCCACCTGCCTCGGCCTCCCAAAGTGCTGGGATTACAGGCGTCAGCAACTGCACCCAGCCCTTCTAAGAATTTTTAAATTCTTCCCTCAGATATCCCAATAAGAGAGAAACAGGCTTCAGCATAACCAGATCCTGGAGATGCCCAGATCTAAAGTGGATCAGATTCCCTCATCCACATCCATCTAGTCTATAACCATCTGGTCTGTCACTCTGGATTACATTCAGTATAGAGCCACACTGTCCATTTTGGAACCATCTCAAGCTACAGGAAACCATAGAAAGAGAAATGCAAATTTTAGAAAATATGTATTTAGCATAATACCTAATCTTAAAGACCAAAATTAAAATCAGAAAACTAATACTACCTCTACCTACCTCTTATTCTCTCCAAATTATGCCTTGGATAACTCCTTTTCAGCTGCTAAATTCCTGGACAGGTGACAGTAGAGAGAATTACAGGACAGGCTTGGGATAAGGAAACCTCCACATTGAATCTTCCCTGCATAGCTTCCTGATTTGGTGTGAAGTAAATTCTCAGATCATAACTTACCCCTTTGCAAGTGAGAATGTCAAGATTCATTCCAAGGGTCAATGGAAATTGTTTTTGATTATTTGATTACCTTAACACTTCACCACCACCACCTCCATACATGTGTACATTCTAGATTCTTTTTGTTTCTGGCCAGTGGTGCCTCTGCTGACAAAAATAACATTACCTTCTCTGTTAGTTCCTAAGACAGCATGAAAACTCAACTGCATGGCCAGGTGTGGTGGCTCACGCCTGTAATCCCAGCACTTTGAGAGGCCAAGGCAGGTGGATCACCTGAGGTCAGGAGTTCGAGACCAGCGTGGCCAACATGGTGAAACTCTGTCTCTACTAAAAATACAAAAATCAGCCAGGTGTGATGGAACATGCCTATAATCCTAGCTACTTGGGAAGCGGAGGCTTAGGCAGGAGAATCGCTTGAACCCGGGAGGCAGAGTTTGCAGTGAGCTGAGATGGTACCACTACACTCCAGCCTGGGGGACAGAGCGAGACTCTGTCTCAAAAAAAAAAAAAAAAAAAACCTCAATTGCATTAGGCCCGATGGAGCCACACACCACCAGCAGTGCCAGCAGTGCCAGCAGTGCCAGCAGTGCAAGAGGCAGGCCGCAGGGCCTAGATGTGCACAATCACCTCAGATCACTGTGTCCTTCATTTTCTTTATAGAGCTCCCTCACTTCCTTTTGAAACACTGAGGCCAGCAGGTTTCCCAGCAGGGGGCCCCGTGTCAGCAAAGGACATTTGACCCCAGTTTTCTAGATATCCTCAAGACCTCTCAGCTTAGGTTACAACTGACAAGAAGCTAATATTTGTTTTATATTGATTAATATTGCATGTGTCCCTCATCTTTCCTCCCTACCTCAAGTATATTCTGCTTCAGGTGTTTATCTGAGTGGCTGCTAAGGCTCTCCTCCTCCTGTACAAACGTGCCCAGCTGAGGCAGGAGGCAGGAGACAAGAACCTAAGGCCAATTTGCGCTGCCTTCCTAGAACTGAATCAAAACGAAAACCCCACCTCTCCACGCCCAAGTAAGGAAAGGATCAGAAGCTACTCCCTTTGCAACCCCCCCTTTCCACTGCCTCACAGATGAAAAATGGAAAGTACCTCTGATTGGTCCCCTCCCACAACCAATCTGACTGGTCGTGGGGCAGGTTTCATTTACATAGGGTGTAACCAAGTAACCAATGGGAAACCTCTAGAGCATATTTAAACCCCAGAAAATTCTGTAACCAGGGCTCTTGCTGCTTGCTCGAGCCTACTCCCACTCTGTGGAGTGTACTTTTGTTTCAATAAATCTGTACTTCTGTTTTGCTTCTTCTCTCGTTGCTTTCTTTGTGCATTTTGTCCAATTCTTTGTTCAAAATGCCAAGAACCTGGACAATTCAGTCAGGTTACCTCAACCTGTTACCCTCAACCAGTACTGGTTACCCTCAACTGGTAACACAGGTACTCCTTCGGCCCCTACTTCTCCAGGGGCTGCTTCTCTCCATCTTCATTGTTCTAGCCATTCTCCTCTGTTCCTCACCACGTACTCATCAGCTTCTCGGCTATGGGGCCAGCACTGCACTGCACAGATCTCAACTCTCAGGTCTCCAGGTGCCAACATTGCTATTAATAGATCCAATAGCCTTTTCTCATCACCATGCTCCTTGGCTTTTTGGTTTTCTGTTTTGTTTTTGAAACAGGGTCTCACTCTGTTGCTCAGGCTGGAGTGCAATGGCACAATCATAGCTCACTGAGCCTCCAAACTCCTGGGCTCAAGTGATCCTCCCGCCTAGGCCTTCCAAAGTGCTGGGATTATAGGCATAAGTCACCACGCTTGGCTTCTTGGCTTTTTGAAAGCTCTTGGCCCTGCTAAACACCCTTTTCTTCCTAAAACTCTCTCAACCGTTCACCTCTGTGGCTCTAATCACAACACTTTCTTTTTTTTTTTTTTTTTTTTGAGAAGCAGTCTCACTCTGTCGCCCAGGCTGGAGTGCAGTGGCGCGATCTCGGCTCACTGCAAGCTCCACCTCCCAGGTTCACGCCATTCTCCTGCCTCAGCCTCCTGAGTAGCTGGGACTACAGGCGCCCGCCACCACACCCGGCTGATTTTTTGTATTTTTAGTAGAGAGGGGGTTTCACCGTGTTAATCTGGATGGTCTCAATCTCCTGACCTCGTGATCCACCTGCCTCGGCCTCCCAAAGTGCTGGGATTACAGGCGTGAGCCACTGCGCCCGGTCTAATCACATCACTTTCTGACCATACATCCTCTCTCTCCCTCAGTGCCTTCTGATTGAGGACTGCTCTGTATGATACAGAGTTCAACACAGCCATTTTATAAAGTCTGTCAAAATAGCCAAGTCAATGGCAGAGGATCATTATTTCATCCTTGGCTGTCTTTCCCATTCCTTTCCCACTCCTTCGCCTTACCTCTCACTCTCACTCCATTTCTCATCCTCAGCCTATTCCTTATTCTCATCCCATTGCTGATCCCAATGTCTGATGTGCCCGGCAGGGTTTACACCCCTTCTGAGAGTTATTCTGCATCACTTATTTTTCAAAAATGTCACTACCTTCAACCCTTAACCTCTGTGTTGTCATCCCATGCCCACCTGTGCTGCAGGCTCTCTTTCCATGGATGGTCCACATCACCTCACACTCCGGTGTCTGAAAATGCAGTCATTTTCATTGATTTAGTACATTTACTTCACTTTCAAAAGGCATGAAGAGGTCAGGCATGGTGGTTCATGCCTGGAATCCCAGCACTTTGGGAGGCTGAAGCAGGCGGATCACCTGAGGTCAGGAGTTCAAGACCAGCCTAGCCAACATGATGAAACCCCATCTCTACTAAAAACACAAAAATTAGCCAAGTGTGGTGGCATACACCTGTAATCCCAGCTACTGGGGAGGCTGAGGCAGGAGGATTGCTTGAACCCAGGAAGTGGAGGTTGCAGTAAGCCAAGATTGTGCCACTGCACTGTAGCCTGGGTGACAGAATGAGACTCCATCTCAAAAAAAAAAAAAAAAAAAAAAAAAAAAAAAACCTTGAAAATTTATTAATTAAATATAATACAAAATAGGACAGTTTTCCATAGAAAAGAACTAGAAGCAGCTGCCAGAATAAGTGTCTTTCTCCCTTCTTAGAACAACAAAAAAAATGACAATGCTCACATTTGACATTTGTGCATTGGATTCCCTTCTGAATGAATAAAAAGGAAAGTGTTTGATATAATTCCTGATGGGTGTGTGTTGTTTTTCATGCCACCGTTTGTCATTGTGGTTTCCCATTTTACTGTCATAACTGGACAGACATTTTTGTAAATTCAATAAAAATACAAAAAAAAAAAAGGTTTTAAAAAACTGGAAGCACATGGGTAGAAGTTACCAAAAGCTTCCTGACCGTGAAGTAGATCAGCTGGCAAAGAAGCGAGTTGCTGTCACTGGAGTGGTTCAGATAGAGGTTAGGGGGGAGCATCACAGAATGTCATAAAGGGTATGTTGGTACTGGGTGGTAAATTGGAGCAGGTGACCTGGGAGTCGACCCTAACTCTCAGGATTTTGTGATCCTCTGACAATTGGAAACAGAACCACAACAGAGCTCACCTAAAGAGAACAGAGAGGCTGGGCACGGTTGTTCATGCCTGTAATCCCAGCACTTTGGGAGGCTGAGGTGGGTGGATCACGAGTTCAGGAGTTCAAGACCAGTCTGGCCAAGATGGTGAAACTCCATCTCTACTAAAAATACAAAATTAGCCAGGCACAGTGGCGGGTGCTTGTAATCCCAGCTACTCGGGAGGCTGAGGCAGGAGAATTGCTTAAACCCAGAAGGCAGAGGTTTCAGTGAGCCGAGATCGTGCCACTACACTCCAGCCTGGGCGACAGAGTGAGACTCTGTCTCAAAAAAAAAAAAAGAGAGAGACTAGACAGGCCGGGCGTGGTGGCTCACGCCTGTAATCCCAGCACTTTAAGAGGCAGAGGCAGGCAGATCACCTGAGGTCAGGAGGTCGAGAGCAGCCTGGCCAACATGACAAAACCCTGTCTCTACTAAAAATATAAAAATTAGCTGGGTGTAATGGTCTACTCCTGTAATGCCAGGTACGTTGGAGGCTGAGGCAGGAGAACTGCTTGAACCTGGGAGGTGGAGGTTACACTGAGCCAAGATCACGCCACTGCACTGCAGCCTGGGTGACAGAGAGAGACTCTGTCTCAGAAAAAAAAAAAAAAAAAAAAAAAAAAAAAAACAGAGAAATTCAAGGCTCCTGGAATGAACTCATTTCAAGTGCACCTTGTACTAGTTAGGGTTTTGGCTACAAAAAAATGAAACCAGTTCTAGCTATTTCAATAGAAAAGGAATTTACTGAAAGGACATCAGGCAACTCAAGAGTTGTCAGGAAGATGGGAGAACCATCAGAAAATGTCCAGGAACCAAGGAAGTGTGGGCAGTGGAGGGAATAATTCCAGCACTGGAACCACCATCAGGAATGCAGCTCTGGATGACGCATACACCAGGACAGAGCCTGAACAGTTCCTGCTGGTTTGTGTCACTTGCTCCCGATGTAAACTCTGATAATACTTGAATTTATGTCACAAGCCCACATCATAGCAGACAAGAATCAAAGACAATATCTGGCCTTTAAATCATCTGTTGTGATGAGATTCTCCCACTGAAGTCCATAGAATGTCAGATTTCCCCAAACATAGGGAAGGAGTTCAGTTGCTGAGTAGCCAAACAGTGAGATCTCCTCCACAAGCAGCAACCCCAACTCTGCCCCTCTTATTACTAACAATCTCTCTGGATACCCAGTGTTAATTTTTTTTTTCTTTTTTTGAGACAGTGTCTCTCTCTGTCACCCAGGCTGGAGTGCAGTGGCGTGATCTTGGCTCACTGCAACCTCTGCCTCCCAAGTTCAAGGATTCTCCTGCCTCAGTCTCCTGAGTAGCTGGGACTACACCGCCACCACACCTGGCTAATTTTTGTATTTTTAGCAAAGACAGGGTTTCACCATATTGGTCAGACTGGTCTCAAACCCCTGACCTTGTGATCCGCCCGCCTCGGCCTCCCAAACTGCTGGGATTATAGGCATGAGCCACCAGGCCCGGCAATTTTTTTTTTTTTTTGAGACAGAGTCTCACTATGTTGCCCAGGCTGTAGTGCAGTGGCGCAATCTCGGCTCACTGCAGCCTCGACCTCCTGGGCTCCATCAAGTGATCCTCCCACCTCAGCCTCCTGAGTAGCAGGGACACCCAGCTAATTGGCTAGTTTTTTAAACTTTTGTAGAGATGGGGTTTTGCCATGTTGTCCAGGCTGGTCTCAGCCCCCTGGGCTCAAGCAATCCGCCCATGTCATCCTCCCAGAGTGCTAGAATTACAGGCATGAGCCACCGTGCTCAGCCTCAGTGTTAAAATTGATTCCTCCTCCTTCCACCCACATTCCAGATGTGATCAGCCTCCAAGGATTCTGACTGGCTCTTTTCATGGGTCTTTAACATTCATCCCTCCTTTCCATTCCCACTGCAACTGACCATCTTCATTTAGATCCTGATCACTTTTTCATCACATTCATAAAACTAGTGTTCCTCATACCACTGCAGTTTACAGTGTGAAGCATCTGGGCCTCCTAAGGTCTTCTCTCTGACCCAACATTCAGGAGACTAGCAGAGGAGGTATGATTTATGTATTAGCTGGGCATAGTGTTACGTGCCTGTAGTCCCAGCTACGCAGGAGGTGGAGGTGGAAGTATCGCTTGAGCCCGAGAGGTTGGAGAGGTTGAGGCTGCCATGAGCCGTGATCACGCCACTGCACTTCAGCCTGGGCGACAGTGAGACCCTGTCTCAAAAAAAGAAAAAAAAAAAAAGATTTATGTAAACAACTATGGTGAATCTGCATGCAACAAGCAAACTAGGAAAGGTGTGAGCAATATGCTATAGGGGTCAGAAGAGAGACATCGCTCCCAGCTCAGGTAGCAAAGGCAGAGGCGAGAGTGTCGGGTTCCTCTGTGGATTGCTGAGTGGCTGAGTCTGACTAGAGAGTAGGCCAGCGGGTATCAAATTTTAGTGCACATTGTTAGATGTGCAAATGCATAGGCCCTACTTCCGATTCCATAGGTCTGGGATTGGGTTAACAAGCATTCCAGATAGTGTTAAGGCAACCCATTCTCCTACCACACTTTAAGAAACACTGAATCCCAGCATTTTGGGAGGCCGAGGCAGACAGATCACGAGGTCAGGAGTTTGAAACCAGCCTAGCCAAGATGGTGAAACCCCGTCTCTACTAAGAATACAAAAATTAGCCAGCCATGGTGGTGGGTGCCTGTAATCCCAGCTACTTGGGAGGCTGAGGCAGGGAATCGCTTGAACCCAGGAGGTGGAGGTTGCAGTGAGCTGAGATCACACCACTGCACTCCAAGTTGGGCGACAGAGCAAGACTCTGTCTCAGAAGAAAGAAAGAAGAGAGAGAGAGAGAGAAGGAAGGAAGGAAGGAAAGAAGGAAGGAAGGAAGGAAGGAAAGAAAGAAAGAGGAAGGAAGGAAGGGGAAGGGAAGGGAAGGAAGGAAGGGAGGGAAAGAAGGAAGGAAGGAAGGCAGGAAGGAAGGGAGGGAAAGAAGGAAGGAAGGCAGGAAGGAAGGAAGGGAAGGAAGGAAGGCAGGCAGGAAGGAAGGGAGGGAAAGAAGGAAGGAAGGGAAAGAAGGAAGGAAGGAAGGAAGGCAGGAAGGAAGGAAGGGAGGAAGACTGGGGAGTTTGGGCAGAGAACCTAACAGAGATCCAGCTAGAAGATAAAATCAAATTATGGAGGGCTTACTTAAATGTCAGCATTAGAATCTATTCTGCTAGTAAATTGAAAGTGTTCTTAGCAGGTAAATGATAGAATCAGAACTGCGTTTTGAATCTGTTGGCAAAAAATTGTAAGCAACACAAAGACCAGTGAGATGGTTTTGATAATAAATTAAGGCCAGGCGTGGTGGCTCATGCCTGTAATCTCAGCACTTCGGGAGGCCAAGGCGGGTGGATCACCTGAGGTCAGGGGTTCAAGACCAGCCTGACCAGCATGGAGAAACCCCATCTCTACTAAAAAATACAAAATTAGCTGGGTGTGGTGGCTCATACCTGTAATCCCAGCTACTCGGGAGGTGGAGGCTTAGGCAGGAGAATTGCTTGAACCCAGGAGGCAGAGGTTGCACTGAGCCGAGATTGCGCCATTGCACTCCAGCCCGAGTGACAAAAGCAAAACCCCCATCTCAAAATTAGCCAGGCATGATGGTGTGCACTTACAGTACCAGCTACTCAGGAGTCTGAGAAGGGAGAATCATTTAAGTCCAGGAGTTGGAGACGGCAGTGAGCTATGATCACTCCACTGTACTCTGGGCTGTGCAGCTGAGCAAGACCCTGTCTCTATTAAAAAAAAAAAAAAAAAAAAAAAAGTAAGTAAATGATGGCAGAGATACTTCAAAGAATTTGCAGGGCTAGTGACTGAGTGATTGTGACAGGTGTGGGGGAATCAAGAAATTATAGAAGTTATCAGCTGGGTGAGGTGGCTCATGCCTGTAATCCCAACACTTTGGGAGGCTGAGGCAGGAGGACCTCTTGAGCTCAGGAGTTTGAGACCAGCCTGGGCAATGTGGTGAAACCCTGTCTCTACTAAAAATACAAAAAAAATTAGCCAGGTGTGGTGGTGCATGCCTGTAGTCCCAGCTACTCTGGAGGCTGAGGTGGGAGGATCACTTGAGCCTGGGAGGTGGAGGTTGCAGTGAGCCAAGATCATGCCCCTGCACTCCAGCCTGGGTGACAGAACAATAACTTGTCTCAAAAAAAAAAAAAAAAAAAAAAAAAGGCAAGGAAGAAAAAATTATAGAAGTTATCAAGGTTACTCAAGGTGCCCAACTTAGGTAGCTGAAAAATGGTGGTAGCAACTGCAGAAATGGAAAAATTCAGAGCAGGAACTGATTTGGAAGGGACTTGATGAATTTTTCTCAATAGACCTACTGGGTTTTGAGTAGCAGTAAGACATCTGGGGAATAAGCAGTGTAAGACATGGGAAAATGGAGATCCAGAGAGCAGTGTGGGCTGGGGCACAGACCCGGACTCAACAGCATGGGAGGAGACAGCTCAAGACAGCTACCCTCAGGTAGAGGAAATACAGCCCCAGAGGAAACACGCACGTTAGGGGACAGGAGAATGAAGTGGGCTTAAAAAGAGAGAAAGAGATAAATGGAAAAGAAGCAATCAGAGAAATGGGTGAAGATAAATGACACAATGCCCAGAAAAAACAAAATACCAAGGAGGAGGGTGATCAGAATGCTCGAGCACTGAGGGGGATGCCAGAAGCGAGGACTACAAGAGGGGATATGGGTTTTAGGAACAGGGATATCATTAGCAACCTTTGCTGAAAAAGTTATTGGGGTCTTGGGAGTAGAAACCAGGTTCCAGTAAGCAGAGCCATTGGTGTGAGAAAGTGGAAGCCTCGGCCGGGCGCAGTGGCTCACGCCTGTAATCCCAGCACTTTGGAAGGCCAAGGCGGACCTGATTACGAAGTCAGGAGATGGAGACCATCCTGGCTAACACGGTGAAACCCTGTCTCTACTAAAAATACAAAAAATTAGCTGGGTGTAGCGACAGGCGCCTGTAGTCCCAACTACTCGGAGGCTGAGGCAGAAGAATGGCGTGAACCTGGGAGGCGGAGCTTGCAGTGAGCCGAGATCCCGCCACTGCACTCCAGCCTGGGCGACAGAGCCAGACTCCGTCTCAAAAAAAAAAAAAAAAAAAGAAAGAAAGTGGAAGCCTCACTGTACAGCAGCAGTTCTCAAACTTCTTCTTGGTCTTGGAACCTCTACATACTCTTCAAAATGATTGACAGATTATGTGGGTTATATGTATTTTCTGTCATATTGGAAATTAAAATAAAAATGTAATATTAATTCATTCAGAAATTAACTCATGAACATAAATTTACATTATATATAAATATATAAACTAACATATTTTATATATAAAATATATAATAAACTCACAAATTTATATATATACATGTATAAAATATATAAACTCACCAGCATTAGTTTATATATATATAAAATGTATAAACTCACTAACATAAATTTATATATATATATATAAAATATGTTGGCCGGGCGCGGTGGCTCACGCCTGTAATCCCAGCACTTTGGGAGGCCGAGGCGGGTGGATCACGAGGTCAGAAGGTCGAGACCATCCTGATTAACACGGTGAAACCCCGTCTCTACTAAAAATTAAAAAAAAATTAGCCGGCCCTGGTGGCCGGCGCCTGCAGTCCCAGCTACTCGGGAGGCTGAGGCAGGACAATGGCGTGAACCCAGGAGGCGGAGCTTGCAGTGAGCCGAGATGGCGCCACTGCACTCCATCCAGCCTGAGCGACAGAGCGAGACTCCGTCTCAAAAAAATAAATAAATAAATAAATAAACAAATAAATAAATAAAATAAAATATGTAAACTCACTAGCATAAATTTATATATATAAATTATATAAACTCACTAACATAAACTCGCTAACATAAATTTCTATATATATAAAATATATAAACTCACTAACATAAATTTGTATATACATAATATATAAACTTACTAACAAATTTATATATATAAATTATATAAACTCACATTAACTCACTAACATAAATATGTATGTATATAAGTTACATAAACTCACTAACATAAATTTATAAACTATATAAACTCACTAACATAAATTTTATATAAAATATATTAACTTACTAACATAAATTTATATATAAAAATATAAACTCATTAACATAAATTTGTATATATAAAATATATAAACTCACTAACACATTTATATATAAAATATATAAATGCACTAACATACATTTGTATATATATAAAATATATAAACTCACTAACATACATTTGTATATACATAAAATATATAAGCTCACTAACATACATTTACATATATATATATATATATATATATATATATATATATATATATATAAAAAATATAGGCTGGGTACAGTGGCTCATGCCTGTAATCCTAGTGCTTTGGGAGGCCGAGGCAGGTGGATCACCTGAAGTCAGGAGGTCGAGACCAGCCTGGCCAACATGGTAAAACCCTGTCTCTACTAAAAATACAAAAATTAGCCAGGCATAGTGGTACGCACCTGTAATCCCTGCTACTTAGGGAGCTGAGGCAGAAGAATCACTTGAACCTGGGAGATGGAGATTGCAGTGAGCCAAGATCACACCACTGCACTAGCCTGGGCAACAGAGCAAGACTCTGTCTCAAAAAAAAAAAAAGTGTGTGTGTGTGTGTGTGTATATATATATATATAAACATAAACTCACTAACATAAGTTTAAAACTTATGTAAGTAGCAGTATTATCAACAATGAGGTTTATCTGCGGCACAATTCTCGCTCACTGAAAAATCCCAACACCCAGCCATGAAAACTTGCAATATAGTCGGCATTGGCAACTTTTGACAGTCTCTATGGAGACTGAATATTTAAAAGAAGAGAAGCAAATCCAGTCTCACATAGATAGCTGGAAAAGTGATCATACTTGCGGAAAGGCTGGCATAAGGGCCTTTTGAGAAGTTTGACTGTGGAAAGTAAGAAAACAGTAGATTGCATGGAGGAGAAAGACAATTTTATTTTTAGAATAAGAAGAGCCCAACTGTGATTGCTGATAAAAAGGGAAGCCTCCTAGGAGAGATGGAAATCAATGAATGAGAGAGTGAAGGAATGAAAGAAGCCTCTTTTTTTTGTTTGTTTTTTGTTTTTTTTTGAGACAGGGTCTTTGTCACCCAGGCTGGAGTGCACTGTGCAGTGGCACAGTCATAGCTCACTGCAGCCTCAACCTCCAGGGCTCAAGAGATCCTCCAGCCACAGCCTCCCACGTAGCTGTGATGGCAGCAGCGGCCCATCTGGAGCAGCCAGCTTCAACCACTTCATGCCAGGCAGAGGTGCAGCTGGGGCTACGTGCTCTGTGGAGCCAGCAGGGGCCAGAAACAGATGATGCCAGCAGGAGCCCCACACCCTACCAAGTTGACGGGGCATGGAGCCCTCACTCCTGGGCACAGCTGCAGCAACCCAGCCATGGCTCCAGACCCGGGCATCCCTGTGCTCTTGAGGGCCCAGAAAGCCCCTGCCCCCGCAGGCTCAGAAGTGCTTGCTCCCACTCCCTGGAGTCTCCCCACTCTTGGCGCCCACTCCAGTGCAGAGCAAAGTTGTGGCTAAGCCCGGGCACTGTTGTGACCCAGCTTGATGTGCGTGCACTGTGGGCGACACTGACACACCAACCCCCGCTGCCTCAGCACCCCCCCAGACTTTGGGTGCCAATAAGCATGTGATGGAGGCCAGGGGACTGAGGGTGGCTTGGTGCAGGCCTGCAGGCTCCCACCAGCACAGGCAATCTGGGCACCAGCAGACAGCACGTTAATAGTGCCAGGAGGCAATCAGGTTCCTAGGCAGAAGGGGCAGATGCCCAGTGAAGCCCCACCTTCAAGCCAGGGGTGGCCTGAAGCCTGGGGGTGGGGCTGCCAGTTCCAGGTGGAACCCAGGACAGGAGTAAGAACTTCATTGATGCCTTCCAGCCAATTGGATGGTACTTTTTCCAGGCCCACCCATGGCCACCCATGGGCCAACCAGCATGCACTTCCTCCATTCTTCGCACATGAAAACCCCAGACTCAGCCAGTCTCAGACACTCCACAGGACCTGCTTGCGGAAAGGAGCCACCCACTTCAGGTCTCCCGAGAGCTGTTCTATCACTCAATAAAGCTCCCTCCAGCTTGCTTACCCTCCAGTTATCCACATAACCTCATTCTTCCTGGATGCGAAACAAGAACTTGGGACCTGCCAAACAGCGGGAGTAAAAGGAGTATAACATATTCCTGGCCAGCTCGCTGAGCTGCGGGTGGTGACACACTCCCAGACTGCAGGAGTGAAGAGTGGTGACCCTTCCGGGGGCCCACCCTCCACCAGCGGGTAGCTGTGCCACATGACAGGAAGCGGTGGCTGGGCCTAGCCAGCCCAGGAACCACGGGCCAGAGCAGGGCAGCACTGAGCGGTAGGACTGAAAGAGCTGTAACACATATGGACTGAAACACGCCCCCGCCCCCCAAGATGCCCCGCCCCTGCTCCTCGTGTGGTGAAGAGCTGCAGCCCTTCTTGGGGCCCAGACCTCCGGGCTCCACAAGCCAGGGCTGTGACACACTGTAACACCCTCTTTGTGGCTCTGTGGTTCCTGGTGTCTCTGAGCTTTCGGCCACCACTGTGTTCCCCTTGTCCAGATGCTGGTGCCCACAGCAGAAGCCACTTACGGTATGTCTGGTCCAGCCGCAGCCTTGCACAGAGCCAAAGCCTGTGCCGGCGCCTGGAGCTGCCAGTGCTGGCCCTTGGAGCTGCCCACCCGCTGCAGCAGCCGGCCTATCTGGCTGTGTGCAGTGGTCGGACCCTGTGCTCACTCGCTCACACATCCCTCACTGCTCCACACCTGGCACGCCTTTGGCAGGCGTGGGATCCGAGCCCGTAGTGCAAGCTGAGCCCAGCCTGCCAGACTGAGCAGGCAGAACGAGCCCAGCAGGCACAAGCAAAAGTCAAGCACAGGCGCTGCTAGCCACAGAGGTTTCCAGATGGCAGAGTGACACCCTAAGGTTCTTGTGACAGCTGGGACTATAGGTGCACCCATTACACCCAGCTAAATTTTTTTTTTTTTTTTGAGACGGAGTCTCGCTCTGTCGCCCAGGCCGGAGTGCAGTGGCGCGATCTCAGCTCACTGCAAGCTCGGCCTCCCAGGTTCACGCCATTCTCCTGCCTCAGCCTCCCGAGTAGCTGGGACTACAGACGCCCGCCGCCACGTCCAGCTAATTTTTTGTATTTTTAGTAGAGACAGGGTTTCACCATGTTAGCCAGGATGGTCTCCATCTCCTGACCTCGTGATCCGCCCGCCTCGGCCTCCCAAAGTGCTGGGATTACAGGCGTGAGCCACCGCGCCCGGCCACACCCAGCTAATTTCTTAAAACATTTTTGGCCGGGCTCGGTGGCTCACGCCTGTAATCCCAGCACTTTGGGAGGCCGAGGTGGGCAGATCACCTGAGGTAGGGAGTTCGACACCAGCCTGACCGACATGGAGAAACCCCGTCACTACTAAAAATACAAAAATTAGCCGGGTGTGGTGGTGCACACCTGTAATCCCAGCTACTTGGGAGGCTGAGGCAGGAGAATTGCTTCAACCCGGGAGGCGGAGGTTGTAAGCCGAGATCAGGCCATTGCACTCCAGCCTGGGCAACAAGAGTGAAACTCCATCTCAAAAACAAAAAAAAATTTAGAGATGGGGTCTCACTATGTTGCCCAGGCTGGTCTCAAACTCCTGAGCTTAAACAGTCCTCTTGCCTTGGCCTCCCAAAGTGTTGGGATTACAGGTGTGAGCCACCACCCCCAGCCAAGAAGCCTAATTTACTGAGCTTCTTCTCTGTGCCAGATGCTTTCACACATTAATGAAGGTCACTTAAATCTTACAGTTCTCTGAGAAAGGCCTAATTTTTTGTTTTCATAACAAGCAAATTGAGGCTGAGGAAGAAAGTAATTTTTCCAAGGCTATACAGAGTGACTTTTAAAAAATGTAAATCAGGTGGGGCACAGTGGCGTGTGCCTGTAGTCCCAGCTATTCTTGAGGCTTGGGTAGGAGGATCACTTGAGCCCAGGTAGTTGAGGCTGCAGTGAGCTATGATCACACCACTGCACTCCAGCCTGGATGACAGGGTGAGAACCTGTCTCTACAAGTAAATCAAATCACTTCGCTCCCTTTCAATAGCCTGTCATAGCACTTCTAGTACTAGATGAGAAGACTGAGGCACAGAGAAGATACTAACTTGCCCAAAGTCACAATTAGCCAGGAGTAGATTTGAACCTAGGCACTGTATCCGGAGGCTGCACTCCTAACCATGAAATCTAAACTCCTTACCTTGGCTCACAAAGCCCTATATGCTCTGGTTCCTGCTTCCTCTCTGGCCTCTTGTTATACCACTCTCCCCAGCTTCCCTGGCCTTTCCTGTGTTCCTAAATTGTCAAGGTCATTTCCCCCAGGTTCTTTGCATGAACTGTGAAAAGAAAAAATTTAACTTTTAATTGGTGATTTGACTTTTTTTTGCCAAATTTGTTAAATCTGACTTTTATTTGCAACTCTAGAATCGGGCAACACTTCATTCTATAAAATGGAATGAGTGTTCAAATGAGCTGAGCAGAGGAGATTGGTTTTACAGCCAGAAAAGGGCTGAGGAAAGCAGAAACAGAAAACAAAAAGATTGGTTGTTTCAAAGTTACTTTCCTTGTAACTTTGAAGGCTAAAGCAGAGGGGACTTCCTTATCCTGCCAGCTAAAACAGGATGGTTTGGAGATCTAGCTATCTCTCACTCTTCTGATTTATCGGAATATCAGATAAACAACTTAGTTTCCACTTGGTGATGTAGAACTTTAGCATGAGTGACTCCATTTTGGTTCTGTTGGGCTTGGTGCAGGAGCCCTGTTCAAACCAATGGCCTCCAATTTTTTTTTTTTTTTGAGACGGAGTCTTGCTCTGTTGCCCAGGCTGGAATGAAGTGTTACTTTCTGAGCTCACTGCAGCCTCCACTTCCTGGATTCAAGCAATTCTCCTGCCTCAGCCTCCCAAGTAGGTGGGACCAGAGGTGTACGCCACCACGGTGGGCTAATTTTTTCTATTTTTTGTAGAGACAGGGTCTCCCCATTGTTGCCCAGACTGGTCTCGAACTCCTGGGCTCCAGTGATCCTTCCGCCTTGTCCTCCAAAGTGCTGGGATTACAGGTGTGGGCCTCTGCACCCGGCCCTGCCTCCTATAAATTTTACTTAACAAACTGTTCCCGCTAATTGCAATGCTCCTCCCATAGTTTTCACAAGCTTGGCTTCATGTCACTAATCTCAACTCAAATGTCACCTTCTCAGGGCACCCCTGACAATCCAATAAAAGACCACCTTGTCACCATCACATCACACCTTTAATCTTCTGAAGAAATTTTTCCCTATTTTTCTTCTTTGTTTTCTTAAGACTCTCTCCCCTGCAGCGCCATCAGCTCAGGGAGCCACTTGATCTTGGTCACTGCTCCATGCCGGAGCCTGGGAAGGAGCCTGGCCCAGGTCGCCGGTTCAATGAATGCGTGCGGAATGAATGAACGACTCTAGTGAAAGAGACTCCAATGACGCAGGCCGGGATTTGCGGAGCACGAGCCCCGCGCCGCGAAGCATTCTGGGGATTGTAGTTTCTCCGTGACGCGGTGACTTGCAGAGCACTGACGCACTCTGCGCCCGGAGGACAGAGCGGCCCGGTCGCCGGCATGGTTTCTCCGTCCTGCTGCAGCCGGCGGGAGGCAGCCAGTCCAGGCGCCCGCTAGCTTCGGCGGCGACCCAGACGGGGAAAGCGGAAGGAATGTCGCGTGGTGGGTCCGGGTCGGCGGTGCAGGGAGCCCCGGGGCGGAATGCGGGGGATGCCAGGACCTCCGGAAGGAGGTGCCGGAGCCCAGGAAGCGTTTTCTTCCCCATTTACCGAGTATAGCTCCTTTCCCCAGACCCGCTCCCGCTGCTCTGAGTAAGCGGTGCTCATCCCGTTTTACCGGTAGCTTAGCTAGCTTGGAGAAGCTAAGTGGTTTGCTAAGTGATCGCCCTCCTAGGAGGTGGCAAAGCCTGTTCTAGAACCCGGGCCTGACTCGAGGTCCGGTGACTGCTCTTTGCAGTCGCAGCAGCAGCCCCATACCTTTGCTTGATCGCAGATTCATCAGGCTGCAGCCGGGTGGCTGGTCGTTAGGCCATGCCCAGGGACCTAGCTCCCAGGCCCCCTCGTCACTGGCCTAGTCTGGCTTGCCACGCTCAGTGCCACAATGCACAGCCCTGGACGGGATGCTGAGTGAGGTCGTAAAGAGAGAGCGTTCCACCCCCTTTAACTCAGGTCTGAAAATAAGGGATAGGTAAGACATAGTGCACTAATACATTATCAGGGCATGTTGAAATCAAAGGAGAGTACCTTTAGTGGAGTGTGATTCTGGTAGCTTTGTTTCTCCTGTAGTTTAATAAATGTGGAAACAGGTTCAGAGACATTAACTTTTCTAGGTTTTCATAATTAGGGGTGGAGTGGGGATTCCAACCTAGGTTTCTCTACCTTCAAAACCTATGTACCTTATATAATACCGGTTGGGGGTTTTTTTCCCCAATTCATTATCCAGATTTATTTTCTTTTTTTTTTTCTGAGAGTCTCGCTGTGTCACCCAGGCTGGTGTGCAGTGGCACAATCTTGGCTCACTGTAACCTCTGCCTCCTGGGTTCAAGCGATTCTCCTGCTTCAGCCTCCCAAGTAGCTGAGATTACAGGTGCGCCCATGCCCAGGTAATTTTTGTATTTTTGGTAGATACTGGGTTTCACCATGTTGGCCAGGCGGGTCTTGAACTCCTGACCTCAGGTGATCCACTCGCCTTGGCCTCCCAAAATCCTGGGATTACAGGCGTGAGCCCTTGCACCCGGCCTCATTACCTTAATTTCTACTTACATAACAGCTGCATGGTGTAGACCAATAGTTCCCAGAGTGTGGGCCCCTGACCAGCAGCATCAGCATCACCTGGGAACATGTTCAAAATGACTTTATCTCTGGGCCTCACCTCAGACCTGAGTCAAACTGGGAGTGGGGCCCAGCAAGCTGAGTTAACAAGCCCCTCAGATGATTCTGATACACACTAATGTTTGAGAACTACTGGTGTCAACCAATGATTCTCAAACCTTAACGTGTATCTAATTCACGTAGGGGGTCATGTTAAAATGCAGTCTGTTTCCAGCCAGCGTGGAAGATGGCAGTGAGCCACTCAGTGAAGGAGTGGATTTTATCTCAGAACAGGCTTGGGGAGAGACCTGAGATTGCGCATTTCTAACCAGTACCCCTCAGCACTTTGGAGTTATCTGGGGAGCTTTCTTTTTTTTTTTTTTTTTTTTTTTTTTGAGATGGAGTCACTCTGCTGCCCAGGCTGGAGTGCAGTGGCACTCCACTTGCAGCTCACTGCAAGCTCTGTCTCCCAGGTTCACGCCATTCTCCTGCCTCAGCCCCCCGAGTAGCTGGGACTACAGGCGCCCGCCACCACGCCTGGCTAATTTTTTTGTATTTTTAGTAGAGATGGGGGTTTCACCATGTTAGCCAGGATGGTCTTGATCTCCTGACCTCATGATCCGCCCGCCTCGGTCTCCCAAAGTGCTGGGATTACAGGCGTGAGCCACCGCGCCCAGCCGGGAGCTTTTACAAAATAGGATACCTGGGCCCACCCCTCTAACCAAACGAATCAGAATCTCTGGGGTGGGGAGGTTGGGTTAAAAACTCACCAGATGATTCTAATGCACACCTGGTGTGAGGTTTGGAGCCAGACGGCTATGGATTTTCTTTTTTTTTTTTTTTGAGACAGAGTCTCTCTGTTACCCAGGCTGGAGTGCAGTGGCGTGATCTTGGCTCACTGCAGCCTCCACCTCCCGGATTCAAGCGATTCTCCTGCCTCAACCTCCGGAGCAGCTGTGATTATAGGTGCTCACCACCATGCCCGACTAATTTTTGTATTTTTAGTAGAGATGGGGTTTCACCATATTGGCCAGGCTGGTCTTGAATTCCTAGCCCCAGTGATCCACCCACCTTGGCCTCCCAAAGTGCTGGGATTACAGCGGGGAGCCACCACGCCCGGCCTGTGGCTACGGATTTGAATTCCAGCAATTCCACTTATTTACTGTGACCTTGGGCAAGTTACCTCTCCTAGCCATATTTTTCTTTTTTTAAAGTTATTGATTTTTTAAAATTAATGTATTATTAGGAATGATACAGACTTTTGTTGTTAGTCCTAATAATTTGTCTTGCATTCTCAATGTAGATAATCATATAATTT
Source organism: Homo sapiens (assembly GCF_000001405.40). NCBI lineage: Eukaryota > Metazoa > Chordata > Mammalia > Primates > Hominidae > Homo > Homo sapiens. Next base: position 36,395,300 of record NC_000001.11, on the reverse strand, counting down.
ATAATTGACCAACAAGGACAGTGATCTTCCTTTATAATTATTGTTTCTCTAAATTCTTTCCCTTCTTTCCGTAATCGTTTTTTGAACATTGCATTGACCATTACCTACATTTTACTGTTGATTAGAAGCCATAAAAGGCATCCTTTTCTTGTCTCTGACCCAATAGAAATGCTCACCATTTTCTTTATTTTTTGAGACAGAGTCTTGCTCTTGTTGCCCAGGCTGGAGTGCAATGGCGCAATCTTGGCTCATTGCAACCTCTGCCTCCTGGGTTCAAGCAATTCTCCTGCCTCACCCTCCCGAGTAGCTGAGATTACAGGCATGTGCCACCACGCTTGGCTAATTTTTTGTATTTTTAGTAGAAACAGGGTTTCACCGTGTTAGCCAGGCTGGTCTCGAACTCCTGACCTCAGGTGATCCACCCGCCTCAGTCTCCCAAAGTGCTGGGATTGTAGTCGTGAGCCACCGCGCCCGGCCAATGCTCACCGTTTTCTTATAGGTTTTTCTTTTTTTTGAGACGGAGTCACTCTGCCGCGATCTTGGCTTACTGCAAGCTCCGCCTCTTAGGTTCACGCTATTCTCCTGCCTCAGCCTCCCGAGTAGCTGGGACTACAGGCGCCCGCTGTCACCACACTCGGCTAATTTTTTTTGCATTTTTAGTAGAGACGGGGTTTCACCATGTTAGCCAGGATGGTCTCAATCTCCTGACCTCGTGATCTGCCTGCCTCAGCCTCTCGAAGTGCTGGGATTACAGGCGTGAGCCACCATGCCCAGCCTTCTTGTAGGTTTTTTTAAAAAATCAGAGTTGGGGTCTTGCTATGTTGCCCAAGCAGGTCAGCAGAGCTCTTGGGCTCAAGTGAAGCTCCTACCTCAGTCTCCTGAGTAGCTAGTACCACAGGTGTATCCCACCGCGCCTGGCCATCCTAGCCATATTTTTCTCATTCATAAAATGAGCATAAGTAATCCTTGGCTTGCAAGTTGGTGTGAGGATTCTATGAGACATGTGCGGGAAGCATCTGTGTCCACAGATACAAAAATTGCAGAGGTGGTCTGTGCTGGGAATTTTGTTTGAGAACCTGGTGGAGGTGAGTTGGCAACTGTACCCCCTACCCTGCTATAGCTGCCATCTGTGTGCTCCTGTCCACAGCAAGCAGGCAGCTGGTGTGGAAGAATGGCGGTGAGCCATTCAGTGAAGGAGCGGACCATCTCTGAGAACAGCCTGATCATCCTACTGCAGGGCCTCCAGGGCCGGGTAACCACTGTGGACCTGCGGGATGAGAGCGTGGCCCACGGACGCATAGACAATGTCGATGCTTTCATGAACATCCGCCTGGCCAAAGTCACCTACACGGACCGTTGGGGGCATCAGGTCAAGCTGGATGACCTCTTTGTGACAGGCCGCAATGTCCGCTACGTCCACATCCCAGATGACGTGAACATCACCTCGACCATTGAGCAGCAGCTGCAGATTATCCATCGGGTGCGAAACTTTGGTGGCAAGGGCCAAGGCCGGTGGGAATTTCCCCCAAAAAACTGTAAGTGAGGCCCTCAGCAAGCCCTGGCCCCAACTCGGAGTCCTCCAGTGATCTCCGGAGCTAGTTCCCTGCCCTCACACCCTGTCTGGTACCCGAGAAGAAAGCAGGGCCAGGCCAGAAGCTGGTGTCCAACAGACACCACCTGTCAAAGCTGCCTTTCACAGGGTTCCACCTCCCAGACTCACTCTGGGACCCAGAATCCTATATGTGGCCTTGGGGTAGGTGACAATCCCCCTTTTTGATGATCTGAATCTCTGACTTATTGATTATGGAACCTGTCAAGTAGTTTTCAACTCTCCCAGTGAGGATAATTAAACATGCTCAGCCTGAGCCACCTCTAAGTGTCTCCATTTCTCATGCAGTTGTGTTCATTTTCTCATGAAACCCAACTTGGATACAAACAGGTCCGTGCCCCAGGCTTTCCCTTCTGTGTGCTGCGCTCCCAGGCCGTCCTGTGTAGTCGGGGGCAGACTCAAGCTTGGCTGCACGTTGGAATCACCTGTCCCACCCTCACAGATTCATATTTCATTGGTATGGGGTATGGTCTGAGGGCTATGAGTTTTTTTAATTTCCCAGGCAATTCTAATATGTAGCAGTTTTAGAATGGTAGGAGAGTACTTCAGTCTGGTCAGGTGGAAAATGGCTTTTCTATTCAGAGTCCTTGTTGAAGAGGCTGTTAGTCTTGTTGCTGTTTCCTGAAGCAGAGAGGTTGCAGTATCCTGGGCCCTCCTCCCCTGGGGTGTGGGAGCTCGGCACACACATTCCTGCACCTGTGGGAGCAGGAATTCCATCTCTAATCTGAGAGTTATTGGGTTCTCAGGGTTAGAACCCACGTCCTTGTAGTAGCTGCCTTGTTGTCATTCTAGGCCTGCCACAGGCAAACAACCGTCTTAGTGAAAGTGGCTCACTTGAGGTCAGGAGTTCGAGACCAGCCTGGCCAACATGGTGAAACCCCGTCTCTACTAAAAATACAAAAAAAATTAGCCGGGCGTGGTGGTACACACCTGTAATCCCAGCTCCTCAGGAGGCTGAGGTGGGAGAATCGCTTGAATTGAACCAGGAGGTGGAGGTTGCAGTGAGCCGAGATCGCACCACTGCACTCCAGCCTGGGCAACAGACGGAGACTCCATCTCAGGAAAAAAAAAAAAAGAAAGAAAGTGACTTTCTCCTGTGGATCCAGAGAGTTTGAACTCATCAGATATCCACACCACACCTGCCATGTGCCAAGGCCTTCTGCTAAGCACACATCATCTTTTTGTTTTGTTTTGTTTTCAACAGAGACAAGGTCTCACTATGTTGCCCATGCTGTCTTGAATTCCTGGTCTCAAGCCATCCTCCTGCCTCAGCCTCCCTGAGTGGTAGGATTACAGGCATGAGCCACCGGGTCTGGCCAAGCACACATTATCAGGTGAGATTTGAACCTTTTTGCATCGGAGCTTATATCCTAGTGGGGGAGGTGGTCAAAGAAAACAAAGATGAGGCTGAACACAGTGGTTCACGCCTGTAATCTCAGTATTTTGGGAGGCTGAGGCTGATGGATCACTTGAGGCCAGGAGTTTGTGACCAGCCTGGCCAACATGGTGAAACACCATCTCTACTGAAAATAGAACAATTAGCCGGGCGTGGTGGCATGCGCTTGTAGTCCCAGCTACCCAGGAGGCTGAGGCACAAGAATTGCTTGAACCCAGGAGGCAGAGGTTGCAGTGAGCCAAGATCACGCCATGGCACTGTAGCCTGGGCAACAGAGTGAGACTGTCTCAAAAAAAAAAAAAAAAAAAAAAAAACCAAAGATGAAATCCAGCTTGAGAACTGCTGTGGCAGAGAGTTTTGAATAAAGCAGGGCCCCTGACCTTAAGATGCTACCATTCTTGAGGGAGATTTGAGAGGAATGTTCATGTGGACGTTAGCAGCCCAAGGGCACTGCATTCACATTCGAGTTCAGTCTGTGTCAGGTGTTGTCTGCAGACCACCTCATCAGGACCAACTGGGATGTGTGTAGGAAATGCACTTACCTGGCTCCTCCTTACCCAAGCTTGAATTGGAGTCTAGCACCCAGGAATCTGCATTCACATCCACCCATCCACCGTGATTCTTTTGCATACTGTATTTATTTTATTGCCTACAGGTCTAGAATCCCCTTAACTCTGCCCTTTGCCTTCAGGGAGAACGGAGGGTCCTAGCAGAGAAAACTTCTGAATTTTCCGGCCCCTCTGACAACTGGAGTTAAGAGGACTGACTGACACCACAAAGTGACTGCTGGAAAGAGAAACCAGAGGGCAGGTGCAGAGGGAAGGCCTTCGCTGTGGGAACGTCACCATACCCTCGCAAGTGGGGAGAGAGATGAGGAACTGGTGGGAGTCCCACAGCAGCTTCCCTTGCAGACCTCTCCCACATGTGTGCCCGTGTGTGAGAAATGGAAGAGGGCTTAGCTGGGGGTTCGGCTTAGGGATGCAGGAAAGGTCGAGCTCTGAGGCTGTGATGGCACACCAAGGGCTTCTCCGTCCTCAGCAGAGCAGCAAGGGAAGCAGTAAGGCTAGTGTGGGTTGCTGAGAAGACAGGCTCAAGACATGTTCCTTAAGTGTCATGTGCCAGACCCCAGTGGCCCTCTGTCATTCCTAGGCAAGGTCTTGGGAAGACAGATGATAATGAGGGGAACCAGGCCCTGCAGAGACACATTTTTGCCAAGCCCCTCGGTTAGAGCACAGCTGAGACTTTAAACCCCAAAGGTGGGTCTTTTGTAATCTGGTCTTGGCTTGCTGGAAAAGGCTATCAGGGGCCCAGGAAGGGGTTGAGAGAGCCCAGTGCCCACCAGCCTGTGGGAAGCCAGGAACTCCCCAACTGCCACTGGTCAGCCATTCCACAGGTCATTCTTGAGCACCAGCTATGTACCAGGCACAGTGGTAGCAACTGGGGAACATCAAGATGAACAAGGGTCTTGCCTCAGGAAGTGAACATTCTAGTGAGGGAAACAGATAAACTAAAAAAGTAAAAATATTTACAGGTGCCCTGAAGGAAATAAACAGGGCCTTTTGAGAGACAATAACAGGTAGTTTTATTTTGGAAAATGTAGTCTGAGGAAGTGAAATCTTTTTTTTTTAGACAGGGAGTCTTGCTCTGTTGCCCAGGCAAGAGAGCAGTGGTGCGATCATGGCTCACTGCAGCTTTGAACTCCTGGGCTCAAGCCTCAGCCTTCCAAGTAGCTGGAACTACAGGTGCATGCCACCACACACCTGTGGTGTCTTAATTTCGTAACTTTTTTTTTTTTCCCTAAGAGACAGGGTATCACTATGTTGTCCAGGCTGGTCTCAAACTTCTGGCCTCAAGCAATCCTCCTGCCTTGGCCCCAGTCACTGGGATTAAGGGCTTGAGCCACCCCACCCAGCAGGAAAGTAGTTAAACTGAGAAGAAGCCTGTCATTTAAAAAGCCAGGACAAGGCAGAGGAAACTGCCTGTGCAAAGGTCCTGGGATGGGAAAGCTTGGGGATTTGGGACAATAATAGTAACACTGTGGCTATTGGGGGAGAGGGAGGCAGATGAGAGTGGAGAAATGGGAGGGGGTGGGGCATATGACACAAGGCCTGTGGACAGAGTGTAGCTGGTTCCAGTTTCTGGTGTGCAAGAAACAGAACTTGAATTTTCTTTAACTCACTTGAATTCCTGTATTTTGCCCTACTCAGCCAGAGTGGCAGAAAGTTAATTGCGGTCAATTCACAGTTCCCCCATTTTCCTTGGCATTCTGTTGGAATTCTAGGGCTCTTCCTTTCAAGGTGCCAAAGCATGGGAAGCATAGTCTGATTTGGTCATCCAGTCACACTAGCATCCACTGAGATGTTCTCATCTGGTTGTGACCTTTTGTCATCAGCCCATGAAGGTTGCTGCTGAGTTGCTCCCCATCCCCCCACCAAAAGACCCCTCCAAGTGTAACCCATACCCCTCTCAGGTGTGCAGAGTTTTGTTTTGTTTTGTTTTGTTTTTCTGCTTTCCCCAGGCCATGTTAGGCCTAGGAAATTCTTGAGTCTTAGGTGAGTTAGGCCCTGTTTGTCCAAAATGCAGCATGCAGCCATTTCTCCAGAGGGTTTTGTGACTTCCCTGGTGCCCCACCCAGGAAAAGGAGCACAGCTCCTCTCTGCTTCTCAATCCCTTGGACCCAGATGATATTCCCAGTTACAAGACTGAGGAGAAGCTTCTCTCTTCTCAGGGACCCCCCTCCTCAATCTCAGACTCCCAGATCCCCGTTATAGTTTTCTAAATGTGTGTCTGCACAGAAATTCTGTCCATTCCTCCCTGAAAGCTAAGCTTTTGGAATTCAGAAGCTAAAAATAGGCCCTGCATTCTGTTGTATCATTTGTTTCCCGAAGTAATGAATACAGAGTAACTTATCTGTGTAAGAGAAGGAGGGAGAACACCAAGGAAAAGATGAAAAACAATGCAAAGTGTTACTGTCCCACCAGATTCTGGATAGTGTGGAGGCAGAGGGAAAAAGACTAAAAAAGGCTTTGAAGGTGGGAAAGTTGGGAACTGCTGCTACTGACCCAGTCCAACTCTGTCATTTTACAGCTGAGGAAACTGAGGCTCAGAGAGGGAAAGGGGCTCTCCCCAGGTCCCATGGCTAAGTTAGAGGCAGAGTGCCAAGATGGGCACCATAATGGTCATGAAAAATAGCTACTGGCCAGGTGCAGTGGTTCACACCTATAATCCCAGCACTTTGGGAGGCTGAGGTGGGAGGATCACTTGAGCCCAGGAGTTCAAGACCAGCCCTGGCAACACAGTGAGACCCTGTCTCTATAAAAATTTTTTTAAAAATTAGCAGGATATGGTGGGACACACCTGTAAGTCCCAGCTACTCAGGAGGCTGAGGTGGGAGGATCTCTTGAGCCTGGGAGTTTGAGGGTGCAGTGAGCTGTGATTGTGCCACTGCACTCCAGCCTAGGCAACAGCAAGACCCCGTCTCTAAAATAAAATAAATGAAAAATAGCTACTCTTTGTTGAATTTTACTACTTGCCCTGTGCTGGGTGCTCTGATGCTCCACAAGGGCAGAGCTGTTGTCTGGTTATGCCGAATCTCCAGCATCTAGCTCAGTGCTCTGCACATAGTGGGCACTCCATCAATCTTGTGGAATGAAAATAATCCTTTTTTTTTTTTTTTTGACATGGGGTTTCACTCTTGTTGCCTGAGCTGGAGTGCAATGGTGCGATCTTGGCTCACTGCGACCTCTGCCTCCCAGGTTCAAGTGATTCCCCCTGCTCAGCCTCTCAAGTAGCTGGGATTACAGGCACCAGCCACCACGTCCAGCTAATTTTTGTATTTTCAGTAGAGACGGGGTTTTGCCATGTTAGCCAGGCTGGTCTCGAACTCCTGACCTCAGACAATCCACCCACCTCGGCCTCCCAAAGTGCTGGGATTACAGGAGTGAGCCACTGCGCCCAGCCCTGAAAGTAATCTTATTATATCATTATAAAAACCCCATATATTAATAGCACCATTTTACATTTGAGCAAACCGGCTCAAGGAAGTTATGTGGCCTGCTCAAGGTGAACAACAGAATGGGGATTTGAACTCAGGTCTGTGTGACTCCAACTCAATGATCTTAACTGCTGTGCTATTCTGTTTCCCAGCACTCTTGGCATCATACTGATGACAGAGTATAAGAGGTGCCTTTGTTCACCACAGTGGTGGTACCTAGCCACAGGGTGTAGGTCTGACACTCAAAATTTGCCAGATTTAGGCCTTGCGATTTGGTGACAAAGAGAAGCCAGAGCCAACCAGTAATGGAGACGAGGGTTCAGAAGCCTGAGGAAGCCCCTGGGGGTTGAAGGTCTCTTTCCCTCCTTCTGTGATAGGCAGATCTGCCTATACCTTGTCAAGCCACCATCTCATGCTGTTGTGACAGGCGTCACTTTGTTATGGCAGCACCGTCTGCCGTAAGCCTAGAGTTGGAGAGCCAGCAAGAGTATGTCAGCGTGAGTGTGAGTGTGTGTGTGTGTGTGTGTGTGTGTCCCAGCGTTCTCCTCATGGTAGTGTCCTGATGACAGTTTCTCATTTCCTCTGGCTGGCACCTTTGGTTTCTATTCATTACTTCTTCTCCTCCTAGCTTTCTGTTCCTCCTCCTCTCCTTTGTTAAAATCCTGGATTTTCAATCAGCTGAGAGTCTCCTGGGGGTAGGAATGGTGGTGTCAGCGCAGAGTGATTCATCTAGCTGATAATTAGAGCTCTGGAAAACCCAGAACTCATTTTTGTCAGAGTCAGGGCTTCCGGAATCCCTAGGCTTTTTGTTTTGTCAGAGAGTGGAGCTTGCTGGGCTGGGGCCTTCTTTATGCCTGTCTTTTGGTCACCCACCTCATTGAAGCCCTTCAACTGAGATGAGTATGAGTGCTCGCTGGGTCTTGCAAAAAGCTGTTTCTATAACTCCGAGTCCTCACAGTGATCCCCCAAGCGTTATCCCTGTTTGGACAGAAGGGGAAGATTGGGCAATTTGCACATAGTCACCCAGCTTGTAAGTGATGCAGCAGGGATTCAAAGCCAAGTTTTTTGGAATCCATCAGACTTGATTTGAATCCTAGCCCTGCCATTATTAGCTGTGTGTGTTTGGGCACATTAATTTCCTTCTCTGAGCACTGGCTTCCTCAGCTGTAAACAGCCTCCTACCTAATACTGTCTCAAGTGCTCCATGCAGAGTGTGGCACAACGGTGGGAGCTGTCCTGATTACTCTTGTTAGTCAGCCCTATCAGCAGCTCAGTGGGCACCAGGCATTCAGAGACAAAGGACACAGGTAGAGGCAGCCAGACTTCACTCATATCAGCTCTTGTGTCCTGGCACTGCCTATGTGGAGATGACAAATGCACATACACACAAGTGGCCACACACCCTAGGAAAACCCAGCAGTGCACACAAGCTTAGACACGTGTGCCCACACATGGATATAGAGTGACCCAGGGGACAGCTGGAAAGACAGCCAAGAGTTAGACATCATAAGCAGCAAACACCCTGACTCACACCTCTGGGACAAGGGAGTGGGGCTACGGCCGCTGGTGCTGCTGCCACTGAGCCCTTCTAGCTGCTTCTGCATGCCAAGGGAGGGAAGCCAGGCTCTTAGAGGGCCCCAGTGAGTCACTTGCCTGATGCAATCCCTTTAAAGGGCTCATCTGCTGGTGCAAGAAGCTGATTCATGGAGGGCGTGGTTGCTGGAGGAGGAGGAGAAAGGGACCGAAACTGCAGCAGGAGGAACTGAGGTTAGATAGCTGTAGTCGCTAATAGGAACGCTTCACTGTAAACCTCCCTGGTCAAGGCTTCAGGGATCTCCAGGTTGAAGGTTGCCATCCTCGGGGTTTCTACAAAGGCGACAGACCTAGAGGGAAATGAATTATGAGCGCTGCGACAGGAATTTCTGTCTTTTATTGAGCCTAACTGCAGGGCTTTCCTCACAGAGTTCCACAAACCGGGAAATGAGGATCAAGGATGAGTCACTTTTCTGATAAATACACTACAATTGGCCGATCTTCCAACCGCTGGGGACTTCAACCTCGGCAGGGGGAGTGTAGGGCCCGCGAGGTTCTGTGGGGTCGGGCGGGGCGGTGCCTCCGTCCCAGCCTCGCCGCAGATATAGATCAGCAGTAAGTACCGCCCCATTAGAGCCTCGGCCTCCAATCGTGTAACAGGTTTCGCCCAGACCCCACCCTGAACCAATCCTCAATCGGACTCTGGCCTCTTGCCTGAAGTCTTCCGCCCATCGTCAAGATGGCGCCCCAATCCGAAAGCCGTGGGGCTGGAGACGCAGGCGGAGGGCGGGGCCCGGGGGGGCGGGGCCGCGGCTAAGGCTGGGGAGGAGGGGGGCGGTGCGTCACTTCCGTTGTCAGGTGGCGGCGCCGCAGCCATGGAGGGAGGCGGCGGCGGCGGCGGCGGCGGCTCGGGTGGCTGCGCTGGGAGGCGGCGGTGAGAGGCTCGCACGCCTCCAGCCCGGCCCCGGCCCCCCGGGAGGGAGAGCCGAGCAGCCCCGGCTCTGGGCTACGGACTATGGGCGAATAGCTCTGACCACCCGGCGAAGGTGAGGGCAGGGGTCCAGGAGCGGGGAGCCGGGTGGGGGTTGCGGGTAGGCGGGGCGGGCCCCGGCGGCCGCGGCGGTGGAATCGGAGTGACAGCCTGAAGCCATCTGAGTGCAGCAGAAATGGCCCCGGCGAATGCCCCCTCCTCCGCTGGGGCTCTGCCCTTCCCCGGCGGCAGGGGCGAGGGCTGCCTCGCGCCGGGTACCGGGAGGCCGCGGGAGCTTCAGTCCCCGCCGCAGCTCTGGGAAGTGGGCACTGCCAGCTTTGCCTAGAGTCACCCAGCCAGTGAGTGAAGCAACCGGCGTGTGAATCCAGCCAGATCTTTCCAAAAAGACACCTTCTGCCTCTCCGTGTTTCCCTCCTAATCCCGAGGGTGACTTGATAGTTAGAACGAGTCCCCAGGGAGGGCCAGCCAGGGCTTCCTCCAAGAGCCCTCACTCTGGCACGGGCGCTACCGCTGCTGGGGAATTTTCATATCCCGGGCGGCGTTCAGGTACGAGTCACAGCTACCTGCTTGCCAAGGCCACGTTTGGCCGGCCTTTTCCAAGGAGAGCTTGCTGTGGTCAGTGTTTCACCTGCCGAGCCGGTCAGGCCCGCCCATTCCCACGCCACTTGGCCCCGCCTTCCAGCCAGTTAGGTAGGGACATTCGGATTCCTGATGCCGAGTTTTCTGCCCACCCCAATCCCCAGGTTTGAAGCCCTTTTGTTAGCGGAAGGAAGAGATGACAGCCGCCCTCTGTGTGGCAGGATAGACTTTGCTCTGTTTTAAGTCACTGGAGGAAACCGGTTGGCTTTGCTTTGGTTTTGAGAACCAGTGGGGAAGAGGGTAGGCATACTGGGCTGGGCGCCTTTCCCTCTTTGAGTAGTTTTGCGTGAGATAAGGAAGAGCAGAATGTGTAATTGTAGGGCCAAAATAATCTTGTTTGTAAACAGTGCCTGTGAGCTCCTTTAGTGCTTCCTAATGGCCGTGCTGTGCAAGTTGTTGGTTGGGTTAATCTAGACAGTCCTCATTCATTCATTCATTCATTTCTCACATGACCACAACAAGAGTCCTTGCCTAGAGGCAAGTGCTAGACAGCATAGTGGTTAAGAGTAGGCTTTGGAGCCAGACTTCCTGAGTTCAAATTCTGGCTCAGCAACTTTCCAGCTGTGTGTACCTGGGCACATTGCTTAGTCTCCCTGTGCCTCAGTGTCTTCGTCTATAAAACAAGGATGATAACAGAGAGAGATATTATGAAGAGTAAAAAGTTAACATGTAAAACATACAACCATGTTTGCCACGTAATAAGAATTCAATAAATGTTATCTATTTTTATTTCAAGGAGCATACAGTCTAATTAAGGGAAATTGACCTGTAAACAAATGGTTGAAATGTGGTCTAAAGAAGCTAGTAGTGGCTGGGCGCCGTGGCTCATGCCTGTAATCCCAACACTTTGGGAAGCCGAGGCGGGCGGATCACCTGAGGTCAGGAGTTCGAGACCAGCCTGGCTAACATGGTGAAACCCCATCTCTACTGAAAATAGAAAAATTAGCTGGGCATGGTGGCACAGGCCTGTAATCCCAGCTACTCGGGAGGCTGAGGCAGGAGAATTGCTTGAACCTATGAGGCAGAGGTTGCAGTGAGCCGAGATCAAGCCAGTGCACTCCAGCCTGAGTAACAGAGTGAGACTCTGTCTCAAAAAAAAAAAAAAAAGAAGAAGAAGAAGCTAATAGCAGCAGCAAGAGAGTACTGTGGGAGCCCAGTGGAGAAAGGGAGAAAGCTGTGAGCTCAGCCTTGGGGGTGGGGTGGGGACGGGAGTGTGCCATGAAAAGGCTTGGCAGAAGTGATGCTGGAGCTGAGTCTAAAAGGAGAGGAGGGGAGGCTTAGCCAGGTGAGAATGAATACTTTGAGAGCGAGATAGACAAATAAACTCATAGTTTATTCCAGAAATCTCAGATTGTTCAATCTAGTGGTATGGAAGTTGATATGGTGCAAGTGAAGCAGTATAGGTTCATGAAAGAATGCCATATTAGCAATTTGAGATATCATGCCCAGGGCAGCCGGGAGCAAGTGAAAAGGTCTGAAGCAGAGGAATGACATGATTGGTTACATATTTTAGAAAGATTTCACTGGAGTCCCAGTAGAGGAGGGAAGGAGGAGGACAGGAGCGACTGAAGGGCTGGAGAACTCTTCGGAGACAAACCTAGGCTTCTGAGAGAGGAGAGTTGGTGCTGGGGCGATGGATCTTTGCTGAGGAAGCACCATGTGCAACCAGTGCCAGATGGCAAGCTCCTGCATTGGCCTGGGCTTCTCTGCCTGGCGCAGAAGTGCCTGGCACATGTGCCCCTCTCTTCCTGGGATTGTAGGTTGCTTGAGCAGCTGGAGAGATAAGACTGCCCTCTCAGAAGGCCAGTTGTAAAGGGTGCTGTGTTTGCTAACTTGTGCTTTTAATCTGACCTTTGGGGAAGGCAGTAGATTGTAATAGTTAAGAGGTTATTTGAGGCCGGGTATGATGGCTCACGCCTGTAATCCCAGCACTTTAGGAGGCCGAAGTGGGCAGATCACCTGAGGTCAGGAGTTCAAGACCAGTCTAACATGGAGAAACCCCTTCTCTACTAAAAATACAAAATTAGCCGGACGTGGTGGTGCATGCTTGTAATCCCAGCTACTCAGGAGGCTGAGACAGGAGAATCTCTTGAACCTGGGAGGCGGAGGTTGCGGTGAACCAAAATTGCATCATTGCACTCCAGCCTGGGCAACAAGAGCGAAACTCTGTCTCAAAAAAAAAGCTTATTTGGCTCTGCCATCAGACAGATCTGTGTTCTACTTCTATCCCTGCTGGTCACTAGGGATTACTTATTCTCTCCACCACAGCTTTCTCATCTGTAAAATGGGGACAATAAGAGTACCTTCGTAATAGGGCAGTTGTGAGGAGTAAGTAAGATGTTACAGGATGAGTACTTAACAGACACTGAGTAGTAAATGTTAGCTCTTATTACAGGCTACAGGAAAGAACTTTTAGGAATTAGTTGCAGCAATTCATGGCAACTAGAACTATGTCCCATTGAGCTGTCAGAAGTGTCCTGAGGGATCACAAGATCACAGAGTTTTATTTTATTCTTTCTGAAAAGAAAATCTAAGGGGAGTTTACCCAGTCTGTATGGGAGCCATGCAGATGATTCAGTTTGGCTCTTTAAAAGAACTATTTTTAAAAATAGAAGTAGGACTGCTGAGAAAAAAATAGTACTTTAAAGTATACATGGGTTGGCCAGGCGCGGTGGCTAACGCCTGTAATCCCTGCACTTTGGGAGGCCGAGATGGGCAGATCGCTTGAGCCTAGGAGTTCAAGACCAGTCTGGGCAACATGGCGAAACCCGTCTCTACAAAAAATACAAAAATTAGCTGGGCATGGTCATACGCACCTGTAGTCCCAGCTACTAGGGAGGCTGAGGTGGAAGGATCTCTTGAGCCCAGGAGATCAAGGGTGCAGTGAGCCGAGATTGCACCACTGCATTCCAGTTTAGGTGACACAGTGAGACCCTGTCTCAAAAAAAAAAAAGTATACATGGGAGTAAATGTATTTAGAATTTCTTCTCTGTGTGTCCCTGCTAGCAACCCTAGTCTGGTACCTGAATAAGCAGCATCAAGAGGCATCACACACACTGATGAGTGTGGTAGCTCAAAATACAGAGCCCTGATTCCACATACATGAGCTCCCATGTGTGGCTGGGGCTCTGCTGGGTCCTGGGGGCAGGAGGAGGATGGAGAGGCAGGCCCTACCATGGAGGAGGTTGTGATCTAGGGGCAGGCTCCTAACCAGTTAACATGTGCACAGTTTGGCAAGTCTCTCACAGAAGTCTATAGCATGTGGGGGAACCCAGTGGAAGAAGTGATCGAGCTCTAGGATGAGGAGGAGACTGGGGAGAACTTCAGAGAGCCCTTAGAACTTGAACTGGGACTGGGCACAGCAGCTCACACCTGTAATCCCAACACTTTGGGAGGCCGAGGCAGGAGGATCGCTTGAGCCCAGAAATTGAAGACCAGCCTGGCCAACATAGTGGGACCCCATCTCTACAAAAATTAAAAAAGAAAAAAATTAGTTAAGCGTGGTGGCATGTACCTGTAGTTCCAGCTACTTGGAAGGCTGAAGTGGGAGGATCACTTGAACCTGGGAGTTCCCAACTCCCAGTAAGCTGTAATCACACCACTGCACTCGAGCCTGGACAACAGAGTGAGACCCTGTCTCAAAAAAAGAACTTGAATTGGATCGTGAAGAATGAATAGAGTTTTCTGGGGGTCTATGAAGCCCTCCAGGCAGGGGGAGCAGCCTGGCACAAGCACGGATATGTGGTAATTTGTGTGGCACTTTAGGAACCACAGGAGTTCTAGCCCAGAGTGTGAAGGGACTGACTGCAGGATGTGCCTGAGAGGTAGGCAGGCACTAGGGCGCAGATGCTTGAATTTTGTATTCTGTTGGTGATGGATGCCTTGCATTAAGTGGAGGAAACATACCATTAGACCTGCATCTGCTTTGGAGGATGGAGTGGGTTGGGGAGAGGTTGGAGTCCCCATAGGAGGCTGTTGCAGTAATCCCAGCAAGGGCTGAGAGGGGCTTGGATCAGGGCAGAGGCAATAGGGTTGAGAAGAAGAGCAGAGATGAGCTGTTTGGGGGGAAATCAACTGGACTCTGGGAGTGTTTGGAAGTGATGCCAGAGGGAGGAGGAATGGTGACAGGTAACCTTGAGGTCCTTGGTTTGGGTGACAGAGTGAATGATAGTGCAGAGATAGGGATGGCTCAAGGAGAAGATAATGGCCAGTGAAATCTGCCAGCTTCGTTCAGTAAACCCTGGGCACACCCTCTCGGGAGAGGATCAGTTGGAAGGTCTTGTAGACCCCTGTCTGGACTTGGGCCAGGCTTCCCTTTGCTTTCGCCTGAATCAGCACCTGGGAGAAGGGCAGCTTTCCTTCCTTCACCTTTCCTCTGCCCAGATTTAACCAGGGAGGTGAACCTCTTCATGTTTCACATCTATAAAGCGATAAATCTTCAGCCTTCCAATAGCCCTAAGAGCAACCCTTCCCTCTGGCAATATCCACCCCGATTCAGCATACTACAGCCCACTGATGGGGTCCTGAACAGCAGAGACCCTCAGGGGAGAGAGGCTTTCTCAGTGCCCCCTGGAGATCTTATCTAGAGAGAGGTCTGGAAATTGGATTTGCTGCCTGAAGCTGGCTCAGCAGATTCAGTCCTTCTTCTCAGGAAGGACTGATATCTGCCAGAGGCCACCCAGGACTTGCTCAGAACCTTCAGGGAAGGGAGAGAAAGCTGCCCAGTGTCCTTGACCCTTGAAGTTCTAAGGGAGCCAGAAGCTGTCCCTCAGCTGGATTGGACTATAGTGAGGGGTGTGCTGGTGGGCGGGCCTTCAAACAGGCCCTTTGGAATTTGGGAGATTTTTTTACATGATTTGTCCTTGGGTTTGTGGTGTAAAGAAAGTAAACGAGAAAATGATCTGAAACAAGAGCACTTCTTTCTCCTCCACCTGCTCAGGTGAGACTCTGACCTCGAAGGTAGTCGAGGGCCCACAGCAGCCCCCGCATATCCTCCCAGGCTCTGTAATCAAGATCCTAGAGGGGAAAGGATGCAATTGCTTGCTGTGATTTACTTACTATCTTAGAGATAGTTCCACTTTGGCACATGCAGGTCTGGGTCATTTGTGGCTATGATGTGTCCCACTGTGAGTGTAATTTATTCAACAAGCTCTCTGCTAACAAACACTTGGGTTATTTTCTGCATTCTACTCTCTAAACACTTCTGCTGAAGTGACTTTCTTCATACATATGATTTTGCCCACCTTAGGTATCATCTGCAGGATAAATTTCTAGAAGTGAATTGCTGCCTCAAAGACTATCCTTTATTATTATTATTGTTAAAGAATTTCTAGGTCTCCTTTTAATAAATTGGGGCAGCCTTATTTTTCCCCCAGCAAGTGAATCTGTTCTTTTGGGTTGAGGTCGTACGTCCTGAGGGGAACACAGGTGTTCCCACTCCCTAAAGAGGCTACAACCCAGGCCGGGCGCGGTGGCTCACACCTGTAATCCCAGCACTTTAGGAGGCCGAGGCAGGCAGATCACGAGGTCAGGAGATCAAGACCATCCTGGCTAACACGGTAAAACCCTGTATCTACTAAAAATACAAAAAATTAGCCGGACGTGGTGGTGGGCACCTGTAGTCCCAGCTACTCGGGAGGCTGAGGCAGGGAATGGCGTGAACCCAGGAGGCGGAGCTTGCAGTGACTGCCCTCCAGCCTGGGTGAGAGAGCGAGACTCCGTTTCAAAAAAAAAAAAAAAAGAGGCTACAACCCAACGGTGTTCATTCTCTCCTGGCCATGACAGTCAGTCTTGGGTGTGAGTTCAGGCTCCCCAGAACTTAGCAGTCTACAGGCCTGACGGTTTCAAAGGAACTCTAGTTGTTGGAAAGCACCAGAGGTAGAAAAACTGAGAAGGGGTCTTGGCATGCAGAATAAAGCTGTCCCCTCTAAATATGTTTACACACTGCCACCTACTTGGCAAAAGAGATAGAAGATCTTCAGCCTTTAGGAAGTCTGGATGCAAGGGTCCAGAAGGAAGAGAGAGTGGACTGGTCATTGTAGTGGGAATTGGCAAGAGCAGGACTGATGTGCTTGTCATTTCTCTCTGGGGCAGAGCTGATGTGAGGTGTGTTGAGGGGACAGCAGTGCTTCTAGGGAGAAGCTCGGTTCAGCGCCTTGGGGACCTTGGGCCTGGTGTAGCCCAGCATTCCGTGGGGCTTTTGGAATCCTGTTGCTGGCATCTGCCAACCCTGGGGAGCAAGAGTCCTGCTACTTTTTGCAATAAGTATGGCGCTTCCAGCATTACTGAGTTTGGGGTAAGTTTCATAGTGTGTGTTCTTTTCTGACTCCTGGAGTGGTCCCTTCTGAAAAAACAGGAAGGAAACCAGCAAAAAAAGGAGGCCCGGCTGGCACGGTGGCTCACGCCTGTAATCTCAACACTTCGGGAGGCCGAGGCGGGCAGATCACGAGTTCAGGAGATCGAGACCATCCTGGCCAACATGGTGAAACCACATCTCTACTAAAATACAAAAAATTAGCCAGGCGTGGTGGCGCACGGCTGTAGTCCCAGCTACTCAGGAGGCTGAGGCAGGAGAATCGCTTGAACCCAGGAGGCGGAGGTTGCAGTGAGCCAAGATCGTGTCACTGCACTCCAGCCTGGTGACAGAGCAAGACTCCGTCTCAAAAAAAAAAGAAAAAAAGCCCCACCACCTCCCAGGTCCTTTGTAATACTGCAATACGTTATTGAATCTAAGGAAGTAAGGGTTGTCTCTTATTTTACAGAGAACACTCAGGCTCAGAGCGGGGTAAAAAGACTGTCTACTATTACACAGCCAGTAAGGGCAGAGCTGGGATTTCCAACTCACATTTGTGTGACTCTAAAGCCCATGTTCCCTTCCTCCATCCTGGCTAGGCTCTGGTCCCAGGGAGTCCAGCCCACATAGAATCTTGGACTCATAGAGCCAGCCCCAAAGCTGAACCAGTCCCTTTTTTTGCCTGAAAAATGGAAACTGCCACTGCCTTGAGACAGGTCCCTCCCTGACCTGCCCTATGGGTAGTGGGCAAGGAGACTTGCAACCATGCAGTTAAGGGCCTAGGCTCAGATCAGATGTGGCTTCAGAACCTGAAGTGAGTGACCTTGAACAAGTCACTTCCTGTCTCCAACCCCAGCTTCCTCCTCTGTAAAATGGGCATAACAATTCTTGCCCTTAAGGTAGTCATGAGACACAGGGCTTTATAGCCTCTACCACGTTCAGCCTAGTGCATGGCAGGCAGGCAGGACCCAGGGGCCAGCTCCAGCAAGGCCCAGGTGAGCTCTTGGCAGTGAACCTGTGAGTGTACCAAAAGAGGCATCCTGAGCCAGTTTTCAGCCCTTATGGATGCCAGGGGGCAGGCAGGAAGTTCCTTATAGGCATGTTTGCAGCCTATCTGGAGAGCTGCAGGGGTGTTGTCTTTGTCCTTCTGCCTCTCACTCTTTTGCTGCACCATTGCATTGGCACACAAGCTCACACATCCAGGGCACTTATGCTTACACCTCTTCCCAGGCCATACTCTCTCAAGTCTGCCTTCTCTGAGGCTCAGCCTCCCCTGATTCCACTACTACTTTTTTTTTTTTTTTTTTTTTTTTTGAGACGGAGTCTCACTCTGTTGCCCAGGCTGGAGTGCAATGGCATGGTCTTGGCTCACTGCAACCTCCGCCTCCCAGGTTCAAGCAATTCTCCTGCCTCAGCCTCCCGAGTAGCTGGGACTACAGGCGAGTGCCACCACACCCGGCTAATTTTTGTATTTTTAGTAGAGATGGGGTTTTACCATGTTGGCCAGGCTGGTCTTGAACTCCTGACCTCATGATATGCCACCTCAGCCTCCCAAAGTGCTGGGATTACAGGCGTGAGCCACCACGCCTGGCTCCACTACTACTCTTAATAATTCTAATGGGTTCAGAAAATCTTTAGATTTTAAAAAAGTATTGTTAGTTTAATAGTTTATGGTACAATAGTTAAATAATATGGGAGAATATAAAATAAAGCTCTCCCTCCCCTCCTTGGGCCCTTAGTTCTATTGACTGGAGGTGTCCACTTAAATTTCTTCTAGGCTGGGCACGGTGGCTCATGCCAGTAATCCCAGCACTTTGGGAGGCCGAGGCGAGTGGATCATGAGGTTAGGAGTTCAAGACCAGCCTAGCCAAGATGGTGAAACCCCGTCTCTACTAAAAATACAAAAAGCCAGGTGTGGTGGTGAGCACCTATAATCCCAGCTACTCGGGAGGCTGAGGCAGAGTATTGCTTGAACCGGGGAGGTGATAGTTACAATGAGCCGAGATTGTACCACTGCACTCCATCTCAAAAAAAAAAAAAAAAATTTCTTCTAGAAGTTGCCTATGCGTATTCAAAAGTGTGTATAATCTTTTTTAACCCAAGTAGGATTATGTTGTACATATATTCCTGCAGTGTGCTTATTTTGGTAACATAGACATCTTTATCAGCAGGTGTGGACCTAGTCGGAAAGGCTGCATAGTATCCATTGTCTAGCTGAACATAATTAGTTAACCAGTCCTCTCTGGATGGCCATTTAGATAGTTTCCTGCCTTGGGGGCATGTGTGTGTGTGTGTTGATTTTTATGGTTTTGTTTTTTGCTGCTACACGTGGCTCTATAGGGACTTTTGTTGAGCACATTATCTTTGTGAACCTGTGTGAGTATATCTGCAGGATCCATCCCCGGAACTGGCATTGCTGGGCCCAAGGCAGGTACATTTTCTTTTTCTTTGTTGGCTATGGTTTCACACCTTTTTTCTGCATACCTTCTGGGCTTGTGCAGAGCCTGGGAGGCCTGAGGTGGACCAGACCCTTCTCGAGACCTACATATAAGCAGACAGGTAATGAACACGCCCTCAATGCATGGACATAGTCTTTCACTGGTGGCTGCTGGCCCTCGTGATCTGCCGTGTCCAGCTCTTGGTGATTCAGAGCAGGTGAAGCCAACAGAGGGGCACTCTGAAGGGATCGCCTGCTCTTGGCTTTTCTAATCATACCAGGCAGCCTGTTGCCCCTCTGAGCAGCCATAGCCCTCAACATTCAGTCAAACTTCAGAAAGTGAATTGTATTGCTCGCTGTCAAAGTCGTGAATTTTTTTTTTTTTTTGAGATGGAGTTTTGCTCTTGTTGCCCAGGCTGGAGTGCAATGGCGCGATCTCAGCGCACTGCAGCCTACGCCTCTGGGGTTCAAATGATTCTCCTGCCTCAGCCTCCCTAGTCACTGGGATTATAGGCAAGCACCACCACGCCCAGCTAATTTTTGTTATTTTTAGTAGAGACAGGGTTTTGCCATGTTGGCCAGGCTGGTCTCAAACTCCTGACCTCAGGTGATCCACCCGCCTCAGCCTCCCAAAGTGCTGGGATTACAGGCGTGAGCCACCGCGCCTGGCCTAAAGTTATGAAATTTAATTTAATTTTTAACAGAGGCAGTTAAGGAAAGGCAGTTTGCTGGCCCCAGTCCAGACTGCCTTTCTCACAGGATAATTGTGGTGATTTTTGCTGTTGAAAACAGTATAAAGAGAAGCGCAGCACCTAGGTCTGGCCTGGCTGGGCTTTCCTCTCTATCACTCTGGAAATCTGGGATAGAAAGAAGGAAACATAACATTTCTCTTTTTTTTTTTTTGAGACAGAGTCTCGCTCTGTCACCCAGGCTGGAGTGCAGTGGCATGATCTCGGCTCACTGCAGCCTCCACCTCCTGGGTTCAAGCGATTCTCCTGCCTCAGCCTCCTGAGTAGCTGGGATTATAGGCACCCACCACCATGCCCAGCTAATTTTTGTATTTTTAGTAGAAATGGGGTTTCACCGTGTTGGCCATGCTGGTCTCAAACTCCTGACCTCAGGTGATCAACCTGCCTCGGCCTCCTAAAGTGCTGGGATGATAGACGTGAGCCATCACACCTGGCCAGGAAACGTAACATTTCTAAGTTAAGCGTCTAGTGCCTCCTATGTACTGGGCCCTGGCAATCCTGAAGGGAACCCTTTTTGGGAGTAGCGCTGTCCCTGTCCTCCAGATGAGAAGACTGCAGAGCAGAGAAGCATGTGTCCAGGTCACACAGTGGACAGAATGGTGGCTTTTAGAATCAACCAGTTGTTCTGCGGTTGCTTGCTGCTTTCTCCTTGCCTGATTTGGGCTATCATGGGTGGTAAGAACTTGAACTCCACATGGGACCCCATGGCAGGCCTTATTCCAGGACTGAGTCACTGCACAAAGCAACAACTGATGGTTGGAGCTGAAGGGACTCTTAGTCACATGCCCATGCCAGGACCTCCCTTGTTGCAATCTCCTCTTCTAGTCCAAATGAGCCAGAGCAGGCCAGTATGACAGGGAAGACCTGCCAGTGACTCAGTCTGCCGTCACTGCGCATGGCAGAAGGCACCCTGAAGAGCCAAGGGGCCACCGCAAACATCCCTAAGCCAGGGTGCTTGGCTGCTTTCCCAGGCTACCTCTCTGGATGGAGAGGCCAAGCCAGTACGGCCCAGAGAAAGAGCTTGTAAGTCTGTCCCTTCCTCCTCTGACACCCACACACAGTGACAGATTATTTGTTGTCACATCAGCTGCTTCCGGAGGCCCTTGGGAGGGGAGAGCTGGTGGCAGGGCTGGCAATGCTGCCCTGGATTCTGCTCTGGTGGCTCTCAGTGTGACTGCTGGTGAAGCCCTTTGCTCCCAGGAGCAGCCGGTCTGGTTCAGGGCTATGGGGACCGGTCTCTAACTCCATGTATTTTTTCCCCAGGAGAGCCTGCAGAGAAAGCTTCTCTCTACCTCTGTGTGCACAGCCCTGAGACTTTTCTTCCAGAATTTCTCTGGGATGCACCCCCTTGGCCAGGGGCCTTTAGCTTCTAGGCTTTCTTTGCAGCCTCCAAAGGAGGTCACAGAAAAGCCCAGTGGGGACTTCCTCGGGGCAGTGGGGTGAGGAGGGATGTCACTGATTACGCAGTCTCCTTATGTGGGGCTAACTCATGAACCTTGCTTCCTGGAGGAGACTAGAGCTAGGTCACCAAGCTGCAGACCCTGGACTTTCAGGCCCTGCCTGGCCCCCAGGCCTGCTGTGCTCAGCACATTGGAGTCCTGCTGAGGAAAGGCAGCGGTGGCAGAGGATGTGCTGGGGGAGCAGGCTGGGCGCAGGGCCCTCTTGCTGACCGCCCCTCCCACTTCCCACTGGGCTGAGTCACTTCCTCTCTGGCTGCAGCAGGTACTCTCCCACAGGCTGGGAGCAGAGCAGGCCTCAGGGGGTGGGGTCATCCTATACAAAGAGAGCTCTGGTTAGAAGCAGCCAGTTCACTTATAACCCCCAAGGCAATAAAGTGCAGCATTTGGAGATGTGATATTATGCATTAAATGATGTGATATTATGTATTCTTGACAAATTGGAGCTATACATGTCCTGCGTTTTAAAAATGAACAAAATCATCGCTCTGTTTTGGAGCAGTGAAGATGACAGCACATGCATGAATCTTTGTCGTCAGGGAGTCCTGGCTGAAATCGAGGGATTACTAATCCTCCTCTCTATCCGCCTCCCCAGCCTGTCAGCATCTGTCCTGAGCACAAAGCAAATGGCTTCCAATGGGTTCCTAAGGAGATTGCTCATAGCCACCAAGCTCCCGGGGAGAGGGTGCATGCCTTCTTCAGGGATGGCTGTCATTCAGACTCAGTGGAAAAGCCCTCACCAGAGCCTCAACCTGGGCCACAGTCTTTAGGCTTTGCTTTTTCAATAATAGAAGGGGAGAATCCACATCAGAAAGTGGTGCGAGTTAAAGAGAGAATCTGGGAAACACTGGGAATGGTTTCTGGCAAGCGGTGGGTGCCCATCAAATGATAATGAAAAAAAGACATACCTGCAGAGACTTGCCACAGGGAAGCGGCCTCAGCACGGAGCAGGGAGCACCCACCCTTCACCCAGCAAAGACCTGGTGACACCGCCAGCCACAGCATCATTCAGCTGTCCTGTGAAGGCATATTACCATCTCTGTTTTACAGATGAGGAAACTGAGGCCCCTGAAGGGTAGGTGACTAGTGTAGAGTCACAAAATAAGTGAGTGTCAGAAGTTGAAATTTGAGCCCGGACCTCCATGACCCCCAAATCCATCTTGCTATCCCAGTTGGCATTTGCGTAACTTGTCCATGGCTTGAAACCCTTGGTTCTCTGAGCTGTGAATTCCTCTGGGTTTCCTGGACTGCCTTTGTGGATGGAGAGCAGGTCTGTAGGTATCCCTGGTAGAAGCATCTACATGTGAGTATTAAGTGCATCAGGGGTGGCGCCCAGAGTGTTTGTGTCAGGGAAGGGTGGGGGATGCTGCCTGTTGGCTGGTGGAGGGATATCTCAGTAACCCACCTCTGACTCAGCCCTTTTCTCCAGAGAGGCCCCGCTCGGCAGCCCCTGAAATGCCTCATTCTGAGGGAAGCATGACCTCTCTCCCTCCCTGCTCACCTGCAGCTTTCTGGCTTGACAGCACCCTGGTTCCAGGAGAATGATTGTTTATAAGTAAGTCTGTGCTTGGCATGCCTGGAACCATGCAGACATTGGGTGGAGAAGGGGCAGTTGAGGAAGCAGTGCAGTCAGGGAAAAAGAATATGGGATTCAGCATTGAAAAAGCTGTGTTTATATCCCACCTCTTCCAACAGCTAGCCAGGTGACTTCAGGCAGCTCTGAGTCTCAATTTCTTTTTTCTTTTTCTTTCTTTCTTTTTTTTTTTTTTTTTTTTTTTTTGAGACAAGGTCTCACTCTGTCCCCCAGGCTAGAGTGGTGCTGTCATGGCTCACGCAGCCTCAAACTCCTGCGCTCAAGCAGTCCTCCAAACTAAGCAAGCTAAAACTCCCAAGTAGCTGGGTCTACCAGCTGTGCCAGCTTTGAACTCCTGGGCTCAAGTGATCCTCCCACCTCAGCCTCCCAAAATGCTGGGGTAACAGGCATGAGCCACCGTGCCCGGGCTCAATTTCTTTTTCTAGAAAATTTTGTGTTGTGTGTGTGTGTTGTGGGGAGGTGATCAGTTATCATTATGTACCAGCCCTCCACATCCGTGGGTTCTACGTCTGTGGATTCAACCAACTGCGGATCAAAAATGTTCAGGAACAAAGAAGGATGCTTGTGTCTGGACTAAACATGTACAGACATTTTTTTCTTTCTTTCTTTTTTTGAGACGGAGTCTTGCTCTGTCACCCAGGCTGGAGTGCAGTGGCGTGATCTCGGCTCACTGCAACCTTCACCTCCAGGTTCAAGCAATTCTCCTGCCTCAGCCTCCCAAGTAGCTGGGACTACAGGCAAACACTGCCACGCCCTGCTAATTTTTTTGTATTTTTGGTAGAGATGGGGTTTCACCATGTTGGCCAGGCTGGTCTCGAACTCCTGACCTCAGGTGATTTGCCCGCCTCGGCCTCCTAAAGTGCTGGGATTACAGGTTTGAGCCACCGCACGCAGTCCTTTTTTTTTTTTTTTTTTTTTTTTTTTGGAGACAGGGTCTTGCTCTGTCACGCAGGCTGGAGTACAGTGGCAGGATCACATGATCTGTGATTACACAGGCATGACCCATGGCACCCAGCCAGACTGTTTTTTCTTGTCATTATTTCTTTTTTTTGAGATGGAGTCTCGCTCTGTCACCCAGGCTGGAGTGCAGTGGTGCAATCTGATCTCGGCCCACTGCAAGCTCCGCCTCCTGGGTTCACGCCATTCTCCTGCCTCAGCCTCCCGAGTAGCTGGCACTACAGGCGCCCACCAGCACGCCCGGCTAATTTTTTGTATTTTTAGTAGAAGCGGGGTTTCACCATGTTAGCCAGGATGGTCTCGATCTCCTGACCTCATGATCCACCCGCCTCAGCCTCCCAAAGTGCTGGGATTACAGGCGTGAGCCACCACGCCCGGCCCTTCTTGTCATTATTTCTTAATACAGTATAGTAACTACACAGCATTTCCGTTGCATTAGGTATTATAAATCTAGAGATGATTTAAAGTATATGGGGCTGGGTGTGGTGGCTCACGCCTGTAATCCCAGCACTTTGGGAGGCCCAGGTGGACAGATCACTTGAGGTCCAGGAGTTCTGAGAACAGCCTGGTCAATATGGTGAAACCCTATCTCTACTAAAAATACAAAAATTAACTTGGCATGGTGGCATGCACGTGTAATCCCAGCTACTCAGGAGCCTGGGGCATGAGAACCACTTGAACCCAGGAGGCGGAGGTTGCAGTGAGCCGACATCTTGCCACTGCACTCCAGCCTGGGTGACAGAGCAAGACTCCATCAAAAAAAAAAAAAAAAGTGTAGTACGGGAGTATATGCACAGGTTATATGCAAATACTACATTATCTTATATTAGGGACTTGAGCACCCTTGGATTTTGGTATCTGTCAGAGGTCCTGGAACCAATCCCCCATGGATATTGAGGGATCATTATATTCACAAATGCTTTGTAAACTATAAAGCCATGTGTAAAAATTAGTTCTGATAGTTAATCTGAGAGTGTGAGCCGCCCTTGCAGGTTTTAAGTCTGAAATTCACCACCCAGAGAGGTGCGCAGGAATCTACAAGAGACCTGGCAGCCACCTAGTGTGCACGGGTGGTCTGCAGAGCGTGGGTGGTGACCTCAGTTGCATCGCGCATTCAGATTTCACATCACTCACCTAGAGTGTTGTCATTTCACCCCAGGTGTAGTCAGATAAATGCATGGTTAGGCCAGAAGTTCTCTTTTCAGAGAAGCGCAAGTGGTTGGAATTTTTCTGACCAGCAGAAGGACTTTCACACCACAAACCTGGAGTGGCCTGGAGGACCTGTCACCAGTGTGAAGGGACAGGCCAGGCTGCCACTCACACACTCCCCACATCTTGCCGCAGGAAAGCAGATCGTTTGGCTGGATTTGGGGGATTCTCCCGCACAGGGCCTGGTCCATCCCTTCATCAGTGAGGGCTTCTGCACAGCTGCAGGCATGTTATGAACAGTTTTAATTCTTCAGTAGGGGTTGCTCTCCAGCAGCAAATGCTGTCTAAGCAAAACCCCCGGTAATCAGCCAGCCTAGTCCCCATTCTGCCTCATGCATTTCTGACATGGGACTTTTCCTGGACAGACTATCCAGTGCAGCCCCAGTTACCTACAGCTGTGGCACCCTGTCTCCAGCCATGACTTGGCAGATACTGGCTAGTCTGACCATCTGTACTTTCTTCAGGGTCCCACTCCAGCCACTGGCCCCTCCTTGGACAGAGTTTTCCTGTGAATCACACCTTGTACCTCTTTATTCAACTGCCTCTGTCTCCTGCCCCAGCAGGGACCATGGTGCCTTATAGATGCCCAGCAAACAGCCCCACACTGTGTTCTCTTCCAGCTTTGCGCCAGGCAGTGGGCTGGGTGCAGGGAGGCAGCGGTGGATTGGAGTTGCTCCCTCAAGGGAGCCCACAGCCTGAGATGGGGGAGTCAGACAGATAAACCAATGGTTGCAGCACAGTGGGAGGGGACGGAGGTGTACTCAGGTGCTCTGGGGGTTGGAGGAGGAGCAGCCAGCTTTGGCAGGAGGCCTTCTGTGAAGACTTTCTGCAGCAGGTGACATTTCAGTGAGGACCAAGGGAGAAGGATGTGCCAACCAGGGAGAGTTGGGCGGGGCAGGGGTGTTCATGGCATACTCGGGATTGTGTCATTTGGTGTGGCTGGATTTAGGGTGCATATAAAGGCAGTGAGGCTGGAGAAGTATTCTAGGTCTGCTTAGGCTCACTGAGGAATTGGGGTTCTTCCTGAAGAGCATGGAGCCCTTGGAGGACCTCCACAGCAGGCAGAGAGACGGCAGCCTCCTGGGATCTGATTGCCCAGCCCCACTTACACAGGTGGCTGAGGTGAGCTCTTCCCATGGAGTGCATCCTTCCTGATCAGCCTGAGGAGAGCAGGGCCCCACCATCCTGCACCTGGTGCAGAAAAACCCTGTGAAGCTGCACTACAGAAAGACACCACCAGGTGGCAGGCCTGGAGATTGCATGGAGGCCCCGCCCCCCCAACCAATTCTTTGATAATAGCACAGTGTTGAAGAGAGGGGGCCATAAAAGACTGAATTCCTGTTCATGCCAGGCTGGCTCTGCCCAACATATATGAGACTGCAAGTTCTGCCACTGTGGGCTGTGTACCCACAAGCCACAGGTCCCTCTGAACCTGTGAATCAGGTCTTGGGAGCTATTCGAGCAGGCTGGATTTTCTCCTCTGCCTCGGGGGACCTGAGAGTAAGTTACAGACTTCATGACCCTTCACCCCAAAACACTTGAGTATGTATCACCTAAGAACAAGGGCATTCTCCTGTAGAACCACAATGCAATTTGCAAGTTCAGGAAATTTAACTGATACAATACTATTATCTAATAAACAGTCTATATTCAGATTTTACCAGTTGTCCAATCATGTCTTTTATACCTTTTTTCTCCCAGATCACCCATTGTATTTCTTTGTTGTATGTCTTTAGTCTCCTTTAATCTAGAATCATTCTTCAGCTTTTCTTTAACTGTCTGACATGGATGTTTTTGAAACATACAGGCCTATTGTGAATGTCCTTCAATTTGGGTTTGTTTCATGATTAGATTCAAATTATACATTTTTGGAAAAAAAAATAGCATGAGTAGATTGGGGGTGGTGGCTCACGCCTGTAATCCTAGCACTTTGGGAGGCCAAGGTGGAAGGATCACTTTAGCCCAGGAGTTCGAGACCAGCCTATGCAACATAGCAAGACCTCCTCTCTACAAAACATTTTAAAAATTAGCCAGGTATGGTAATGTGTGCCAGTAGTCTCAGCTACCCAGGAGGCTGAGGTGGGAGAATCACTTGGGCCTGGCAGGTGGAAGCTGCACTCCAGTCTGGGTGACAGAGCAAGACCCTGTCTCGAAAAAAAATATATATATAGCATGAGTAGTACATGTTTATTAAGGGCATCATGTTAGGAGGTGTGTGATGCCAGTTTGTTCTGTTATTGGTGATAGTAACTTTGACCAGTTGGTTAAGATTGCAGCTTGCCTTTTAAAAAATATAGGTATATTTACACACAGTGATTTCACATGTCTTTTAACTGTGCTGTTCAATTGTTTTGACCAGTGCACACACCCAGAAGCTATGTCCTTCGGCAGTAAAAGTTTTACAGCACAATATATGTGCTCTGCTCTCCTCCCGCAATCCTGCTCCAAGAGATCTTAAGCTGGAGGCACCAGGTCTGAATTCCAGACTCCTCCCCACCACCCACACTTCACCTCCAACTGGAGCATGACCACAGACCCATTCAGGGAGGCTGGCGGACTCTTCATCCTGGACAGTCCCTTACTGTATGTCAAGTAGGTAATTGCCAGCATGTGTGCGCTCCTATGTGGCTGCCTGTGGGGATGCTTCTCAGTGTAGAGTGGGGGACCCTCCATGCCTTGGCCAGGCTTCAGCTCCTTTGTAGTTGGGTAGACATGAGGACAGACTGAGCTGGGGAGATCAGTGGTGGCGTTTCATCTGCTCAGTGCCATCTTTGTACCCCTCATCCCTATGGAGATTGGTGTGTCTACCAGGTGGAACCATGGGGTAGAGCTATCCCTGCCAGCTTTCCTGGACCTGGTCACACTATACCACTGGACTCCGGGCATCTTCAGCCTTGGAACCCTTATGTGGCTCTGATGGCTTGGCTTTCACTGCCTTGCTGGGAGATCTGGGCTCACGTTGCCTGGTAGCTTTAGGGTGAGATGACTTTAGCCCCAAATTGACAGAGTAAGATCAGGTACCCCCTACTCAGGCCACGCAGTGGGAGCTGTCCCACAGGTGAGGCCCTCTCACACTGAGGCCCACAGTTGCTCCCCAGGCTTGGCAAAGCAATGGAACCCCCTGCTTTCAGAATCAGGCACAGCTACAGCCTGCGGACGGCGGAGTGCCAGCTGGGCTCTCTTGCTCTTTCCTGGCCTCCTCCCCTCACCCTCATTGTTGCCTCTCTGAGCTTCCTGTTGAGTTCAGGTTCTAAGGGGACTGGTGCTGACTTGTGAGGATAGAATGTAGAAGAGTTGGCCAGGTGTGGTGGCTCATGTCTGTAATCCCAGCACTTTGGGAGGCCAAGGCAGGCGGATTACCTAAGGTCAGGAGTTCAAGACCAGCCTGGCCAACATGGTGAAACCCTGTCTCTACTAAAAATACAAAAAAAAAAAAAAAAAATTAGCTGGGTGTGGTGGTAGATGCCTGTAATCTCAGGTACTTGGGAGGCTGAAGCAGAAGAATCACTTGAGCCCGGGAGGCAGAGGTTGCAGTGAGCAGAGATTGCGCCATTGCACTCCAGCCTGGGCAACAGAGCAAGACTCTGTCTCAAAAAAAAAAAAAAAAGAAGAAGAAGAATGTAGAAGAGTTAACAGATTCAAAGCTCCGGAGACTGCTAAGCAAGGACTGTTGAGTTCCTGGGGCACCGAGTAGTGGACCATGCACCCCAGCCTGAGGACCAGGTGTCTGGGGGGACCTGGGCTCCCAGTCTTCCTGAGACCAGAGTAGCTGGGGCATCATCACAGATCTCACTGTGAAGCCGGGATCCCTCTGAGCAGGCCCTCTAGAGGAGTGTTTGTGGACCACTTGCAGGCGTGTCTCTGGAGGGACGCACAGCCAGATGATTGGAGGATGGGGCAGGGAAAGGGGGGTCTGTCCCTGGGAGCTGTGTCTTTGC
Organism: Homo sapiens; assembly: GCF_000001405.40. Lineage (NCBI taxonomy): Eukaryota > Metazoa > Chordata > Mammalia > Primates > Hominidae > Homo > Homo sapiens. Next base: position 36,366,505 of record NC_000001.11, on the reverse strand, counting down.
TCACCCTACTAGTAAGCCTGCAGCAGCTTCCGGTTTTCTGGGCCTGCCTCTTCATGACGCTTCCTTTGCTTCAGTCAACTCTGGGTAGCATGAAGGGGTGGCAGGAAGGGAGGCAGCCTTGCTCCCTCTTCCCCCACAAGCATCTTTTTCATCTCCCTGCGCGTCTGTTGCCATCCTTCTGTCGGCCTGTGTCTTGGAGCAGTTCCCACGCCATTTGCTTGAGTCGAATCCTGAGATGGGGGAGGGGCGGGTCAGGCTGAGCCCACTGATTGTCTGTGCTGCAGCTGCTCCCTGCAAACTGTTGTCTAGACCATGCCTGTGCGTAGGCGCGTAGGCAGCGTCTACACAGATGTTACGCGCCTCCATGGTGGTCTCCAGGGACCTGGGAAAGAAAGAGGTGGCTTACTGCTCCCGGGAAGACAGAGAACAGGATCAGAAGGGTGGTGATACCAACTTACTATTGGAGGCAGTGGGCAGCGCAGGACAGGCCCAGGGCCGCCGACCCTGGCAATGACTGTCACCAGCTGGAGGGAAGGTATCCGTTCACTCATGGAGTATCTGCTGGGCCTGGCAGTGGGCTGCAGTGGTTTTATATATATGTTTATACATTTGTTTTTCCTTGTGAAATTTTTAGTTGTGGTGGAATTTTTCTGGTGGAGGGGGGCAGACATTAAGCATATAAACACAAATAAATACATAGTTACAAAATCTGGAAAGTACTATGGAGGAAAATTACAGACCACCATGAGTGAGACTAACTGGGACCCACTGGTCATGAGGTTATCAAGGAAGACTTCTCTGAGGAAGTGATACTTAGATTGAGAAGGATGCGTAGGAGTTAGGCAAGCAAAGAGCAGGAACACAGTGCCAGACACATTACTGCCCAGCTTTTAAAGATATTTCTAGAAGCAGTTTTACCCTTCTCTGCTTTTATGTGAATGACACTGAATCTGCTTCCAGCATGAGCCTCTTTGGCAGAAGGCCCAGCCAAGCCTAACTGTGGCTTCTGCTCCATCTGGGGACTGTTGGGGCTCAGTGAGTTACACAATCCTAGTTATTCTCAAAATTAAGTCATGGCTGTGCTCCCCAGTGGCACAGCTCTGAAAACAAATTGGGAGCCTGGTAGATTAGACCTGCAGTGCAATGGATCATCCCTCTTACTTTCTGGTGCACCACATATAGTCAGTCTCCTAGGGTTTAGAATAAGGGCCAAAACAGGCCGGGCGCGGTGCTCATGCCTGTAATCCCAACACTTTGGGAGGCCGAGGCGGGCGTATCGCCTGAGGTCGGGAGTTCGAGACCAGCCTGACCAACATGGAAGAACCCCATCTCTACTAAAAATACAAAATTAGGTGGGTGTGGTGGCACATGCCTGTAATCCCAGCTACTTGGGAGGCTGAGCAGGAGAATCACTTGAACCTGGGAGGCGGAGGTTGCGGTGAGCCAAGATCATGCCATTGCACTCCAGCCTGGGCAACAAGAGCGAGACTCCGTCTCAAAAAAAAAAAAAAAAAAAAGAATAAGGACCAAAACAATAGCATGTGAGGATTTCACCTTACTGGTGAAGACACACCTGTCCTCAGAGTAGGAGACGGCTTCCAGGAGTATCAGCAAAAACAAACTAAAGGAAAAGACAGAAATATTTAACTACATAAAAAGTCAACCTTATTTTTAATTTTAATTTAAAAAATGTAAATGTTATATTAATTTTATTGAGATGGGTCTCGCAACGTTGCCCAGGCTGGTCTCGAACTCCTGGGCTCAAGCAATCCTCCCGCCTCAGCCTCCCAAAGTGCTGGGATTACAGGCATGAGCCACCGCACCCAGCCCTTAACCATTTCTTTTTATTTTTTTAATTAAAAAAAAAAGATGAAAAAGCTATATGTCAGTTACATCCTTACATAGAAAGAGTTTCTAAAAATCAGTAACACTAATACATAGCAGTAAAAAATAGAAAAAGAATATAAAGGAAATTCATAAAAGAAATAATAGACACAGCCAGTAAGCATATGAAACAAATTCAACCTCAGAAATAATGAAAGAATTACGGATTTTAAAATGCTATGCTTTTTGTTGGCCACCCAATTAGCCATTTATAAGAGTAAGGAAATAACTCAGTCCTGGTGTAAGTTCTGGAACTCACTGGACTGTAAATTGGCACAGCCATCCTGGAAGCAGCCTGGCAGCATCTGTCAAATACCTTAAAAACATGTCCCCCTTGTATTAGCCTAATGGGGATTTTTTTTAAATGTGCCCCACTTGACTCTGCAATTCTGCTTCTTGGAATTTATCCAGAGGGAGACAGATAAGTATGACAAGATGTATATTTTTGTTGTTGTTGTTGTTTTTTCTTTTGAGACGGAGTCTTGCTCTGTCACCCAGGCTGGAGTACAGTGGTGCGATCTCAGCTCACTGCAAGCTCCGCCTCCTGGGTTCACACTATTCTCCTGCCTCAGCCTCCCGAGTAGCTGGGACTACAGGTGCCCACCACCACACCCGGCTAATTTTTTGTATTTTTAGTAGAGACAGGGTTTCACCGTGTTAACCAGGATGGTCTCGATCTCCTGACCTCGTGATCTTCCCTCCTTGGCCTCCCAAAGTGCTGGGATTACAGGTGTGAGCCACCGCGCTTGGCTGACAAGATGTATACTTGTATGTGCGTGACTATTAATTCTTTTTTTTTTTTTTTTTGAGACAGAGTCTCACTCTGTCACCCAGGCTGGAGTGCAGTGGTGTGATCTGGGCTCACTGCAAGCTCCGCCTCCCAGGTTCACACTATTCTCCTGCCTCAGCCTTCCAAGTAGCTGGGACTACAGGGGCCCGCCACCATGCTCAGCTAATTTTTTTTTTTTTTTGTATTTTTAGTAGAGACGGGGTTTCACAGTGTTAGCCAGGATGGTCTCGCTCTCCTGACCTGGTGATCCGCCCGCTTCGGCCTCCCAAAGTGCTGGTATTACAGGCGTGAGCCACTGCGCCCGGCTAATTCTTTTTAAATGGAAAGAACCTAGATGTCCATAAATAGGGAATGGTCAGAGAAATCACTGTATATTTGTACCAAGGAGCCTGTGTAGCTATCTCAAGTGATGTTGCAAAAGAATATTGTGATGCAGGGATGTTAATGGGTTTTTGTTTTGTTTTTTACAGCTTTATTGAGATGTATTTCACATACTATACAATTTATCCTTAATGGTTTTTGTTTGTTTTAAGATGGAGTCTTGCTGTGTCCCCTAGGCTGGAGTACAATGGCGCCATCTCAGCTCATGCAACCTCCGCCTCCCCAGTTCAAGCGATTTTCCTGCCTCAGCCTCCCGAGACAGGCGCCCACCATCATGCCCAGCTAATTTTTTTTTTGAGACAGAGTCTTACTCTGTTGCCCAGGCTGAAGTGCAGTGGCGTGATCTCAGCTCACTGTAGACTCCGTGTCCTGGGTTCAAGCGATTCTCGTGCCTCAGCCACCAAGTAGGTGGGATTACAGGTGTGCACCACCAGGACCAGCTAATTTCTGTATTTTTAGTAGAGACGGGGTTTCACCATGTTGGCCAGGCTGGCCTTGAACTCCTGACTTCAGGTGATCCACCCACCTCGGCCTCCCTAAGTGTTGGGATTAAAAGCATGGAGTCAATGCGCCAGACCTCCCTTAATGTATTTTAGGTGGGAAAAAAGGAAACATAAAATAGCATTACAGTGTGGTCCACATGTTTGTAATAATAAAACTTTATATAAGCATACACACAGTCACACACAGGAAAAACATGCTTGAATGTTAACAGCAGTTATATCTGGGAGGTAAGGTCATGGGTACCTTATTTTCTTATTTTTGCACATGCGTATTTTCTAATGTTTCTGCAGAGAACATCAGTTACTTTTATATGAAGAAAAATACAGGAACAGGCTGGAGTTCTGTGTTTTTGAGTCCATTATGGAAGGGTAAAGGCTACACTCCTAAGGTGGGTGTCAGGCCTCTATCCTGGGCCACCTCTCACCACTCCCTGCCTCGCGTTGGATGCTTCAGCAACACAAACTACCTGGCGTTGGTGGCTTGCATGCCATTTCTTACCTGGGCATGTTTGCTCACTGAGGCCCTCCTACCATGAAGGTCCTTGCCCCTTGCCTGGCCCACTCCTGTATCCTTAGGGAAATTTTCCCGGAGCCCTGCACCCACACTGGGCATCCTGTGACCCTGACCTTCCCCATGTGGAACTCGTCTGTACACATCTGTTTCCTTGTCCCCCCCGGATCCTGCTTTGCCAAGGTGTTTGACTTTGGAGAGCTGGAAGAGACAACTCCTCTTTTGTGTTTTTATCTGTTATTTTTAAATCTGTGTCCAGAGGTGTCTTTTAGCCTCTGGCCCCAATGTCCGCCTTTCATTTTTACGCAGGAGGATCTCGGGATTATCAGGCAAATCAGAGTGCTCAGTGATCTTCAGTAGTGTTCTTTAACTGACTCTTAAATACACAATGAATTTTCTTTTTCTGAAAAGTAATTCAGGAAAAGTTTGAGTTTATGAGGGAAGAGAAAGTAAACCCTGCCATTGACAACTTTGGGGGGTTCTTTCATCTGAGAGGACCAGAGAGTCAAGGAAAGATGGGGAGAGGGGTTCTCAGGGCTGTAGTCATCAAACTCCGTGGGCATAAGAAGCCCCCAGGCCTCGTGTAACAAGCATCCCATTCCTGGGGCCCACTGTCCAGATACGGGCCAGGAATGGGCACCTCGGGTCATTAGGCTGTAGGTATTTGGAGGGCAGGTCTCACTTTGGGAACAGTTGCTCACCTCAGGGCTGGGGTTCAGCTGGATGGGGCTGGCTCTCCTCTCTGTCTCTGTGGTAGTCTCTTGGGGCTCTGTTTGGCATTAGCATCTGCACAAAGCCCAGTTTTCTCCTCTCTGAATTTAACTGGCCACTTGGTGGTGGTGTGTTGGCTCCCCGCCTCTGTACCCTGTATATGCTGCCTTAAAGGATGTCCACCTTTAGCATCTAATTAATCCCAAGTAAAGGAGCTGTGGTTCTTTGTCACTTGGAGCCTTGGATGCTCCCCTGGTAGCAGGAGGAGTTGGAGGCAGCAGCGGCAGCTGTGTGATGCATCCCAAGTCAAAGGCCTGCAGGCTGGGTTAGCATAAGGAAACTCGCTGACTTACTCAGTGAGAAGGGGTCTTTCTGTCTTGTCTAGAGCTGAGAATGAAGCGGAGAGCATCAGACAGAGGAGCTGGGGAAACGTCGGCCAGGGCCAAGGCTCTAGGAAGTGGGATTTCTGGAAATAATGCAAAGAGAGCTGGACCATTCATCCTTGGTAAGCCTCTGACCTTTGGGAAAAATGGGTGGGCTGGGAGGCAGGGGCAGGGCACATTGGCTCGCATGATCTGACCTACAGACATCAGAGTGAGGTGGCCCACCCACAGCAGTGTGTGGTCCTGCCCTGCCCCAGGCTTGGTCCCTAGCTTCACTACTTGAAACAGAATATGTTTATATCAGTGGAAGACCCAAGCCTTGGGTCACTCTGTACCAGGGGCTGTCAGTGTTTTAGCCATACCAGCCTTAGATCAGCCTTAGCCAATAGCTAGGCTCCGACTCTCCCCCCAGAGAATCCTATGTGTGCCCCTAGAATGGTGACGTGCTCACAGGAAGCACACCCATTAGAAGTCATTAGCTGCATTAGAACCCAAGCTCTGGCCAGGTGCAATAGCTCACTTATGTAATCCCAGCACTTTTCGAGGCTGAGGTGAGAGGATCACTTGTGGCTAAGAGTTCAAGACTTTGCAAGCTTGGGCAACATAGTGAGATCCCATCTCTACTAGAAAAATATAAAAATTAATTGGGTGTGGTGTCACATGCCTGTAGTCCTAGCTACTTGGGAGGCTGAGGCAGGAGGATTACTTGAGCCCAGGAGTTTGAGGTTACAGTGAGTCGTGATCACGCCACTGCATTCCAGCCTAGGCAACGGTGCGAGACTCTCTCTCTAAAAAAATAAAATAAAATAAAATAAAATAAAATAAAATAAAATGAAAACCCAAGATCTATCATCCAAGGCACTGCTTTATGCCATTCTTGGATGGCATAATTTCACAAAGCATTTTGTATAGCCCCCCAAATTTATTTAAATTGGCACAGAAATCCTGGCACAGGTGTTGGCAGTTGGCCAGAGGAGCAGCAAAGCATTTCTGCATGATGCATAAGGACCAGCAGTCCAAATTGCTTATAGTCAGGGTTGCAGCCAGAGACTGGGCGTGAGTTTTACTTTGGGACAGCATTTTGGACTTACAGGCTCAGGATAGTTCCAGCTCCAGTCATTCAGTACATACTTAATGGTGTGTACCTACTACGTGCCAGGCCTGTGCTGTTTGCCAGGCCTGTGCTGTTTGCCAGGCATGCAGCAGTGAATAAGACAAGTTCCTGCCCTCACAGAGAAACAGAGTAAACAACTCACCAGTCATCACCGGTGGTGCAAGTGCCTTGAAGGAAGTTCCACGATGACGTGAGATGAGAAGGGCCCGTAGGTAGGGCAGGCAAGAAAGGCCTGTTTATGAGGAAACACCATATGAGCTGACACCTGAGGAGGAGAAGCAGCAACTGTGGGGAAAGCTGGGGAAGAACATTGCAGACAGAAGAAACAGCACTGCAGAGGCCCAGCAGCAGGAAAGGGCTTACCATGTTGGGAACTAGGAGCCCAACATTAGGAGCTGGAGTGTGGCATGGGACAGGGAATGGAACATCCTGTTAGAAAGGTGGGCGGGAACTGAATCATGCAAGGCCTTGGGGGCCAGACAAAGGAGTTTGGGTGGTATGTTAAGAGCAGTGGGTCTGTGAACATTGCACTGGTAAAAAGGAAAACCAAGAGCAGCGGAGCTTCGTTAAGAGTTTTTCACGCAGCAGTGGCACTGTGACATCAGATTTCCACTCTCAAAGCTTGGGCAAGGTGCTGTCACGGGACAGTGAGCACTGTGCATCTCCAGAAGTACAGAAAGTCCCCAAAGCTGGCACTTGGACAGGGGCCAGATGGCTGTATCAGAATCTCCAGGGAACCTGTTGCGGCTCTAGTTTCCTGGATCCTCACCCTGAAGTTGCTCTTCAGGGGATCCAGGATCTCTTGGGTTTTGTTGATTTTTTTGAGGCAGGGCTTTGTTCTGTTGCCCTGGCTGGAGTGCAGTGGCACAAACACAGTTCACTGCAGCCTCAGCCTCCTGGGCTCAAACGATCCTCCCACCTCAGCCTTCCAAGTAGCTGGGTCTACAGGTATGCTCCACCATGCTCAGCCAATATTTTATTTTTTGTAGAGAAGAAGTCTCACTGTGTTGCCCAGGCTGGTCTCAAACTCCTGGGCTCAAGCAGTCCTCCCACCTCAGCCTCCCAAAGTGTTGGGATTACAGGTGTGAGCCACCACACCCAGCCTGGATCTCTTGTTTTTAATAGATGCTCACTAGACATTCCAGCGTGCACCCAGGGTTGAAAACCTCTCTTTGGGAAATGTGTTTGCAAAAGCTGGATGTGCTCCAGGCAGAGCACACATACCCCTCTATTTTTGGAGGGGAGACCTTGAAAACTCTCCACCAGGAGACCTTGGAGGGTCAGTCCAGTACACATGAGCTATGGTGCCCTCCTGAATAGAAGGTCTAGTAAAAGACCACGTGGTGACCTGGCGTCGTGACAGCCAGGGCTTCTGAAAAGTAGACCAGCAGCTCTCTGTGCCGTAGGTCCCCGTCTGGGCAACTCACCGGTGCCAAGCATAGTGCAGTGTTTGGCGAGGAAAGATGGCACGGATGACTTCTATCAGCTGAAGGTAAGTGAGACATGGGGGTGAGGGTGCCTCAGGAACAGGGCCTGTCATGCCAACCCACTCCTCCCTCCTCCACCTTCACACCTGCGTCATTGTGAACAAGAGTAGCGCCATTTCTTCCCGAGAAGCAATCAAGTTCACAGTCTCCCTCAGAACAACTTCTGATTTAAAGAGTTTTGTCTGTGCATAAATTACATCACCATCATATTAAGAAAAACGATTTCACTTGGTGTGTTTGTGTGTGCATTGTGCACAAATGTCATGTGGTAAAAAGCCCCCTGCTTCCCCCGTTCTGGTTGTTCTGCTGTGTAAAGTGAGGTGTTCTGGTTTTGGTTTTATTTTTATGCTTTCCTAAAGATCCTGACCCTGGAGGAGAGGGGGGACCAAGGCATAGAGAGCCAGGAAGAGCGGCAGGGCAAGATGCTGCTGCACACCGAGTACTCACTGCTGTCTCTCCTGCACACGCAGGATGGCGTGGTGCACCACCACGGCCTCTTCCAGGTGAGCGGCCTTCCCCCTCACCCTTCGCGCTCACCTCTGGCTGGCTCTGTGGGCTGCCACTTGCTGGGGCCACAGCCATACGAGCAGCTCACGTGACCCTTGGGTGTCCCTGCCATGCTAGGTACATCAGGACTTCCAGGGTGGGTGAGATGGGCTGGGCTGGAAGTCAGGCTGGGCCACACTAGCTGTGCTCCTGTGGGGATGGTTATAGCCTAGCCAGGAATGCACACAGTTTGCATCTTAACAGCAGCCAGGCTTTCTTTGAAGAGCCACTTTTCCGAGAAAAGAGGAAAGCAAGAAGTCACTTAAAGACACCCGGGCCCAGGCCAGGCACGGTGGCTCACAACTGTAATCCCAGCAACGTGGGAAGCCGAGGTGGGCAGATCACAAGGTCAGGAGATCGAGACCATCCTGGCCAACAAGGTGAAACCCCGTCTCCACTAAAAATACAAAAATTAGCTGGGCATGGCGGCGCACACCTGTAGTCCCAGCTACTCGGGAGGCTGAGGCAGGAGAATCGCTTGAGCCCGGGAGGTGGAGGTTGCAGTGAGCCAAGATTGTGCCACTGAACTCCAGCCTGGGTGACAGAGCGAGACTCCATCTCAAAAGGGCCCCCTTGTCCTTTTTTTTAAAATTTTTTTTTTTGAGACATTTACTGGACAAACTGAAATGCCTGAGCAGGCAGAAGAACAGGTGGTCAGATCCCTTAGGAAAGGTATTGATTAACAGTGTGTACCTGACAAGAACCATTCTTGGGGCAGCACTGAAGTTGTATCTCCAGAAATGAAGAGTTGGGTTCAGAATGACTGGGAGGCCTCCTTCACAGGCTTGGGAACAGCCCCATTCCTCAGCTGAGCATCCACTGAGCCCTCAGCCGTTTGCTGGCCAGGACCAGCTCTTGCTAAGACAGACCTGCTGTTTGAGAGGCACACAGTGCCAGAGAGAGCAGTCACATTTTGATGCTGACAGTCCTGGATTCAGCTAGTATGACCTTGGGCAAGTCACTTAAGGTCTCTAGGCCTCAGATTCCCCATCTATAAAATGGGGATAGTGATAACAGTACCTACCTCCATTGGTGGTTGGGACGATGAATGAGATTGTGTCAAGCACTGAGCTGCTGCTGGAACACTGTCATCATCATTGCTGTTCAGGCATAAAAACTCCTTGTCAGCTTGAGTTCCTAAAATAAAACAAAGGGAAAACACTTCCCATCCCCATGTATACACCCCAGCAAGGTCTTTGTTCTTAGATTTGCAATTAGAGGTGACTCAGAGTATTTTTAGGCAACTCCAAAAATTAGAGTATCCCCATAAACATGAAATCAAATTGAGGGTGATTGTGGTTTCTTGGTATTTTGTCTGTGATATCTTCAGAAGCTTGGCCTTAGTTCATGTCATTTTGGATGAGAGAACCTGGGTGATCAGAAGTGTTTCTAGTGTACTGTTTGTGTGCCAGACACTGTGCTAGGAAAAGCAAATATGAGGTGTGGTCCTGCTCTTAAGAAGAAATGTGGAGGCCGGGCGAGGTAGCTTATGCCTGTAAACCCAGCACTTTGGGAGGCTAAGGCGGGCGGATCATGAGGTCAGGAGATTGAGACCATACTGGCTAACACGGTGAAACCCCATCTCTACTAAAAGTACAAAAAATTAGCCGGGCATGGTGGTGGGCACCTGTATTCCCAGCTACTCGGGAGGCTGAGGCAGGAGAATGGCATGAACCTGGGAGGCAGAGCTTGCAGTGAGCCGAGAGCGTGACACTGCACTCCAGCCTGGGCAACAGAGTGAGACTCCGTCTCACAAAAAAAAAAAAAAAAAAAAAAAGAAAAAGAAGAAATGTGGATATTCAGTCCTTCAGGAGTTCCCCAGAGGGGACAGTCAGTCTACCCCGCATGACACCAAGGACTTCCTCAAGCTGGTCAGATGAAGTCCCCCTGTTTTTTGTCTTACTCGAAATACCTTTCAGCAAGGAAAATGGGTCTAGAGTTTGCTACCATTGTGTCCATCTCGCAGCCACAACATTGGTGGCAGTACCCACTTACTGAGCCCTGGCAGTGCATGACCTAAGCACAGGACATGGATTGTCTTATTTACTTCTCTTGGGCTGTGGGGGAAAGATTACTAGCTCCCTTTTACCGATGAGGAACTAGAGACCTGGAGAGGGTAAGCAGACTGCCCCAGGTCCCACAGCTAAGACAAGGTGGCTGGGGCCTGAACCCAGCAGTCTGAGGTCAGAGTCACTCTTAGCCATCATGTGACTGTCGGGAGTACTGCATCCCGACAGTCCTCTTTTCTGAGAAAAGAGGAAAGCAGGAAGGCACTTGAGGAAAACAGGTGTCCTGGATACACAGAACCTGTATGGCCTCTGGAGCCTGCCAAGATTGACCTCTTTCTAACTTCCGCCATCTTAGATATCAAAAGGGGGTTCTGTTGGTGATTACTGGAATCTGGGTGCCATGGATTCCCATTTTTGCTGCTTGAGCACTGGGCTAAGAGGGCCCTTGGGCTCTAAATGCCCAGACCTGATCTGAATCCTTTGCATTATGATCAAAGCATTAAGCCTTCACCTGAGATGTTTTAGCTTCAGCCTCTTGCTGGTCCTGGCATTTGGCACACAAGAGGCTGCACAGTGCTGACCTGCCCCATGGTCTAGGCTGCCCAGGCCTCAGTCCTCTCTGGCCCGCACATGCAGGCTAATTCCAGGCTCCCTCACTGGTTTGAGTGTCCCACTCCAGAGGAGAGTCCCAGGCCCTGGCCTTGGCCCTGCCAAGTTCACAGCCAAGCCCTGCGCTACCCCCTTGCCTCCCAGGACCGCACCTGTGAAATCGTTGAGGACACAGAATCCAGCCGGATGGTTAAGAAGATGAAGAAGCGCATCTGCCTCGTCCTGGACTGCCTCTGTGCTCATGACTTCAGCGATAAGACCGCTGACCTCATCAACCTGCAGCACTACGTCATCAAGGAGAAGAGGCTCAGCGAGAGGGAGACTGTGGTAATCTTCTACGACGTGGTCCGCGTGGTGGAGGCCCTGCACCAGGTGAGGCCACACCCTGCTGCTGCGCCTTCTGGCCACAGAAAGCCACCTTTCTTGCTGCTGCTGAGCAGAAGGCAGCTCTGTCCTGTGCACCCAGGTGTGCTTTGCAGCTGGGAGTGTCCAAAAGAAGAGTGACTGAATGGCAGGTGCACAGGGTGAGGCACAGTGCCACCCTGCAGGCCACCTTCCTGGTGAGGGCTGACCTGCAGCCCAGCTGTGGTAATTACCACAGCCAACTGTGTTAATTCCCCATCAGTTAAGAGGCCTGGTGTCCACCCCCATGTAGTGATGACAGTGAGATACCCACCCAAGCAACTACAGCACATCTGAGCTTTTTGTAGGATTAGAGGTGTCAGGCACGCTGGGACAAAGGATAGGAGAGCCTGAGCCTCTTCCCGGTGTGCCGCTTCTGTGGGCCGAGCCTGTGGTACTTAGTCACAAAGCCATGACAGCTCCTCCCCGACCCCCAGATCCATCCTGTCCATGGAATGTCTAATGGAGGGGAAAAAATGAGTGACTTTCGCCACCAGCCACTGCCCTGAGGGGAGAAAGAGCTAAAGAAGCTGCCACAGATGGGGAGACACTGACTAGGTGCACATTCATTCCCCATCCAGACGCGCAGGTCACGCGAACTTAGAACTGTCCTGATCTGCCTGTGCTTGGAGCCTAAAGAGACACATCATAGAATTTTTCCTGCCTTCTCGAACACCTGGAGAGCCCCCATCTTACAGGGTGGGCCCTGACCCCACCTCTCACATTGACAATGTAAACCATACGCCTGTTGTTTTACAGAAAAATATCGTGCACAGAGACCTGAAGCTGGGGAACATGGTGCTCAACAAGAGGTAAGATCCCTGTCTCTACATCCATACAGTTACCCCGGGGCTGGGGCAGGCTACACATTGCAACTCTCCAGTGCCCTGAAGTGTCCTCATGAGGATTCCGACTCAAAACAACCCACTTCCTCCAGGAATCCCAGGGCTCGGGATGGGATGAACATGGGAATTGGGGGCTTGCTGAGACTGGGAGTTTTGAGCCACAGAAAGGGAGCTCTGGGAAGAACTTTAGATCTCCCTTGTCCATTTATTTGTCACACCTGGCTCCTAGTGGGTACTCATAAAATTACTATAAAAATGGACTAAATGGTCAGGTGCGGTGGCTCCCGCCTGTAATCCCAGCACTTTGGGAGGCTGAGGCGGGAGGATCACTTGAGCCCAGGAGTTTGAGACCAGCCTGGGCAACATAATGAAGACCCCATCTCTACAAAAATATATATATTTTTTGAATGGACAAATGGGGTGAAGGAACGAGCAAAATGATGCCTTGCCATAGGTCAATTTCCTCAGGAAACAGACTCTGAGGTTTACGTGCAGAAGGTTTACTGTGAAGTGCTCTCAGGGTGAGGGGGTGGAATTAGGCAGAGGGAGAAGCTGAACCGCAGTGAAGTCCCAGCAGGGCCTCAGCCTGAAAAACTCGAGAGTGGGATGGCCTGCAGATGGCCCGCGCTTGGCCTTTGTGCCCCCACAGCAATCAGTCACTGAATGTCTGCTGTCCTTAGGGAGGGGCATTCTCTTAGGCAAGGCAGCTTCTTTTGGCTAAGAGGGCCTCCTGGAGAGGGATGCAGCTGTGAGTGGTTACCTGTAAAATGCCACCAGCTCTCTCAGCAGCAAGGAGAGCATGCCTTAGACTTGGAGGGGATCTGGCGGCCCACCCTTGTTGGGGTGAACCAGCAGCAGAGGGACACCAAGCACGGCCCTGGTTTCAGGTTGTCATCCCGCCTCGACAGAGGGTCCTGGGCCTCTTTGGAGTGATCTGGGACAGTGCTACCACTGTCTCACCATGTTAGAGGGACCACCAACCATGTAGGAACCCAGGACCAGCAGGAAGTGGGCCCACTCTGTGGGCTACCATGATCCTTGAAATGCAGGGCTGAGAAGGGCACATCTCCCCCACTCCGCCCCCACCCATTATTTCTGAGCTCCCCTCTGTCACCTCTCAACTCGGCATTGAGCAGGTTGAAGGGCTTACAAAGGCAGCCTGAATCTCACAGCAGAAGTGTTGTGGTGGGTGATTCATTCCATGATGTGGCCAGCCCAGCCCAGGAAGGGCCCGAGGCCCACTGTCCTCTAAAGAGGCCAAAGCCACAGTGGTCAGAGGAAAAGAAGCTGCCTGGAGGTTGGCCTCCGGGGAGGGGGCATTGCCTTGTGCCCCATCTCAACTGATGGGGAATTACTGCTGGGGGTTCCAGATCCCATAGCTCCAGCCTGAGAGGCCATCGGGACGATGCTGTGCACCTCAGCTGCTAAGCATTCTCCATCCTTCGACTAGCACCACCTGGTGCTGGGGCTGCAGACAGAAACGCTCAGTGGTTCCCACTACCCTCTGGAGCCCACCATCTGATGGTGTACTGACCAGAAGATGGTATCATGTGTGGAGGACTGGCGTGCAGAGGGCAAGGGACATGTGGAGGGACAGTGGCTGCCACCTGAGTCAATTCGTGAAGGATGAGTTGGGATTTGCCAGGCTGAGAAAGTGAAGGGATGAGAACCTTGCCCTGCTATGCTCTGCAGGGGGAAGGGAGGGAAACAGGAAATTCCAGAGCTGCTTGAACCCTGGACTGGCTGAGTGAGTGAGTTGAGGAGGACGGAAGCAGCACTGACATGGGGGTCAGACCTGGCTCACTTCCCAGTGCCACTTCTTCGTTATCTTGGAGACCGTGAGAGTGTGGTCCTCTGGGTACTTACTGATTGAATTCATATATTGAGGTACCAAGCACTTCTCTGAGCTTCCATTTCCTCATCTGTGAAAGTGAAGGTCATCCTGGCTTCCTGGGAAGATTGGCCTGAGATGCAAATCAGTGGGTGTGAGGCTGCGTAATATGATGGGGTTTGGCGCATCACGGGCACACCCCAGTGCTAATGTAGCCAGGACTGGAGAGCCTGTCGCTGAGAGACAGGAGAACAGGACCCATGGGCTCACATCTCTGGAGATGAGGCCTGCTGCATGTTGAGTGGCCAACGAGGACACCCCTGGTGAGGGCCCAGCGGTCCCCCAGCCATAGCTCTGCATCATGAGAGGAGGTGGTGGGGAGCCCCGAGCAAACCAGCCCTGGGCTGTGGAGAGCCAGTTGTCATAAAGTTGGGAAATTGGGTCCTGCCCCTTCCCCTGGCCCTCTCTGGGGCCTTGGGCCAGTCCCATCCTGCTGTGGACTACAGGCTTACTGTTCACAAAGAGAGAGCATATTTTTTGGGCACCTAAATCCATCTGGCTGCAGAGCCCATGTGCCCTCCAGCTGGACTAGAGAGCTCCCAGACCTTCCACAGCAGCCATTCATTGGCTGTAAATGAACATCCCAGGGTTGTCATGGGAACTTGCCGGGCTCATGCCTGCTAACCACACCAGCACTCCTGGCCCTTTGTGTCACTGGGGGATTTGCTTCCAACTCTCACTTCCCCAGGGCCCCTTGGTCCTGGGAGTGTAGTCGAGGGGTCGCACCTCCCTGCATACGCCGGCGTGGCTGTAGCAGCTCTGCTGTGAGTGTGAGTGCGTGCTCCTCAGGGTGCAGAATGCCAATGCCTCACTCATACCCAGTGTCCTGGTTGTACTTCCTGAATCTGATAAATCCCCCTTTTTGTGTCTCAGGGCAGACAGAGGTTCTGGCTGCCTTTTACTTGAGTCATGGGCGCTCCAGAGTGGCAGGGTAGTGTGGTGCAGAGAGACTCACTGCTCCGTGTGTGTCCTCTGGCACACCCTCCGCTCTGGGGCCCCACTCTCACCTCGTTCAGTTGACCTGAAGGAGCTCCAGCCCACTCCAGCCCCTTCCCACCCATCATGCCAGGCTATAACTCCACTGGAGCAGTAGGCGGACCAGCTGGAGGCCTTCTCAGCAGAGCAGAGAGCTCTCAAGGAGCAGACAGGGGGAGGTGTTGGCAAGGCAGCTGCAACAACAAGTTCACCCCGCTTTGGATTTTAAAAGGATCGAAATTCGAAATCCTCTTCTGGGGTTATGTGAGGTGCTGTGGGGTCTTTTTCCTTCCTCCTTTCTTTTTGGTAGGCAAGCAACATACCAAGTTCCTAGAAAAGGAGAAAAACACTGTGGCAGCCCAGAGGGCCATAGCTAAAGCGTGACTCACTCAGAGCCGATCCTACTGACACACGTCCCCTCCCTCCGTCCCACTCTGCCATTGCCCCCTCCTGTCAGGACCAGACTAGGGGGTCTGGGACTCCCGGGGAGCCATGCACCCCCCACTTGGGTGGTGGTGGCAGGGCAGGGGAGTGTTGCCAAACCTCAGGAGGACTTGGAGCTGCCCGTGCCACTTCCTGTGGAGAGACTCCAGTGCGCCTGCCGCTCAGCCCTGCAGAGCCTCAGCTGTGCCTGCCCGTGCCCTGGCAGAGGGTGGGAAAGTCCCACCAGCAGTGTTGAGTTGAAAGCTCAGCCACACTGGCATGTGCTCTCCGGGGCCTGTTGTCACACCATGGCACCTCTCCCCTACCGCCTCCAAGACAGAGTCTTTTCCTACCAGGTGTGCCAACCATCGGAGATGAGAGGACACCAGCTTCTACTATTTGCCAGGCATTGGGCTAAGTGCCCTCCATGAGATTATCTTATCTTGCTGAATCCTAACCCAGTTCTGGAGTTTGGTGCTGGGATTTCACTGTTGTACGCATGAGGAAATTGAGGTTTAGCAAGAGATTCACAGAGCAAGGAAGTGGCAGAGCCAGGACTAGGAACCTGGCTCCCAAACCCACCGTACTTTCTCCTGAGCTGTCCTCCTCTCAGCGTCTTGAGCCTCAGAGACCCACAGGATGCATTTGCAGCTTCCGCGGCCATCTCTGACCAGGGGAGAAAACCCACAGTGCCTCTGCTCTGTGGGAACCTTCTGGACAAGAGGCCCGAGCAGCCCCATATTCAGGGCAGCGGCACTGGAGCTTCAGAGCTAGAGCAGCCCACTCCTTGACGTGCAAGTGACCCTTTGCAGTGACCCTTCACCTGTGCGATCAGGCTCTAGCCGCCTGCGGGCCACCAGTCAGACTCCTATGGCAGCTGACAGGGCGGACCTGTATAGGCGCTGGAGTTGGCGTTTCCGTGGGGAATCCAGAGGACGGGCTGGCCTTTGTTTTGCATCGAGCCCTTTGCCAGCAGAATTCCCCGAGATCACCGAGGGCTCTCAGAGCCGCCTGGATGCGGCTCCCGGGGAAATCCGCCAGCAGCCACACATGCCCTCTGCCTCTGAGAGCTGATTGTAGGGAGAGGCAGCCCAAGGCCCCCATGGAGCTCTCCTTCCTGTTGTCCTCCCAGCTTCTCCCCCTAGCTTCTCCACCCAGCCAGCCGACACAGGAGCAGGGCAGTTGGGTAGAGAGGCATCCTTCCTCACTGCCTGCCCCAGTGGGCCAGGAAACCTTTCCCAGGCCTCTTAGACAGGGCCTGCCCACCCTCCCAGCCCCCAGTGTGGTGTAAGGTGTAAGGGTCCTCTCGGGGCACTTCCTTTTGTCCACATGTGAGTTTTCTCCAAAGGATCAGAGCCCAAAGCTGCCCTGCCCCACGCCTTTCAGAGGGAGGGTCTGTGATGTTCTAGCCAGGGCAGAGTCACAAGTACGAGGTAAGGGATGAGTCAGCTTTGATGGAACAGAAGGAAAAGTCATTCGGGGCCTGGGGCCCTGCCCAGGGACACATCTGGGCATGAGGCAGCTGTCAGTTGTGTGTGCAGCTCTGGGGCCCTGCAGACCTGGTCTTGGATCCTGCTCTTCTGCTCACCAGCTGCATGACCTTGGCCAAGTCCTTTCACTTCCCTGTGCCTTTGTTGTATCATCTGAAACAGGACCGTGAGAAAATCCCCCTCATTGGCCACTGTCAGTTTCTTCCTCTGCAGTGGTTGTGGGGCCAAGTGAGAACTGACATATTCCGTGGTTCGGAGGTGGCTCGGGGCCAGCCCTTGGGTCACCTTCCAAGGTGGAGTCACTCACCTCTGCTGGACTTCCTTTTCCTCATGTGTGAATGAGGAAATTGAACTAAATCTCAGGTCACTCCCAGTCTAGAATATTACGTGAGGCTGTTTTTGAGAAATCTCTGAAAGTTGTTCTAAGCCCTAAGCTGTACCCCGAGATTCAGCCCGGGCAGCAGGTCCAGGGATGGCCTGTGCAACACTCAGATACCTGGGAGAGAAGCCGATCCCTGCTGGGACAGCTCGGCTGGTGGCCAGAAAAGTCTGGGGCCTGATTCCTCTGCTCTGCTCCCTGGAGAGGGGGTCGGGGCAGCTGCTTCACCCTCTGACGAGAAGCCTACCTCCTACTGTTCAGGATTGGGTGTTGGCCCAGTGAGGTGTGTCCTGCCTGCGTGTCTTGTGCCTGTTGCTATAGACACTGAGGTTTGTTCACTCTGTCTCCCACTCCTAGGACACATCGGATAACCATCACCAACTTCTGCCTCGGGAAGCATCTGGTGAGCGAGGGGGACCTGCTGAAGGACCAGAGAGGGAGCCCTGCCTACATCAGTCCCGACGTGCTCAGCGGTACGTGTGTGTGCCAGACATTGGGCCTCTAAGCTCAATACAGCCAGGCTCTGTGACAGTCCACTCAGCAAATTTGTGGGCAGGCCCTGGGCAAGGTGCTGGGGCTTCACTGGGGGCCCAGACCAGTACTGTCCCTCCCCATACAAAATGTTTGGTCTGTTGGAGGTGGAAGACGTAATGATAACATGAATGCATGTTTAATTCCTCTGAGGTTAGTGCTAGGGAGGAACGGGATTGCTGTGAGAGTGGATGAAGGGTGCTTGGAGGACTTTCCCCACAAGGTGTGACAGTTGAGCTATGATCTTAAGGGAAACTAGGAATTCCCTGGGTATGTGTGACTAGGCTGAGGCTGAGGGTCCCAGAGGCAGCACAGCACGTTGGAGCAATTGCAGGCTGCTCAGAAAGTGAGCCTGGTTCAAGGGGAAGCCAGAGAGGTGCGCAGGGGCCAGATCAGGCAAGGCCTGACATAGGCCTCAGTAAGAGATGTCATCCTTTACTTCAAGTGCGAGTGGAAGCCATTGAACAGTTCTTAACTGAGTGTGCTGCTGTGAGTTTGTGTTTCAGAGCCCTCTCTCCTTGTCTGTGTTCATTCATTCTGTTACTGTTTGCTGAGGGCCACCCAGGCCCAAAGCTCTGTTCTAGACACTTTGGAGACAACAGGGAACAAAGTAGACAAACATTGCTGCCTTCATGGAGCTGACTTTCTAGTGGGGATGAGACAGATAATACACGAAACAAATAAGTAACTCACAGGCCGGGTGCAGTGGCTCATGCCTGTAATCCCAACACTTTGGGAGGCTGTGGCGGGATCATAAGGTCAGGAGTTCGAGACCAGCCTGGCCAATATGGTGAAACCCTGTCTCTACTAAAAATACAGAAATTAGCCGGGCGTGGTGGCGGTTGCCTGTAATCCAAGCTACTCAGGAGGCTAAGGCAGGAGAATCGCTTGAACCCAGGAGGTGGAGGTTGCAGTGAGCCGAGATTGTGCCACTGCACTCCAGCCTGGGCAACAGAGCGAGACTCCATCTCAAAAAAAAAAAAAGAAAAAAAAAAACTCATAAAGTTACTGCCCACTGATCTGATTTCCAAGTTCCAGACACTGTGCTGAGCGTGACTCGCGTTATCTGTTTAAACCACACAGCTACCCTGTGAGGCCAATATCTATCTTAAGTCCTTTTTTCACAGATGAGGAAATTGAGGCTCAGAGAGATGACATCTCTTGTCCAAAGTCGTAGCTAATAAATAGTAAACTGGAAAATGGAGGCGCAGCCCCAGGGCTGCCTCCCACTAAAGCCCATTCTCGCAACTCTTTCACTGTCGACTCTGTTGCTTTCTCTTTCCCCCTTGTCCTTGGCCCAAATCCTTTAGGGAACCGGGGCTTACACCAGCTCCCATCCCTCCAACATGGAGAACTTGGGGTTGTCTCCAAGATCCTTCATCCCCACCCCACACATGAGTGCGCCCTTTCCGTGCAGTGGCCGAGCCAGCCTCGTCCCAGCTCTTCACACACATCCTGGTGAGCAGGCTGCTGTAATACAAGCACTTACAACTCCCTCGGAGGCTCCCCCAGCTGCCGCTTCTGCTGGAGAGCCAGGCCTGTCCCCAGGGCTGCCCGTGTGCAAAGACAGTAGCACCATTCCCCAGACCTGGGGGTTTTGGTTAGAGTCACTACAGCCTCTGCTAGAGGGAACTGGGTGCCAGGGGTATACCCTAACTCCTGGGGCACCACCCCCATGGCCCAGCACAGTCTGGCACCCTCTACAGTAATCCCCAAAGCATCCCCATAGGAGATAGAGCCAGGCTCCTCCTTCCACCCAGCCTGTGAGTGGGGCTGTGCCTGTTTGCAGGGCTCAGGCTGTGGGCTAGCCCTGGATGGGACTCCTCTCTTGCAGCACCAGCCTAGAGTGGCCTTCATTTGCAGTCTGAGGCTCTGTGGCCCTCCCTGCTGTTGCCAGCAGCCTATCCTTCTGGTTCTTCCAGACTCGTGCCAGTCTTGGAGGATGAAACAAAGGAATCTGACTGAATCAGAGAGAATCCTCGACTGGGAGACCAGAGACCTGGGTTCTCATTCTGGCCTTGCTGTTGAACCAGCTGTGTGATCACGGCCTCCAATCTCCTTCTGACTTCAGCCTCCTCCCTCCTGGGTTAGAAGCTGAAGTACCAGCCCTACCATGTGGGTTTCCGACCCAGGTCTGCCCTTTCATTTATTCTCCATGTGCCCAGCATGGGCATGGGGCATGGAGCTGTGAAAAGGCAGGCCTGGTCTGGCCCTCATGGAGGTGATAGTCTGGCTAATAACCATGTGAATTTGGGGGAAGTTACAGACCTCTCTGAGCCTCCATTTTCTCATCTGTAAAATAGGGATGGCAGTAGTAGTACTTGAGGGATTAAATAATGCCCTTAACCAGCCAGGCGCGGTGGCTCATGCCTGTAATCCCAACATTTTGGGAGGCCGAGGCGGGCAAATCACGAGGTCAGGAGATCGAGACCATCCTCGTTAACTCAGTGAAACCCTGTTTCTACTAAAAATAAAAAAAATTAGCCGGGCGTGGTGGCGGGTGCCTATAGTCCCAGCTACTCGGGAGGCTGAGGCAGGAGAATGGCGTGAACCTGGGAGGCGGAGCTTGCAGTGAGCCGAGATCTCACCACTGCACTCCAGCCTGGGCAACAGAGCAAGACTCTGTCTCAGGAAAAAAAAAAAAAAAAAATATATATATATATATATATATATGTAATGCCCTTAACCTAGTGTTTGGCATGATCGTTGCTGAAAGGGAAGCTTGTGGGTACAGTGTCCCCTCAGAAGCCAAAGCCCAGGGAAGGTCGCCTGCCCAGGTCAGGCTCCCAGCGAGTTTGTCTGGGGAGGGGCCATTCATACCTCCAGGTCAGGACAGAGGCTCGGGCTGAGGGAACCCTACACAGGTCCTGGAAGCAGATCCTTCCTGCCTAAGCCAGCAGGACAGCTCAACAGGAAGCATCTTCCAGCCACGGGAGGAGAGGCAGCACCTTTTTTGGAACCATACAGAGCTAAGAATGGTGGTACAAGTAATAGATTCTGTACTGGCAACCCCACTTGGTGGAGCAAGTTCTAGGAAAAGGGGGCTGTCCTTGAGTCAGCCATGGGGTCAGCCACACAGTCACCGCAGCTGCTCTTTGGCACCGGGCGCTGGAAAGAGCCTAGGATGACACAGCCTGGAAAGAGCTTGGGAGAAGCTCATCTTCCACAGAACTACCTGCTATACCAGCCAGGGCAGGTGCTTATTCCCCACAACAGCCCTCTGTTGTAGGCGGCAGTGCCATCCTGAAGGTGCCGTGGTACCTTCTGAAGACGCAGGCTGAGGCCTGTAATGGCACTGCCATGCACACATGGCACACCCTCTCCCGGTTAAACTGCTTGCCCTTCACTGGGCCCTGGTTGCCCAGGGAGGTGACGCTAGGGTGCCTGGCAGCGTCTCTTCCACACCCACGGAGAACGGAGTTGTGTTCTGGGGTCCAGGCTGCCACAGCCTGCTGGTATACCAGAGGGTGCATCGCAGGGAGTGGGCAGGGCCAAGAGCTTTCAAATGCTCCAGTGGTCTTCATATTTTGCATTTGGGGGAGTGGGTCAGACAATGGCTGTATTGCTGCTGGGTGGGTGGACAGGTTGCCCTGAAAGGAGGCAAGCAGCAGAGCCTGACAGTCAGATGTGGGCCCACTGAGCAGCCATGTGGCCCTGGACAGAGCAGATCACTGGGCCTCAGTGTCCTCAAGCTGTGGAGCACAGTTAGTGAAATAAAAGTGTTTCTTCCCATGCTGTCCTAAAGCGGGTGCTCCGTTAGATGCCTGCTCCTTTTCGCTTTACAGATGAGGAAACTCTCACAGAGAGGTGAATTAAGTGGCCATCCTTCATTTAGCAAATACTTGGGTCCGTGCTGGGCACTGGGGCTCAGCAGTGAACACCGCAGGGAGGCACCTGCACCTGAGAACTTCCCTTCTAGAGGGGAGACGGGGAGTCACAAGTAGACAAAGGAGGGGACCTGCAAGTAGTCATCCGGGCTGTGAAGGAGGCAGGTGGGGTGTGGGGACGGTGACAGGAGGAGCGGCCAGCTCATCTGGAGCCAGCTAGTTATCTGCTGTGCCAGTGTTCTTGACCCCCTGCTTGTGAGCTGCTGTGCTGGGTGCTGGGGCTGCAGACCCATGCCTGGCTCCCAGGGGCTCGCCATCTGGCCGGGCGGGGCAGGTGCTGTGAGCAGGTGCTGAGTGAGCCCTCTCCTTGGGGCAGGAGAGGTGCATCCTGAGGAACAGGGGAGCGGGGAGCACGGGCAGGAGCTCAGAGGACGACTCTGGGGGGACTGGAAGTGAGGGTGGCAGGTGGAGGGTCCCAGGTGGGATTCCAGGCTGGTGAGCCACGGTGGTGCTGTGGCCTGAAGACAGTGTGGTATGTGTGTGCCCGTAGGCCGGCCGTACCGTGGCAAGCCCAGTGACATGTGGGCCCTGGGCGTGGTGCTCTTCACCATGCTGTATGGCCAGTTCCCCTTCTACGACAGCATCCCGCAGGAGCTCTTCCGCAAGATCAAGGCTGCCGAGTATACCATTCCTGAGTGAGTCCTGCCTCCCGGGGGGTGGGGGGGGCAGCCAGCCTGATGGGCTTAAGGCAGGGAAACGGCACAGTGAGCCTGGGCATCCTGGCCACAGACCCAGCACCACCCACTGAGCCCTCCTCCCCAACTCCCTGCCTCAGGGATGGACGGGTTTCTGAGAACACCGTGTGTCTCATCCGGAAGCTGCTGGTCCTTGACCCCCAGCAGCGCCTGGCCGCCGCCGACGTCCTGGAGGCCCTCAGTGCCATCATTGCATCATGGTAAGTGGACAGGCACTTGACCGGGCACAAGGCTGCGTCCTCAGGGCCTCTGCCCATCCTACCCAGAAAAGCAGCCAGTAGTCAGCCTGCTTCTCTGCCAGTTAGAGTCAGATTTCCAGATTCTCTGCATGGACAAGATTGGGAGGGCATAGGCAGAACTGAAGGTTGAGCAACTATGGGCTGCCATAGTTACCCAGGCCCTGCCAGCGGGGCATGGGCATTGCCTCACTGAGTTCTCACCACCACCTGTAAGGGAGAAATTGTCCCCCTTTATGGGATAAGAAAACTGAGGCTCAGAGAAGCAGTCTCTCATGGCAGGAACACAACCCAGGTGTGTCTGACTCCAGTTAAGTCTGGGATCAATGGACCTGGTCTCTCTGGGGCCAGCCTGACCTGTCTGCCTCCCTGCAGGCAGTCCCTGTCATCTCTGAGTGGGCCTTTGCAAGTGGTTCCTGACATTGATGACCAAATGAGCAATGCGGATAGCTCCCAGGAGGTGAGTTGGGGAGGGCAGATGGGCCATTACCCAGCCCCAAGGGACAGGCTTCTGGGGGCAGGCAGGGCAAGGGCAGAGGTGGCAGCTACCCGCAGGCCACAGAGTTTCCTTGGTCTTCTTCCCCAGCCTTGGGGTGGGAAAGGGAGACTTCAGTCCTCAGCCTGAGCTGCCTGGGGCCTGCCTTGGGCTTGGTGTAGCTGGAGATCTTTGGCCAGAGAGACCTGTGAGACAGCCGAGCTGGAGCCAGTGCCCAAGTGGCCCAGGCCAGCCCTCTCAGCTTCCTCCTGCTGCCCAAGTCACATTTCTCTGCCCCCTGACTCAGAGTTCTCTCTCACCCTTCCTGCTTTTCATTTTTCAGATGATTCATTTCTCCCTATTTCTTTCCTCCCCATTCCCTGCACTGGAGAAAGTGTTGGGCCTAGGGTGGGGGCAGAGACTTGGGCACCAGGCAGCAGAGGGCAGGTGATCTTAGGGTGCCCCCTGGAGGGCAGGGCTTGGCCGAGCAACAGCATTGCTGGGCCCTGGATATTGGAAGGACCTTCCCTCCCTGGCCCACCTTGGAGCTCCACAGTGAGCAGTGTGCAGGTAGGACCAGGAGGGGCCGTGCCTGGGAGAGCCTCCCAGAGCCTCCTGGCCCCCGAGGAAAGAGAGTTCCAATCCCTACCCACCTCCAGCTTCCACCCTTTAGCTGTTTGGCTAAAATCATCATCACTAGCCCGCAGTGAGTGCCTACCCCGAGGGCACCTCATTCAGCCCTCACTGCGGGCCTGCGTGGCCTGTGTTCTTAGCCCCATGTTACAGAAGAGGAAACAGGGTTAGAGAGGACTTTCCCAAAGCCACACAGCTTAGAAGTAGTGGAGCTAAGCCTTGAACCCAAGTCTCATCCGGAAGCCCTGCTGTCTCCTGTGGTGACTGGCACGGGGACACCACTTCAGCTTCTGTTACCATCTGCCTAGACCATCCCAGGGAGCTCAGCATGGGGCCCTGCGTATGTGGCTCCTCCAGGTGCTGCGCCCCCAGCCCAGGGCTTGCTCGTACCTCTTGACGTGCATTAGCCGCCTCAGGGCTCAGAGAACCTTTGCGAGGGGCCAGACAGCTAAGGCTTCTGAGGTAAAGTGACCTCTCACGCAGCCAGTGAGTTAGGAAGCATGAGTCTGCGTCAGTCCCGGGTCCGCAGGGCGGCCTGCAAGGGGAGTTGAGGTTGGCTGGAGGGGGTCAGGGACCCACCCTCAGCGCCACTCCCACCCCCGGCCTTGAGGCCTGAGGGTGTGGTGCCTGGAAGGGTGACTGCAGGAGCCAGGCTGCCAGCACTCTTGCCTGCCCTCCTGTCTGCTGCGCTGCCTTCATCTGGGTTTATCTTTGTCTCCTTCCCACCCTCCCCGCCTCAAAGGCGAAGGTGACGGAGGAGTGCTCCCAGTACGAGTTTGAGAACTACATGCGTCAGCAGCTGCTGCTGGCCGAGGAGAAGAGCTCCATCCATGACGCCCGGAGCTGGGTACCCAAGCGGCAGTTCGGCAGCGCACCACCGGTGCGACGGCTGGGCCACGACGCACAGCCCATGACCTCCTTGGACACGGCCATCCTGGCGCAGCGCTACCTGCGGAAATAACAGCCTCAGCCGGGGCCACCAGCACTGCTGCCACTTCTTCCAGCCCCAGCCAAAGGCGTGGCTGTCAGGGCTGGGCCCTGTAGTGCTGGACTCTCCCGGGCCACAATAGGGACAGGGCAGGGACAGGGACAGCCCAGGTCACACGTGGGGTCAGCAGAGGTACCACGAAGCTACCTTTTGGGATGATTGCTCGATTGTTTGGTTTTTAAATCTGAGAAGCCTAGATAACTAATCTGCTTTTAATCACGATGTTTTAATCTACCTCTGTCTCTTTAACCATGCTGTCTCTGGACTGAGCAAGAGGGAGGAGGGAGCCTGCTCACCCCACTCCAGGGCCTTCCCCAGCGGCCACCAACTGACCTGGGGCGCTGCTCCCCACAGTCCAAATAAGCTGAAAGTGCAGCTCGCTGCAGGCCCCAGAGCGAGCTTCCCCTCCTCCCTGCTCTCCCAGGCCCCTGCCACAGCCTCTTTCCGTCCCTCTCTTTCTGATCCAGGCCCCTCAGTCCAAGCTTTGGAAAACCTTCACCTCATCTTAAACCGAACTCAAATATATTTATTTTTTTACCATACCAACTTCTCTCCCATCTCTAGGTGGCTCAGTCCATGGCCACTCCCTGCCCCCAGCCTGGCTGGACAGCAAGGAATCCACAGCCCACACGTGAGCTCCCTCCTCACCCCCAGGCAGGGAAGCCCCTCCTGCCAGTCCCTGTCCCCTTTCAGCCCACCAGTCCCTCTCTGCTGCCGGTGATGGGAGGCCTTTCTAGACCTGGCTCTTTCTCTCCCGTCTCAGTGGCTTCTCTGAGGTGCTGTACACGCGCGTTAACCTGTTCCCTTCTCTATCCTTCCCCGTGGTACTGAGCTCACGTGGACTCCCAGTGCGAAGGGGCCCATGGGTTGGGCTGCAGGCCTGGCCGTGAGCGGGGGCTGCCTGCACGCTCCCCTAGCCTACTCTTGTGTTTAGGGGATGGTGGGAACATATCCCAGTGCCCTTGCCTCATAATAGATGTGGTGACTCTCCCGGTAGACCCTAGCAAGGGTCCTCCATGGTGGTGAGGGACTCAGGAGAATTGTAGGGATTGGGGGACCCTGCCTGCCTGGCTTGAGAACAGCCCTGCTGCCCTTTTGAGCCGAGATTTTGAAGTGGATGCCCGTCTTGCCAGAAATGCTGTTCTCACCAGAATGCCCCCTCCCCTTGCCCTTACTGGACTTGGCCCTGCCTGATGCCAAGCAAAGACCCTTCCCCAGAGGCCTACCCCCCATATGTCCTCAGAGAGGCTGAGTGTCCCCTCCAGGCAGTCATGGGCCCTGAGGCCCCTCCTGCCTGGCCCTGCTCCCCAGTGGGGAGGTGACTGTGTTTCCCAGAGTGTGAGCCGCTCTCCTCCCCCTAAAAAGCTGACTCACTGTGAGTGACCTTGGGCAAGTTCCCAAACCTCCTTGTGCCTCAGTTTCCCCATCTGGAAAAAATGGGGCCACCTCTTGCCAGCAGTAGCAGGGCTGCCCACGCCCCTTTCTCCCCATGCCCCATCCAGCACTTGGGCGACTCATGCCTCTGCCTCAGTGGGCCTGTGGGAGCCTACTGGAGCCCAGCACTTACTCCCCCTGAGCAGCGAGCCTGCGTCTGTCTCAGCTGTCCAGCGCTGAGGGCCAGGGTCTTGTGCTGTGGGGCTGGGGGATGCCCTCTTTTCTATATTTATTTCATAGAAAGTCTCCTGCGGGAGCGGAAATGCAGTCCGGCCTAGGGCTCCCAGCCCTTGACTGTCCTCCTGTGAGGGCCTGAAGCTGGGCCAGGGCCCGTCGCAGCGGAGCCCCCTCTCAGCAGCCCACCGGGTCCCTCCAGGCTGCTGCCCGTGCGTGGTCTTTCTCCTCCTTTTCAAAGCAATAGCCGCCGGGTCTGCAAAGCCCTGTCAGACAGACTGGGCCCTTCCAAGGTCAAGCCATGTGTCTGATGACATTCCTGGTGAAGCAAAGGAGAGGAGGATGGGTCAGCCCTCACTGGGTGTCACACACTGAGAGAAGTCCTATTGTAAAGAAACGGAAAAAGTCACAAAAAAGTTTGTATAAAGACATATTTTTGTACTACATGGGGACTCTTCCTGCATGTCAGCAATAAAACTTCCTGATCTGGAACCACTGTGGCCTGCGTCTCCTGCCTTCTTGCCTTCCCTGCCTACATCTCGGCCTCTCCAGCCCCGACCCAGCCCCATCCCTCTCCATCCCAGCTGAGTGGTGCAGGATTCCCAACTGGCTTCCTGCAGCTCTGAGTGTGCCCCCTCCCTGCTCCCCGCAGCCAGCGGGTGGCACCTGGCACCACTGTCTTGGCGGGGGAGGGGAACCTGAAGTGCCCAGCAGTCTCTTGAGACCTGTGCATCTGCCCACTGCCCAAGTGAGAGCTCCCTGCTTGGCTTGGCTCACCCTCTGACCTTGCATGCAGGAGGCAGCGGGGCATCCCAGCA
This sequence comes from Homo sapiens, assembly GCF_000001405.40. NCBI lineage: Eukaryota > Metazoa > Chordata > Mammalia > Primates > Hominidae > Homo > Homo sapiens. Next base: position 36,339,301 of record NC_000001.11, on the reverse strand, counting down.
CCACAGCAGCTGAAGGGTATTGATCCTCTCTGCTGAACTCCATCTGGGGTAGGGGAGCCTGCTGCCCCAGACAGACTGCCCATGTGCCCATCCAGGGCAGCCAGGGAAGGAGAAGGCCCAGCCAGGCCTCTTCCTGCTCCACCCTCCCCCTCCCTCTCCTCAATAGGAAGCCAAGGGCTTCCTTCCTTCCTTTCTTTCCTTCCTTCCTTTGCTTAAATTTAGACTTTGGGCCGGGCACGGTGGTTCATGCCTGTCATCCTAGCACTTTGGGAGGCCGAAGCGGGTGGATCATGAGGTCAGGAGTTCAAGACCAGCCTGGCCAAGATGGTGAAACCCTGTCTCTACCAAAAATACAAAAATTAGCCAGGCATGGTGGCAGGTGCCTGTAATCCCAGCTATTCAGGAGGCTGGGGCAGAGAATTGCTTGAACCCGGGAGGTGGAGGTTGCAGTGAGCCGAGATCACGCCACTGCACTCCAAGCCTGGGCAATGGAGTGAGACTCCATCTCAAAAAAGAAAAAAAATTTAGACTTTGCAGATTGCACTTCATTCTAGCAATGAAGCTAGAGGTAGGCTGGCCCCTCCCCCGGCACACCACAGCACCCACGCGGACACACTTCTGTGTCCAGGAGCCCATACCCAGGCCACTCAAGGAACAAGATCTGTGCAGGCAGAGCCCCTTCCCAGTCAAGGGTCCACAGACCAAGAGGGGCACCTCCAAGATGTGAGAAGGCTCTGATCCTCTGCAGTGCTTCAGAGCACAGCCCCAGGCCCCTCACTCCTCCACCTCACAGTTCCACACCTGCCCCAGCAGCCAGCTGTCCAAAGATTTTGCCCATTACATTTGGCCCATGCCTTACCCATCCTGGATGCTCTGCTGGGAGGTGCCCCTGCTCCCAGCCCACCAGTGCCACTCTCAGCTCTGGACCTTGTCTCTATGTTCAGCCTCACTCCTGTCCCGCCACCCATTAAGCCTCTGTTCAGGGCACAGATACCTCCTGGACACCTACACGTGTCACTCTTACATTCAGCAAAACACTAGACAGCAAGCGCCCTACAGGCAGGGGCTTCGTTTTGCTCACCCTTACCTCCTCAGCACCTGGGTCTGGGCCTGTACACTCTGGCACTCCTGAACAGTTTGGTGTATTGATCTAAACTGTTTCTTGGCTGTGAGTTGGTCAATTTAACGAAAACAAAAGTGAACTTCTTGGATCGCTGTTCCTCACAGGTTTCACTATGAGCCCTGTGGCAGCAAAGGAAAAAGAAAGTACCAGAAGGATGGGTGGGACCAGTGCGGCCACACTGACCACTCGCGTGCTCCTGAAAGGTCAAACCAAATGAGAACTGCGAAGCTGGCATCCCCTTTGGCCACCCTGGTCTCCAGTGTCCCTGGGAAGAGCCAGGGACACTGGCTGGACCTGTCAAACTAGCAGAAGTGGAAAGGGAGTGAGGAATGGTCTTGGTGGCTGGATTGTTCAGGCTCTGAAGCCAAGTTGGCCTGACTTTCTCTGTCCCTCCGTCCCTCCTTCCCTCCCTCCCTCTCATCCTTCTCTCTCACACCCCATGTCCAATCCACTGCTACTCCTGTTGGCTGGCCCTACCTTCAGAACACGGGCAGAATCTGACCATTTGTCACAGCTCCACTGCAACCACCCTAAGCCTCCATCTCTGGCCTCCTGGTCTCCCACTCTTCCCCTGCCACAGTCCAGGCACCACGTGGTAGCCAGAGTGAGCCTTTAAAAACCTGACTGTGTCCCTCTTCTGTTTACAACCCTCTGATGGCTTACCCTCCATGCAGGAGAAAATCCAAAGGTCTGTGTGGCTTGTAAGGCTCTACACCATGAGTCTGCACACTTGGGTACCTCCCCACCTTCTCAGCCCTTCACCCCTCACTCTATTCCTGCTGCTTGGGCCCCCTGATCCTGAACAAGCCAAGCATGCTTCCACCGCACGGCCTCTGTGTAAGGTTAGCCGAGAGAAAGGATGAGTAGGCTCAAAGTCAGGTAAGCAATTTTTATTCGTCCTGCCAGGCTGCTCCTTGACAGGCAGAGGAGGCAGCCCCACTTACAGACTGCAGCAGGGCTTTACAGGGCGAGGAACTGGGTCGGGGTGTGTGAACCGAGTTGGGGGTGCAGGTGTCTTGACTGCGTCCTGGAGATAGTTTTGCCAGCTTTGGTTAGCAGGTGTTCTGACCGCATCTTGGAACTGTCTGCCAGTTCAGCTGAAGTCTTCTGGACAAACAGTTACTCTCGAAGGGTCAGTTGTGGCGGGGGGTTTGCCTTTAGCCCTGGGGGAGCTATGCGGAGGTCACAAAGGACTGTATTGTAAGACCTTTGCGAAAGGAGGAGAACAGTCTGGTCGGGGTGACCCTAACATTCCAGCTTTTAATAGTTGATAGAAAAGGGGGCGTTGTTCTCATCAGGCTGCTTCTAGCTGAGAGGGAGCGGTGGTTAGGGGGAGAGGCTGGAAGGTAGGGGTTGGTTTGGGTTCTGGCTTTGAAATTGTTGGTATTCTTGGAGTAGCATCATGTCTTGTATGGTTCTGTGGATGAAGGCTCGGATGCGCTTCTGTAAAAACTGGGTAAAGAGACCGGGCGCCGTGGCTCACGCCTGTAATCCCAACACTTTGGGAGGCCGAGGCAGGTGGATCACGAGGTCAGGAGATCGAGACCATCCTGGCTAACGCGGTGAAGCCCCGTCTCTACTAAATATACAAAAAATTAGCCAGACATAGTGGCGGGCACCTGTAGTCCCAGCTACCTGGGAGGCTGAGGCAGGAGAATGGTGTGAACCCAGGAGGCGGAGCTTGCAGTGGGCAGAGATTGCGCCACTGCACTCCAGCCTGGGTGCCAGAGCGAGACTCTGCCTCAAAAAAATAAAATAAAATAAAATAAATAAAAAATTAAGAAAACACTGGGTAAAGAGACATAAGAGGCAGGACCCAAAGATTAGAAGGAGAATGATTATGACAGGTCCAAGGAGTGGGAGTAGCCAGGAGGCCCAGGAGCTGAAGGGCCATAGGGGCCAGGAGGGCCAGGGGGAAGAACTGTTTTCCCTGATTTTTGAGCCCGGTCCTTTAATTTTTTAACTGCATCTTGAACCAGGCCTGACTGAAATAGAAGCAGCATTCTTCATCTAGGAAGACGCAGATACCTCCTTTTTCTGCGGTAAGTAAATCGAGGCCCCTGCGGCTTTGAAGACCTACTGCGGCTAGGGAGTCTAGTTGGGCCTGGAGGGTTGATACAGTGGATGCTAGGTCATCAGTGTTATCAGAGAGGTCCTTGGATAGGGATTTGTAGTAATAGGTAGAGGTTGCAATTCCTGCGACTCTAGTTCTTGCAGCTGCCATAATGCCTAACCCTATTAGCAGGGGTATAAGCTGTATGGCTCAGCGTCTGCGGGATAATGTTTGAATTTGGAAGGGTAAGGGTCTATCCCCAGGGGCTATGTCTATTTTTGGACTAAGGAAGACTAGCGTGCAGGTTCCTGTCCAGTTAGTGGGTAAGCAGAGCTAGGTGGAAGTGCCACAGAGAAAGAATATGCCCTGGCTAGGAAGGCAAAATTGGAGGTCTTTGGCAAAGAGGGGCTTTAGGATCTTGTTTTCTGATCGCCAAGCGGAGAGAGAGGAAGACAGGGCCGCCCCGGTGAGTGGTTGGAAGGGATGGGTTGAGGTTAGTTGGCTAGCCCTACTGTTTTGTTTTCCCAGTGTAGGAGGAAATATTATGTGTCCACTAAAAGTTTTTCCCCAGTGGGGGCTCTGGCTACCTGAGTTGTGGACAGTTGGAGGCTGGGCGGGGGCTAGGGCATGGAGTCCATCCTGCAATTATCATACAGGGTTTGTGTGGATTGATGCAGAAACCTGAGTTTATTGTGTTGAGATTAGTGGTTTGTATTTTTGGGGGACCAGAAATTTTGAGTATTTGAGTGGGATTGTATACTGTTAGCGGCTGGATACCAGCAGGTGGGCTGAGTTGTAGGGTGTAGTTACATGAGCCGGTGGGGAGAGTGCCTAAAGGGGTTCCTGAGGGAAGGTCGTGCTGTATACAAAGGGGTGCCTGTTGGTCTAATTTGGCATCAGATGTAAGTGTCCCTAAGATAAGTTTGCTCCTGGAGGTGTAGCGGGTGAGGTTGGTTTTATAACTTTTAAGTGCATTTACCCCTCCGAAGCTTCGATAGTGAGGATGGAGTGTCAGGTTGGTAAGGGTCCAATCTTTAAGTGGGACCAGGAAGGCAATTTTTGATGTGGTTTCTGAGGAATGGACACAAAACCAGCAGTTACGTGCGAGGTCAGGATTGGTTTGATTAAGTATTGTGTGTGCCTGTTGGATGGTTCGTTGTAGATGGAGTCGTAGTGAGGAGGAGAAGGGAAGGAGGAGTAAGCAGGCAAAGGATAAGAGTGAAGGTGAAGAAATTGGTCTCACCTGGGCTAAACTCACGAATAGGGCTCTTTGGAAGGTGAGATCAGTTACCCAGTTAAGGAGTGCTGTGAGGGTGGGTTGTTCTGGGTAAGAAAGAGAGTGAAGTGGCAAGACAGGGCAAAGGCAGGACATTTAGGAGGGGCAGTCACTTATTAGTGGCCTTTATTCTGCTATGAGGAGGATTATGAAGCTAGAGTTCCACCCTGGGGGTGTTACAGTATCTCTTCCTACGGCAAAGAGCAGAGTAAGTAAGGCAACTCCTATAAGGGCAGTGCAGTAAATGATTCCCATTAATGAGGGTTTCGATATTTAACAGTAAGGGGTGGTAACTTATCTGTTATGTTTCTTGGCGGAGGGGGTGGGTTGGCGTCTTCTGGGATGGGTGTAAGGCTGAGTCAGGTTGGTCCAAGGAGGGTGCTGGAGTATTTACAGGGAACAGCTGGTTACAGTATTTACAGGGAACAGTCGGTGGCAGGTCAGTTGCAGGAGCCCTTTTTAACCTGGAAAGATGGTACCAAGAGTTACGTCCTGACAGCTTGGCTGCAGTGGGGGTAGTGAGAAGAACTTGGAAAGGGCCTTCCCACTTTGGTTTAAAGTTTGTTGGAGTGACGGTTTTTAGGAAGTATACTCTCCTGGGAGGAGAGTTTGGTCGGCGGGACCTTGGTGGGGTTTTGGGAGGGCCTGGTCAGCTTGCTCGCGGAAGAGATGACGGATGAGGGAGAGTATTGGGAGGTGAGAGTTAGTGGGGGTATGTTTTGTAAGAGGAAAGGGTGTCCATACATTACTTGAAAGGGACTGAGGAAGGAGGGGGCTTTTGGACTGGCTCTGATGCGGGCCAGTGCTATGGGTAAAAGGGAGGTCCGTGGTTTTTTGACTTCAAGAGTGAGTTATTTTGGTTAACTGAGTCTTGAGAATTCCATTTGCCCTTTCGACTTTTCTGGATGACTGGGTTCGGTATGGGATATGGAGGCGCCACTGGATCCCAAGGGACTGGGAGACTTGTTGGGTGATTTGGGAGATAAAGCTAGGGCCATTGTCTGATTGTATGGACCGAGAGAGACCAAGTCTAGGGATGATTTCTGTTATAAGAATTTGAGAGACTTCTGCAGCTTTTTTCGACGGGGTAGGAAATGCTTCTACCCAATCTGAGAAGGTGTCCATGAGGCTAAGAAGATATTTGGGTTTTTTTTGACGGGAGGCATGTGGGTGAAGTCCACTTGCCAGTCCTCCCCTAGAAGTGTTCCTCTGAGCTGATGTGTAGGGATGGAGGGAGAGCGGAAGGCCCCTTGGGAGGAAGTAACAGAGCATATAGGACAGTTTGAGGTTATGTCTCTTAGTGAGGTGAATATACGGGGGGAGGAGAAATAAGGGCGAAAGAGCAGGTACAGGGGGTGCGCACCAATATGGAAGGATTGGTGAAGAGATGTCAGAATTAGGCCGGGCGCGGTGGCTCACGCGGGTAATCCCAGCACTTTGGGAGGCTGAGGCGGGCGGATCACGAGGTCAGGAGATCGAGACCATCCTGGTTAACATGGTGAAACCCGGTCTCTACTAAAAATACAAAAAATTAGCCGAGTGTGGTGGCGGGTGCTTGTGGTCTCAGCTACTTGGCAGGCTGAGGCGGGAGAATGGCGTGAACCTGGGAGGCAGAGGTTGCAGTGAGCCGAGATCGCACCACTGCACTCCAGCCTGGGCGACACAGCAAGACTCCGTCTAAAAAAAAAAAAAAAAAAGTCAGAATTTCCTTGGTCTCCTCTTGGGGGAGGACGAACTCTTGATTTTTGATTAATCCTCTTGAAGGGAGGCTCCTTGCTGTAGTAGTGAAGCCTTTTCGGTGGGAGAGTACTTGGGTTGGGTTGGATTGCTGGGGTAACAAGGAGGAGGGGGGCAGGGACAGAAGAAAGGGAGTCTTCTTTTCCTGCCTTATCGGCCTTTCTGTTATTTCTTGAGATTTCATCTGATCCTGTTTGATGTCCTCAAAAGTGCATAACTCCTGCTTTAGTTGGGAGGTGTGAGGCCTGAAGAAGTTGGTAAATAAGGGGGCCGTTAGTGATGGGGGTTCCTTGGGCAGTAAGGAATCCTCTCTCTTGCCAGATGGCGGCATGAGAATGGAGGATGTGATAGGCATATTTGGAGTCTGTGTAAATGTTGACTCATTTGCCTTTGGAGAGGGTAAGGGGTCTGGTGAGAGCTATGAGATCTGCTTTTTGGGAGGAGGTTCCTAGGGGTAGGGGCTTAGCCTCAATTACTTGGTTTAAGGTAACTACTGCATACCTAGCAATTTTGGGAGAGCCGGTGGCTCCGGAAGAGGAGCCATCTGGGTATAGTTGGTCATTATATTGACCAATAGTTGGTCAATAGGAGGCTCAGAGGAGATGTTAGGGAAGTGTGGTTGCAGGTGGTCTAGAATTTCAGTACAGGAGTGGGAAGGAGGCAAGGAAGATAATGGAATTAGAGATGCGGGGTTAAAGGGGGGAACTTTTGGCAGGACAGAACTCGGGGTTGTCAAGAAATAGGGCATGAAAAAGCTGGATGTGGGACGGGGGAGAATGCTTAATGCTTGGGAGGAAAGGAGGTCTTATAGATTATGTGGACTGTGGATGGTGGTATCTTGACCGAATGTTAGCTTTTTACTTTCTATGGCCAGGGTGGCAGCTGCCGCTAGAGCTCTGAGGCAGGTTGGCCATCCTCAAATGGTATTGTCCAGCTGTTTGGAAAGCTAGGCTATGGGGGCAAAAGATGGAGGACTTCGTTCTGGTTGGCCAAGTATGCCAAGGGCTATTCCTTGGCTTTCAGTTGTGTAGAGGGTGAAGGGCTGGGAAATATCAGGCAAACATAGGGCTGGAGCGATTATAAGGGCGGTTTTAAGTTTGTGGAAGCTAGGGGCTATGTTGTCGTAGGGATTTAGGTGCTCCTTTAGGGGGCCTTTGGCTGCTTCATAGAGGGGGTGAGCTAAGAGGGCAAAGTTGAGGATCCATATTCTGAAAAAGCCTGCTAGCCCTCGGAAGGAAAGAATTTCACTTTTTGAGGAACATGGAGATAGGTTGCCCATTAAGGCTGCTCATGCTGGGGTCATGGCTTGGGACCCGGTAGAGAGTTGAACTTCTAGGTAGGTCACACTAGGGGTGGAAAGCTGTGCTTTGGATGGGGACACTCTATAGCCTTTAACAGCAAGAAAATTGAGAAAGGTGGCAGTGTGGACATGGGAGTCTTTTAGGGAGCAGCTGCAGAGAAGGAGGTCATCTACATACTGGAGAAGGAGGCTGGGGGATAGGTTTAACGAGGCAAGGTCTTGGGGTAGGGCTTGCCCAAAGAAATGGGGGCTATCCTTGAAGCCTTGCTTGAAGATCATTAGCATGTGCCTGAGATGTGAGCCACACTTTTTCCTTCTCTTCTGGGAAGATAGTGGAAGAGAGGACAATATAGAGATCATGCCAAGTGAGTTCTTAAGATTGGGTAAGGTATTTGAAGTCTTTAATATAAGTGTCGGGATTGGAGGAAAACGACCCGAGATGTTTTTCAATTTGGGAAAGGTCAGAGAGGGAGAAGGGAACGTGGACACGAATGATTCCTTCAACTCTGGCAACCTCTCGGAGGGGAAGTATGGAGACTGGTTGTTGGACGTGCTCAGTTCGAGAGCGGGTATGAGGTGGAGAGATGGGGAGGAATCAGATTCAGAAGCTGGGTGGTTAGAGAGGGGAGGGGAAAGAGATAAGGCAGGAGCGGGAGTGTATGGTGGAGGATCGTGATGATCTGATGGAGGATTATGATGTTGCCAGGGAGGTGGAAAGCCGGCGGGGTCAAAGGAGGAGTTGTCGCTTGCTGTGAAGGGGGGGTCTGCTGAGAGTAAATTGGGCTTAGAGCGGGTGAGGAGGATTTGGAAATCGGAGAAGGATTGGCAAAGTGAAGAGCGGTTACAGAGGGTGACGAAAGCCTGAACATAAGGAATTTCAGACCATTTTCCATCGCAATGGCAAAAATTGTCTAAGTCCCTGAGTATATTGAAATAGAAAGTACCATTTTCAAGCCACTGGGAGCCTATGTCTAATTTATATTGTGGCCAAGCCGTATCACAATAGAAAATAAGCCTCTTGGGACAAACTTTTGCACAAAAACTGAGAGTCTCAAGGTTGCACAAGTGACCCCAGGGGGGTTGCTTTAGACAGAGTAGATTGATAGGCTCCCATGGTGAATGGAGGAGATGGTTGAGGAAGGAGAGAGACTGCCGGTGGCAAGGACCGGGGGAGAGGACGTCCCCAGTCCTGTGGGCCTTGTTTAGTATACAGAAGGCAACCACCCAGTCAGGCGTCCCTGAAACAGAGGAGTCGGAGGCCTAGAGGCCGGAGGGAGCCCTTGGCCCAGCACTGGGTCTTTTGGGAAGACAGAGACGGTCAAGGGTCCCGGGTAGATGGCAAGGGTCTCTCTTACTCACCCCTTTGCAGACTATAGTGATGGATGAAGTCACCAACAATGGGAGGGTCCCAGAAGTCCTCTGGGTCTTTGGCAGGTTTGGGAAGGGGGAGTTCAGCCAAGGGAAGTGGGGGTGGTGGTTAGGAAAGAGAGAGAAAGGGAGGCCGAACTCTACCACCTTCCTGGGTTTTGGCACCAAAATAAAAGGTTAGCCAAGAGAAACGACGAGTAGACCCAAAGACAGGCAAGCAATTTTTATTTGTCCTGCCAGGCTGTTCCTTGACAGGCAGAGGAGGCAGCCTTGCTTACAGACTGCAGCAGGGCTTTACAGGGCGAGGAACTGGGTCGGGGTGTGTGAACCGAGTTGGGGGTGCAGGTGTCTTGACTGCATCCTGGTGATGTTTTTGCCAGCTTTGGTTAGCAGGTGTTCTGACCGCATCCTGGAACTGTTTGCCAGTTCAGCTGAAGTCTTCTGGACAAACAGTTACTGGAAGGGTCAGTGCAGGGCGGCAGTGGGGGTTGCCTTTAGCCCTGGGGGAGCTGTGCGGAGGTCACAAAGGACTGTATTGTAAGACCTATGCGAAAGGAGGGGAACTGGTCGGGGTGACCCTAACACTCTGCACTGGTTATTCTTTCTCGAAGGCTCTTCTCCCAGGTATTTCCATGACTCCCTGCCTCATTCAGGTGTCTGCTCAGAATACCACCTCCTCAGAGAGGCCTTCCCTCACCTGTCCACCTGGACTTCTCTAACCCCTTACTCATTTTTTTTTTCATTGTGTTCATCACAACCTGACATATATCCAATTATTGATCATGCCCGTCTCCCCTGTTCAAACGCTGAGCTCCATGAATAAGGGCGGGAATCTTTCCTGTTGTGGCCACTGTGGGGGAAGGGATGAGGGGACTGGTCATCACAATGACTGGCAGTTACAAGGGTGGCGCCAGGGACTCCAGACAGCCCTGGAAGGAAGGCAGATTCTACATCCTGCACAACATAAGTGAAAGGCTTGTTTTTCATTACCAGAGCCAAGGCTCTAACTCCATTTTGCATATAAACACAAAGAGTGTATGCATTCTACTATACATTGAATTTTCCAGGAATGCAACTACTGTGTAAAGAGAAGGAAACGTGCACTTCATTGTGTTCAGAACTTTACCAAATTCATCGTTTCAGACGTTGACACCACCACACCCGAGCATCAGTCTGTACACAGAGCTGTGACCTCCCCAGCAACTGGGCACTTCACAAACACATTATCATTACCTTTTATTTCTTATATATTAATAAGGACAAAAAAACCATTGGATGATTTTTAATTAGATGTAAAGGCTGGCATATTAGCCATAAATTTCATTTCAGGAGCATAAAGGGAGCAACAGCAAGCATTATGAAAAGGCAGCTTTGGGTCTGAGGGGTGGAGAATGATGGCCTAGAGTTGCCCCATGGAAAGCGGTGGGGAGCATGGGCTCTGCAGTCCAGTCCAGGCCACTACTTGCAGCCATGTGACTCCACAGGCACTGCTTAACCTCGCTGAGCCTCACTTCCTTCTTGGCAAATGTGAGCCACGCTACAAACTGCACAGGGTTCCTGGGAAGACTGAAGGGCGGAGTGTGCATAGCATTTGGCAGAGTGCCAGGTGCCAGAAAGGGTACTCAATGTCCCTATTATTGTTTTCTTGTTGTTGCTGTTGTTTTGTTTGTTTTGAGACAGGGTCTTCCTCTGTCATCCAGGCTGGAGTACAGTGGCACGATCACGGCTCACCATAGCCTTGATCTCCTGGGCTCAAGCGATCCTCCCACCTTAGCCTCCTGAGTAGCAGGAACTATAGGTGTGTGCTACCGTGTCCAGCTAATTTTTGTAGTTTTCTGTAGAAATGGGGTTTCGCCATGTTGCCCAGGCTGGTCTCAAACTCCTGGACTTCAGTGATCTGCACACCTCGGCCTCCCAAAGTGCTGGGATTACAGACGTGAGCCACCACACTGGGCCTATGATTGTCCATTTAGCAAATTTTTGCCAGTACCCTCTTTCCAGCAGCTGTCCCAGGTGCTGGGGTCATGGGGACACTCAAAGGACTCAGGAGGCCCCCGGTGAGTCTCCCTCTTCCCTCCATCCAAGACCTATCCCCGTGGTAGGGTGAGGCCCATGTCAACGGCAGAATAGCCAGGGCAAGCCTTCAGTTTGGCCACTGGGGCCGGGAGCAGAGCTGTGCTTGGGTTTGCACTGGGTCCTGAATATGCCAGCACTCACAAGTCCCCTCCCATAGGCTCTGGATCTCTCGGCCCCCCAACCTTCCATCAAGGCCTGTCCTTCCTGTGTTTCATCTTAGCAGTACTCTCCGTGCTTTCCAAGGTGACAAATCTCTAGTCTCACAGGCAGATAGGAGGGCAGAGAAGCAGTCAACAAGCAGGCAGGTGAGCAGACAGCAGATAAGTCCTGGGCAGATAGGCAGCGAGGAGGTAGGGAGGAGATGGGCAGGTGGATAGTTGGGATGAGGGCCAGAACAGCAGGTGACACACGTGCAGAGATCCGAAGCGGGTGGCTGGGCTGACCCACGGACAGGCTGGTGGGCTGGGGAGCAGCAGGCAGTCAAGCAGCTAGGCAGGGGGTGGGGAGGGCATGTGGACCATGGGGACAGCCACATTGGCCAAAGGTTTCAGGGACCTTCCCCAGGGCCTCCAGGAGCAGTGCTTCTCAAAACCCTCCAGGGCAAGGCTGCCGCTTCTCCCACCTGGCCTGGCTTGGCCACGGCAAGCCCCTGGAGAAGACAGCACTCTGGTTAATGTGCGTCCCTCTCTCTGAAGCAACCAGCAACCATCATCTCAACCCTCATCCTGCTCCACTAGGGCTGAGTCATACCTGACCCACTCCAAACACATATGTCACATACCAACCCAGACACAAACATACTTTTGCCTGCAGGCAGAGATACAGAGAGCTGCGTAGCACAGAGGTGCATGGAAACAGCTTGACAGAAACAGATCCAAAATTTTAGACTGCACATAGAGGAGCACACATGTGGACTCTCACAGACACAGGTCTGTGCCACATGAACTGAGGCACTGAGGCACACAACACACGTAGTCATACAAGCACACTGTAGCACACACCGATATTCCCGTGGATGGCAGGCATTAAACATGCTCATGCACTCCCAGCAATGCTGCACATAAATAAGCTACCTGTGCAAACAGTCACTGACATACACCCCTTGAAGAAACAGGAATACAACCCACAGAAACTCAATATTGCTGATGGTCTTCAAATCTCGGCCAAGGCAGTGGGCAAATTCTGGCCTCATCTTCACCTCTCAGCCCAATCACACATGGCTGATCACATCCCTGTTCTGGCCTGGTTCTCCTTGCTGACTTCACCTCCAGGAGACCCCTCAATGGGCTCGAGCTTCAGACCCTTCTCTCTCTGCCCCCTTACCCCAGATGTTCGGTCTCATCCACTTCTGGGGTGGTAAATCCATCTTATGTGGTAAGGACTCTCAAATATCATTTTCAGCCAGATTCCTGGGGGTTCTACTTGCATTGCCAACACCTGCACCTGGATATCTAATGGACATTTCAAGTCTAACCTATCTACAGTGAAACTGACTACCCCCAAACCTGCTTCCCCACATGGGCTTTCCTCAGGTGCCCCAGCCCAGTATGAAAGTGTTCTAAACTCCTCTCTCCCTCACATTCAAGTCCAGTGCAGGAACTCCCTTCAGAACACCACCTGAGTCTGAGCCCTCTCGCCTCTCCACCGGCCCCGCCCTCACTGGCTTGGACAGCTGCCAGCCTACTCACCACCCTCCCTGCTCCCCTTCTTGCCCACAGTGGCCCACCCTACACTGAGCCACCACAGGGATCTTTCCAAAATGTGTCACAGGGCCATGACACTCCCCTGCTCAACGCTCCAGGAGCTCCCCACCACACTTACATTAAAAACCAAGCTCCTGGCCGGGCACGGTGGCTCACACCTGTAATTCCAGCACTTTGGAGGCCAAGGTGGGCAGATCACCTGAGGTCAGAAGTTCGAGACCAGCCTGACCAACATGGAGAAACCCCATCTCTACTAAAAATACAAAATTAGCAGGGTGTGGTTGTGCATGCCTGTAATCCCAGCTACTCGGGAGGCTGAGGCAGGAGAATCACTCGAATCCGGGAGACAGAGGTTGCAGTGAGCAGAGATCGCGCCTTTGTACTCCAGCCTGGGCAACAAGAGTGAAACTCCGTCTCAAAAAAAAAAAAAAGAAAGAAAGAAAGAAAAAGCTCATCAACAAGGCCATCGAGTCCCTGCACGGGCAGCCCCTGCCACTCTCCCCTGCACCCACACACCATCTGCGTGGCTTTCTTCCCTTGGAGGGAGGTATCCCAAGCATGTTCTTACTCCTGCCCAGACACTCTCCCCAGATCCTGGCACAGCTGCCTCCTCCTTAGGATTCAGGTCTCACTGTGGATGTCCCTGTGAGAGCCACTCCCAGGTGTTGTCCATCGCATTACCCTATCCTGTCATGCCCCCCAGCACTTAGAAGCATCTGAGATTATCTTCTATTGTTTCTCCAATTTAGTGTCAGCTCCATGAGGGCAAGGATTTGTGTCTGTTCTGTTTATTGTTAAATCCCCATTAAAACTATTCCTCAGGGCTGGGCGCGGTGGCTCACGCCCGTAATCCCTGCACTTTGGGAGGTCAAGGCAGGTGGATCACGAGGTCAGCAGATCGAGACCATCCTGGCTAACATGGTGAAACCCGGTCTCTACTAAAAATACAAAAAATTAGCCAGGCGTGGTGGCAGGCGCCTGTAGTCCCAGCTACTTGGGAAGCTGAGGCAGGAGAATGGCATGAACCTGGGAGGCAGAGCTTGCAGTGAGCCGAGATCGCGCCACTGCACTCCAGCCTGGGTGACAGAGCGAGACTCCGTCTCAAAAACAAAAACAAACAACAAAAAAAAAACTGTCCCTCAGTATTCTCAGGGGATTGGCTCCATGACCTCCCTCCCATAGACACCAAAATCCAAGGATCCTCAAGTCCTTGATGTAAAATAAATTGGTTCAGTATTTGCATTTAACCTATACACATCCTCCTGTATACTTTAAATCATCTCTTGATTACTTATAATATCTAATATAATGTAACCGCTATGAAAATACACTATTGGCCGGCATGATGGCTCACACTTGTAATCCCAGCACTTTGGGAGGCTGAGGTGGGTGGATCACTTGAGCCCAGGAGTTCAAGACCAGCCTGGGCAACATGGCAAAACCCCATCTCTACAAAAATTAGCCAGGCATGGTGGTGCACGCCTGTGGTCCCTCCCAGCTACTTGGGAGAATGAGATGGGAGGCTCACTTGAGCCCAGGAGGTAAAGGTTGTGAATGAGCTGAGATAGCACCTCTGTACTCCAGCCTGGGTGACAGAGTGAGACCCTGTCTCAAAGAAAAAAAATTAAATATATCTATTGTTTAGGAAATAATGATAAGAAAAAAAGTCTGTACATGTTCAGCACAGATGCAATTTTGGTTTTGAATATTTTTGATGCAAAGTTGGTTAAACCCACAGATGCTGTGGACTAGACTAGGAAGTGCTAGGCATACACAGTATTTGTTGACTAGTGGCTGCACAGATTTATATACAGACATACCCGCCCCCACAACAATACTCAAATACATCACATTAATAGACAAATATACAGATGTGGGCAAAAATACCTGCCCGCACATTCACAGAACACACTAAACAGTCACAAAGACACCCAGGAGTCCCTTTTCCATCCCCATAGGAGTCAGTCCTAGTCCTCCCCCATCTAGATCTGCCCTCTACTTGAACCCAGTCTCGGGACTGGGGGAGTAGGGGTCTGCAGCCCGGACAGGGAGAGGGTCGCTGGCCCACAGGCCTCAGGCAGCGCCTTCAGCTATGTCTGCAATTTCCTCTCCCCCTTTCCTCCTCCTCTCTAAGGCTCCCGCCAAGGCGGCCTCCCCCTCATTCTAGCTCCAGCAAGGGAGGGGAGGTCCATGATGGGGGGGCCCCGTGGAGACAGGGCAGAAGGAAGCCCCCCGCCACACACACTGATCACACACCACATTGCATGCACAAGCCCAGGTGGGAAATGCGTGTGTGAGCACAGGCAGGTTTAGCCTTGGGGTGGGGGACGGGATGGGGTGGGATCTGCCACAAGCCGCCACAAGCTGCTTGGTGCACAAGAGCGCAGGAGCTCGCAGGCACAGAGGCCCCACGCTGGGGTCTGCGAGACTGCTGGCCGGGCCCTGGCTCAAAGCTGGAGTCCAACAATCATTAACCCTGCGTGACTAGACCAGAGCTCGGCCAGGGGACACATTCAAGCCTGGGCCCTGGAAGGAGGGGTGGACAGTCCCCTCCCTTCCAGTCCAGCATGGGTCTGGGGAAGAGAAGCAGCTTTGCCTGGAAGGGGCCTCCTAGGAGGGGGAGCGGTGGTTTCTAGCTCAGGCTTTAGGATCAGAGAGCAGCAGATTCAAATCCTGACGGTTTTGGTAAAGTCAATTCAATCTCTCCAAGACTCCGTTTATTTGATCTGCGAAGTGGGGATAATGGTATCACGTCGCAGGGTTGTCAGGCGGAGTAAGTGAAAGAACCTGTCCAAGGTTTAGCCCTTGGCCCGCACGCAGGCAGAGCTCCAGCCTCTCTGTTGTTGCTGTTAGTGGCCTGGGGGCGGGTCCCTGCCGCGGCCTCCCCGGCGGTTTCCTGTGGGGGACGGACGGCCCGCGGGCCGGGCTCTCCCTCCTCCCGGCTGCCCGCTCCTCTCCCCTTCCTCTCCCAGCCCTTTTCCTCCCCGCCTCCCCGCCCGCCCCGCCCCGCCCCGTCCCTCCTCTTTCCTCGGAGGAAACTTTCCGCCGGCTGGTCCCTCGGTCCGTGTCCCGCCCGTGCTGCCGCGGCCTGGGAGCCCAGCGGGGCCGGAGGGGCGGCGGGACCCGAGCGGGCGGGGGCGGCCGGACCCAGTGTATGCGGCCGCGGGACGCGCTGGGGCCGGGCAGCCGGGAAGCGGGGCGCTGACGGTGAGTGGGCCTGGCCCCGGGCCGGTGGGTCCCCGCGGGGCGGCCGGGCGAGGAGAGAGGCAGCTTCCCTTCCCGGAGCCCGCCTGGGGCGTGGAGGCTCAGCGTCCCTATCCTCCATCCCGCCCCGGGACGGCGGAACCGGGCCTCAGCTGGGGACCTCACCAGGGGGCGGGGCCTCCCGCGGTCCCCGGCGCTGCTCCCAGGACTGGAGGGGCGTCCGCGCCCGGGAGAGGGGTTCCCCCCGACAGGGCCCCGGGCCGCCACGAAGTTAGGGAAGCGCTCTCTCCAGGGTGGAACCTGGGCCCGCGGCTCCCGGGAGAGGAGCTGCCCGCGGAAGGGGTCGGGGTG
Source organism: Homo sapiens (assembly GCF_000001405.40). Taxonomy (NCBI): domain Eukaryota; kingdom Metazoa; phylum Chordata; class Mammalia; order Primates; family Hominidae; genus Homo; species Homo sapiens. Next base: position 36,323,110 of record NC_000001.11, on the reverse strand, counting down.
GGCTCCAGGCTGGGAGAAGGATCTGACTTTGCTGACCTCGCAGGCTGGTAGGGGAGCTGCCCCCCAGAGCAGCATGGATGCCCCGCGAAGGGACATGGAGTTGCTCAGCAACAGCCTGGCTGCCTACGCGCACATCCGCGGTGAGGGCGGGCGCCGGAAGACTGGGGGCCTGAACCCTTCCCTGACCACCATCCCCTTCCCTCCCCAGCGCCTTGTCCGTCCCCTCCGCCCCGCTCCCCGCCCTCTTGCCCGCTGGCGGTTCCCTAATGCCCTTCGAGTAGGGGTTACAGGCCTCGCCCCCACACCTAGAACCTGGGGTCTTTCGGAAGTGGGACAACCCCCACCCGTCCGGGCCTCTCCGTGACCCCCGCCCTGTGCCCCGCAGCCAACCCCGAGAGCTTCGGCCTCTACTTCGTGCTGGGCGTCTGCTTCGGCCTGCTGCTCACCCTCTGCCTGCTCGTCATCAGCATCTCGTGGGCGCCCCGCCCGCGGCCCCGGGGCCCGGCTCAGCGCCGGGACCCCCGCAGCAGCACCCTGGAGCCCGAGGACGACGACGAGGACGAGGAGGACACGGTGACTCGGCTGGGCCCCGACGACACGCTGCCGGGCCCCGAGCTGTCCGCAGAGCCGGACGGGCCCCTCAACGTCAACGTCTTCACGTCGGCGGAGGAGCTGGAGCGGGCGCAGCGGCTGGAGGAGCGCGAACGGATCCTGCGGGAGATCTGGCGCACCGGGCAGCCGGACCTGCTGGGCACAGGCACGCTGGGGCCCAGCCCCACGGCCACGGGCACCCTGGGCCGCATGCACTATTACTGATGGGCCCCGGCTCCCGCTGCAAGGCGCTCGGGGTACCGGACCTGCACATGAGCTCAGAGCTACCCCACACCTTCGGACTGCCTCGGCCCCCACAGCTCCCAGGTGCTACTGGGCGTGGACCGCCACCCCCTGAGAGGCTCCCTTCCCCAGTCCTGCCAGAAGACCCCGGGGGCGGGGAGGGGGCAGCATGCAGGGTCCCCACTCCCTCTCTGGGGTCGATGAAGAGGTGAAGTGACCAAATGAAAGAAAGCTGCATTCTCAGTGACTCAGTCTCTCCCTCTGTTACTCCTGCCCCCAGCGACCCCCAGGCTCCTGCCACGCAGGGGCCCCAGGACTGAGGCCCAGCTTGACTCCCTTACCCTAGCTGCACCACCCCCACCCACCAACCCGACGATACAGCACACCTGCCCGCATTCACTTCACAGCCAGCAGAAAAGCAGAAGCCCACAGGCCTGCACCCAGCCTCACACACAGAGCAAGCGCGCGCGCATTCCTTATTCAAAACGCATTCCTTACCGGCAAACGCCTGGACACACGTCGCCCTGTCCCCACAGTGCCCTGGGTTCATACACTGCAATGACACACACACCAGGCCTCAGGACCCTGACCTCGAGGCTAAGGTGCTGCTAGCCCCGGTGTAAGCATGCGTGCTTGGGCTGGACGGTGGACTTCACGTCTGCGCCGAGGTGCGTTCAAGCGAGAGGGCAGGAGTCCCTCTGAGCGGACAGGGAGGCCAGCTGGGAGGGGTCCGAGCTGGCGAGAAGGCCCGCCCGGCTCCTCCCCGGCGCACAGCTGGATTCCGGAATCTAGGCCGGGCGTCAAGAGCCCGACCCCGCCTGGGCCCCTCCTGCCCGCCATTTCTCCAGTGCGCGGCTGGAGTCCGAAGGAGACACCCTCCCCCGCCCCTCACCATCCGGTGGATAAAAATAGCCGCGCGCAGGCCTTGGGAACGGTAATGGGAGCCACATGTTGGCCAGATGTGCCTGGGAGGGACCGTCAGGAATGCGGAGGCCCAGGCCCTGCCCCCGCGCAGGCCCCGCCCCCAGCGACCAGACCGGCGTGGCGCCGTGCTAGGCAGAGTTTACTTTCTCGCGTTTCCCAAAGTCGTGTGCAAGGACGTGGGTGGCCCCAGCCAGGTCAGGCCGCGGTCCCTTCCCAGGCCCACCCTCAGTAGGTCTGCGTCTGCGTGTGGATGACGCGCGGGGTCTGGGACTTCTGGGTCCCCTGCATCACCTGGACCTGGTCGGGAGTGAGGTGGAGACTTTGTCAGGGGGCCACTCGCCGTCAGCCCCCTCCCGCCGGGACCCGCGCCTCACCTCCAGCCGCCGGCGCTGCTCCTTCTCGCTCTTCAGCTCCTCCCAGATGTCGGTCAGCTTCCTCCTGCGGGCCGAGGCGGAGGTGAGGGGCTGGGCAGGTGAGGGCTGGAGGTGAGGGGCTGCGCAGGTGAGGGCTAGGGGGAACCCTACCTTCCACAACCCCCGCCACTGCCCACTCACTCCAGCTGCACCTCCATCAGCTCCAGCGCCCTCCTTAGAGACTCCACCTCGCCCCTCAGCGACGTTACATCAACTCCTTCATTCTTGTTTTCCGTGTAGTTTTGCGGGACCAGCGAGGGGAGCGCGAGCGTCTCTTGGGAGTCTGGAGGCGGCTTGATAGGACGTGTTTTTTGGGCAAAGGCTCTTTCTATGGGGGGCACCTCCTCTTTTGGAGCCACTTCCTCTTTAGGGGGCAATTCCTCTTTCAGGGTCACCTCCTCTTTGGAAGCCACTCCCTCTTTGGGGAGCACCTCCTCTCTCAGAGGCCTCTGCTCGTTGGGGGGCGCCTCCTCTTCAGGGGTCCTCTCGTCATTGGAAGGTGCCTCCTCTGGAAGGGTTGTAGCCTCTTCGTGGGGGTGGGGCTTCTCAAGGGCAGGCCTGGATGCTGGCCCAGACTTCAACTCAGCCTGGCGTGGGGAGCTGTCCCCTCTAACTAGGGTACATTTCATCTCTCCCAGGCACCTCTCTGAGGAAGGAGGCTGGGGTGGGGGTGCCTCTGGCGTGTGGGCCTCCTCCTGGGATGATGGATCCTCTTTGGCTACAAAGTACTTGACCTTCTGCAGGGCTTCCTCCGAAGAGAAGTGATGGAATTGAATGTCATCTCTGGTGGACACCTCTTCTTCAGAAAGCTCTGGGGTCAAGACCTTTTCTAGAGTGGGGGCCTCATCCCCCAGAGGGGCCATCTTTGGATTAGGGACTTTATCCATAGGTGGGGCTTCTAGGGCAGGGGACTCTTCCACTGAAAAGACCCTCTCTGGAGTGGAGGGTTTGTCCACAGTCAGGGTCTCCTCTGGGATGATGGAGTTCTCTGGGATAGAAGCCTTGTCCTCCGGAGTCACCATCTTCTCTGGGGTGGGGACTTTGTCAGGAGCTGGGATCTTCCCCGAGGTGGAGTTCCCTGGGATAGAGGCCTTGTCCCCTAGAGTGAGGGTCTTCTCTGGGGAGGGGACTTTGTCAGGAGCCGGGATCTTCTTGGAGCTGGGGGCGTTCTCTGGAGCTGGGGGCCTCTCTGGGGTGGCAGTCTTGTCCGGCATGGGGGTTCTCTTCACAGAGGGGGCCTTTACCGGGCTGCTGTGCTCTTCCTCCTGCCGTGATGGGAGGTGAAGTCTCAGCTGAGGTTGAGTCTGGTTCCCCTTGGCCTGGGAGACTTCACCCGTGCACACCACAGCTGGGAACCAGCCTCTGCCCAGCATCCCCACTCTCCCATGTCTCCCGCCCCTCACCTGACTGGACACAGAGCGTTGCTGGGGAGTCTGGGTTTTGGATCGCTTTCGGCCAGGGTGATACGAACCCCCACTTTGGAAGCCACCATTGGGGCCTAAGAGAGCAGAACCTCAGGGACCCAAGCCTACTCTGACCCTCAGTCTCTTCCCACCTCTGTCCCTCCGCACAGCCACCCCATCCCTGTCCTCCAGTCCTCCCCGCACTGGAGGAAGGCAGCCCTTGCCTGAGTCTCGGGAGGTGAGCTTCTGACTGTCCCTGCTGGGTGTCCGAGATGTCCTGGAACATATCTTCATCAGGCCCTCAGGGTGGGGCACAGGGAGGGGCGTTGCCTCCTACCCTCCTCCTTCCCCCAACCCCATCCTGCTCCTTACTTGGCTTTGCTGGGCCCAGTGGTGGCTGTTGCTAGCTTCTTGACTGTGGGGAGGGATGTTTTGGGCATCAACTTTTTTGGTTCCTTAATAGGAGCTGGGAAGAGAGGAGTGGAGCACTCATCCATCTGACAGTCGCTAGCCCTGTCTTGTGCTGTGTGCAGGGGACTATGGGCAGGAGGTTAATCTTGTTTGACTATGCGCCACTGCACCCGGCTAATTTTTGTATTATTATTATTATTATTATTATTATTATTATTATTATTATTTGAGATGGAGTCTTGCTTCTGTCGCCCAGTGGTGCGATCTCGGCTCACTGCAAGCTCTGCCTCCCTGGTTCACGCCATTCTTCTGCCTCAGCCTCCCGAATAGCTGAGACTACAGGTGCCCTCCACCACACCCGGCTAATTTCTTTTTGTATTTTTAGTAGAGATGGGGTTTCACCGTGTTAGCCATGATGGTCTCATCTCCTGATCTCGTGATCCACCTGCCTTGGCCTCCCAAAGTGCTGGGATTACAGGTGTGAGCCACTGCGCCCGGCCAATTTTTGTATTTTTAGTAGAGACGGGGTTTCACCATGTTGGCCAGGCTGGTCTCGAACTCCTGACCTCAAGTGACCCAGCCTGCCTCAGGCCTCCCAAAGTGCTGGCATTACAGGTGTGAGCCATCGCGCCCAGCCCACTCTCAGAATTCTTTATATTCTCTCTCATTTACTCTCTAAGAGATCTCACCCAGTCTTATGGGTTTAATTTTCATCAATAAGTCAATGACTCCCAAATTTTCATCTCTAGCTCCTTCCTCTCTGACTCCAGACTCATATCTGACTTCCCTCTCAATATTTACACTTGGAGAGCTGATGGGCATCACACTCTTAACATATCCCAAACCAATCTCTTGCTTCCCAAACCCATGCCCCTTGAACCTACCCCTTTCCCCACAGTCCCCATCTGGCTCATTTACCCACTTGTTTGGATGACAAATGACTCCTTTTATTTCCTTATGAGACACATCCAAACCATCAGCAAATCCTGTCCACACTACTGTCCAAATATTTCCTGAAGTCAATCACTTGTCACCACCTCCACCACTAAGTGCTCTAGATCAAGTCACCACCACCTTCACCTGGACATTCCAACAGCCTCCAACCTGGGATTTGGCTGTACCCATCCCACCTAGAGTGTGTTCTTCCCACAGCAGCCAGACTGAACTTGTGTTCTATTGGGGAAGCAGATATAAATACAAGGAGTAAAATACATAGTGTGTTAGAGAGTTATTAAGCGTGACTGACAAGACTAGGCAGAAGGGGCTAGGCGCGGTGGCCCACACCTGTAATCCCGGCACTTTGAGAGTCCAAGGTAGGCAGATCACTTGAGGTCAGGAGTTCAGGACCAGCCTGGTCAACATGGTGAAACCCCGTCTCTACTAAAAATACAAAAATTAGCCAGGCATGGTGGCGTGCGCCTGTAATCCCAGCTACTCCGGAGGCTGAGGCAGGAAAATCGCTTGAACCTGGGAGGGCAGAGGTTACAGTGAGCCAAGATCGCGCCACTGGACTCCAGCCTGGGCGACAAGAGTTAAACTCCGTCTCAAAAAAACAAAACAAAAAAACACTAGGCAGAGGAAGGAACCATTTTAAATGGGGTGGCCAGAGAAGGGCACACTAAGGTGACATCAGCATCACTTGAAGGCAGTTACACACAGTGACATTCAGATCCATAGAAAAACAGCCACTCTGGCATGTGCACAAGTGCTGATGTTAACTCCTACATATAATCACACGCAGATACGTATACAAATCCACAAATCTGACAGTGGTTGGGGGCATGGATCCCACAGCCAGACACCAGGCTCTGAATTTCAGCTCCACTCCTTGCTAGTTGTATGAGAACTTGCTAAGTGATCTATGCCTCAATGTCCTCATTCATAAAACATGGACAACTAACACACACCTTGTAGGGTGGTTGTGAGGTCTGAGTGACTTAATACATGCGAGGTGCTTAGAAGACTGTTTGGCAGCCAGATGGTCAAAGCTCAGTAAATGTTAACTTTGACTTCTTACATTCTTACAGTATGGCTGATTAGGTGCTCTGTAGGGTGCTCCCACTAGGAAGCAATTATATCCTGCTGAGGACACAATTTTGAGGCACCATTGGACTTAAAAGAGGTAAAGGAGGTCTACAAAAGAGAGGACTGGACTGGGTGCAGTGGCTCACACCTGTAATCCCAGCACTCCCAGTGGCTCACGCCTGTAATCCCAGTGCTTTCAGTCCCAGCTACGTGGGGGGCTGAGGCAGGAGAATCACTTGAACCTGGGAGGCGGAGATTGCAGTGAGCCAAATCACGCCATTGCACTCCAGCCTGGGTAACAAGAGCAAAACTCAGTCTCCAAAAAAAAAAAAAAAAAGAGAGAGAACTGAAGCCAGAAAGGCGGAGGGAGGGAGGGCAGCTCTGCTCTGTGGCTACTGAGCCTGGGCCCTGTGATGTGAAGCCAGGGCCTTGGGCTCTGCTCCCTCACCTCACCACAGGCCCCAAGCTCAGTACCACACAGCAGTGCTACCTTTCTTCAGGAGGACCGAAGCAGCTTCTGGTGGGTGGTGTTCTCTGGCTACTGGGAGAAGTAAAAGCAAATTCTCGGCCAGGCGCGGTGGCTCACGCCTGTAATCCCAACACTTTGGGAGACCGAGGCAAGTGGATCACCTGAGGTCAGGAGTTCGAGACCAGCCTGGCCAACATGGTGAAACCTCATCTCTACTAAAACTACAAAAATTAGCCAGGCGTGGTGGCGCGTGCCTGTAATCCCAGCTACTGGGGAGGCTGAAGCACGAGAATTGCTTGAACCCGGAAGGAGGAGGTTGCAGTGAGCTGAGATCGCATCATTGCACTCCAGCCTAGGCGACAGAGCGAGACTTCATCTCAAAACAAAACAAAACAAAACAAAAAATAAAAGCAAATTCTCGCTGGAAGAAGTCTTCTTCTACTAAGGCCTGCAAGAGTCCCACAGATTAAAATCCAGCTATCAGCTCATAAATAAAGGTCATAAAACACGCTAGAGGGCAGGTCACCAAGAATGGAGTCAGCAGACACAACACACAACAGATAGTGGAACTGTCAGGTAGAGAACACTGCATAGATACGTATAAAACATTTGAAGAAGTTCAGGATGTGCATGCAACAAAGGACAATCAGGAATAACCATGCAGGTTTGGAAAATTATCACACAGAAAATGGAATTACTAGAGATGAAAAATAGCATTCTTGAAAAAGAAATGCAACATAAATCCACTTATTTACATGTATATTGCTTATGTTACTGGTACAGGGTTACAGAGCAGAGTAAACAGAGCCAAAAGGCTAGAGAATTTGTAAACTAGAGGTGCAGTGAGACAAGGAATGAACAGCGTGACAGCAATGTTAGGAGGGAGGAATGACAGAAGCAGGATTTGGCTCTGGCTGAATGAGGTGGTGGACAAATCCTCTCTTCACAAGGCAACTATGAAGCTGGACAAAAATGATCCAACAGGCCGGGTGCAGTGGTTCACGCCTGTAATCCCAGCACTTTGGGAGGCCGAGGTGGGCGGATCACCTGAGGTCAGGAGTTCGAGACCAGCCTGGCCAACATGGTGAAACCCCCTCTCTACAAAAATAAAAAAATTAGCCGGGCATGATGTTGGGTGCCTGTAATCCCAGCTACTCAGAAGGCTAAGGCGGGAGAATCGCTTGAACCCAGGAGGCAGGGGTTGCAGTGAGCTGAGATCATGCCATTACACTCCAGCCTGGGAGACAGAGCGAGACTCCTTCCCCCCGCAAAAGAAAAAGAAAAATCCAACAACCATTTCAATGCTCTGGAAATTATCCAAAGGCATGAGATAATTTGCGAAGGATTTTTTTTTTTGAGACAGAGTCTCGCTCTGTCACCTAGGCTGGAGTGCAGTGGCGTGATCTTGGCTCACTACAACCTCCACCTCACAGGTTCAAGCGATTCTTGTGCCTCAGCCTCCCAGATAGTTGGGATGACAGGTGCCCGCCACCACGCCCTGCTAATTTTTGTATTTTTTGGTAGAGACAGGGTTTCGCCATGCTGGTCAGGCTGTTCTCAAACTCCTGACCTCAAGCAATCTGCCCGCCTCAGCCTCCCAAAGTGCTGGGATAATTTGCAGAGCATTTTGTATGCTTGATAATGTTCTTGCCTAGGGCCGTTTTCATCCCAGGCCCCTCAGCTTGGTCCACATGGATGTTCTGCAGGGTAGGGCAAACTGTGAGGATCAGCAGCTTAACTGGCTAAGTTGAAGGCAGCTCAATTTGGAGTGTAATCTTGGGATTTGACATTGGTTCAAAAGCACAGCCAACCAAAAAAATAGATAAATGGGACTTCATCAAAATTTAAAACTTTTGTACATCAAGGGACACCATCGAAGAAAGTGAAAAGACAACCTAAAGAATGAGAGAAAAACTTTGGGAGGCCGAGGTGGGTGGATCACAAGGTCAGGAGTTCAAGACCACCTGGGAAACATGGCAAAACCCCATCTCTACTAAAAATACAAAAAATTAGCCGGGTGTGGTGGCGCACGCCTGTCATCCTAGCTACTTGGGAGGCTGAGGCAGGAAAATCGCTTGAACCCAGGAGGCAGAGGTTACAGTGAGCTGAGATCATGCCACTGCACTCCAGCCTGGGTGACAGAGCAAGACTAAAAAAAAAAAAAAAAGAATGGGAGAAAATATTGCAAACCATATATATATATACGCATATATATGATTAGGGACTTTTATCTAGAATATATAGAGAACTCTTCCTCAATAGTAAAAAGACAAATAATCCAATTTTTTAAATGGGCAAAGGATCCAAACAGACATTTCTCCAAAAGAAATAAGCACATGAAAATATGCTCAGCATCGGGCCGGGCGCGGTGGCTCACGCTTGTAATCCCAGCACTTTGGGAGGCCAAAGCGGGTGAATCACGAGGTCAGGAGATCGAGACCATCCTGGCTAACACAGTGAAACCCCGTCTCTACTAAAAATACAAAAAATTAGCTGGGTGTGGTGGCGGGCGCCTGTAGTCCCAGCTACTCGGAGAGGCTGAGGCAGGAGAATGGCGTGAACCCGGGAGGCAGAGCTTGCAGTGAGCCAAGATCGCACCACTGCACTCCAGCCTGGGTGACAGAGCGAGACTCCGTCTCAAAAAAAAAAAAAAAAAAAAGAAAATATGTTCAGCATCATTAGCCATCAGAGAAATGCAAATCAAAGCCACAATGAGATACCACTTCATACCCACTAGGACAGTTGTCATTAAAAAGATAACAAAAACAGCTGAGTGAAGTGCCTCACAACTGTAATCCCAGTATTTTGGGAGGCCAAGGCAGGAGGATCACTTGAGCACAGGAGTTCAATATCAGCCTGGGCAACATAGCAAGACCTTTTCTTTACAATAAACTTAAAAACTAGCCAGGTGTGGTGGTGCACACCTATAGTCCTAGCTACTCGGGAGGCTGAAGTGGGAGGATCACTTGAGGTTTGAGGCTGCTGTGAGCTCCCATTGTGCCACCACACTCCAGCCTAGGCAACACAGCAAGACCCTGTCTCTCCAAAATAAAAGAGTATACTATGAACAACTTTATGCAAATAATTAGAAAACTTACATAAAATAGTTAAAAACACGTAACTCCACAATTGATTCAAGAATTTTACCCTGACTTTTCTTTAACTATTAAAGAAATTGAAGAAGTTGTTTAAAATAATCCCATAATGAAAAAAAATATGGCAAGATGAATTTACAGACAAGTTTTACCAGCTTGCAAGGAAAGATGATTCCCATCTTATTTATTTATTTATTTATTTATTTATTGTGAGACAGAGTCTCACTCTGTCACCCAGGCTGGAGTGCAGTGACGCGATCTCGGCTCACTGCAACCTCTGCCTCCTGGGTGAACAAGCAATTCTCCTGTCTCAGCTTCCCGAGTAGCTGGGACTACAGGCATGTGCCACCATGCCTGGCTAATTTTTTGTATTTTTAGTAGAGACGGGGTTTCACCGTGTTAGCCAAGATGGTCTCCGTCTCTTGACCCCATGATCCACCCGCCTCAGCCTCCCAAAGTGCTGGGATTACAGGCGTAAGCCACCAAGCCTGGCCCATTCCCATCTTATATAAGATCCACCAGATAGGCCAGGTGTGGTGGCTCACATCTGTAATCCCAGCACTTTGGGAGGCCAAGCCGGGCAGACCACAAAGTCAGGAGTTCGAGACCAGCCTGGCCAACATGGTGAAACCCTGTCTCTACTAAAAATACAAAAAAATTTAGCTGGATGTGGTGGTGCACACCTGTAGTCCCAGCTACTTGGGAGGCTGCAGCAGGAGAATTGCTTGAACCCGGGAGATGGAGGTTGCAGTGAGCTGAGATCGCGCCACTGCACTCCAACCTAGGTGACAGAATGCGACTCTGTCTCAAAAGACAGTAAAAAGAAGAAAAGGGAAAACTAGATTCAAAATCAGGAACATGACAATGATGTTCACCATCACTACTTCTATTTAATATTGTATGAGAGATCCTAATAACTACAATAAATTAACAAAATGAAATTAAAAGGCAGGAGTGAAGAGAATGACACAAAAATTATTATTCACAAATGATATGTCTGTCTTCACAGGAAACTTGTAAGAACCTACAAATGAATTGCTGGAAATAATCAGAGTTTAGCACCATGGCTGGCTATAAAAACAATATACAAAAATCAATGCATTTCTGTATTCCTGCAATAAACAGAAGAATGTCTATTTTTTAAAAGACACAATAAAAACTCTGAGATACCTAAGAATATCTGGGAATAAATCTTATGAAAATTATGGTCTTATGGCCGTGTGCGGTGGCTCACGCCTGTAATCCCAGCACTTTGGGAGGCCAAGGCGGACGGATCATGAGGTCAGGAGATCAAGACCATCCTGGCTAACATGGTGAAACCCGTCTCTACTAAAAATACAAAAAATTAGCCGGGCGTGGTAGCGGGCGTCTGTAGTCCCAGCAACTCGGGAGGCTGAGGCAGCAGAATGGCATGAACCCGGGAGGCGGAGCTTGCAGTGAGCCGAGATCTCACCACTGCACTCCAGCCTGAGTGACAAAGCAAGACTCTGTCTCAAAAAAAATTTAAAAAAAAAGAAAATTATAGTTTTATGTATAAAACTAAGCCAGGCACCGTGGCTGACACCTCTAATCCCAGCACTTTGGGAGGCCAAGACAGGAGAATTGCTTGAGCCCAGGAGTTCGAGACCAGCCTGGGCAACACAGTGAGACCCCATCTCTACAAAAAGATTAAAAGATTAGCTGCACATGGTGGCTTGTACCTGTAGTACCAGCTACAAGAGAGGCTGAGGTGAAAGAATCGCTTAAGCCCAGGAGGTTGAAGCTGCAATGAGCTACAATTGCCACTGTACTCTAACCAGGGCAACAAAGACCCAATGACCCTTTCTCAAAAAAAAAAGAAACCCCCCAAATTGTATAAAACTCACATGTAGAAAATAATAAATGATGCTGGAACAACTCATTGTCCATAGGGAAAAAGGTATAATTGTATCACTCATTAAAATCACTACTACATGAATAAAAGCACTAATATAAAAAGCAACATTTTAAAGGTTTTAGGCCGGGCACGATGGCTCATGCCTGTAATCCCAGCACTTTGGGAGGCCAAGGCGGGCGGATCGTGAGGTCAGGAGATTGAGACCATCCTGGCTAACACGGTGAAACCCCATCTCTACTAAAAATACAAAAAATTAGCTGGGCGTGATGGCAGGCGCCTGTAGTCCCAGCTACTCGGGAGGCTGAGGCAGGAGAATGGCGTGAACCCGGGAGGCAGAGCTTGCAGTGAGCCCAGATTGCGCCACTGCATTCCAGCCTGGGCGACAGTGCAGACTCCGTCTAAAAACAATCAAACAAACAAACAAACAATAACAACAAAAAACAGCAAATCTCAGCCAGGCACGGTGGCTCACGCTTGTAATCCTAGCACTTTGGGAGGCCAAGGCAAGCGGATTGCCTGAGCTCAGGAGTTCAAGACCAGCCTGGGCAACACAGTGAAACCCCGTTTCTACTAAAATACAAAATATTAGCCGGGCATGGTGGTGGGTGCCTGTAGTCCCAGCTACTTGGGAGGCAGAGGCAGGAGAATCGCTTGAACCTGGGAGGCAGAGGTTGCAGTGAGGGGAGACTGTGCCACTGCACTCCAGCCTGGGCAACAGAGAGAGACTCTGTCTCCATAAAAAAAAAAAAACAAACAAACCAAAAAAAACAGCAAGTCTCAGAAGACTATAAACATGCTACCATTTTTATGAAGCTCAAAAACAAAAATGAATTTAGTGATACAGTGTTTAGACACATACTTTTGTAAGAAAACTTAAAAACTTGGGGGAACCATAAACATAAAATTGAAGACAGTGGTTACCTTTGGGGTGAGGGAAGTGGTAGAATAGGAAAGAGGAGGAGGACACAAACAACAGGCAATGTTCTAGTCCTTAGGTTTAGGTGACATACCATGGGTGTTCGTGGGTGTTAATTTTTTTTTTTTTTTTGAGACAGAGTCTCACTCTCACCTACGCTGGCATACAGTGGCATGATCTCAGCTCACTGCAACCTCCCCCTCCCTGGTTCAAGTGATTCTCCTGCCTCAGCCTCCCAAATAGCTGGGATTACAGGCATGCCTACCACGCCTGGCTAATTTTTGTATTTTTATAGTAGAGACAAGGTTTTGCCATGTTGGCCAGGCTGGTCTTGAACTCCTAACCTCAGGTGATCCACTTGACTTGGCCTCCCAAAGTGCTGAGATTACAGGCATGAACCACTGTGCCTGGCCCGTGGGTGTTAAATTTTATAACATATGTGTTATATATACTTTTGACATGTATCAAATATTACATTAAAAGATAAATAAGGCTGGGCGCAGTGGCTCACGCTTGTAGTCCCAGCACTTTGGGAGGCTGAGGCGGGTGGATCACGAGGTCAGGAGATTGAGACCATCCTGGCTAACATGGTGAAACCCCGTCTCTATTAAAAATACAAAAAATTAGCTGAGCGTGGTGGCGGGCGCCTGTAGTCCCAGCTACTTGGGAGGCTGAGGCAGAAGAATGGTGTGAACCCAGGAGGTGGAGCTTGCAGTGAGCCGAGATTGAGCCACTGCACTCCAGTCTGGGCGACAGAGTGAGACTCCGTCTCAAAAAAATAAATAAAAAAAGATAAATAAAAAGACATCCCACAGACACACAGAGAGCTATTCACTGACACATAAGACACATGAACATACACAGTCTTATATATGAACAGACATATTCATATGTTTCCTTACAAAATGAAACAAATCTATACCCACCAATAGCCACATTCTCAAGACACACAGAGCAACACTGACATATTAACACACACACAAACTGACCCACACATTGATTCACGTACATTCCTACCCAGCTTTTGACCCACAGGTGAGGGGGCTCCTATAGGGGCATACTGGACCACTGGGGTGCTGTGGGTGTTTATAAGCAACTGGACTGGTGGGTCTCCCAGAGAACACCCCCCAATCCCAGGCTCCCCGGGCACTCACCTGATTCCCGAGATACCACTTTCCGTGGGACCAGCTTCTTGATCTATGCCGAAAAGAAGTAAAGGTTGAGCATCCTTAATCTAAAAATCAGAAATCCAAAATGCAGGCCAGGCGTGGTGGCTCACACCTATAATCCCAGCACTTTGGGAGTGGATCACTTGAGGACAGAAGTTCGAGACCAGCTTGGCCAACATGGCAAAATCCCGTCTCTACTAAAAATACAAAAATTAGCTGGATGTGGTGGCATGCACGTGTAATCCCAGCTACTCTGGAGGCTGAGGCAGGAGAGTCGCTTGAACCTGAGAGGGGGAGGTTGCAGTGAGTGGCGATCCTGCCGCTGCACTCTAGTCTGTGCAATAGAGCGAGACTCTGTCTTCAAGAAAAAAAAAAAAAAAATCTAAAATGCTCCAAAATCTGAAACTTTCTGAGTACCAACATAACGCCTTAAGTGGAAAATTCCACACCTGACCTAACTCATGTGACAGGTCTCAGTCAAAATTTGTTTCATGCACAAAATTATTAAAACTACTGCACAAAATCACCTTCAGGCTATGGCTTAAGGTGTATATGAAACATAAATGAATTTCGTGTTTAGGTTGGGGTCCCATTCCCAAGCTATCTTTTTTTTTTTTTCTTTTTGAGATAGAGTCTTGCTCTTGTTGCCTAGGCTGGAGTGCAATGGCACAATCTCGGCTCACTGCAACCTCCGCCTCCTGAGTAGCTGGGATTACACATGCATGCCACCACGCCCAGCTAATTTTTGTATTTTTAGTAAAGATGGGGTTTCACCATGTTGGCCAGGCTAGTCTTGAACTCCTGACTTTGTGATCCACCCGCCTCGGCCTCCCAAAAGTGCTGGGATTACAGGCGTGAGCCACCGTACCCGGCAGCTATCTCATGTATATGCAAAAATTCCCAAATCCGAAACACTTCTGGTCCCAAGCCTTTTGGATAAGCGATACTCAACCGGTATTAGAATCCAAAAGGAGCCCCCACATGTCTAGGTCCACCCTCATTTAGTGACCCTCCAGCTAGGTCCGGAGAGTGCCCATGATCCCCACCTTTGTCCAAAATAGCCTGCCCCTGCCACCTGAGTGTCTTGGCTCTGTACTCACTGGGGGTGGTGGGAGTACAAAGTTGTCTGGAAAAACTCCTCTTCGTCCTTGACACTCTCCTTCCCACCAGCCCTTATCCTCTGTGGTCTGGAAAAGAAACACGCCAGTGGGGAGGTGAGCCAGGTCCCCCAAGGTCCTTTCCGGGGTCCCACTCCTTCTTATGGATATAATTTCAACGTTTATTTTAGATTCAGGGGGTACATGTGCAGGTCTACCCTTTCTCAACACCGGCTTCCCTGGGCCCCCCCACCCTGTTCGTCTCACACCTTGCTGAGTACTTTTACCACGTCCCCCCTCCGCAGCGCCAACTCGTCTGGGGCCTCAGGCTGGTAGTCAAACAGGACCCTGTAGACCTCAGGGTGGGAGACTGGGAAGAGGTCAGTCCACTGTCCTCTGAAGCCAAGCCTCCCCCATCCATCAGCAGCCCCCACCTCCATCAGCCTAGCTGGCCCACCAAGTCACAACCTTGGGAGTGGCTGAGGGAGTGGGGGACCCTTTGGATGGGTGCTCACCTGTCTGCAGGTAGTCTGGAGGGCTGTCATAGGCCAGGCTGCTCAGCTAGTGGGGGAAGGGGCAGGGAGGAACTAGATGAGCCTCCAACCACCCCAAGAGGAACTCACCACCTCTGTGCCTACTCTGAGCCAACTTACCTTGGGAGGCCGCTGGGGACCAGGGCTGACTGAAGGCATGTCTGGGTTACCAAGGCCTAGTGGGGGACAGTGAGGTTAGGGAGGGTGCTAATTCACAGGTTAGGTCATGGGAGAGGGTCAGAGGGGTCACAGGGTCAGGATATGTGAATCACAGGCTCATGCCACTGGGAGGGTCATTGGAGATTGCGAGTCACAGGGTCACAGAGTCGAGGTCTCACTTGGGGGCCCACTGTCCAGCAATTCCACAAAGTTGGATGGGAAGGCTCCCAGCTGCCCGTTCTTCTTCCCCAGCCACCAGCCGTCCTCAATCTGGGGAGAGGGGAGGACGCAGAGGCGTCTGGTTCTGCCCCAAGAGTCCCTAGGATAATCTGCCACCCTTGGTTCTGCCCAAGCGCCCCTTCCTCCCTCCTTCCCTCCCGCGCTTCCCCGTATCTGCACCGTCGCCATTCCCACCGTCCACACCCTCACTTCCCACCCCGCTCACTAGGGAGGCGCGTTCCATCATCCTCCCCCAAACGGTCCCATCACCTCACCCCTCACCTCCTTTATCATTTCCACGATCTCCCCAGCTTGCAGCTTCAGCTCGTCCGCCTGCTCTGGGCTGTAGCTGAAGTTCACTTTGCACCATCTTTGGGGCCTCGGGTGTTTGGCAGGATGACCTAGCACCGGACAAGCGCGGCTGAGCTCCAGTCGGACGCCCCAGTCAGAGGAGCTGGGGGAAGCGCAAGGCGCGCACGTAGCCTTTGGTCCCTCCAGCCCCGCCCCAGGGCGGAGCATTGCACTCGAGAACCAATCACAGACCGCAGGGCGGCCCCGAGGTCCCGCCCAGAGCCGCGCCCGTCACTAAGAGCCGGAGACGCCGGGGTCGCACTGGCTCCGTGCACCCGCCCACCGGCGCCCGTCCCCGCCCTTGCGCTCACCTCGGCGGCGCGCACAGCGCGGCCTCCGCGCCTCTCCGGAGCCCCGCAGGGTCTCTGGGATCTCCTGGGAATCAGGGCACGGGGAAGGCGCTCTCAGCTCCCGGGGGGCGCGCGCTGAGACCCCACAGCCCGCCCCTGGCTCGGCCTCACCTGCACCAGGCGCTCGGGGAAGAGGCCATAGCGGCCCCCAAACTCTCCGCGAAGCCAGCCCCGCGCGGGCACCCAGCGCACCTGCCGGACCACGTCCCCGGGCGCCAGACTCAGCTCGTCCTCCTTCTGCGCGCGGTATCCGGCCAGGACGAGGACTTCTGCGGGCGGAAGACGGGGCCGGCGTGCGGCTCAGAAAGGCCCAGCCGGGCAGCCTGGCTAGGGCGGGCGTGTCCCCAAGCACCGTAGAGGGCAGCGGGGGTCGGGGGGTGGTGTGGGCTCTTGCTATGTCCACGGTTGCAGAGAGAGGCCACCTCAAAGCCTCCGCACTTACCCATGGTTTCCGGGGCGCCCTCCAGAGCCTGGCAGCTCCCTCTGACGGCCGAGTACTGGGCCCGCGCAGGGTGCGACCTGAGGCAAGACAGTAGGGTAAAGGAGGCGTAGCCGCCAGCCGATAGGTCGGGCCAGGTGCTGGGAGTGGGTGTGGAGAGGGGGCGGCCCGGCTCAGCAGGTCCGGCCCCCAACCCCGGGGTGAGGAGGACTCCAGGGTCTCTGGCCTGTGCAGCGGTCACAGCTCCGTCACAGGTTCTTCCGCCCACCTAAATTTTAGGCCAGCCGCCTCTCCCTTTCCCTCAGCTTTTGCCCGGAGGCTCCCAGCTACAATTTGCACAGAGCCTTTCCAGGCCCACCCTTCCCCAGCTCACAAGCTTTTGGCTTGAGGGGAAAAGGTGGGGAGAGGCACATACCAGGGTGGGGCCCCCCAGCAAGTAGCAACCGCTCTAAACCGGCCTTGAGTGAATGAAGTGGCTGCCCTTGTACCAGCAATAGCTTTGAGTGGACACTTCCAGTCTGCTTTCCTTCAAGGCGTACTCCTCTCTGGCCCCGTACCCACTCTCTACCCCCATATAGGAAGGACACAGCAAAGACCCCTGCTTTGGGGCCAGAGGTCTAGTTTGGTTTCAGAAAACACCTCCAGGTTTTCCCTGGGAGTTAGGCCGGGAGAATGAATTTTACCAGCTTCCAAGATTTCTGCTCACAGTTGAGTCCCCAGCCGGCAGGAGTCTGAAGGTTAGGGCCCACCCTATGGCCAGTCCATGTGGGATAGGCTCTTTCAGGTAGAAGGCTGAGCCTACTAACCACATCCCTTGATCCCTGCCCCACCACCATGATGAAGGAAGCCAAAGTCCTTGCCTATGACACCAGTGGAAAAAATCTGTTTCTCCTGGGGTGTCCAAGGTACACAATGCTCCTCCCAGGAAGGACTGTGTCTGTCTGGGACTCCAGCAGCCTGCGCAAGGCCCCACAGGCCCTTTGTCTTTCAGGTTTTCTGAAACTGCCGTGGGAAGTTATCTACCACCCTCAACACACACACACACTCAGGATGACAATGAACAGAACCCGTTTACATCTGCCACTTCATTTATTTTATTTGCAGGAGGAGTTGAAACAAATTTTAAGGGAGATTTTCATTTTCCCCCTAAACATGAATCATTCAAGTAAAACCAACTTAACTATAGAAATGTAGCAAAGTAAGGGGAAAGCAGCACAACAACGCAAGAGGCAAAGGCTGGGGGGGAGAGGTGGGTGCAGTCCGCATATAACATATGCATAAATGCCTTATGATTCACCTGCTCAGGACCGCCTCCCCAGAAGGCAAGCACAAGGACCCATTTTAAGAGGATGTTTCCCCCCAAACATCTGAGAATGCTTCAACTTAAACAGCTTAAGGTTAAAAAGACAAAGAAAAAAAAAAAGAAACCCAAAAAAACCCCTGAACCACCCAGCCATAACCACCTTCCTTAATCGATCATAGGAGTTTCTTTTCATTTTATAAAAAGATTAATAAAAAATATTGAAAAAATTTTCTCATATTTGTAAAGATAATAGAATTCATAAGTTTCTTAGAAAACAGACCAGACACTGCCCTCCAGTTTCCACCCCGTTGCTGGGAGGATCAGCAGGACTAGAAAGTTTGGGATACTGGAGCTGCTGGTGGAGAACGGGGAAGTCCAGCCCAGAAGAAATCAGGAAATAGGGCTCAGGGGCACGTGAGGTGTGGTAAGGAGCAACTCCACGTGATACATGGCTGCGCAGAAAAGGGGAACACAAGGTGGTCGGAAAGGCCTTAAACTCCTCCTTGACATACAAAACCGGTTTTTACAAAGATCCAAGCAGTTTGGTCCCAAACTGAGGTGAACACTTCAAAGTTTATTCACATGCTTTTGTTTTCTCTTTCAAGAATCAAAGTTTCCCAAATTAAATGTTTCTAATATTACTACATATGCCTAAAAAAAGAAAAAAAAAAAAAAAAAGGAGGGGGCTTTTAAAATCAGGACAGGGGAAAAGAGATCGAAAATCATCAAATTAGTCATCTTAGCTCCAAATGAAATGAAATTAGAACAAAACTGTTGGTTTCTAATAGGAAACAAAAATCCAAGCATCGCTCTCCCGCCCTACCCCTGCCCCCACCCCACACACCAACAAATGAGAAAAACAGCTAAAGCCCAATGCGTTGTATTCTGCTCAAAAGCTGGGCCTGACCCCTGGGCCCCATGGCCAGCCTCCTCTGTCCAGTGGGAGACAGCGCCAGGGATGCCTCTCGCGGTAGTACAATCTGTGCGGCTGGTGGGGGGTGGGGGTAGGATTTTCAGAATCTTCTTGAGGTTCCTCTGTTAAGCTCCTCACCAGCCATCTTCCCAGCGCCTCTCTCCCCTGGGCAGGAATCCCGTCAAGGGTGGCCCCTACTCGGTTGTGGGCTGTATATTGTCCTTCTCTTCTCGGTTCTCTGTCCCACTCTCGTCGTCTTCAATCTCCCCTTCCTCCCCACTGAACTTGTCATGGGCCCACTTGGGGCTGGTACTTGATTTCCGGAACATGAACCGGCCCCGACCCCGAGGAAAGGCTCCTCGGCCCCGGCCCCGGCTCACCCACTTGTCACTGCCTTCGCCTTCACGGTCATCATGCTGAGGGGAAAGAAAATTGCCATCAGTGCCAGAGTGAACAAGATGTGGCCAGAGCTCTCTTCTCTGCACGCACCCAAATGTGCCTTTCCCAAAAGAACCTGTGCCCTAACCCAGCCTTTTGATCCTTTTCTGCACTTCTCCCTGTCCCCCACTCCAAAAATGCCAGTGGTTCAGATCCATGAGAATATCAGTTGGGTGATTTAGGAATTTTAAGGTAACAGCTTGGGCATTGTAACGATGATTGACAATGATGATGATTCACTGAGCAAGAACCCTTAATAGTTTAAAGAAAATAAAAACGTCACTGAGCACTGAAGTAAGACATTTATGTACTATCTCATTTAATTCTCCTATCTACCCTATCATTATCACCTCCCACTCTGCAAACGTGCTTAAAGCTTAGGAACTTTAAGCAACTCCATATGATTTAGTATATCCTCTCTCAAAGGGTGGGTTTGAGAAAGCCAATCACACCAAAACGTGCAACTCCATGTGAACTGGGTTGTTAGGCAGCTAAGAAAGGAGGCAATGCGGCTGGGTGCAGTGGCTCATGCCTGTAATCCTAGCACTTTGGGAGGCCGAGGCAGGCAGATTGTCTGAGCTCAGAATTTCGAGACCAGCCTGGGCTATACGGTGAAAACCCCGTCTCTACTAAAATACAAAAAAAAAAAAAAAAAAAAAAATTAGCCAGGCATGGGGGTGTGCGCCTGTAGTCCCAGCTACTCAGGAAGCTGACGCAGGAGAACTGCTTGAATCCAGGAGGCAGAGGCTGCAGTGAGCCAAGATCATACCACTGCACTCCAAATGCTCAGAATCCAATGTTGGGGCTGGGGCTTTCCTGATCCTCCACCTCCACACTCTCATTTTGTATCTCCCCTGTTTTATGCAAGGAGGCAGTGTGACGGGGTAGGAAAAACACTTAACCTACATTTCATTTTTTCTTTTTCACTTAGTTCAAGGAAAGGATTAACCTACATTTCAAACAATCCTTGCTCTGACAATCTCATGAGACAGAAGGAGGGATCCAATCAAACAATGAAGGAGAAAGCATTTTGAAAACCAGCAGTCATTACCTTATCAGCCCCATGACTTCAGAGTCTAAACCACCCCCCCACAAAAGCTAGGGTCTTAGGCTGTTGGAGCTCAGCTCAGCAGGTGTCAGCTTCTTCTGACCATGGCTGCTTGTTCACACTAAACGAATCAGGCTGGCAATACTCTCTCAGGTGGCAGATAGGAGCAAGGGAGAGGGCCTTTAATCTTTTCCCTACAGCAGTCCCACTCCAGCACCTAACCCGGGCCCAGCCAACTACAATTCCCTAGAGATAAGTTCAAAGGTCCTCTAGTAGCCTCAAAGCAGCTTCCAGCAGCAGCAACCCTAGAAAAGGGATGGTGGCCACGCATAGCCATCCACACACAACCTGTTTCCTAGCTGTCCAACTGACAATACAGATCCATTCCAGCCATTTTGGCAAGTGATGGAGATTCAGCTGCTCCTTTACCTTAGTTATAACACTCACACCAGCTTGGATCTTAGTCTGCTGTTACAGATCAAGGCCAAGAGAGCTCACTCAAGGCCAGGTACTTCAGCCTATAAAAGTATTAATCTGAGGGAGGCCCAGAGTGCACAGGAATGATCAACAGCCTAGATGAGAGAAGCCCCACTGGCATTTCATTTTGGAGAGACATCCCTTTCCTCAAAGAGATCCTGAGCGGTCTTTCTTGTCATTCTTGCATGAAGGAGTGGCAGAGAGGGACAGCGGCATCAGGGAAGGGTTATGGCTGTATCCACAGAAATGAGGGAGGCTGAGGTTGGTGGTGGGTGAGCAGTAAAACAAGTTCATAGACTAAAAAGACAAGACCAATGCTTCTTGCTTATCTTGGAATCCACAAACATCTTCAGTGATAAACCCTTTGAAGACCAGGACTGCCTCTCTAGAGGACACCCATCTAGTTAGCACTATGCAAGTACACATGCCCCAGTGCAATAATCCTGCACGTACATTTAATCGCAGTTTTGGACAAACTAATTAAGGCTTGGTATCAGCTACTCTGTGTGTCAAAGGCCCTCTAACCCTTCCTGGTTATCCCCAGACACATACCAAGTAATACTTCTTGCTTTTGGGTGTGTACTCTGGGTCCCACTCCTCTTCCCGGTTTCTTTTTTGAAAATCGTTGTTGCTGTTGTTGTTATTGTTCCCAGAGTAGTTGCCTCTGCCCCAGCCTCTTCCTCTGGCTCGAAACTGCTATTGCAATAAATGAGGGAAAAAGAACAAAGGATCATGCCAGGAATGGGGAACAAACCCCCCTGCTTTTTGTTCAAACATTTTTCTGGTGTGGAATAGACAGCTGTCTTCCAGTCATATGCTGGTCAGCTGGTTTCCAGCCATTCCCTTTCTGCTCATCTCAAGTCTGCAGCCTACACAGAGGACAAACCTGCCCCAAGGGCCTCCCTATAAACAGCAGTAGTCAAGGTTAAGTGGGGGAAGTTCTGAGACCAGAAGCCATAAGAGGCTTTCTAGCTAAGTGATTATGAACAGAAAAGTAACAAAAAATGGAAAGGCCAGGAAATGTGGGAAGGAGAACCAAAGATTCCAGGGTCTTTGGATTGGATTACTTATGTCAAAGGCAACAAAACTGGTATTCTGATGAAACGTGATCAAAGCTGGTAGGAGCAAGGGTCTCAGAGAAAGGGGGAGAGGGGAAGGTCTTACAAAGGTTCCTCGAGCTCTGCCACCTCCTCTTTCACTTGGACCCACAAAGTCTTTGGTCCCCAGTCTTGATTTGTCAAAGCCCGTGGTGCTCTCCTCTCTTTCCTCTGTCTCTTCAGTGTACTCTTCTGCTTTGTAGGAGTGAGATGACTGGGAGGAAGAGGAGGAGGATCTGGACCTGTCTCTTGCTCTCCGATGCTTCCTGTGAAAAGAGAAGAGCCAGGGTGATCAATCATCTTTCTAAGGGACACTGCTTGGCTGGGGCCTCATGGATAAGCACAGGGCAATCAAAAGTATGCCTGTGATGGAAGAAACTGATGATGAGTAACCTTATAAAGCCAGCTCACCCCCAACCTACCCACCCAAGATACTTCCTCTCAATTCTGTCAGTCATGTTCAGTGACACATCTATGTCTGAGTCTGTGATAAACATATGACATACATAGAAGCAGGAACAAAACACAGTCCATGGCCTCCAGGAGCTCAGTCTAAGATACAGGCATGAATTAATAAGGGAGAAGGAAATTAACACTATATTGAGAGCTCCAAAGTATCTGGTACTGGGCCAGATAAATAGCTTTGTATATTATCATCTGTTAGTGCGTTCTATTACTTTTATTTCTTACAGGAATGCTACCTGTCTTACAGGGTTCTCTAAATAAACACTGTGTTTAAACACTTTACACCAACATAGCTGGCATGCAGTAAAGGACAATACAACTCAGTATTATTTCCCTCATTTTACAGGTAGGAGGCTCAGGTGAGAGAAGCGAGCAGAGTCTGGATTCTAACCTAGCTCTGACTAATTATACCACGACTCCACATATTACCTCCCACTGAGCTCAAACAGGTTGTGTGACTAAGCCTAGGATCTGGCGCAACTCTCCCAGAGTTATTTCCCTTCCCTTTCCTTCATCTAGGGGAAATTACAGACTAGGGCAAATTAGCTTAATACGATGAGTCATTATCTATGTACTAAAGTCAGTACCAGCCCTGCCATGTGATAGTGGAGGTTACTGAATACCTCTAGGGGGCAGCAAGGCCAGGATCCCAGGAGTGGAGGAGTAGCAGAGCCAGCCAAATGTCAGTAACCTATCATTGTCCTTCCCTCCCTCAGTCTTCCATTATGAAAGGCATCATGCTCCCTGCTCCTCACCCACACACACTTATTCATACAAAGGGGAAATCTAAGTTACTGTGATAGGATTCATGTAACTTCAACTCTGACCCCACTAAACATCCGTGCTATTTCAAGAGGTTTTCAAAAATAAGAGTCTCTGGCCGGGCGTAGTGGCTCTCTCCTGTAATCCCAGCACTTTGGGAGGCCAAGGCGGCTGGATCACTTGAGGTCAGGAGTTCGAGACCAGCCTGGCCAACATGGCGAAACCCCATCTCTACTAAAAATACAAAAATTAGCTGGGTGTGGTGGAAAGCATCTGTAATCCCAGCTACCCAGCTACTCAGGAGGCTGAGACAGGAGAATCACTTGAACCCAGGAGGCAGAGGTTGCAGTGAGCCGAGATCATATCATTGCACTCCAGCCTGGGTGACAGAGCGAGACTCTACCTCAAAAACAAAACAAAACAAAAAAAAAAGACTCTCAAAAGGCCTCAAATTTGAGTCTTTGCATTGTCTTTTTTTGTTGTTGTTGAGATGGAGTCTCACTCTGTCGCCAGGCTGGAGTGCAGTCGTGCGATCTCGGCTCACTGCAACCTCCACCTCCTGGGTTTAAACGATTCTCCCGCCTCAGCCTCCTGAGCAGTGGGGATTACAGGCACCCACCACCATGCCCGGCTAATTTTTGTATTTTTAGTAGAGACAGGGTTTCACCATGTTGGCCAGGATGGTCTCAATCTTCTGACCTCATGCTCCACCCACCTCAGCCTCCCAAAGTGCTGGGATTACAGGCGTGAGCCACCGCATCCGGCCAGCATTGTCTCTTATTAGCTGTGTCACCTGGGTAAGTCATTCTTCAGTTATATAAAAAAAGTTCTGGCTGGGCACAGTGGCTCATGCCTGTAATCCCAGCACTTCAGAGGGCCAAGGCAGGCAGATTGCTTGAGCCCAGGAGTTCTAGACCATCCTGGGCAACATGGCAAAACCTCAACTCTACAAGAAATACAAAATTAGCCAGGCATGATGGTGTACACCTGTAGTCCCAGCTGACTGTGAGGCTGAGATGGGTAGATCACTTGAGCCCAGGAGGTCAAAGCCACAGTAGGCCAGTGATTGCATCACTGCGCTCCAGCCTGGGCGACACAGCAAGACCCTGTCTCAAAACGGGCCAGGTGTGGTAGCTCATGCCTGTAATCCCATGCTTTGGGAGGCCAAGGAGGTGGGTGGGAATCACTTGAGGCCAAGAGTTCAAGACCAGCATGGGAAACATAGCAAGCCCTCGTCTCTACAAAAAATTTTTAAAAATTAGCCGGGCATCATGGTGCATACCTGTACTCCTAGCTCAGCCTAGTTGGAAGGCTGAAGCAGGAGGATCACTTGAACCCAGGAGTTCAAGGATGCCGTGAGCTATGATCGTGCCACTGCACTCCAGCCTGGGTGACAGAGCAAGATCGTCCAAAAAAATAAAAAATAAAAATAAATAAATCACAGAATACCGGGGTTTGCAGGGGACTTGTTCAAAGTCACATCGCAAGTCAGAGGTAGGCATGTGTTCCAGGGAGAGGAAATCAGAGTTAGTAATTCAGACTCAACTCTGAAATGCTTGAGGGGTTCATGTTCCACTTCTAAGTGGCGGCCCAGGCACTACTGTACTACCACTTCCATTCCCTGCTGAGGATTCGCAGGTTCTTTATCTATGGGCGGCCCCAAAAGCTGCCAAGGCTCCTAATGCATAAGTAACACATTGGAATGGGAGACAAAGTATAACAAAAGATCCGTGTTTGAGGTCAGCTGATACTTGTGATTTTTTTTTTTTTTTTTTTTTGAGATGAAGTCTCACTCTGTCGCCTAGGCTGGAATGCAGTGCTGAGAACTCGGCTCAGTGCAACCTCCTCCTCCCAGGTTCAAGCGATTCTCCTGCCTTAGCCTCCCGAGTAGCTGGGATTACAGGCGCACGCCACCATGCCCGGCTAATTTTTTTTTTTTTTCAGTAGAGACAGGGTTTCACGATATTGGCCAGGCTGGTCTTGAACTCCTGACCACGTGATCTTCCTGCCTCGGCCTCCCAAAGTGCTGGGATTACAGGCATGAGCCACTACACCCGGCCAATACTTGTGATCGTAAGGCACATTATTCTAAGCTTGGCTTATCTTTCAAATGGGCAAAATGGATATCACACCAACTGTTCAATTTATCTCAAGGGGTTATGAAAAACTGATATAAAAACGCGGCCAGGCATGGTGGCTCATGCCTGTAATCCTAGCACTTTGGGAGGCCGAGGTGGGTGAATCATGAGGTCGGGAGTTCAAGACCAGACTGGCCAACATGGTGAAACTCCATCTCTAAATACAAAAAATTAGCTGGGCGTGGTAGTGGGCACCTGTAATCCCAGCTACTCAGGAGGCTGAGGCAGGAGAATTGCTTGAACCCGCGAGGCGGAGGTTGCAGTGAGCTGAGATTGCGCCACTGCACTCTAGCCTAGGCAACAGAGCAAGACTCCATCTCAAAAAAAAAAAAAAAAAAAAAATGCTTGCCAGCTAAAGTTCAAAATCAGCAGAAGTGTTGCTTCTTACCAGAAGGTATGGGGCTTCAACTGTGCTACTTTTCGTGACACATGATTAAAAAGTCATGGAACATTCAAAAACGTAAACAGAAACATCAGGACATAGGCATGAATGTTGCCACACAAAGTTCAACAATGCCACCTTTGTTTAAGGAGTACCTGGAACACCTCTCTTGGAACTGTCTGTAAAACTAGTTTAAAAGGCACTTAAGATCAACAATCATGTACTATCTAGTTCCACCCTGTTTCTTTGACTAAACAGTGTTATTACTTGACAATGACTTTGGGCCATTTCTAAAATACAACTTCCCCATGAAAATGTGTGATGAAAAAGGTACATCTAAAACTGCAAAAGGAATTCCCAAATGATTCTAATGATTCTCCACACCATCCCTGTGGTCAATTTAACAGATTAACTTCTCTCATGAAGCCTTCTTTGGACAAAGATCACACTATTTTGATGTAGAAATTGTTTTCAAACTAGGGACCCTACCTGACATTTACATGGATTAAAAGAAGAAACAGGTTGCTATAATTACTAACCCTAAACTCCTCTGATTTGAAAGTTCTGGTGTATAGCCCAAAGGGGACAGACAAGAAACTTAAGAGTCTGGAAGGGGTAACAGGGGCTTACGTACTTCTGTTTCTTTGATCCTTTATGAGTTTTCTCTGTTTTTTCAGCTGACCTTTCCCTTGAGTGACTGGAGTCTCGGGAATCCACTGATTCTCTCGATTTACCTCGTTTAAGATCTCTCTCCTTATGTTTTTTACGACGTTCAATATCAAGGCGGAGATCAACAGGATCATCTTTGTATTTTCCCTCAGCCTATCAAAAGATAAGCCAAAATTAAGGTTTCTGGGATTCAGAGCTGTCAACTCAACCATCCCACAAACTGTGGTTTTTACTCCAATGGAGGGGTGCAGAGGAAGCACTGGGAAATGTGAGGCATCTCACCCAAGCTTGGAAGGGATGCAGGATGTCCCACAGAAGTTACTCCATAAGGATCCCTCACAGAACCCACGCCAGTCCTCCAAAACAATGATGCTGGCCTTCTGAAAATGCTATGCATTGATCTCACTTTGTTTCCTTTCTGGCCCAGTAATGACTCTGGCTAGTTTAGAAGTTGAGAAGGCTGGCCAGGTGCAGTGGCTCACGCCTGTAATCCCAGAACTTTGGGAGGCCGAGGCAGGCGGATCACTTGAGCTCAGGAGTTCAAGACCAGCATGGGCAACAACCAAAACCCTGTTCTCTACTAAAAATACAAAAATCAGCCGAGCAAGGTGGCGTGTGCCTGTAATCCCAGCTACTAGGGAGGCTAAAGCAGAAGAATCGCTTAAACCCAGGAGGTGGAGGTTGCAGTGAGCTGAGATCGCACCACTGCACTCCATCCTGGCCAATAGAACAAGACTATCTCTCAAAAAAAAAAAAAAAAAAAAAAAAAAAAAAAAAAAAAGTTGAGAAGGCTAAAATTAGCTCTGGAAAAGTAGGTGGTTGGGCTGGCTCAGGATTAGCCACCACTAAGAGTAGAAAAGCTCACCTTCCCCTACCTATACTGTAGTATCCACCCATGGCTTATCCTCCACTTGGAATTATCTCTGAGTACTGAGTCCAAAGAGAGACAATGGAAGACTTAAGCAGCCTTCAAAACCCTGAGTTATACTGACAAATTTCTCTAGAAAGGGAATATCAAAAACTATGGGGAATTCATAAACTGGTATTATCAGGTGAAAGGAAAGGGAAAGGAAGGGGAAGGGGGAAAGAAACCAAAGAAACAGGGAGAAAGGGAGGAAGGGAGGGAAGAAGGAAGGGAGGGAGGAAGGAAGGGAGGAGGGAAGGAAGGAAGGAAGGAAGGAAGGAAGGAAAAAACTTCTCTGCTGGCTTCCTAAGCAGTTCAGCTATGAAGGTATGTTTTGCAGCAGCAACAGCACACCTGCTCAGACCACTGCAGCAAAGGCTTTCAACAATTCTTGGGAAACTCGGTGGGGCAAAGGTGCATGGTAGTTCCGGGACATCCCACACTAGGATTTGTCTCATGGAGGTAACTCAGGGAGGAAGAAATGAGCAGTTCATTCTGCATTAATAGTTTACATATGTGAACTACTAAACTTTTAAAAAAAAAAGTTTAACAGCAGGAGTGGCAGAAACTAGGTTTATTCTTTTTTTTTTTTTTCCTTTTTTTTTTTTGAGACAGAGTTTCACTCTTGTTGCCCTGGCTGGAGTACAATGGCGGGATCTTGGCTCATTGCAACCTCCACCTCCCAGGTTCAAGTGATTCTCCTGCCTCAGCCTCCCAGGTAGCTGGGATTACAGGCATGCACTACCACACCCGGCTAATTTTGTATTTTTAGTAGAGACGGGGTTTCACCATGTAGGTCAGGCTGGTGTCAAACTCTCGACCTCAGGTGATCCACCCACCTCGGCCTCCCAAAGTGCTGGGATTACAGGCTTGAGCCACCTTGCCCGGCCGTTTATTGTTTTATCACTTAATTTGTTTCCTAACAGAGGGAACTGGGCCTCTGCATCCTCCAAAGAGCAAAAAAAGACAAAAAGACAAATGCAACACTGCTCCCAGGGGTAACACCTCCAATGAGTTGGCTTTTTTGGGGCATGGAGGACGAGATCTCTTCTGATGTTTTAAAGAAAACCTTGGGTTTTACATGGCTAGTACAAAGCTGGAGAAGGGGTACTCGGAGGAGGAAAGACGGGTGGGAGAGAAGAGAGACTGCCCAGAAGCGCCTCTCATCACATTCAACCAACAAAACAAGTATTTTTTAGAAAAGGTTTCAGCAGCATTGGAATAACCATCTGTTATTTTAAATTTCAACTGTATATGTGAATGAAGATCAATAAATACTAAGATTTTTTTAAAGCCCAATTTAGTTATTTCACAGTAACAGATTGTATACAAGCTTTAACCTCTTAACAGTGTTTACGTGCACATCATTGCAAATGTAGCTGGGCCATCAAAGTAATCTTTAGCTTTAAAGTAACAGTAATTGACAGATGATAGATATGGTACAATGTTAGGAAAAAAAACTGGACCAGCTGTTTAAAAACAGTCTACTTAAGTTAAGACATGAATATTTCACTCTTCTCTGACATGCATGTCTTTCTGAAATCATGGTTGGAAATAGTGCATGTATACAGTTGATTTGATAATACTTACAAGCAGAAAAATATCACAAAAAGTTTCTTCTCTCATCATGGGCACTTGTTCCAAAACTCCTCTCTTTTTTTTCTCAAGCTCACCTCAATAGACTTTGGGGTCATTTACCATATTCTAACCACTTCACAAAGGTTGTTGATACATTTAATAAAAATTAACCCTTTGTAGTTCATTTTTAGAATTATGCCCATCCTTAAAAGAAAAACACAAACTTAAGTAGAGAGTAATTTAAACAAACACATTTCTGTCAAGTTCATGCCCAACGCACTCATTTTGTTGGAATTACTGATCAAATCAACAGTTCACCTTGTAGCCAGGTTCCCGGGGACTTTTCATTTCATCATGAGCCAAACCATGTTTTCTGAATGTACTGGGGGAAATGTCTATTCTCCTAAAATTGAAAATACAAAACGATATAGTATTCCATTGTGTGAATATGATACTGGTAATATTCTAGCTCTTAAGTTGGCTAATAGATTCACAGGCATTATTTTTCCTTACGTTTCATGACTTATGTATCTATTACTTTTACTCTTATATACTTATACTCTCCCATAGGCAGACACACACACACACACACACACACACACACACACACACAGTCCCAGGTTCCCACAGTGTAACAGAAGTTAGAGGTTTTTGTTCTCTCCTGGTTTTGCTACACACAGAAAGATGGACTCACCCATAGCCTCAAAGATAAGGCCAACTTTGTTTCTAGTCCCTATCCACTGAACTGACTCCCACAACCAAATGTAATAGTCTTTAAACCTGCTGGGCTTTAAAATTCTGTGAGATAATCCTACAAGCTCCCGCCTCTAGCCCCCAGGCAAATTCTTCCAGAAGAATCCAACTACCCATGATTAAACTACCATGAAATATTAATATACAGGCTTACCTAAAGAAACTAGCATTAGGCTGGGCGCAGTGGCTCACGCCTGTAATCCCAGCACTTTGGGAGGCTGAGGCGGGCAGGTCACCTGAGGTTGAGAGTTCAAGACCAGACTGGCCAACATGGTGAAACCCTGTCTCTACTAAAAATACAAAAATCAGCTGGGCATGGTGGCACACGTTTGTAATCCCAGGTACTTGGGAGGCTAAGGCATGAGAATTGCTTGAACCTGGGAGGCAGAGGTTGCAGTGAGCCGAGATTGCATCACTGCACTCCAGCCTGGGTGGCAGAGCAACACTCCATCTCAAAAAAAAAAAAAAAAAAGACAAGAAAAGAAACTAGCATTTACTCTACCTACAGAAACTCACAGTAATTTCAGGCAACATTTGCCAGCTTCCAAGAATATAGGAGTTAATCTATGTCAAGAGAGCTGTTTTCCTCAGGCCCAATGTGAGAGACTGTTGTCCCAAAGCATGTCCTGTACACTCTCAAATATAAATGCCTATAGCTCTCTTAGAGTCTGAAGGATGTTACTGTAAATTTTGTATTAAAGGTGCATTAGCAGCAGAATTTAACAAGGTGAGTTTAATGTCTGATACAAAGTCTTTTATTACAACCTCCAGTATAAGGCCATGGTCCTTACCTGTGTATCTCTGGGCTTTTCTTGTTTTTGGCTGCCTCCTGCTCAGTTCCTCTCTTTAGGTATTTAGTAAAGCGTTCATGTAATGTCATTCCTGAGGACCCAAAGTGATGCTCTGTTGGGATTAAAAGAAACACATTATGGGCCAGGCATGGTGGCTCAAGCCTATAATCCCACCACTTTCGGAGGCCGAGGTGGGCAGATCACGAGGTCAAGAGATCGAGACCATCCTGGCTAACACGGTGAAACCCCGTCTCTACTAAAAATACAAAAAACTAGTGGGCATGGTGGCGGGCGCCTGTAGTCCCAGCTACTCCGGAGGCTGAGGCAGAAGAATGTCGTGAACCCAGGAGGCCGAATTTGCAGTGAGCTGAGATCCCGCCACTGCACTCCAGCCTGGGCAACAGAGCAAGACTCCGTCTCAAAAAAAAAAAAAAAAAAAAAAAAAGAAACAAAGAAACACATTATGTTACCAAAGGCAGACACAATGTTTTAACTCTTTTGCAGGAACCCGTAACCACAGAGATGCACCTAAAGTAGTTAAATCCACACAACAAACATACTGAGAAGAGGAAGGAAAAATGGCTGGTTCAAACACGGTCCCATATTGGGCACTAGATTTCCACTGTAGCTCCCATGTCTTAGGACAGAGAAACTTGAAGCTTATTCTCCTCAGAAGCACAGCACCAACTCTTGCTTGAGTTTATATTCAGATGGAACCTGCAACTGGCCCAACCCAGCTTCTCCATCACTTCTCTTAGTCATTCCCTAACTTGCCCAACCCCATTTGCCCAGGGGGATGATAGAATACTTTGGGGAAGAAATTCACACCAGAAGGTCCATAAGAGATCACTTAGAGGGGAGAAGACAGAGATGCTAGAAAAGTCATTTTGCTATTGGCTTCTCAGTTTTCAACCATTTTAAATCTTTGTGTTAAGGATTTCACCTGTTCTCTTGGTCACAGGTTACTAGCATTTCAAAATGCTAAGCTCTGCAATTAAAATATGGAAACTGCTTCTTGAATGGAATTTCCTTCAAGCCAGCCCCTAGCTTCAAAGGCCCTTTAGATGAGATACAAGGTCCCCCAAAACTCCTTATCCACCCATCATTCATCCTTCTTCTAAGTGTGGAACACGAGCCTGAAGCAGGCCAGGGTCTGGACTCACCTTTAACATGGTGAACAATGGTCACTATATGTTGGGCAAACAGTTCTGAGGGGCTACGCTGAGACTGAGCTGATTGTATGTGCTGGAAAATGGAACGAAACTCCTGTTCCTTTTTGTTGCTATGGACTAGATCTCGGCAAAGCTTGCGTTCCTGAGCCAATAAGCCACTGGGTCTGAAAAAGAAATATGGGGAGGCCCAATTAGAACACAATACACAGGAAGAACATTAAAACCATAAAAATACTTTTTTGAAGAGTTTTAAATCTATCTATAAACTTCTTTTCTTCCTACCGAAGTTGAAAGTAACCCTCAGTGCACTGTAACTATGGAAAAGTATATACAAAATCTCTCTCTTCTCTTTCTTACTGGAATCTTCAAGTGGAGTGAAGTGTTAAACCTTAGTCACTGCTGGTTTTAACACACCCAACAAATGAGAAAGTATTTTAAAAGATAAACTACAGCTGGGTGCAGTGGCTCACACTTGTAATCTCAACACTTTGGGAGGCAGAGACAGGAGCATCACTTGAGCCCAGGAGTTCAAGACTCCATTTCAATCAATCAATCAATAAAAAGATCAGCTAGCATGACCAGCCAAGGCCATTCAGGGAGGTGATGTCATGAAGCGGGAGTGGGGTGTGGCTGGAATGCTGTTCACATAGACTTCCAGCTGCCTGAGTAGTTTACACCAAGTAAAAAACCAGTCAGCCTTGGCCTCCCAACTCTTTCCTAAAGTTCAGGGGACAAGGGGTAGATGTATTGCCTTCCTTAACCCTAAAATTGTGGCCAGGCACGGTGGCTCATGCCTGTAATCCCAGCACTTTGGGAGGCTAAGGCAGGCAGATCACCTGAAGTCAGGGGTTCAAGATCAGCCTGGCCAACATGGTGTAACCCAGACTCTACTAACAATACAAAAATTAGCCAGGTGTGGTGGCAGGTGCGTGTAATCCCAACTACTGGGGAGGCTAAGGCAGGAGAATCGCTTGAACCTGAGAAGCAGAGGTTGCAGTGAGTTGAGAGTGCACCACTGCACGCCAGCCTGGGTGACAGAGAGAGATTCTGGGCTGGGTGCGGTGCTCACGCCTGTAATCCCAGCACTTTGGGAGGCCAAGGTGGGCGGATCACGAGGTCAGGAGATCGAGACCATCCTGGCTAACACGGTGAAACCCCATCTCTACTAAAAATACAAGAAATTAGCTGGGCGTGGAGGCCTGTGGTCCCAGCTACTCGGGAGGCTGAGGCAGGAGAATGGCGTGAACCCAGGAGGCGGAGCTTGCGGTGAGTGGAGATCGCGCCACTGCACTCCAGCCTGGGTGACAGAGGGAGACCCCGTCTCAAAAAAAAAAAGAAGAGAGAGAGAGAGACTATCTCAAAAATACAATACAATACAATAAAATTGCTACGTTATTTGATGGGGAAGGGCCGTACTATAGACTTTGGCAACCCAGCTAGGAACGAAGAAGTGGATCCAGGATGGCTTCACAGGCAAAGCTATCTTAAATACAAGAAACAGCATTGGACTTGGGGGTGCAGTGATGAACAGAGAGTGAGCCAGTCACTAAGGACTGAAGAGATACTTCATCACCCCAGGGATACTGCCCCCCTTCAAAAGCACACAATCACTCTGTGACACATACTCTCCAGTGAACACAGGTGGACATGAAAGTATCACCACTGAAGCTTAAGACAGAAGGGGGAATACAGCAGAATGTCCCCAGGGAGAAAGGCTAGGCGACACCACTTAGGCCACTAAAGCACTGAGGATCAAGAAGGAGCATATCTCACCGTGCGAGGTCCTCATCAAAAGAGTCCATCCGGACATTGACCTGTGCCTCTCGAGTAATGGAAAAGGAAGACTTTCCTGTGGGAAAATCTCCTTTCGCTCCCAGCTTGTCTCGGCTCTCAGAGGTCTTTCTTGGGGGAGGTGATGAGCTTTTCTCCTGGACTGCTTTATAAGCAGTCACTCGGAAATTCTTCTCAGGCACAAAGCCCCTGTGCCCACCTTCGCTTCTCTTGCCCCGATCTTCCTTTTTGGATCTCTCTGGGAAAGACTCCTCCTCCAGCTCCTCTGTTTTTCTCTGCTTTTCCTTCCCTGGAGGTGCATATACCAGGCCCTCCCATTTGCCTGACTTCTCCTCCTCCTGGTTTTTGTTTGCACCTATGACTTTAGACATAAATTTGGGTTCATCATCAAACTCAGATTCCTTTCTTCCCTTAGCTTTGTCCTTATCTTGATCATCCATCTCCTCCTTGTGGAAGTCAGCCATCTTCTTCTCAAAGTCATCTCGGAGCTTATACCTTTTGGGAGACTGACTGCCCCGAAAAGGCTTCTCAGAATCAGTTTTGGGAGCAAAAGAATCAGATTTCATTTTTCCATCACCCAAGCCTGTGTCAGAGAAGCTCCCTTTCTCTTTTATTTTTTCTTTATCGGTATTTGTTTGTTTCTGTTCCTTATCTTTTCCATTCTCTGTCTTCTGCTCTTCTAGATACCTATTTATAAAAACACAAGAGAGAGACACAAGAGGCTTCTTAACAGCATGCTCTAAAATAGTGCCTTACCGTTTTTGGTTTTTGATTCTCTGAAAAAAACATGTCTTATGGATTCCTGTATTACCAAAGGACTTTCTAGGCGGTTACTTCGTAATAATTTCTGAAAACTGCCATTCACAGTTCTATGAACTTGCCAATTAAGAGAAAAATATATGATCCATGGAGTTGTGTCTTACAAAAGCAACCAAAGAGAACAACAAAAGTTATTTTTAGGATACTCAAAAACAAAAACAAAAACCTACTTACCTGTAATGTGATCTAGGGCAAAAAATAACTTAAGGTCTTACCCAACCTTCACTCAGTCACTTAAAATCTGCTTTCAGCAAAGTTAACATAGAATGTTCAACCTTGGACTGTTTTGCTTTTATACAACTCACATTTGGAAATACAAGTCTAAAAAGAGACTTCAAATTTGCTTCAAGTCACCTAGAAGATCTAAATACGAAATATACTGTGAACACAAATAAAAACAAAATACATGTTAATGGGGGAGAGGGTGACAGCAGCAAAAATCATCATTCTCTTTCTTATGGAAAAGCAGAGCTCATGCTCAAGTCTTCTAAAGAGATTCACAGTCCTGGCATGGAACAAAACTTATGTTTTAAAATAGACTTACTTGGGAGCTACACTATGAGGACCCAAAGGCATAAGAATGACATAATGAACTTTGGGAACTCAAGGAGAAGGATGGGAGGGGGCAAGGATAAAAAACTACACACTGGGTACAGTGTACACTGCTCAGGTGATGGGTGCACCAAAACCTCAGAAATCACCATTAACAAACTTATCCATGTAACCAAACACCACCTATTCGCCCAAAAACCTATTGAAATAAATAAATAAATAAATAAAATAAAACAGACTTACTGAAGGCAAGTACAGATTCAAAACATCTCATCTGTACCATTAATGCAGAAAGCTTAATCAAGTCAAAGTCGTGTTAATACAGCCAAGAAGAATCAAGGGATCAAAAAACATGCTAAATACGATAAAAGAAAAAAAAAGGGGGAGCCACTTGCTGGGTTAGTCCCTCTTGACCACAACCTGGTCCCAGTGCAACTTCCCTGTAACCTCTCTGCCATCCCAATCCATCCAACCATACAAACAAAGATTCATGTTCCAACTCACCGTGTCCCCCAGGGGAGAAAGACGGAAGCACTGTCATGTCCTCTCCTAACACGCAGCCGTGTTGGCTTCTACTGGGACATACACCCACCTTGTGGTTTTAAAACAAGGCCTTCCTGGACTATGCCTTGGCCTTTCCCATTCTGCCCAGTCTCCTCAACTGGAGGGTATTGAGGGTGCAGCTCTTCACCATGATAGGCTGATGCAGATCGAACATAGTAGATGGTGGGTGCTAGAGGGTCTAAGAGCTCCAATGGCCATTCATTTTGGCAAAGACCATACTTTTTTTTGATAGCTGACCCACAAATCTCTACTGTTCTTTGGCTTACATTGGTAGAATCCAAGGCAAATTTTAAATGTGAAAACATCATTGCAGAGTAGTCTAAAGAAAGTTTATGCTGCAATACAAATTCAGGAAGGTAGGAAAGCTAGAGTTAACCTAAAGGTTTCCTTGGGTGATGCTTTTAATGTTTACTAACGAAAAGTCTAGGAAATAGGGATTACCTTTTACCATTAATCAGAGCTCTAACTTAGATCACATTACAATTAAACTGCCAGCTAGTGAGATAAAAACACAACCAGGCAGGGGAAATGAGATACTTGCCTCTTTGTATAGGCTGCTCCTCCTGAAGCAGCACTCTCCTCCTTCTGAGATGAGCCATATGTGGAGCCAGTGGATGGTGGACTCTTACCCACAGGGCTCTTTTTGGATGGACTCAGGGACCCAGAACCATGGTCGAACTGACCTTGGTGTGTCCCAGACTGATACCCGGCACCACTCGGCAGAGTTGAGCCCATCTGGGATGTGCTGGAAAGTGGAGGACTAGGTTTTGGCACGGGGCTAGGACGGGGTGACCGCCGCCTCACCACCACAGACTGGAGGGGGCTTTTGAGAGCTGGGCTTCGCTCCCGAGGACTCAGCTCAGAAACTGCTGAGGCCCGTGATGCAGAACCAGTGCCGTAGGTGGCATCTGGCCATGGCTTCGAGCTCTCAGATGCTTTTGTATCTTGAGAGGTGCCTCCAGAGAATGTCTGCTCCTTGGCCTCATCTCCCTGGTTATCCCCGGCAGCCTGAGATGGCCGGCTATCCTTAGAAGAGGACTTTTTCTCCTTTGCAGACTTGCGCTTAGAAGATTCAACTCGGCTATGGTTGGAGGAAGAACGGGAGGATGAGGAGCGCCTTGACCGGTCAGAAGACGACTTATCAGAGTTTCTAGAATGGCTCCTGGACCTTGGTGAAGGGGACCTTCTCTTTGGGGACCGGGATCTTGAACGGCCTCGACGAGGACTGTATGCTTGCCGGTAATTCTGCCAATTTGAGCGGTAGTTTCCATAGCCTCCTCGGTTATATTGGCCCCATGGATAAAAGCCTCTGTTACGCCCACGGAAATAATAGGGCCTTCTATAGCCTCTGTTGTGACCTCGGAAATCCCGATTCTGATATACTCTTGGGTGGTTTCTTTCTCTGTTATGAGCTGGAGAATATGATCTGGAACGAGACCTAGAACTGGAATGGAAAGGAAAGAGACAAATGTTTGAATTTTTGACACAAGCATTTTTATTCAAGAAAAATCTGTTCTGAAATCCCTGCCCTTATGTGTCATTCACTTTCAGTTTTGTTTTCAAAGCAAGGGCACAAATATTTAATCCCACTACGTATGGCCCTTACTAAGTACAAAAACATGGATAAGAATCATTTGAACAAGTGATGAAACACAGGTCACTTCATTCATATTGCAGCACATTTAAAATGGAGGTGTACTTCTACAGTGACTGAAAAACTATCAACATTTTCTTAAGGTAGTAAACCACACAAAGACCATTTTAATATACCATAATAATAGCTTACAGTTTCACAGGCACGGGGATTTTAACAGGGCTCCAGGTCATTGGAAACGAGAGAAAAACTGTGAGCTGTGGTACCTAGACAGGTACTCTGACCCCTATCTACAATGTGGTAACACTCCACACCCTATCCTAGTCAGCTCTCTCCCCCTTGTGCGGGATGAACTTCTTAAGATACCACTAAGGCTTGGGATCGTTAAAAGTATAGTTACAACAGGTACACACCAAAGAAAACTTGGGAGAATGCATCTGCTCAAAGCTTAAAAGAACTTACTAAAATCACATAAGCAAAACATAAAATATTGTTTTTTAAAATGGAAATGGTCTGACTACTTAGGTCATATTTCTGTGGCTGAGCTACATGATCTTAACTAGGTGCCACAAGAGGGCACTATCGGACCATAAAGTACCCAAGGACGCATGAAGTTAGCAAAGAGTAACTAAAAAACACCCCCACCCCGGTGTGCACAGAAGGCTAGTGTTGTGTTCTTCTCCATTTAACAATATATAACTCTGGTAGAGCAAGATGAATTTCCAGAACCACAGAGACTTGATAGTAACCTAACTGTACATTCCTGAGTGTCAGGCTTGTCAATGATGAGAAACTTTGTTTCCATCAAAAAGCCAAAAATTACGTATGTTGGTGTAAAAACCCATTGGGGTTCTTGGATCCACTTTTCCTATCTACTATGATATAGATCATTGACATTAACCACTACTCCTAAGCAGCTGGCTACAAATAAGTAAAATTTACTAGAAAACTCTTTCAAATAATATTTTCTTTACATATAGAATAAAAACTCTTCAGTTAATCAGCAGGCTTTCTCATATCTGACTGGGAACAGATGCATTTTTGTTTTTTCCAAATAACTCCAGTTAGCAAATATACTAGTTTCTTTTCAGGATTTAACAACTAAACAAAACAGTATTTTTAAGAAGAAAGTACATTCAATTTAATCTAAAGATAAAGTGGGATTGGTTTTCCACTATTTATTGCCCACTGTACTCAGATTTTTTTATCTACACCATGAATAAGAGCAACTGGCAAAGATATATCTTACTGCTGGTTGTTATTGTAATTAAGTACAATTAAAAAAAAACTTACCTTCCACACTTTTCATTTGAAAACAGTAACAATATAAGAAAAGAAGGGAGAGGCAGATGCAGATTATGAAAGTGAATACAACCCGATTAAAGGGCTATGCTTGAGGGAGGTGATCCACCACCAGCACTAAGGAGGGTTTAATTCATGTTCCCATCCTCACAGGCTACTGCTGCTTCTGTTACCAATTACTAGTGAGGGCCCTGGGCATACTGCATCCAAAACTCACAGTCATTGCACAGATGCAGGAAAATGAGTCTCTGCAGATTGCAAATGAAGTTATTTAAGAGATGTCACTTAAAAGGATACAGTCTGTGAAATACAAGGAAATAATCAATTTTCTCCAATTCTGTAGAACTCAGCAGTTAGTTAATTTAAAGGCATGGTTTCTCAAACTCTCTGGATAGATACTTTCCTTGCAGGAGAGGGAAAACAAAAGAAAAAACCATGAAACAGATAAGCCAGAAATAAAAACTGAACATCCAGTGGCAAATTTATCTGTTTCTAAAAACAGAGAAGTCAGATTACAATCAATTATAAAAGCATACTTTCTAGTGGAGAAATTCCTCCAGAAAAGTCTCTTCTAGGTATATGATAGCATGTAAAGTGTCTCTAGACCTACCCCAGCACATACTGCCTTCCTAAAATATTTTTTCCTCATTTGCCAAGTCAGTGAGCAAGTGCCAAATGATTTGCAGAACAAGGAGAAAAGAACTGCCCGGAATTCCAGCTGTCATAAATACTTCAGAGTTGGTTAACATTTTTCAATTCAATTTTGTCTCTCAGTTTTGGTTGCATAGCCTCTTGGTGTTGAACCAATTATTTAGTTTCTTCTAGTTACTAGATTAAATTTTAAAAAGGTATCTTTCATAACCAAATGAGCTAAAACTGAGGTTTAAACTCCCTAAATCAAGATTCTGGGTACAGGGTAGGAGTTACTAAGAGTCTTGCTGGTCCCATGGCTTTAAAAGCAATTTCCTGAGGTAAATAAATTTAGGGTTTCCCTTTTCAATATTTATGCATACCTGCTTTTTCAGGCTGGCTTCTCATAGACTCCATTTAATATCTACCTTGTTTTTGTTAAATGGTAAAAAAACAAAACTACTAATCCTTTGTTTAATAGACCCCTTAGAAGTACTATAGGGCTCTGGAAATCATCAAGAGTAAAAGTTTAATCACTGACTTCTGAGGTTTATTTTAAATGTCGTAATCAATTCATCTAAGACAAGGATTCTAGATACTCATCTGAAATAAACAGCTAATCAATTCATCTAAGACAAGGATTCTAGATACTCATCTGAAATAAACAGCAGGGGTTCCAAGTGTCAAACATGACAAATCATCTCCTTGCTAATGTACTTGTGGGAAAAAGAATGAAAATGTACAAAGATTCCTCTTCAGCACACCAATTTAAATACACCAATATTTCCCAAACTCACATATAGAAACTTGTTATTTACTGAAAGCTTCTTATCTATCCACAAAAGAAAGTTTAAACACTTTTAAAGAATGAAAAATCCAACTCACAACACACCAAGAGAGGAAAGACGCTGGAGGTTTGGCATCCTATTCCAAGACATAATTAAAATAGGGAAATCCACCTGAAGGTGTGAAAACTGACTGAATTAGGAAATACTGGCAATAAATTCAAAAGAACTGTGCTCATATTCAGTAAGATAAAGTGATGTTTTCAATAGCGATTTTTAAAAAGTTTTAAGATACATTTACTAAACAGATGCAGCTTGTTAGTAATTGGCACATTGTATACAAATTACTCCTGATAAGTTTCTGTAAGTTTATTTTAGTGAGTTGAAGCTTCTTTTCCTTGCCATGTTGTTCATATTATTAATCCTCTTAGCTATCCTTTCTTTGCAGTGATGCACATAAACTTTGGTTCAAGCCTTCAAAAATAATTTGGTGAAAAATAATCAGCTATAGAGATTTGAAGCAAGCAGCTCAAATAAAAATAAAATGTTCTTTCTTCCAAAGTGGGTGGGAAATACTATGTGCTGGCAGAGGAAAGGAATCAGGCAATCAGCATGGCAGTCAAAGCTGATCTGGATTTGTAGTTTAAAGAGACCTGGAATATCTTATAGCCCAACCCTGCACCTCAAGCCAACCCCCCAGTCCATTTGACACTCACAGGAAAAGTCTAACAAAAGATCTTCAAACATCCACATCGACTGATGCAATGATTATCTCAATATACAAAGTCACACCCCCTTACCTCAGCCTGCGCTTCCTTGAACGAGAGAGAGATCGGCTTCGGGACCGAGACTTCGAAAATGAACGAGAACGAGATCTTGATGCAGATCTTGAGCGAGAAGAGCGAGATCCAGACTTGGATTTGTTTGTTTTTGACATCTCTGAAGAGAGGATCACTTTTCAATTACACCTAATGTAAGAAAATGCATTAGAACAAATGAGTGAGTTCCTTTGCAAATGTGAACCTCTTTGGACATTTTAGAAACACATTTCTTTTAATCTGGGCAACTTGAGAAGACCCCATATCTACAAAAAAAAAAAAAAAATTTTTTTTTAATTAGCCAGTCACAGTGGTGCGTTCCTGTAGTCCTAGCTATTTGAGAGGCTAAGACAGGAGGGAGTGCAAAGTTACAGTGAGCTGTGATCACACCTCTGCACTGCAGCTCTGGAGGAAAGAGCAATACCCTATCTCCAAAAAAAAAAAAAAGAGAGAAAGTGGCTGAGCACGGTGGCTCACGCCTGTAATCCCAGTGCACTGGGAGGCCAAGGTAGGAGGAGGACTGCTTAAGTCCAGGTGTTCAAGACTAGCCTGGGCAACATAGCAATATCCCGTGTCTACAAAGTTAAAAAAAAAATTTTTTTTTTCTTGAGATAGGAGTTTTGCTTTTGTTGCCCAGGCTAGAGTGCAATGGCTTAATCTCAGCTCACCACAACCTCCGCCTCCCGGGTTCAAGCAATTCTCCTGCCTCAGCCTCCCAAGTAGCTGGGATTACAAGCATGGGCCACCATGCCCGGCTAATTTTTTTGTATTTTTAGTAGAGACAGGGTTTCTCCTTGTTGGTAAGGCTGGTCTCGAACTCCCGACCTCAGGTAATCTGCCCGGCTCGGCCTCCCAAAGTGCTGGGATTACAGGCGTGAGCCACCGTGCCTGGCCTACAAAGTAAAAACTTTTAAAATTAGCTGGATGTAGTGGTAAGGGCCTGTAGTCCTAGCTACTCCAGAGGCTAAGGTGGGAATGGCCTGAGGCCAGGATTTTGAGACCAGCCTAAGCAACATAGGAAGATTCCCCCACCTCTACAAAAAAAACAACTGTTTAAATAAAATAAACTTTAAAAACAGAAAGTAACATTAAAAAAAAAAAAAAGATGAAATGACTGATTTTTAAAAACCACTCTGCTCTTTCATCAAAAGGAATTTCTTAGTAGTACAAATCCCAAACAGACCAAGCCACAGCAGCAAATGGAAAACCTGACATGTAACCCTAACTGGGTAATACTGTAAGAGATGACCAAGAATGAGGGTGCTTATTAATTTTGGTGCATGCAGTCTTTTCTCAGTAAGCAAAGAAGCTTTGAGACTAAAGTCAGCTGTTAATAAAAGTAATGAGGAGATGTGAGACAGGTTTCCTAGTTCCAAGAGAAGAAACCGCATGCAATTTAACTTAGTTACAGAGTATGTGGCACATCTAGTCATAAAGAACCATCAATTTGTTCCAGCTCTTTATTACAAAAGAGTCAGCTGGGGGCGGTGGCTCACGCCTGTAATCCCAGCACTTTGGGAGGCTGAGGTGGGCTGATCACCTGAGATCAGGAGTTCAAGACCAGCGTGGCCAACATGGTGAAACCCCATCTCTACTAAAAGTAGTGGCGGGTGCCTGTAATCCCAGCTACTCAGGAAGCTGAGACAGGAGAATCTCTCGAACCCAGGAGGCAGAGGTTACAGCGAGCCAAGATCGCGCCATTGCACTCCAGCCTGGACGACAAGAGCAAAACTCCGTCTCAAAAAAAAAAATAAATAAAAATAAAGAGTCAACTTTCTTTCAGGGTCATTTTCCCACCAAGAAACAAATAGTCTTTTTCCTTTTTTCCCCCTCCAGGAAAGAAGAGCGCCTCTAAGTTGCCCTGAGAGGTTAACGCCTGGTCTACAAGGTATACTTCTCTCCTTTATACTCTATTAGCGCCTTGGACATCTTCCCAGCAGTAAAAACTTTAAGTGCTAAAGTACATGTCTATCAAAGACAGTAAGAGTAAGGAATCTATCAAAGATCACAAAGCTAATTAATAGCCAAACCAGGCCCAAACTCCAGGGCCTATTCTATCACACTTTGCTGCCTAGCGAGATTCTGCCAAGTAATGCTGCCTCTTGTCTGTGAAGGGAAAATAATAATCAAATATTTCTCCCCTCCTACCCCTCAGAATTTGAAGATCTCAGCTCAAAAGCTATCTCCTCAGAGGTTCACCCTGACCACCCAGTCAAAAATAGCCACCAGTCATTCTCTAGGTCCAGTATGTATCTTATTTGTTTCTTCAGAGCAAAACTCAGTATGTGAAACTATCTTGTTTACTTGTTATTCTGTCTTTAATTAGAATGTAAGCTCTATAACAACAGAAACCTCATCTTTCTTTATTTAGTGCTGTATACCCAACGCCCAGAATAGCAAATGCTTAACCAGTGTTTTTATTAATTCATTTTATCCTTGAGGAGGGCATTTTTAATCCCGTTTTACAGATAAGAATTTTGAGGCATAGAGAAAGTAATTAACTTGCCCAAGGTCATACTGCCAAAATCCAAACCACGATCGACTTGCTCATTCATTAATTCATTCAGATGGGGTCTCCCTGTGTTGCCCAGGCTGGTCTCAAACTTCTAAGATCAATGGATCCTCCTGCCCTGGCCTCCCAAAGTGCTAGGATTACATGCGTGAGCCACCCCGCCCAGCCTCACCGTTGGCACATTTAACCACTATGTTATATTGCCTGTCTAGAGCAGTGTCTGGCATACAAGGGGTACTAACGAACTTATGGAACCAATGAATGCCAAGTGTCCACCCTTACCAAGTTTACAATCTGATAAAGGTGACAAGATATAGATAAACTGAAAGGTAGTATTTATTTTTGTTATATTCAAATAAAATACTTGAATTTCAAGAACTTTCCAAAAGACAAAAAACGCCTAGGAAGCTGCTATAGCTCCATCTCACAGGGGAAACAAGCAAAATCTTAGAGACATAATTTAGAGGAGAACTGAGAAACTAATAAGAAGTCAGAGACAAAAGGTGATGAGTAAAAGACTGCTAGATGAGGATGCCAAGAACCCACGGTTTTAATCCTGCCAAAAAGATCACACTGTTGCAAGCTCTAGCAAGGTCAAAGATATTTCAATTTGGAGCTATTTTTGGCAGTAGTGTCACTATATGAAGTCAGAATAAAGGAGTAAGTTATTCAGGAGTGGGAGGTGGAGGTATAAACAAACAATTTACAATGAGAATATTAAAAATAAAAATACATTTTGTTTTTTTGGTTGTTCTTAAGCATTATTTTGGGGTTCTCTGGGTTCACTCTTGCCAAATGGAGACCTTTATTTCTGTCACAAGTTCAGGGATATCTATCTATGTCTGCCTAGTAACAGACTGTCTAACATTCTATTTTAACTTGGGTCAGAAATAAAAATCCATCCAGATGACTTACACAACAGGTGGATATTATCAGACTTTAAAAGAATAAAAAAGGGCAACAAGTTAGTGGAAAAGGAAACACTCATTTCAACACTCAGAAACTAGAAAACTAAGAAGCTAATTTTCATTAAGATGAAGAAAAGCTGCCATGTAAATACAAACAGAGCCAAACTTAACAATTCTGCACATATTAAGCTTACCAGAATTGACAAGTGCACTCAAGAGCTGCAATACTGTGACGCCCCCCGACTCCCATTCCCGGAGCCTCCTCTTTAACATGAATTGAAACTAATTATTTTATTTATGTATTTATTTTATTTTATTTTTATTTATTTATTTTTTTTTGAGACAGAGTTTTGCTCTTGTTGCTCAGGCTAGAGTGCAATGGCATGATCTCAGCTCACTGCAACCTCTGCCACCTGGGTTCAAGTGATTCTCCTGCCTCAGCTTCCCAAGTAGCTGGAATTACAGGCGCCCACCACCATGCCCAGCTAATTTTTTGTACTTTTAGTAAAGACGGGGTTTCACTGTGTTAGCCAGGATGGTCTCGATCTCCTGACTTCGTGATCCGCCCACCTCGGCCTCCCAAAGTGCTGGGATTACATGCGTGATCCACCACGCCTGGCACAAGGACAGAATTTCAAACAGCCTTTTGAATTGATTTCAG
Source organism: Homo sapiens (assembly GCF_000001405.40). Taxonomy (NCBI): domain Eukaryota; kingdom Metazoa; phylum Chordata; class Mammalia; order Primates; family Hominidae; genus Homo; species Homo sapiens. The sequence continues at coordinate 36,278,601 of NC_000001.11, read as the reverse complement.
ATATAATTCTGTCACTAGGAGAAAGAATTTGTTTTCAAACTGTTCTGCAGAGACACTTGAGAGGGTAGCACAAGCCCATCATCCTTTTCAGAAGCCCAAGCCTTCTTGACTCAAACTACTTGTCTAATTACCAAGCAGATCAATGGTCCTTGATCTTGAAAACAGATGCGTTTTACTTAAAACACAATTGTGTTTAAAAAAATTTATCCTTACATTTACGGTCAAAACCCGATTGAAGCCTGGTGCAGTGACTCACGCCTGTAATCTTAGTACTTTGGGAGGCCGAGGCAGGCACATCACCTGGGGTCAGCAGTTTGAGACCAGCCTGGCCAACATGGCAAAACCCCGTCTCTACTAAAAATACAAAAATTAGTCAAATGTGGTGGCAGGCACCTGTAATCCCAGCTACTCAGAAGGCTGAGGCAGGGAGAATTACTTGAACCCAGGAGGTGGAAGTTGCAGTGAGCGAAGATCACGCCAGTGCACTCCAGCCTGGGCAACAAGGCAGGACTCCGTCTTAAAAAAAAAAAAAAAAAAAAGGGGGGCTGGGCTCACGACCGTAACCCCACTCAGCACTTTGAGAGGCCAAGGCAGGTGGATCACCTGAGGTCAGGAGTTCAAGACCAGCCCAGCAAACATGGTTAAACCCCCTCTCTACTAAAAAAAATACTAAAATTAGCTGGGTGTGGCAGCAGGAACCTGTAATCCCAGCTACTTGGGAGGCTGAGGCAGGAGAATCGACTGAACCTGGGGGGCAGAGGTGGCAGTGAGCCTAGATTGTGCCATTGCGATCCAGCTTGGGTGACAAAAGCTGAATTCCGTCTCAAAATAATAATCATAATAATTTTTTAAAAAACCCAATTGACCATACATCTAAAAACTCATTTGGTTTTTCACCCTTTTCAAAAACCAACTGACCATAAATTTAAGGCCAGGCATGGTGGTGCATGCCCACAGTCCCAGCTACTTGGGAGACTTGAGGCAGGAGGATTGCTTGAGCCTGGGAGGTTGAAGATGCAGTGAGCCATGTTTGTGCCACTGCACTCCAGCCTGGGTGACAAAGCACGTTATCTGTCTCCAAAATAAAAAATAAATAAATGTGAGCCAGGCGTGGTGGTTCACACTTGTAATCCCAGCACGTTGGGAGACTGAAGTGGGTGGATCACCTGAGGTCAGGAGTTCGAGACCAGCCTGACCAACATGGCGAAACCCTATCTCTACTAAATATACAAAAAGTAGCCAGGTGTGGTGGCAGCTGCCTGTACACCACTGCACTCCAGCCTGGGTGACAGAGCAAGACTCCATCTCAAAAAATAAAATAAAATAAATGTGAGGCTGGGTGCAGTGGCTGATGCCTGCAATCCCAGCACTTTGGGAGGCAGAGGTGGGCAGATCTCCTGAGGTCAGGAGTTCGAGATCAGCCTGGTCAACATGGTGAAACCCTATCTCTACTAAAAATACAAAAATTAGCCAGGCGTGGTGGCAGGCGCCTGTAATCCCAGCTACTCAGGAGGCTGAGGCAGGAGAATCACTTGAACCTGGGAGGCGGAGGTTGCAGTGAGTCAAGACCGTGCCATTACACTCCAGCCTGGGCAATAAGCATGAAACTCCATCTCAAAACATAAGAATAAAATAAAAATTAAAAAAAGTGTGGATACAAGTCCCTTATTGGATGTATGACTTGCAAGTATTTTCTCCCATTTTGTAGGTTTTCTTTTCACTTTTTTTCTTTATTTATGTTTTTTGAGATGGAGTCTCCCTCTATTTCCCAGGCTAGAGTGCAGTGGCGTGATCTCGGCTCACTGCAGCCTCCACCTCCCCGGTTCAAGTGATTCTCTTGCCTCAGCCTCTCGAGTAGCTGGGATTACATTGGTGCAACACCACACCCAGCTCATTTTTGTATTTTTAATAGAGACGGGGTTTCACCATGTTGATCAGGCTGGTCTCAAACTCCTGACCTCAGGTGATCTGCCTGTCTCAGCCTCCCAAAGTGCTGGGATTACAGGCATGAGCCTCCATGCCCAGCTTTACACTTTCTTGATGCTGTCCTTTGAAGCACCTTTTTTTTTTTTTTTTTTGAGACAGAGTCTGGCTCTGTTGCCCAGGCTGGAGTGCAGTGGCACGATCTCAGCTCACTGCAACCTCCGCCTCCCGGGTTCACACCATTCTCCTGCCTCAGCCTCCCGAGTAGCTGGGACTACAGGCACCCACCACCACAGCTGGCTAATTTTTTGTATTTTTAGTAGAAACGGGGTTTCACCGTGTTAGCCAGGATGGTCTCAATCTTCTGACCTCATGACCCGCCTGCCTGGCCTCCCAAAGTGCTGGGATTACAGGTGTGAGCCACCACACCCAGCCTTGAAGCACATTTTTTTTTTTTTTTTACTCTGCTGAACTCTGTTTTTCTTTTGTTGCTTGTACTTTGTGTGACATGTCTAAGCAGGTTTTGTCTAACCCAAGGTCACAAAGATTTACTCCCAGGTTTTCTTGTAAGGGTTTTCTAGTTTTAGCACTATGTAGGTCTATGATCCATTATGATTTAATTTTTATGAATGTTGTCAAGTATGGGTCCAACTTTATTTAGAGACAGGGTTTCACTCTGTCACTCAGGTTGGAATGCAGTAGTGCAATCTCAACTCACTGCAGCCTCAGTTTCCTGGGCTCAAGTGATCCGCCCACCCCAGTCTCCTGAGTAGCAGAGACTACAGGCATGTGTCACCATGCCTGGCTAATATTTGTATTTTGTAGAGACGGGGTCTCCCCATGTTGTCCAGACTGGTCTGGAACTCCTGGGCTCAAGCAATCCACCCACCTCGGCCTCCCAAGTGTTGGGATTACAGGCATGAGCCACCACACCTAGTCCAACTTTGTTGTTTTGCATGTGGCTATCTAGATCTAGCACCATTTGTTGAAAAGACTATTCTTATCATGCTGTTGCACTCCAGCCTGGGCAATAAGAGTGAAACTCCATCTCAAAAGAAAAAAAAAAAAGAAGACTTTTTTTTTTTTTTTTTTGAGACAGAGTCTTGCTCTGTCACCCAGGCTGGAGTGCAGTGGTGCCATCTCAGCTCACTGCAAGCTCCGCCTCCTGGGTTCACACCATTCTCCTGCCTCAGCCTCCCAAGTAGCTGGGACTACAGGTGCCCACCACCACGCCTGGCTAGTTTTTTGTATTTTTAGTAGAGACAGGGTTTCGCCATGTTAGCCAGGATGGTCTCAATCTCCTGACCTCGTGATCCACCTGCCTCGGCCTCCCAAAGTGCTGGGATTACAGGCGTGAGCCACCACACCCAGACTTTTTTTTTTTTTTTTGAGACAGACTCTCGCTTTGTCGCCCAGGCTGGAGTGCAGTGGTGCGATCTTACCTTGCTGCAAGCTCCGCCTTGCAGATTCATGCCATTCTCCTGCCTCAGCCTCCCAAGTAGCTGGGACTACAGGTGCCTGCCACCATGCCCAGCTAATTTTGTGTGTGTGTGTGTGTGTGTATTTTTTAGTAGAGACGGGGTTTCACCGTGTTAGCCAGGATGGTCTTGATCTCCTGACCTCGTGATCCCCCTGCCCCAGCCTCCCAAAGTGCTGGGATTACAGGTGTGAGCCACCGCGCCCGGCCAAAAAAGACTATTCTTTCCCCACTGAATTGTCCTGGCACCCTTGTCAAAAATCAATTAATTGGCCGGGCACAGTGGCTCACGCCTGTAATCCCAGCACTTTGGGAGGCCAAGGCGGGTGGATCACTTGGTCAAGAAATTGAGATCAGCCTGGCCAACATGGTGAAACCCCGTCTCTACTAAAAATACAAAAATTAGCTGGGCGTGATGGCGCGTGCCTATAATCCCAGCTACTCAGGAGGCTGAAGTAGGAGAACCACTTGAACCCGGGAGGTAGAGGTTGCAGTGAGACAAGATCGCACCATTGCACTCCAGTCTGGGTGACAAGAGCAAAACTCCAACTCAAAAAAAAAAAAAAAAAAAAAAAAGCCCAATTAATCATAAATGTAAGGATTCATTTCCGGACTCTCAATTTTATTCTACTGACCTGTCTGTCTCTCCTTATGTCAACACCACAGTCTTAATTAGTGTAGCTATAGTACATTTTTAAATAAAAAAAAGTGAGTCCTCCAACTTTTCTCTTTTTCAAAATAGTTTTGGCTATTCTAGGTACATGTCCATATGAATTTTAGAATCAGCATGCCAATTTCTGCAAAAAGACCATCTGGGATTTTGACAGTGTGTGTGCTGAATCTGTAGATCAATTTGGAGAATACTGCCATCTTAACAATAGTAAGTCTTCCAAATCCATGAACATGAAATGTCTTTCCACAATGTTTCAGTTTTCTGAATATAAGTTTTACACTGGCCTTTGTTAAATTTATTCCTAAATATATTATTTTGTTGCTACTGCAAATGAAATTACTTACGATTGATTTTCACTTGTTAACAATTTCATTTTCTTATTGTTCATTGCTACTGTATAGAAATACAGCTCATTTTGTCTGTGTGTGTGTGTGTGTGTGTGTGTGTGTGTGACACACACACACACACAGTCTTTTTTTTTTTTTTGAGGTGGAGTCTTGCTCTGTTGCTCAGGATGGAGTGCAGTGGCGTGATCTTGGCTCACTGCAGCCTCCACCTCCTGGGTTCAAGCAATTCTCCTGCCTCAGCCTCCCCAGTAGCTGGGATAATAGGCATGTGCTACCACGCCCAGCTGATTTTTTTTTATTTTTAATAGAGATGGGGTTTCGCCATGTTGGCCAGGCTGGTCTCAAACTCCTGACCTCAAATGATCTGCCACCTCGGCCTCCCAAAGTGCTGGGATTACAAGTGTGAGCCACCATGCCTGGCCTCATTTTTGTATACTGATCTTGTACCTGCAACCTTGCTAAATTCATTTATTAGCTCTAATTGGTTTTTAGTAGAATCCTTAGGTTTTTCTATTTAAGATTACACCATCTGCAAAAAGAGATGATTTTACTTCTTCACCAATTTAGATGCCTCGTGTTTCATTTTCTTGCCTAACTGCTCTGGCTGGAACGTCTAGTACACAATGGTAAATAAAATGGTGAGAGTGGACAGCCTTGTCTTGGTCTTGTTCTTCATCTTAAGGAGAAAGCATTCAGTCTTGCACCTTTAAGTATGATGTTAGCTGTAAATTTTTCATAGATGCCCTTTATCATATTGAGGAAATTCCCTTCTACTTTGTTGACTATTTTTATAATGAGAAGGTGCTGGACTTCACTGAAATGTGTCTACTGAGATTTTCTTGTCTTAAAAGAATGGGAAAAGTTCCCGAGAACTGACTCCATGTGAGCCTGCGCTCCTTATCCCTCTAACCAGGCCTCAGGACGAAGTCTCTACTCTGCTGAGAAGACAGCATGCTTTTCCAGATTAGATAATGCTACATTCGATGACTGTTAGGTAACAAAAAAGAGTTAACTAAATAAGTTTAACAATTCAGGATACCAAACCCAGGAGGCTACAAAATGAACCAGAGACCACATCTGATTTGTTCTCCATTTCATCTTCAGTGCTTTGCGTTTAGCCACAGAGTGGACACTTTGTACTTGTTAAATGAATAAACACACTTTCACGCTTCCTCTTCAATCTCCATTCTCTTCACAAGAAGGAACAATAATTTTAAAAATCAGTTTATCAAATATTAACAATACAGTCAAGGAATAAAATTATGTATGTATCACAGTTCTGCTAACCTAGAAATTGAGATCATTCTCATCCCTTCTACACCTTATTCAAAGGCACATAAGACCAAACTGATCTCGTTAGGGAGACACACTTCATTTACTAGTGCCACGTTTGAACAAAACTTCACTGCCACCAACATCCAGTCAGGAGAGCCATGCTTTCAACAGTCACTAAAGGGAAGAAGTAGGAAATTCTTGGTGAACAAGCCATCAACTGATAGAGATAAGACAGACAAAAATACCAAGAAAGAAATACCACCACCCATAAAGCGTTTTAGACAAAGCAGTGGGGTGGGCCTGACTTGCGTTCTGAATGCCTCTGGACAGTTATGGGAGGAAAGCTGAGCTCAGGTGAAATATGAAACATGTTTACTATTTTACTCTTTTCTCTGGAGGTCATCATCTCCTGAGTAAAAGACACAGAAACAGAATAGAGGGCAGCTGTGATATCTCTAGAGTAACACTCTGCCAAGGCCTCATACTCCACCCCATCCCTGAATAAATCAAATCAGAGACCCCTTCATGACATGTACTCTGCTATTAAGTGGCTCTCAAGTTATTAAGTAAGGTAAATCAGTAAATACTAATTTCAATTCTAAGGTCTTCAATTTATAGAAAAGAATATCCAAATGTGCATTGGGTACTCTCCTAAAAAGTGGGGGTGATGTCCCTCTGGGGAGAATGGTCATTTAATTTAACTGTTTAAAACATTTAAAGATACAGGCTGGGCGTGGTGACTCAAACCTGTAATCCCAGCACTTTGGGAGGCTAAGGAAGGAGGCTTGCTTTTCAGTCCAGAAGTTCAAGGCCAGCCTGGACAACATGGCAAGACCCTGTCTCTACAAAAAAAATAAAAAATAAAAAAATTATCCAGGGCCAGGCACAGTGGCTCAGGCCTGTAACCCCAGCACTTTGGAAAGCCAAAGGGGGTGAATTACTTGAGGTCAGGAGTTCCAGACCAGCCTGGCCAACATGGGAAAACCCCATCTCTATTAAAAATACAAAAATTAGGCCGGGTGCGGTGGCTCACGCCTGTAATCCCAGCACTTTGGGAGGCCGAGGCGGGCTGATCACCTGAGGTTGGGAGTTCAAGACCAGCCTGACCAACATGGAGAAACCCCTTCTCTACTAAAAATACAAAAATTAGCCGGGTGTGGTGGTATGCGTCTGTGATCCCAACTACTAAGGAGGCTGAGGCAGGAGAATTGCTTGAACTCGGGAGGTGGAGGTTGTGGTGAGCGAAGACTGCACTGCACTCCAGCTTGTGCGACAGAAAGAGACTGCATCTCAAAAAAAAAAAAAAAAAAAAAAAGATAAGAAAAAGCCTGGGCACAGTGGCTCATGCCTGTAATCCCAGCACTTTGGGAAGCCAAGGTAGGCAGATCACGAGGTCAGGAGTTCGAGACTAGCCTGACCAACATGGTGAAACCCCGTCTCCACTAAAAATACAAGAATTAGCCAGGTGTGTTGGCATGCACCTGTAATCCCAGCTACTCAGGAAGCTGAGGCGGGAGAATCGCTTGAACCCGGGAGGCGGAGGTTGCAGTGAGCAGAGATCGCATCACTGCACTCCAGCCTGGGCAACAGAATGAGACTCCATCTTGGGGGAAAAAAAAATTTGCCTGTGTTATGAAAACAAAATTATCCTGGAACTTGGTACTGAAATTCTTAAAACTTTAAATACTGAATTCTGTGGAATTTGGTAGAACTTACTTTAAAAATATGAAATCTGTAGTTACAGACATACATATAAGACATATCTATATAAGGACATACAGCAAACTGTTATCAGTGATTATTTCTGCAGAGCAGAAAGAAGCTAACAGGAAGGGAACAGGAGAAGGAGGGATATGAGACGGGAAGAAAGGGCAGGAGCACTTGCTTCTTACTTTAATTTTTTTAGGCAGAGATTTCTCCCCCATTATTCTAAAAAAAAAGTTAACATTCCATGAGTTGTGTACATTATTTTATTTTTAATATGAAATCAAACATCTACCTGCTTTTTTCTGATATTAAAAAAACCTGGCTGGGCGCAGTGGCTCACACCTGTAATAATCTCAGCACTTTGGGAGTCCGAGGCAGGCGGATCACCTGAGGTCGGGAGTCGGAGACCGGCCTGACCAACGTGGAGAAACCTCATCTCTACTAAAAATACAAAATTCGCTAGGCGTGGTGGGGCATGCCTGTAATCCCAGCTACTCAGGAGGCTAAGGCAGGAGAATCACTTGAGCCCAGGAGGCAGAGGTTGCAGTGAGCCAAGATTGCGCCACTGCACTCCAGCCTGGGCAACAAGAGCGAAACTCCGTCTCAAAAAAAAAAAAAAAAACAAAAACCTAAACAAATAGAACTGTATTTTTAATTATTTAGAGTCCATGTCCATTTTGGAAATCTTCTCACAGTAAATCTACTTTGCCTTTTTATGACTTTAAAGAAGGTTTAAAAGGGCCTGTCTTATAGCTGCGAGAGCAGGCATGCGTGCGTGTGCGTGTGCCTGTGTGCGTGTGTGTGTGTGTCAGGGTCTCACTCTGTTGTTTCAGACTGGAGTGCAGTGGCTCGATTATAGCTCACTGCAGCCTCAACCTCCCTGGCTGGCTCAACCGATCCTCCCACCTCAGCCTCCTGAGTAGCTGGGACTACCGGCATGTGCCACTACAGCTGGCTAACTTTTCGTATTTTTTGTAGAGACAAGGTCTCGCCATGTTGCCCAAGCTGGTTTCAAACTCCTGGGTTCAAGGAGTCCTCCCTCCTCAGCCTTCCAAAGTGCTGGGATTACAGGCATGAGCCAATGTGCCCAGCCTGTTTATTTTATTATAGAAGTATTGATTCAAACATACACAAAAGTAGAAAGAACAGTATAGGGAACCCAAGTGTTTCCATCATCCAGCTTCAAACATTATCAATACTCTGCAGGCAGACTGTATTCTTGGTCAAAATCCGAACAAGTGTGGATAGATAAAGCCAGTTTCTGCAGCTCCTTTTGTGTATTTTCCTCCTTAAAAAAGACTTTATTTAAAAAAAGAGACATGCAGCTGTAAACAGTGGCTCACACCTGTAATCCCAGCACTTTGGGAGGTTGAGGGGTAGGACTGCTTGAGCCCAGGATGTCGAATCAGCCTGGGCAACATAGTGAGACCCTGTCTCTACAGAAGATTTAAAAAAAAAAAAATTAGCTGGGCATGATGGTGAGCTCCTGCAGTCCCAGCTACTTGGGAGGCTGAGGTAAGAGGATGGCTTGGGCCCAGGTCCAGGCTGCAGTGAGCAATGATTGCTCCACTGCACAACAGCCTGGGTTATGTGCTTTTCCACGTGTGTGCTCTGCAAATACATCTAAAAAGAGAATCAGTTACAGCAAATAACATTCTAACTCAAACTCAAACACATCTAAAGTAAACTCCAAAGTACAACCTTAAACTCTCCCCCAATTACAGGACATGAAGTAGTCCAAAATGTCATTCCCAGTGGAGGCTCTTCCATCAACTTGTTTTTAGACATGAGAATACTTCATAACCACTGAGAAAAGTATCACGAGAGGGGAGAAAATACATAGTAAGCTACTTTTTTTCATTAGCAACCCCAAAAGGCTGCAGCTTCTAACTCTATGGTGTCCGAAATCCACTGTAAAAAAAAGTGAGCTCGCTTCAACTGTTTGTTTGGCATCTGCAGAACCAGTGGAACCAGCCTGGCAAATTTCACCATCACCACCAACAAAAATCAGCAAAAACACTCCTGTGTGTTCAGAAATTGGAGGGTTAAGGGATGCCAGTAAAGTCCATGCCCTCAGGAAAAACAATACTTGGTCCTTAGCTCTTGTCAAGGTAACTGCCAAGACAAAATACCCAATTCTGTGTATTGTTTTCTCCAGATTAAAAAACTAACTCGGCTGGGCGCGGTGGCTCATACCTGTAATCCCAGCACTTTCAGAGGCCGAGGCAGGTGGATCACCTGAGGCCAGGAGTTTGAGGCCAGCCTGGCCAACATGGTGAAACCCCATCTCTACTAAAAATAGAAAAATTAGCTGGGCGTGGTGGCGGGCGCCTGTAGTCACAGCTACTCGGGAGGCTGAGGCAGGAGAATCGCTTGAACCTGGGAGGTGGAGCTTGCAGTGAGCTGAGAATGTGCCACTGCACTCCAGCCTGGGTGACAGATAGAGCGAGACTCCGTCTCAAAAAAAAAAAAAAAATTAACTCATATTGGACACATGGATTACTTTTCTAAGTAGTCATTAAGAAGTTTCTCTCCTGGGCACAGTGGTTTGTGTCTATGGTCCCTCGTACTATGGAAGCTGAGACAGGAGTATCGCTTGAGCCCAGAAGTTCAAGGCTGCAGGTGAGCTACCACTGTGTCGTTGCACTCCAGCCTGGAGGACACAGCAAGGTGGGTCTATCCTTAAAAACAAAACAGTTTCCCCCAAAATAACCTCTGAAGTACTTTAAAGTACAGCAATTAAGGAATGGCAAGCCTGGTGTAACACTGCCAATGTAACAAATACTGGACCGGCTCTTATCCATGGAGGTTCAATTCCAAGCCCTCCAAAATGTCCAAAATGTCAATCTCTGTTCTTCCTTTTCTAGTCTAGTATTTCTTTGGATGATAAAAAACACACTGAGTCATCTGATTCTCAGAAAATTCATACTAAACTGCACAGAAAAAAAAAAATGATGCTGACCTTTTTTCTGTCACCTTCAGTGCAAGAAAAAGGGTAATTCCTTTCTTTTTTTTTTTGAGACAGAGTCTCGCACTGTTGCCCAGGCTGGAGTACAGTGGCACATGATCTCGGCTCACTACAATCTTCACCTCTTGGGTTCAAGTGATTCTCCTGCCTCAGCCTCCCGAGTAGCTGGGATTACAGCTGCGTGCTACCACACCCAACTAATTCTTGTATTGTCAGTAGAGATGGGGTTTCACCATATTGGCCAGGCTGGTCTTGAACTCCTGGCCTCAAGTGATCCATCTGCCTCGGCCTCCCAAAGTACTAGGATTACAGGCGTGAGTCACCGTGCCCGGCCTAGGGTAATTCCTTTCTAAAAGTACTGCTATTCACTTTGGATGTTTTGGATTCCCAGTTGTAAAACAGACCTTTTCTAACAGAACTCAGTCTCCGAAAGCCCCCGGATGCCCCGTATTCTGTGAGTGGGTGCGGGGAATATGGGCTCCCGTCTATCCAGCAGGGAGCCCATCCTACCTCTTCTTGACTTACCTCCTTTCAAGCCCTAGTATCAGTTAACAAATAACAAAAGAATCTGCTCTGGCCTCCTGTTTGACTATTACTAATTGCTTTCTTCCCTCTTTCTTCTCCCCACAAAGTATCAATACCCCTGGAATTGGGTGGAACTGATCTCACTACACTAGTAGGTAAGAAGCTGAAAAACATAACCGCTGCCAAACAAGTGTTCAGGGTCCCTAAATGAGAGAAATTTACCAAAACTAAGGCTCCTACTGAATAAACCACAAACTCTTATTTGGTGCATGTGTTTTTACCTCTATTTTTTCATCAGTAAAATGATGATTCGGAACAGCTGTATTGCTGACAAAAAAACTTAAAAATTATACACGAATAGAGGGGAACATTCCTTTTTTACTACTTCAGCCATGTCCTAAAAAATGGAATTAGGTGGTAAAGAAACTTTGCTTTTAAAGGAGAATCACCCTCACCCACACATACACATACACTGTGACTCTGAAATTAATTGCAGAAGAAATTATTTAAGATTCTTATTATAGGCAGGGCGCGGTGGCTCACGCCTGTAATACCAGCACTTTGGGAGGCCGAGGCGGGTGGATCACCTGAGGTCAGGAGTTCAAGACCAGCCTGACCAATATGATGAAACCCCGTCTCTACTAAAAATACAAAAAAATTTAGCCGGGCGTGTTGGCATGCAAATGTAATCCCACCTACTCGGGAGGCTGAGACAGGAGAATTGCTTGAACCCAGGAGGCGGAGGCTGCAGTGAGCCAAGATCGTGCCACTGCACTCCAGCCTGGCCAACAAGAGTAAAACTCTATCTCAAAAATAAATAAATAAATAAATAAATAAATAAATAAATAAATAAATATTCGTATTATAATCTACTCCTTTTTTACAACAAGCCAATCTGCCTGAAAATAGGTATCAACTGTCCAGGGACTTGGCCACCTACCTTCTCTGACTGTACTTAAACTTATCACTTGCATCTGAGACAATGCAAATTCAGGTAGTACCAACCTCACTTGGAAATGAGAGGTTCCAGAGCAAGTTAGAGCTTGGCTACAGAATCCTACTGGGGTGAGGGACACTGTGCTGCTGGCTTCTTTCCATCAGAACCAGCAAGAGATCACATTTCCTTCCCCCTTTTCAGCGAGTGAATTAGTTTCTGCTCATATCATATGGCAAATTCCACTCCTTCCATCATTTACTTTTTAAAGGAACAGGACCACATTACTTCTCAGTAACTTAGAGAGGTGGAGAAAATTCAATGAGAAATGTATTTTCCATGGGTTCCAAAATACAGCAGGCAGAGGGGCACTGCTTATCTCAAGGATGATTTCCACACAGGAACTGGAATTTTTCTTGTTTGTTGTTGTTGTTGTTTGTCATTTTTGAGACAGAGTCTGGCTCTGTTGCCCAGGCTGGAGTGCAGTAGCTCAATCTTACTGCAGAGGTGACTGCAACCTCTGCATCTTGGGCTCAAGCAATCCTCCCACCTCAGCCTCCTGAGTAGCTGGGACTACAGGTACGCCACAATGCTTGGCTTTTTTTTTTTTTTCTTTTTTTGAGAATGAGTCTTACTCTGTACCAAGGCTAGAGTGCAGTGGTGCAATCTCAGCTCACTGCAACCTCCATCTCCCAGGTTCAAGCAATTCCCCTACCTCAGCCTCCCGAGTAGCTGGGATTACAGGTGCATGTCACCATGCCTGGCTAATCTTTGTATTTTCAATACAGACGGGGTCTCACCATGCTGGCCAAGCTGGTCTCAAACTCCTGACCTCAAATGATCCGCCCGCCTCAGCCTCCCAAAGTGTTGGGATTACAGGTGTGAGCCACCACATCTGGACCATTTCACAATTTTAAAAATAATTTTTAGGGGGTAGGGGGCAAAGGGATGGGGAGCATTAGATTAGGACAAACAGCTAATGCATGCGGGGCTTAAAACCTAGATGACGGGTTGATATGTACAGCAAACCACCATGGCACATGTATACCTATGTAACAAACCTGCACTTTCTGCACATGTATCCTAGAACTTAAAATTTAAAAAATAAATAATTTTTGCTTTCTCATTAAAGCAGATTTCACAATTGCTATACTTTACAGTTATTTGGTAAAATTGGAGTTTATGCTTCAAAAATATGGCCCAACAAGTACCAAGGGCATTCTTCTGCTCATCTTATCAAGATTTACTGAACACTTACTGTGCCATGCATGCCATGTGCACTAGATGCAGCAAAAAAAAAAAAAAAAAAAAAAGTTTCCTGTCTTGTACACCTAACTGTAAGTAGAAAATTATTTTTTAATCTTTTCAGGCTCATACTGTGACTTTGGAGGTTTTCGTTTGTATTGGTTAACAGTGTAAAAAGGCACCAGAGTAAAGTCAAAAAGATTACTAGTAAGACCTTTTCCAAGTTGCTTCTCTTTGAACTAAAGTTTTCTTATGTGCTCATAACAAGGATGATACTTTAGTTAATAATAAAGTTTCATACTGGTTCATTAATTGGGACAAATGTACCATACTAATGTAAGATGTTATTTACAGTGGAAACTGGGCATGGGGTACATAGGAACTGTTATGGGTCCAGTTGTGACCCATCTACCCATCCAAATCATATATGGGAAGTCCTAACCCCTAGTACCTCAGAATGTAACCTCATTTGAAGTTAAGGGTCTTTAGTGAGGTATACGATGCTTATAAAAAGGGGAAATTTGGAACCTGATATGCGGAGACACAGGGAAGCCAAGGAGAGGGGCCTGGAACAGATCCTTCTGTCATGGCTCTCTAGAAGAACCAATCCTGCCGACACCTTGATTTTGAATTTCTAGCCTCCAGAGCTGTGAGACAATAGAACTGCTGTTGTTGAAGCCTCCATTTGTGGTACTTTATTATAGCAGCCCTAGCAAATATAAACTCTGTATATCTTCACAATTTTCAATAAATCTTCAACTATTCTCAAATAGATATTAAAAAAAAAGATAAAGGTAATGTTACCAATATTTCACAGTTAAGACCAAAAGAGATAGATAACTAGCAAATCTGCGCATAATCTCAACACACAATAAGCAACTGAGACTAGAATCCACGTTCCATTCTGGGCTGTCCATATGTCCATAATACAGTGTTACTTCAAGAGGGGCACTAAGGTGGGTGTTAGGTGAGGAAATACACTAAAGCAAATTATCATTCTAAAATGCTCAGTCCTAAATGGACAAGTCACTTTGTAATACTGGGCCAGGTTCGGCAGTAAGTAGAGGCTTTGGTAGCAAAAACGAACTGGGTTCAATCTTGGCTCTGCCACCCATTCCTGGACAAAATACTTAACTCTCTCCATCTTCCAAATGTGACCTACACCTTACAGGACTGCCAGGAGAATTAAGGAAGCACATACACAGTGCCTGACACACAAGTGAGTAAACACCTTAAACTATGTTTAGCCACAGAACCAGAGTGGTTGGAGGGAGAGATTTAGGAACTTCCCTGGGAGTAAACAGATTTCATAACTGATTCTATTTTCTTGCTATTTATTAAAACCTGCCTACAAGAAGGAGAATGGCGTGAACCTGGGAGGCAGAGCTTGCAATGAGCTGAGACTGCGCCACTGCACTCCAGCCTGGGCGACAGAGCGAGACTCCGTCTCAAAAAAACAAACAAACAAAAACCAAATCTGCCTACAAGTAATAAGTGATCAGGTATCTTCCTACACAGCAATAAAGCATTTTATATCTTTCCTGGCTAAATTAGCATGTGTCACACTGAAGAGGTGTGCTAGAAGGAAAGGTCGTATTATCAAGAAAGACCTAAGTCAAAAGGTCACATTCACCTTTGGAAGACAAATCTCTTCGATGCTGGATGTTAGCAGGGAAAATCAACAGCAAGCTAAAAGTTCACTTAGAACTTTTTCATCAAAACATCCCCAGTGTAAGCAACTTGAGATACTCCTCTGAGAATTCAGTCAATGCGTGTCTATTAAGCTCAGGATCATCTATGCAATTAATCATTGGGGAAACAAAATGAATAGCACAGCTGGCGGCTTAAAAAAAATATTCAATTCACCCCAGAGGCTCCTCTCCTATGTCTCTCAGGGACAGTAACAGTAATTTTAGCCCCCATTTTAAATGAGTATGTTACCATTGGGGAATATTTTCTTCTCAATTCTTAAGAGAAATTCTCAGCTTTCCTAACTTAATAAAGACACTATAATCTATATTAACTAACGACCTGTGGTTTCCTTCCAGCTCTCATTATGATAAATCTTTTCTAAGCTAAATTAAGCAGCCAATCATGACACTTAACTATTTTTAAAAATGGAATTATTGTCCAGGTGCAGTAGCTCACCCCTGAAATCCTAGCACTTTGAGAGGCCAAGGCGGGTGGATCACTTGAGCCCAAGAGTTTGAGACCAGCCTGGGCAACATAGTAAGACCTCATCTCTACAAGAAATACAAAAATTAACTGGGCATGGTGGCTTGTGCCTATAGTCTCAGCTACTCAGGAGGCCGAAGCAGGAGGATCACCTGAGCCTGGGAGGTCAAGGTTGCAGTGAGCCGTGATCAAGCCACTGCACTCCAGCCTTGGCGACAGAGCCTCCAAAAAATAAATAAAATAGGCCGGGTGCAGTGGCTCACGCCTGTAATCCCAACACTTTGGGAGGCCAAGGTGGGCAGATCACGAGGTCAGGAGATAGAGACCATCCTGGCTAACACAGTGAAACCCCATCTCTACTGAAAATACAAAAAAAAAAAAAAAAAAAAAAAATTAGCCGGCCCTGGTGGCGGGCGCCTGTAGTCCCAGCTACTTGGCAGGCTGAGGCAGGAGAATGGCGTGACCCCGGGAGGTGGACTTGTAGTGAGCCGAGATCGCGCCACTGCACTCCAGCCTGGGAGACAGAGCAAGACTTCATCTCAAAAAAAATAATAATAATAAATAAATAAAATAAAATAAAATAAAATAGAAGCATTACTATTAAAGCCTTGGGCTAAACACTGATAAATACTGTAATCACCTACAGAACTTTAAAAAAATATCCATCCATCAAGATTCTAATTGAAGAAACTGAGAATGGGATTCAGAGCCAGTGGGCCATGGACATTCTTTGCAGATCACCCCCATACTGATATACAGACATCCACTGTTTACAAAGAGTTCTACATAAAGCCTGGATAGAACTACAGTAGGAGAAATAAGCTGTTTGACAGCTTTTACAGACAATGGTCTTTTTAAGATCAAATCATCTTCCCAAAGATGATCACATGGAGGTTTAGAGGAGGAAAAAAACGTGTGTGTTAGATTTATTTTGTTTTATATTACTATATCACTGTTTTGTATTATGTTTGGAATGTGGCAGGCCATCATTCATTAACTTAATCATACTAGTTTATCTGTTCCTTCAGAAGTATGAACTCTTAGAACTGTACCATCCAATACATATGTAGACTCAGCACGTGAAATGTGGCTGATCTGAACTGAGATGAGCTACAGGTATAAAATAAACATGGGATTTCTAAGGCTTGGTATAAACAGAAAGTAAAATATCTCACCATTCTTTATATCACTTATATGTTGAAATAAGAATGTACTGGATATATTGAATTATATAAAACATATCGTTCAAATTTATTTCATCTGTTTTTTTAAATGTGACTACTAAAATGTATTAAATGACATGTGGCTCACATTCTTCTTTTGAGCAGCACTGTCCTTGAGAACAACGATGATTATATCTTCAAATTGAGAACCCAATCTAGTACTGTCCAGTCACTTTTAGATTTGTCATTTATACTTGCCATTTCTAGTCTCTACCCACTAAGCCTTTCCTGTTGCAGTAACTCTCCACATGAGTTTGGGGGAGCAGCGGAGATGTCTTAAATACAAACACAACTCTACGTAAGAGACCAAAAATGATTTAAAGATCTACTACCATTTTGGATCATACTAATCATCTAAGTTTACAAAAGAAATCAAGGAGAACCCGACCGGTTGCTTCCACTTAAAATTATTTAAAATACTACTCGAAGCTATCTAGAGACACCAACTCCACCTCAGGTAGATCCACACACTCAACCAGAACTTAGTCCAGATACATGTGATCAGTGTAGTTCGTCTCTCTGGGATTTCCTTTTGGAATAGCATATGAACTGCTTACAGAAATGGCTCTAATTTTTTATTTTATTTTTACTTTT
The DNA here is from genome assembly GCF_000001405.40 of Homo sapiens. Classification (NCBI taxonomy): domain Eukaryota; kingdom Metazoa; phylum Chordata; class Mammalia; order Primates; family Hominidae; genus Homo; species Homo sapiens. Next base: position 36,261,535 of record NC_000001.11, on the reverse strand, counting down.
TTTGAGATGGAGTCTCGCTCTGTCGCCCAGCCTGGATTGCAATGGCGCGATCTCAGCTCACTGCAAGCTCCGCCTCCCGGGTTCACGCCATTCTCCTGCCTCAGTCTCCCGAGTAGCTGGGACTACAGGCGCCCACCACCGTGCCTGGCTAGTTTTTTTGTATTTTTAGTAGAGATGGGGTTTCACCGTGTTAGCCAGGATGGTCTCGATCTCCTGACCTCGTGATCTGCCCGCCTTGGCCTCCCAAAGTGCTGGGATTACAGGCGTGAGCCACCGCACCCGGCCTAATTTTTGTATTTTTAGTAGAGATGGGGTTTTACCATGTTGGCCAGCTGGTCTCGAACTCCTGGCCTCAAGTGATCTGCCCTCCTCGGCCTCCCAAAGTGCTTCGCTTACAGGTGTGAGCTACTGCGCTTAGCCCAAGATAAAATTTATAATATAGCCAAAATGCTTAAATGTATTGTGGAAGATTTACACTTATGGTTAGAGTTTAGGGAGAAATTACTGATAAAGACATAGAAACTAAGCAAAATAGACAAAAAGATTATTAAAAACAGAAAACAAATAGTTGTACAAAAAAGGAAAAGTAAACACAACATGTAAAATGACTGGGCTGTGAATAAGCGCTACGTAATCATAATAATGTTGTAAACCATGATACTGCCATGACTAAAATTATATTATAACCAGAGTGCCTTTTTTTTTTTTTTTTTTGAGACGTAGTCTTGCTCTGTAGCCCAGGCTAGAGTGCAGTGGTGCGATCTCAGCTCACTGCAAGCTCCGCCTCCTGGGTTCACACCATTCTCCTGCCTCAGCCTCCAGAGTAGCTGGGACTACAGGCGCCCACCACCACGCCCGGCTAATTTTTTGTATTTTTAGTAGAGATGGGGTTTCACCGTGTTAGCCAGGATGGTCTCGATCTCCTGACCTTGTGATCCGCCCGCCTCGGCCTCCCAAAGTGCTGAGATTACAGGCGTGAGCCAGGTGCCTGGCCCCAGAGTGACAATTAATGTTGGCATGTGAGGTGGTCAGGTAAGCCTACCAAAAACGACCACTATTTAAGGAGTGAAGTTAATAAATAATAACAAACACTGTAAAGCAAAAGAGGCTTATTATTTAGAGAGATATACCAAAAGGAACTGGAGAGTTGAAAATGACTGCTTCTAAGGGGCTGGGAAGGGGAGTGGGGAAGGACTGCTGTTTTTCATAAAGAGCCCTAGGGAGCTGATGGTCTGGTATGTCTACTATAGTGTTTTTGCAAATATATACAGCTTTTGTTTGTTTTTGTTTTTCTGAGACAAGGTCTTGCTCTGTTGCCCAGGCTGGAGGGCAGTGGCAAGATCTCGGCTCACTGTAACCTCTACCTTCTGCATTGAAGTGATTCTCCTGCCTCAGCCTCCCAAGTAGCTGGGATTACAGGTGCCTGCCACCATGCCTGGCTAATTTTTGTATTTTTAGTAGAGACGGGGTTTCACTATGTTGGCCAGGCTGGTCTCGAACTCTTGACCTCAAGTGATCACCTGCCTTGGCCTCCCAAAGTGCTGGGATTACAGTCAGGAGCCACCACGCCTGGCCCCCAATTTTAATTAAAACAAGTATATATCCAAGTAACATAAGCATGAAAAGGGACTGCTTCCCAAAATATTAATGATTACAGATGTCAAGTTTACCGACAGCCTTTTTCAAACGAATACTGTTTCATAAGAACCCAGAACTTCCATTAACGAATCATCTGGATAATCAATTCTTTTTCTTTTCTTTTTTTTTTTTTTGAGACAGGGTCTTGCTGTCACCCAGGCTGGAGTGCAGTGGCATGAACATGGTTCACTGCAGTCTCCAACTACTGAGCTCAAGCTATCCTTCTGCCTCAGCCTCCCAAGTAGCTGGGACCACAGATGTGTATCACCAGGCCTGGTTAAATTTTTTTATTTTTTGTAGAGACAGGATCTCACCATGTTGCATAGGCTGGTCTCGAAATAATCAATTCTTAACGTAAGATTGGTTTTACAAATTAGTGAAGTTATTAGTTTCTTTTACCACCATGCTTTTACCTTATTTGAACAATGATTCAACTCGTACTGGATCCCAGACACTACCCCAAAAGAACACCCGCAGCACCACTGGCTTCTTCACTTTACAAGTCAGCATACACTTCTGAAATGAGAGAAAATAAGTAGTGATAAAATGGCTACCCAAATGCAGATTCTGTTACTGATGCTCAAAATCTATAAACACAAACCCTACTTTAGCCCTCAGCTTTACTCCAAAAGGACCCAAGCTTTTCTCTCAAAGTATGAGATGGTCTGCCTCTGTCTGACAGGTTTTCATTCATCTAACCTCCTACAGTATGGAAAGCAAAAGCCTTCCTTACTGTAACCTGATACTTTCACTGGCAATATTTCAGGTGCTAAGGTTTTCATTATGCAAGACTAATTCACAAGCTCCACAAAACTCAACCTGGTGAACCTGACAAAAATCAGATGTTTAAAATAAGAAAGCAATGAACAGAAGTATATTAAAATGAATTTAACAAATGCATTTCAAGGTAAAGTAACTCTCCGTACCTACCCATAAAAGCACAAAAATTCCCTTCTGCTCCAGTTGTCTATTCCCAGATCTATGAACATGGTCATACATCAAAGCTATGTCCAGCGTTTTCCAAAACAAACAGGAAAAACAAGTTCCAAGACCAGCAAGCTCATGTAGGTAATTAGATGTCCTCACTCCTGCCTTATCAAAACTTTGTTGTTATTCTTATTACAGGGGCAGTGGCTCACGCCTATAATCCCAGCACTTTGGGAGGCCAAGGCGGGCGGATCACGAGGTCAGGAGATCGAGATCATCCTGGCTAATATGGTGGAATCCCGTCTCTAGTAAAAATACAAAAACAAAATTAGCCAGGCGTGGCAGCAGGCACCTGTAGTCTCAGCTACTCAGGAGGCTGAGGTGGGAGAGTGGCGTGAACCCAGGAGGTGGAGCTTGCGGTGAGCCGAGATCGCGCCACTGTACTCCAGCCTGGGGGACAGAGTGAGACTTCGCCTCAAGAAAAAAAAAAATTACTAACAGGATAATACTGTTTTATCCAGATGAGGCTTAGTATTCAGATCCTTTACCAAATAACAATGTCGGTATGTGTTTCTTTATTAATGTAAGTACAAATATAGCACTTTAAAAAACTCACTCAAAATACTTTTTCATGTCTTCTCGCTATGTATTCTTCTAATTCAGCCTAGGTTACATCAGCCAAAACTTCTTCCCCTGATTCCTCACTCCAGAGGCACAGAGGGCTCACATCAGTCAGCTCTGCCTAGCTAGTGAGGGAAATCCCATGTCTGCTACAGGACTGCAAACTGCTCTTATGCTGTAACATGTTGAATTTAAAAAACAACCTATTCCAAGCCGGGCGTGGTGGCTCATGCCTGTAATCCCAGCACTTTGGGAGGCCGAGGCGGGCGGATCACGAGGTCCAGAGTTCAAGACCAGCCTGGACAACATGGTGAAACCATGTCTCTACTAAAAATACAAAAAGTAGCCGGGCATGGTGGCACATGGCTGTAATCCCAGCTATTCGGGAGGCTGAGGCAGGAGAATCCCTTGAACTCGGGAAGCAGAGGTTGCAGTGTGCCGAGATCGTGCCATTGCACTCCAGCGTGGGTGACAGAGCGAGACTCTGTCTCAAAACAACAAAAAAACACAATCTATTCCAATACATCCATCTTTCCCTCTAATTCTAACCAGATGGCAAAAGTACACACACATAAATCTCCCATTTTATTACTCCATCATATTTCCTATTAATTAACCTCTTCTTGGATATTGGCAAGAATTTTATCATTCCAACAAGTCTTCAATTCCCCATTGTTGCGATGAGTGAATAAGCAAATCTGAGGCTCTGGCCTTTAGTTACTCTGTGACAGCGAAGAGACACCTGAAACCCTGAGTCACCCCCTGCCACCACAGTTGCCCTCCTCCTGCCTAGCCTGTCCTGCATGTCATCTGGCCAGCCACAGGCATACTTGTCAGCCTCTATCTCCTGAACCTCCTTTGGCCAAACAGCAGTGTATTAGCAAGGAGACTCCACAATAGACCCTCTTCCCTTCTACACATTACTAATTGTCCACTTATTCAACAAATAATTTATTAAGTACTGACTACATGCCAGGCACTATTCTAAACACTGGAGGTTCAATAATTTAAAAGTCCCTTCATGCCTGGAACTGACATTCTAGTGAGCAGATGAGGGCACCTGGAGGAGTAAAAGTTATACAATTTTATATCACGCATTAAGGGAAGGCCTCTCTCATGAGACAGCTGAGCAGAGACGGAAGAAAAAGAGTATACTGGGCCTTATCTGAGGAAACAGCAAATGCAAAGACCCTGGGGAGGAAACATGCCTGACTGTCTGAGGAAGAGACAAAAATAAGAATGTCTGCAATGTTGGCCAAGCGCGGTGGCTCACACCTGTAATCCCACCACTTTGGGAGGCCGAGGCGGGCAGATCACCTGAGGTCGGGAGTTCAAGACCAGCCTGACCAACATGGAGAAACCCCGTCTTTACTAAAAACACAAAAAATTAGCCTGGCGAGGTGGCTGGTGCCTGTAATCCCAGCTACTCAGGAGGCTGAGGCAGGAGAATCACTTGAACCTGGGAGGCAGAGGTTGTGGTGAGCCGAGATCGCACCACTGCACTCCAGCCTGGACAACAATAGCGAAACTCTTGTCTCAAAAAAAAAGAATGTCTGCAATGCAAACGGTTACCAATGAGCTGTTGGTAGATCAGGTCAGAAACACAGCTGAATGGACAGGGCCTTGCAATCAAAGTAAGGACTTTGGTTTTCCTCTGGGTAATGAGGGCAGCCACTGGAGTGTTTAGAGCATAAAATAGGAGCATAATTATGTTTCAAAATACCACAAACTGCAATGATACATGCTCGCTGCTGCGTGGAGAACAGATTTTAATGGGTCACAAATAGAAGAAATTAGTAGATAATGCCCAAAATAATCCAGGCAGGGTCGGGCGCAGTGGCTCATGCCTGTAATCCCAGCACTTTGGGAGGCCGAGGCGGGCGGATCACGAGGTCAGGAGATGGAGACCATCCTGGCTAACATGGTGAAACCCCGTCTCTACTAAAAATACAAAAAATTAGCCAGGCGTGGTGGCGGGCGCCTGTAGTCCCAGCTACTCAGGAGGCTGAGGCAGGAGAATGGCGTGAACCCAGGAGGCAGAGGTTGCAGTGAGCCAAGATTGCGCCACTGCACTCCAGCCTGGGGGACAGAGCAAGACTCCATCTCAAAAAGTAATAATAATAATAATAACAATAATAACAATAATAATAATAATAATAATCCAGGCAGGCCAGGTGTGGTGGCTTACAACGATAACCCCAACATTATGGGAGGCTGAGGCAAGAGAACTGCCTGAGCCCAAGAGACAGAGGCTGCAATGAGCCATGTTCACACTACTGCACTCCAGCCTAGGTGACAGAGCAAGACCTTGTCTCAAAAAAGAATAAAATAATAATAATGATCCAGATAAAGGACAACAGTGCCTTAGACCAGCGTGTCACTCAGAACGCTCCCATGTTCCACACATTAGTAGACCTTAAACGACGATATAGTTTCCAAATCCAAACAAAGGGTAAACGCTAACATTCTAGGACCATACCATTTGTATCTCCTATGGTACACAAGACTGAATTTTTTTTTCCTTATCTCACCTCAAGTACCCCTGGCAATCTTTCTTTCTTTTCTTTTTTTTTTTTTGAGACAGAGTCTCACTCCCTCACCCAGGCTGGAGTGCAATGGTGCAATCTCAGCTCACTGCAACCTCCGTCTCCTGGGATCAAGCAATTCTCCTGCCTCAGCCTCCCTAGTAGCTGGGATTACAGGCATGCACAACCACACCCAGCTATTTTTTTTTTGTATTTTTAGTAGAGACAGGGTTTCACCATGTTACCCAGGCTGGTCTCAAGCTCCTGACCTCAAATGATCCGCCCACCTCAGCCTCCCAAAGTGCTGGGATTACAGGCATGAGCCACCGCGCCTGGCCTGGCATTCTTTTTTTTAATTAAATAGAGACAGGGTCTCACTATGTTGCCCAGGCTGGTTTCGAACACCTGCCCTCACATGATCCGCCAGCCTCAGCCTCCCAAAGTGCTGGGATTACAGTGCGAGCCACAGTACCCGGCCCCTGGCAATCTTTTATTGAGAACTACAGAACATAAGGAAACACTTTGCCCACTCTTGTGAACCTGAGGCCAAAGATAGTCCTTTAAACCACCAGGCGTAACAAGCAAGCTTATGTAATACTTGAGGACTAATGTGTTCTTGTTTCAAAAGCATGATGATAGCAATTAAAAGCGAAAAAAAGAAGACAGTGTCAAGTTAACCCAAAGTATCTAATGAATAACAAAATGTAATCTCAGCAATTCCCCACTGTAAAAAAAAAATACTAAGCATAAGATGACAGCTTAGCAAATAAACCTTTAGTTTTTACCACAGAAAACTGTGCAATGTCTGCTCCAAGTAGGTTTCATGGTATCAGTGGAAACCAAGATTGATCCAAGACTGGTGAAATTACTATAAATGGGTTTGGAGAGAAAACAGATCACTTCCAAATAAGTCATGTATACAGAGCCTTCTGTAATATGGGATGGCAACTAAGGCACACAGACCAAATCTAGCCCATTGTCTGGTTTTGTACCATCCATGAGCTAAGAATGGTTTCTGTTTTAAAAAATTTTTTTTTATCAAAAAAATACTTCATTAGAGGTTAAAATTATACAACATTCCAACTTCTTTTTTTCCCCCAGATTAGCTGCTGGGCTGGGGAAATTCCAATTTACACACCCATAAACAATTTTATAGGAACAGTCACATTCATTTACATATGGCTACTTGCACACTAAGACAGGAGATCTGAGTAGCTGCAACAGGGACTGCCTTCAGTGGTCTCACTGCTTTGCTCTGCTACAAATTGCAGTGACACAGTTATAACTCAACAGCATTTCACATACCATGCATAGGCAGTATCACATTTTATTATTATTTTTAATTACCAGTGCATATCCATCACATCAAAACAAGAAAAGCAGATGTTGATGTTACCCTTTTAAGGCACAGTGTGAAGTGTGAATCATTTTGTTATTGAATTTGATAGCAAATCATTGTGTTTATTATGAAATGACACCACAGATATGCCAAGAATATAACATACATTGATCTTACCAATATTCCCAACTTACAAGAAAGCAAATGACGGTAAAAAATATCTGTGGAGAAGAAAAGGACTTAGTTGGAAAAACTGGCAAACGTTGTGAAAATGTAAGGTTATTTATCAGCAGTTTCTCTGCAGACTTTTTTTCTTGAGACGTGGTCTCCGTCACCTAGGCTGGAGTGCAGTGCTGAGAAAAAGAAGGTGAATATCCTGACTTGCCCTACCACACGGCAGTTTGATGAGTTAGAAGCAGAAAAATTTTATGTTTCTTGAAAAGCTCAGGGCTGAGTATGAAATTTTTCAACAAGAACCACCCTTAACCACTATTACTGTTGCGGATACCAAATAGCTTTGAAGTTAGCTTTTGCTGCAGAGTTGATAATGTTTCTTAATGAATACAGTTTAAAATTACAAAGACCTGGCACAGTAGCTCACATCTGTAATCCCAACACTTTGGGAGGCCAAGGTAGGAGGACAGCTTGAGGTCAGAAGTTTGAGACCTGCCTAGTGAACACAGCAAGATCCGTCTCTACAAAAACTAAAAAAAAAAAAAAAAAAATTAGCCTGACTCAATGGTGTACGCCTGTGGTCCCAGCTATTCAGGAAGCTGGGACAGGAGGCTCGCTTAAGCCCAGGAGCTTGAAGTTGCAGTGAGCTATGATCTCATCACTGCACTCCAGACTAGCTGACGGAGGGAGATTCTGTCTCAAAGAAATAAAACAAAATTAGAAGTCAAAACAGCACTTCTATGGGAAACACATACTGTAATAAAATAATACTAATGACAATAAATGTTTCAATTTCAAGAAATGTCAAATTACTTTATTCACTTCTCATACTGTCAAAAGTTGAACAAGAAGTGATATCTCCATACCCACACAAATCTGAAGCAGATCTTCTGAGCTCAAACTACAGTTCCAGCATATTTCCAACCTTAATGCATGTGTAAACTAAATCTCCATATTTCAAAATCTGTCTAACTGTGCAGCTAAGGAGCTTCCATCTAATCTTCAATTGGAAGCGATTTATCTGCAATGTTATGGTATGCTAAAAGACAAATATCAAGAATCTAACACATTTCTGTGCCTTCCAAAAGATAAATCTGCTCAATTAAAATCACATGCTCAATGATTAATGTATTTGGCAGTACCCAATCTGTGTGAAGACATTTTCAAAGATGACACACATAAAACTTCACGACAGATCAGCATTAACAAATAAATATTTGCCATCAATTTTGAAAGGCACTGCTAACTTGGAAACCCAATTAAGTGAAATTGTACTCCCCAAAAGCAGAATTCCATTCTTATAGCCCTGTTACTACAAAAATTATACTCATTATTTACATTTATATATATATATATATATATATATATATATATATATATATATGCCTATCTATATATATTTTTTGAGACAGAGTCTCACTCTGTCACCCAGGCTGGCGTGCAGTGGCATGGTCTTGGCTCAGTGCAACCCCTGTCCTCCGGGTTCAAGAGATTCTTGTGCCTCAGCCTTGCAAGTAGCTGGGATTACAAGCTTGCGCCACAATGCCTGGCTAATTTTTTTGTATTTTTAGTAGAGACAGGGTTTCGTCATGTTGGCCAGGCTGGTCTCGAACTGACCTCAGGTGATCTGCCCGCCTCAGCCTCCCAAAGCGCTGGGATTGCAGGTGTGAGGCACGGTGCCTAGCCTGATTATTGTATTTTGAAATAAAAACTTTGTGCAAAGTTGTTTTCTCTCTTGTCATGTAAGTACCCACAGAGTAGCCTCAACTTTGCCTCTTGGCCAGCAAAGCCTAAAGTATCTGACCCTTTGGAAAGGTTATCAACCCCTTTTCTTCATCATTTGTCTAACAAATGCATTTAGTGCAGATGGCCACTAAGAATCAACCTTGGCCAGGCACGGTGGCTCATGCCTGTAAACATATACTTTGGGAGGCCAAGGCAGGTGGATCACTTGAGGTCAGGAGTTCCAGGCCAGCCTGACCAACATGGTGAAACCCCGTCTCTACTAAAAGCACACAATTAGCGGGGCATGGTGGCACATGCCTATAATTCCAGTTGCTTGGGCAGCTGAGGCAGGAGAATTGCTTCAACCCGGGAAGCGGAGGTTGCAGTGAGCCAAGATAGCGCCACTGCACTCCAGCCTGGGCAACAAGAGCAAAACTCCGTCTCAAAAATAAATAAATAAAAATAAAAATAAACCCTCATGAATAGTAATTCTCAAAACTGTAAGACTCCCAAATGGTAGGAACTGATATTTTTTAATATTTATGCCCAGCAACTCATAGTAAAACAAATAAAAGTCAGTAATTAGTCATCCCAAAGCAATTTCCAAAGCAACTGAACTCCTCAATAAATAATAAGAGCACATCTGGCTCTGAAGCCTATGTTTGATTCCCAACTCCACCAACTACTAGTTGTGAGACCCCGGATAAGTGACTTAATTAAATCTCACTATCTGTGGTCCCTTATCTATAAAACTGTTCCTACTTCACAGTGTTGTTGAACACCGAATAAATTAATATATGTATAAAGTTCTCAGAAAAGTGCTTGGCACAAAGGAGTACTCAATAAATATTGTTAATTGGGCCAGTATCAAAATGACAGTGAAAAGACACGACTTCAACAAGCTGGTTTGGGTAGTCATGTGGTCATTAAACAATTACATTCTCATGCGAATTCAGAATTTAGCTTTATAGCAAACTCGGAACATAAGACACTAATTCCATCTTGAAAACCTGTAAAAAGAGCAGTAGGCTCTGTCAACGACAAACCCAAGCCTATGCCTAATTCCAGGTTGAATGAGTCTGCTCCTTAAATAACCCTATCATTCTGTGCCTCAAGGTCTCAATGTACAACACAGAGAGGAATCAAACATGCCAACTGATGCACCTGAACGTTTCTACCTAGACCAATGGTTTTTAAACTCATGCTCTCGGGCTGTGCAGAGAGGTTGGGGAAAAGTAACTTTCCCATCTGAGTTATCCCGGTCCAGTAGATCAGACTGAACTGTCAAGAACTCATAATGACTACTTTCCCAGAACTTATCTTTTTATCACATTACAAAACTTTTATAAGCTACCAGCATTTCCTTATCACTTGAGCCTCTATTTCCTTGAAAACCAGTGGTCATGCACTACTACTAAAGTAAACTACTCCTTGAGGGCAGGTATCAGATCAAATTCCTTTTTATATCTCCAGTGCCATAACATACAACTGCCCATTTTAACCATTTTTATATGTACAGTTCAGTGACATTAAGAACATTCAGGCCAGGTGCGGTGACTCACCTGTAATCTCAGCACTTTGGAAGGCCAAGGTGGGCGGATCACTTGAGCTTAGGAGTTCAAGACCAGCCTGACCAACATGGTAAAACCCCATCTCTACTAAAAATACAAAAATTAGCTGGGCGTGGTGGCACACGCCTACAGTCCCAGCCACTCAGTAGGCTGAGGCACAAGAATCGCTTGAGCCCAGGAGGTGGAGGTTGCAGTGAGCTGAGATTGCGCCAATAGATGGGATTACAGGCGCGCACCACCACGCCCAACTAATTTTCTGTATTTTTAGTACAGATTGGGTTTCGCCATGTTGGCCAGGCTGGTCTCGAACTCCCGCCCTCAAGTGATCCGCCCGCTTCAGCCTCCCAAAGTGCTGGGATTACAGGCGTGGGCCACTGTGCCCAGCCTCTAAGGTATATTTTTTTAATGTGTCTTATAAAGTCAGTCTTAGAAAACATTCCTAAATAATCTCACTATTACGTGGCTAAATTGTACTCTACTAGAGAACACAGAGGATGCTAAATCTCTGATTATAAGAATATACCGCCTGTAATCCCAGAACTTTGGGAGACCAAGGCGGGCGGATCACAAGGTCAGGAGATCCAGACCATCCCGGCCAACATAGTGAAACCTGGTCTCTACTAAAAATACAAAAGTTAGCTGGGTGTGGTGGCGGGCGCCTGTAGTACCAGCTACTTGGGAGGCTGAGGCAGAAGAATTGCTTGAACCCGGGAGGCGGAGGTTGCAGTGAGCTGAGATCGCGCCACTGCCCTCCAGCCTGGGCGACAGAGCAAATCTTTGTCTCAAAAAAAAAAAAAAAAAGTATGCCTAATTCACTAAGGGCCTATTTGGAAGGAAATTTCAGTCAGTAAAAAATTATTAATTTTAGAGTTGGAAATGTCGATAATATATCCAGAGTCTACCTTATGTAATTGCCGAATTTTGTAAAAATTTTCATCCAAACTTGATTAATAACCCATTTAACCCAAGGCGTTACACCAGGATAACCAACTTCTCTAGATTGCTTTCGTCTATAAACAAGAGACCAAATTTGATGCCAGAATAACCTGTCACAAATATGATCATGTCATTCCTCCAATTAAAGGTCCTTCCTGCTTACTGCATAAAATTCAATACAAGCACACTGCAATCCTGCTCTACTCGCTCCACCTTCTACCACTGACTCCTATGCTTCTACCCTTAATCAAACTACATTTTTAGAATGAACTTTCCTGTTCCACACCATTAGACATGCTCGTCCCACTGCCTTGAATAGCCTCCTCTCACCAAACCACCACTCCTGTCTCAACCTCCACCACACACACACACACACACACACACACACACACACTCACCACCTGCTTCGCTTATTCGAAACCTTCCAGCAACAGCTCAAATGTAAATTCTTGTAAAACCTTCCCCTAATTCTCCAGAAGGAGTCAGTGAGCATCTCATTCCAGGTTCTACTATTGCCCTTATCATCCTGTATTGTAATTAACTGTCTCTCCCACTAAACATGAAGGTCCCTTAAGAATAGGGACTGTGGGGCTGGGGGCAGTGGCTCACGCCTGTAATCTCAGCACTTTGGGAGGCAGAGGCAGGTGGATCACGAGGTCAGGAGATGGAGATCATCCTGGCTAACACGGTGAAACCCTGTCTCTACTAAAAATACAAAAAATTAGCAAGGTGTGGTGGCGGGCACCTGTGGTCCCAGCTACTCGGGAGGCCAAGGCAGGAGAATGGCATGAACCTGGGAGGCAGAGCTTGCAGTGAGCGGAGCTTGCGCCACTGCATTCCAGCCTGGGCGAGAGCGAGACTCCATCTCAAAAAAAAAAAAAAAAAAGGGACTGTGCTGGCTGGGTGCGGTGGCTTGCACCTGTATCCCAGCACTTTGGGAGGCCCAGGTGGACAGCCTGTGGTCTGGAGTTTGAGACCAGCCTGGCTAACATGGTGAAACCCCATCTCTACTAAAAATACAAAAACTAGCCAGATGTGGTGGTGCATGCCTACAGTCCCAGCTACTCAGGAGAATCATTTGAACCCAGGAGAAAGAGGCTGCAGTGAGCTGAGGATCACGCCACTGCACTCCAGCCTGGGAAACAGAGCAAGACACTGTCTCCAAAAAAAAAAAAGAAAGAAAGAAAAAGAATAGGGACTGTGCCTTATATTTATCTTGTATCTCCTCCAACACCTAACGCAATGCCTGGTACATGGTAGATTTCATCATGTTTGCTCAATAGGTAAGTTTGAGCCCCAAGATAATAAACATCTGAGCAAGCATGGCAACAGTGAAGACACAAGTATAAATCAAGTGAGCCCTCACATACATAAGAATTTACTGAAACTAGCACAACTACAGAGGATACAAAGAAATATAAAATGCTGGAAGCCAGGAGTTCAAGACCAGCCTGGGCCATAAAATGAGACTGTCTCTACAAAAAAATAAAGCATGCCTGTAGTCCTAGCTACTCGGGAGGCTGAGAATCGCTTGGGCCCAGGAGGTCAAGGCTGCAGTGAGTCATGATTGCACCACTGTACTCCAGACTAGGTGACAAAGCAAAACTGTCTCACAAAAAAAAAAAAAAAAAAGAGGCTGAGGCTGGGTGCAATGGGTCTGGCCTGCAATCCAACACTTAGGAAGGCCAAGGTAGAAGGATCACTTGAGGCTAGGAGTTCGAGACTAGCCTGGACAACAAACCAAGACCCCCATCTCTACAATAAAAGTATTCAAAACTCAGTCAAAGCCACCAACAAATAAAGATATGGCAGGGTCAGACCAGTTAACAACTGAGGAGATGAACAAAAATGAAGGCCTGAAAGAAAAGAATAATTTTTTTAAATATTAAAAGATGAAGGAGGCTGGGCACCGTGGCTCATGCCTGTAATCCCAGCACTTTGGTAGGCCAAAGTGGGCGGATCACCTGAGGTCTGGAGTTCAAGACCAGCTTGGCCAACATGGTGAAACCCTGTCTCTACTAAAAATACAACAATTAGCCATGCATGGTGGCGTGTGCCTGTAATCCCAGCTACTCGGGGGGCTGAGGCAGGAAAATCGCTTGAACCTGGGAGGTGGAGGTTGCAGTGAGCCAAGATCGTGCCACTGCACTCCAGCCTGGGCGGGGTGACAGAGCAAGACTCCATCTCCCAAAAAAAAAAAAAAAAAAAAGATGAAGATGGGAGATGTGGTCAAAAGATACAAAATTTCAGTTAAGAGGAATAAGTTGGGCAACATGGTAAGTGCAGTAAATAATAATGTACTGTATATTCAAAGATCGCCAAGAGAGATTTTAAGTGTTCTCACCACACAAAAAAAATGAGGCAATACATATGTTGATTAGCTAGATTTAACCATTCCACAATGTACACATATTTCTTGTATATCATACTTGACAATTAAAAGTTAATTTTTAAGGCTGGGTGTGGTGGCTCACACCTGTAATCCCAACACTTTGGGAGGCTGAGGCGGGTGGATCACTTGAGGTCAGGAGTTCAAAACCAGCTTGGCCAACATGGTAAAACCCCATCTTTACTAAAAATACAAAAAATTAGTGGGGTATGGTGGCACACGCCTGTAATCCCAGTCACTGAGGAGGCTGAGGTGGGAGAATAGCTTGAACCTACGAGGCCGAGGTTGCAGTGAGCCAAGATCACGCCACTGCACTCCAGCCTGGACGACAGAGCTAGACTCCAACTCAAAAAAAAAAGTTAATTTGTCTTTTTGAGACGGAGTCTCGCTCTGTCGCCCAGGCTGGAGTGCAGTGACTCCATCTCAGCTCACTGCAACCTGTGCCTCCCAGGTTCAAGAGCTTCTCCTGCCTCAGTCTCTCGAGTAGCTGGGATTACAGGCGCCCACCACCACACACAGCTAATTTTTGTATCTTTAGTAGAAACAGGGTTTCACCATGTTGACCAGGCTGGTCTGGAACTCCTGACCTCGTGATCCGCCCGCCTCAGCCTCCCAAAGTGCTGGGATTACAGGCGTGGGCCACTGCACCCGGCCAAAAAAGTAATTTTTTAAAAAAGACTAAGAAAGGCCCTTGAGAAAACTGAAGCCCTCAATATTTTTGCAAAAGTTATAATGTGAACAATGTATATTATCAATTTTTTCAGAGAATTAGAAAAAGAACCGTTGATACAATTTTGATAAATATGCAGTTATGCCTGTAATTTTATTTATTTATTTATTTATTTATTTGAGACAGAGTCTCACTCTGTCGCCCAGGCTGGAGTGCAGTGGCACGATCTCCACTCACTGCAAGCTCCGCCTCCTGGGTTCACGCCATTCTCCTGCCTCAGCCTCCCGAGCAGCTGGGACTACAAGTGCCGGCCACCACTCCCGGCTAATTTTTTGTATTTTTAGTAGAGACAGGGTTTCACCATGTTAGCCAGGATGGTCTCGATTTCCTGACCTCGTGATCTGCCTGCTTCAGCCTCCCAAAGTGCTGGGATTACAGGTGTGAGCCACCGCACTCGGCCCATGTTATTTATTTTTTAAAAAGAAAAAGGCTGGGCACAGTCGCTCACACCTGTAATCCCAGCACCTTGGGACGCCAAGGCGGAGAGATAACTTGAGATCAGGAGTTCGGGACCAGTCTGGCCAACATGGTGAAACCCCGTCTCTACTAAAGATACAAAAATTAGCTTGGCATGGTGGTGTGCAACTGAAGTCCCAGCTACTTAGGAGGCTGAGGCAGGAGAATTGCTTGAACCCAGGAGGCAGAGGTTGCAGTGAGCCAAGATCGCTCCACTTTTCTCCAATGACAAGGTCTTACTCTATACATATTCCTATATACTGTGCTTGAAATTCTCACAGATATAATACTGTTTATCCTCTCATGCACCAGTCTGCCAGCCCCAGGTGCCTTGGAGTTCCATGAAAAAATGGACAAAGATTTACATGCTCTACAACCAGACTCTGGGATTGAATCCAGCTCTATCCCCTTTACTAGCTGTGCAATCCTGGATCTGTTTCATCTTTCCTTGCCTCACTTACATCTGTAAAATGCAGATTATAATCATACCTCCCCCTAGGATTGTAGGGAATAATTAAATGGTTAATACATGGAATGTACTTAGAACGACTGTAAGCACAGATATGCACTCAGGTTACCTCTTATTATCAGATGTACTATAATCTTAAATTTATTCAAAATTGCTACTGACTGAAAAATACGTGATTTTGGTGGGTGTGGGGAGGAAGTAGCGAAAAATAAAAAGTCCTAGCTGGAAAAGCAAATATAACTGTTCAAGGGCTATTAAAATGCAATGATCAAGAGACAAGGAATGAGAGACACATTTACCCAGGGGAAGAACCAAAACATAGCTAGCCTCAAATGCCAAGTAAAAAGAAAAGTAAACTTTATCTCTGCAAATGGGAAGCCACTGCATGTTTCTAAGCAGGCAAACTGTTGGGATAAGGGGATGGATCAGGATGGGCAAGACAAAGTTAGGAAGCTATCACATTTGAGGTGAACAGACCCTGGAACAGAATCATTCAGTCAGCAAGACATGCACCTATCATATTTAAGGTCTTTAAGGAGTTTGTTTACCTGTAAGATTGGGGAAAGGACCCAGGCGTGGTGGCTCACATCTAAAATCCCAGCACTCTGGGAGGCTGAGGTGGGGAGATCACCTGAGGTCAGGAGTTCGAGACCAGCCTGGCCAAAATGGTGAAACCCCGTCTCTACTAAAAATACAAAAAAATTAGCCGGGTGTGATGGCGCAGGCCTGTAATCCCAGTTACTCAGGAGGTTGAGGCAGGAGAATCGCTTGAACCTGGGATATGGAGGTTGCAGTGAACCAAGATTGTGCCAGTGCACTCCAGACCGGGCAACAGAGTGAGATTCTGTCTCAAAAAAAAAAAAAAAAAGATTGGGATGGGGGTGTCACATGCAGAGATCTATATAATACATGTCAGAACTCAGCACCACCAGAGTGGTACAATGGCAAAGGCCACTTACAACTAGAGGAACAAAGTAAGGTTTTCAGGAGGAAGACTTAGTAGTTAACCTGGCTCTGGCCAGGCGTGGTGGCTCACGCCTGTAATCCCAGCACTTTGGGAGGCCGAGGCGGGTGGATCACGAGGTCAGGAGTTTGAGACCATCCTGGCCAACATCATGAAACCCCGTCTCTACTAAAAATACAAAACAAAATTAGCTGGGCGTGGTGGCGTGTGCCTGTAATCCCAGCTACTCAGGAGGCTGAGGCAGGAAAATTGCTTGAACCAGGGAGTCGGAGGTTGCAGTGAGCTGAGATTGCGCCACTGCACTCCAGCCTGGCAACAGAGCGAGACTCTGTCTCAAAAAAAAAAAAAACCCACAAGTAAAATTGTACAGGTAGATATGAGAAAAGGAGCTTTCCTCACTAGGCATCCAATAGCAATGGAAATAGAACTCACAGGAGTGAAATCTGAAACTGCTTTACACATACATGGCATTCAACAAATAACTGACTAGACGTAGAAGTGACGAAGAGGAAAGGAATCAAGGTTTCAAAACTAAGTGACTACGAAATCTAAGAAATCAGTTTGACACTAAGTATAGTAAAGCTAAGAAGAAGGTATAATTTAGATGAAATTTTTAATTCAGTTTTGGATACTTCAGTTTGCTCATGCTGGAGAATCCATGAAGGCACATTCAACCTTTGAAGACTTTTTCTTTTTTTAATTACAAATTGGAAGTAGCTACTAGATTTGACACAGAGTTCAGAAACTTATTTTCAACCAAACTTCCTAATTAGAAATAACATTACCAATTTTGGAAATCTTTAGAAAATTAAAAAGATGCCTATCCAAAATGTCCATATTATGATTCTCCTAGTTAAAGAAAATAAATTAGTAGCTGCTTTGCAGCTTATACTAATCCAATAGCAATTTATAAACACCATTAACAAATGGCAACCCTCTTCCTTCCCACAAGGCCACTTGGTCATTCTTAAGTAGAAAGTTCCTCACAAGCTCACAAGGAGCCCCTCTGCCCGGCCAGCCGCCCCGTCCGGGAGGGAGGTGGGGGGGTCAGCCCCCCGCCCGGCCAGCCGCCCCGTCCGGGAGGGAGGTGGGGGGTTCAGCCCCCCGCCCGCCAGCCGCCCCATCCGGGAGGGAGGTGGGGGGGTCAGCCCCCCGCCCGGCCAGCCGCCCCGTCTGGGAGGGAGGTGGGGGGGTCAGCCCCCCACCCGGCCAGCCGCCCCGTCCGGGAGGGAGGTGTGGGGGTCAGCCCCCCGCCTGGCCAGCCGCCCGTCCGGGAGGTGAGGGGCGCCTCTGCCCGGCCGCCCCTACTGGGAAGTGAGGAGCCCCTCTGCCCGGCCACCGCCCCGTCTGGGAGGTGTGCCCAGCGGCTCATTGAGAACGGGCCATGATGACAATGGCGGTTTTGTGGAATAGAAGGGGGCGAAGGGTGGGGAAAGGATTGAGAAGTCGGATGGTTGCCGTGTCTGTGTAGAAGGAGGTAGACATGGGAGACTTTTCATTTTGTTCTGTGCTAAGAGAAGTTCTTCTGCCTTGGGATCCTGTTGATCTGTGACCTTGCCCCCAACCCTGTGCTCTCTGAAACATGTGCTGTATCCACTCAGGGTTGAATGGATTAAGGGCGGTGCAAGATGTGCTTTGTTAAACAGATGCTTGAAGGCAGCATGCTCCTTAAGAGTCATCACCACTCCCTAATCTCAAGTACCCAGGGACACAAACACTGCGGAAGGCCGCAGGGTCCTCTGCCTAGGAAAACTAGAGACCTTTGTTCACTTGTTTATCTGCTGACCTTCCCTCCACTATTGTCCTGTGACCCTGCCAAATCCCCCTCTGCAAGAAACACCCAAGAATGATCAATAAAAATAAAAAAATAAAAAGAAACCCTCATTTGGGCTCAGAGCAAAAAAAAAAAAAAAAAAAAAAGAAAGTTCCTCACAAAATGCATCTTATTCCCAAACCACTTATAAGCAACATTAGCAGCTTGCCACAATCAGCATTCTATTTTTGTTTTTAGAGATGGGGTCTTACTGTCACCCAGGCTGGAATGCAGTGGCATGATCATAGCAATCCTCCTGCCTCAGCCTCCCAAAGTGGTGGGATTACATGTGCAAGCCACCATGCCCAGTCTATCTCAAAATAAAATAAAATAAGCAATTAAAAAAAAACACTAACTGTGAAAAGCTTTAAAATTTTTAGAAGAAAACAGAAGAGAATATCTGTATGAATTCAGGGTGAGGAAGGATTTCAAACAAAATTCTATAAGTACAAACCATAAAGGTAAAGACTGACAAATCTATCTATATGCCTTAGAAAATCAAAACAGAGGGTGGGCGTGGTGGCTCACGCCTGTAATCCCAGCACTTTGGGAGGGCGAGGCAGGCGGATCACAGGTCAGGAGATCCAGACCATCCTGGCTAACACAGTGAAACCCCGTCTCTACTAAAAATACAAAAAATTAGCCGAGCGTGGTGGCTGGCGCCTGTAGTCCCAGCTACTTAGGAGGCCGAGACAGGAGAATGGCGTGAACCCATGAGGCAGAGCTTGCAGTGAGCGGAGATCGCGTCTCTGCACTCCAGCCTGGGCGACAGAGCAAGACTCCATCTCAAAAAAAAAAAAAAAAAAAATCAAAACAGACGGCTCGCACCTGTAATCCCAGCACTTTGAGAGACTAAGCTGGGAAGCTCACTTCAGCCCAGGAGTTCAAGATCAACCTGGGCAACATGGCAAGACCTGGTCTCTACAAAATATAAAGAAAATTAGCCAGGCATCATGGCGCACACCTGTGGTCCCAGCTACTCTGGAGGCTGAGGCAGGAGGATCATTTCGGCCCAGGAGTTCGTATGTTCGTGCCACTGTACTCCAGCCTGTGGGACAGTGAGACCTTGTCTCAAAAAACAAATAAATGAACAAACAAAAAAATGAAAGCAGAATATATAACCTGAAGTAGAATGTAGACCTAAATACCCAGAAGCTCCATCAGTTAGGTTTATAACAAAAATTATTATGAATGGAAAAATTAATTCCAGCGGGACTGTGGATGCATGGAGCATACCAGTGTTAGCAAAATGGCAAAATCCATACAACATTAAAGTTCTACTTACTTCAAGAGCTAAGACATCTAATGACATCCAAAGAAAATAAGTAGCTTCCACAGCCACCAGAAGTAAAACCATGACAATTAATTTTAGCAGATCTTGGCCGGGCATGGTGGCTCACACCTGTAATCCCAACACTTTGGGAGGCCGAGGTGGGTGGATCACCTGAGGTCAGGAGTTCGAGGCCAGCCTGACTAATGTGGTGAAACTCCATCTCTAAGAAAAATACAAAAATTAGCCAGGCATGGTGGTGGGTGCCTGTAGTCCTAGCTACTCTGGAGGCTGAGGCAGGAGAACTGCTTGAACCCAGGAGGTGGAGATTGCAGTGAGCCAAGATCACGCCACTGCACTCCAGCCTGGGCAACAGAGCAAGACTCTGTCTGAAAAAAAAAAAAAAAAAAATTTTAGCGGATCTTAAACTTCAGTCAACCTTCTACTCATGTTAATGTCTTAATTAAATATCACAATGCAAAATACTCACACATTAAGAATTTCTGCTGGTAAACATGACCTGGACATTTGTAAGAATATATATTTATTTATATATGTGTATATATATATATATATATATATATATATATATATATATATATACACCCATTATCATTTCAGATAATGGGAAGAAAAATACAGCACAATTTTTTTTCTCATTAGGGCACTGTCATTTAAACATAAACCTGAAGTACTCTAAAGAGAATTCAGGTTTACAAAAACAAGTGTGGTGAGAGGTGTCAGGTGTCAGCGGCACGTATTTCTGAAAAGTAAAAATCTTTTTTTTTTTTTTTTTGAAACGGAGTCTTGCACTGTCGCCCAGGCCCGATCTCGGCTCACTGCAAGCTCCGCCTCCTGGGTTCACGCCATTCTCCTGCCTCAGCCTCCCAAGTAGCTGGGACTACAGGCACCTGCCACCACGCCCGGATAATTTTTTTGTATTTTTAGTAGAGACGGGGTTTCACCGTGTTAGCCGGGATGGTCCCGATCTCCTGACCTCGTGATCCGCCCACCTCAGCCTCCCAAAGTGCTGGGATTACAGGCGTGAGCCACTGCGCCCGGCCGAAAAGTAAAAATCTTAAGAAGGAAAAAACAGAAATGGCACACTTTACCTATTTTGCTTAGTGAAAAACTGCAGCCAAAATTGTTTAAAGTAGCAGGTAAAATAAATATTATCACAAATTATGTTAATTTTTGAAGCGGTGCAGGTGCTGACTTCTAGAAGTATCCAAAATATACACAAGAAAAAAAAAATCCAAAATATGTCCAGGATTATTTTGATACCTATATTTATACCAAAAAAAATGTTAAGGGCTGTGATGGTTAATATTAGGTGTCAACTTGACTGGACAGAGGAATAGCTATATGGCTGAGGCAATGTTCCTGGGTACGTCTGTGAGGGTGTTGCCAGAGAAGACTGACATGTGAGTGAGTGGACTGTGAGAGGAACCAGCCCACATGTCCAGCTGGACTCTCAATGTGGGTGGGACACCATTCAATCAGCTTTAAGCACAGCTAAACAATGGGGATAAGTAGATTGCTTGCTGAGTCTGCTCTCTCTCTCATGCTGTGACAGATGCCTGGCTTCCTCTCCTCCTGCCCTTAGACATCAGACTCCAGGTTCTTCAGCCTTTGGACTCTAGGACTTGCACTAGAGGCCTCCCAGGGGCTCTCGGGCCCTTTCACCTCAAACTAAGGGCTGCACTGTTGGCTTCCCTGGTTTTGAGGCTTTTAGACTTGGACTGAGCCACGTGACCAGCTTCTCTCTTTCCCCAGCTTGCAGACAGCCTATCATGGAACTTCACCCTGTAACTGTGAGAGCCAATTCTTCCTAATAAACTCACTTTTATTTATACATATACCCTTTGGTTCTGTCCCTCTGGAGAACCTTAATGTAGGGGGGTTGATGAATTTCTGTTACAAGCTGTTCTTATGTGTTACATGTAACAGACATGGTAAATATTTATATTCTTTGTGTAACAAACCATGCCTTTACGTGAAGTCAACTAAAAAACAAACACATAGGGATATGTCATTCTGAGCTCAAGGTTTATCTTAAAATGTAAATAAATTGTGAAATGTAGCCACAAAAACAAATGATTAAGATGATAAAATTTTATGTTATACATATTTTACCACGAAAAAAGTAAAATGAGTTGATTAGTGGAAAGAAGTGACAAAGCAATTAAGCAAATGCTAACAAATGTAAAATCTAGGTGATGGACATATAGGTCTCACTGTACTGTACAATTGTTTCAACTTTTTTGTATGCTTGAAATCTTTCCTAATAAAATGTTGGAGGAAAACAGAAATCAAAGATATTGCCATCCCTGCTAGAATACACTTGATACAGAGTGATTAACCTACCCAGAACCAGGGAAACAAAGGCCTTACAGGGATGATGAAATGTAAAAGCCAGTTTGGCCAGGTAAGGTGGCTCATGCCTGTAACCCCAGCAATTTAGGAGGCCGAGGTGAGAGGATTACTTGAGCACAGGCATTAAAGACCAATCTGGGCAACATGGTGAAACCTCGTCTCTACTAAAAACACAAAAATTAGCTGGCCATGGTGGCGCAAACCTGTAATCCCATCTACTTGGGAGGCTGAGGCAGGAGAATCGCTGAAAGCCGGTGCAGGGGCGGCGGAGGTTGTAGTAAGCTGACATCGAGCCACTGCACTCCAGCCCGGGTAATAGAGCGAGAAGCTGACTCAAAAAAAAAAAAAAAAAAAAGACCAGCCTGGGCAACACAGGGAGACCCCGCCTCTACAGAAAATAAAAAAACACGGCCGGGCATGGTGGCTCACACCTGTAATCCCAGAACTTTGGGAGGCCGAGGCGGGCGGATCACCAGCTCAGGAGATCGAGACCATCCTGGCTAACAAAAAAATTAGCCGGGTGTGGTTGTGGGCACCTGTACTCCCAGCTACTTGGGAGGCTGAGGCAGGAGAATGGCGTGAACCCAGGAGGCGGAGCTTGCAGTGAGCCGAGATCGCGCCACTGCACTCCAGCCTAGGCGACAGAGCAAGACTCCATCTCAAAAAATAATAATAATAATTAAACAATAAAGAAAGAAAGAAAGAACAGTCGGGCATGGTGGCATGCACCTACAGTCCCAGCTACTTACTTGTGAAGCTGAGGTGGAAGGATCACTCGATCCTCTCAGGATCAGGAGTCACCTTTCAAGCCCAGGAGTTTGAGGGGCAGTAGTAAGCTATGACTGCACCACTGCACTCCAGCCTGGGCAATGAAATAAGACCTTGTCTCCAAAAAAACGAAACAAAACAAAAGCCCGAAAAGCTCACTCATTACACTAAATCTTCTAAAAGTGTTGCTGACTAAAAGTCCATTTTAGCTACATTCAATGAGATCATCACAACAGCTGTAATAACACTAACCAGTGGGAAGAGATCTGCCTACCATAGCCCCAAAATAGACACTAAACAAGCTTTAGCTCACTCATCATAAATATCCAGTATCCTGAAGGCAACACTTGAAGCCCCAATCTAAGCAATAAATTAGTCTACCCCTAAAAAAATAATCTGGATAGGAATTAAATCTGAAAATGATACGAATCAAAAAAGATTTTTCATACCACATATTTCCATTCCAATAAATGCCTAGCACTCATAGGCAAGTACTTAATGCCTAATTTCCAAATTTCCCACAAACAGAAAAATCAAGTAACATCAAATGTGGTACTTAATCTAAATTCTAGTTCAGGCTGAGCACGATGTTTTACCCATATAATCCTAGCACTCTGAGGAAGCTGAGGTGGGCAGATGGCTGGAGGTCAGGAGTTTAAGACTACCCTGGGCAACAAAACGAGACCCTGTCTCTACAAAAAATTTGCTAAATCGCCGGGCGCGGTGGCTCACACCTGTAATCCCAGCACTTTGGGAGGCCGAGATGAGTGGATCACGAGGTCAGGAGATCCAGACCATCCTGGCTAACACGGTGAAACCCGTCTCTATTAAAAAAAAGAAAAAAAAATTTTGCTAAATCACCAGGCATGGTGGTACACACCTGCAGTCCCAGTTACTCAGGAGTCTGATGTAGGAAGATCACTTAAGCTCAGGAGTTTGAGGCTACAGTCAGCTATGTTCATGCCACTGTACTGAGGCCTGGGTGACAAAGCAAGGTTGTCTCCAAAAACACACACACACACAAAAAAAACCTATTTCCTACCTAGTTGTTTTTTTTTGTTTGTTTGTTTTGTTTTCAGACAGTCTCATTTTGTCACCCAGGCTGAAGTGCAGTGGCATGATCTTGGGTCACTGCAACCTCTACCTCCCAGGTTCAAGCAATTCTCCGGCCTCAGACTCCCAAGTAGCTGGGATTACAGGCGCCCGCCACAATGCCTGGCTAACTTTTGTATTTTTAGTAGAGAGGGGGTTTCACCATGTTGGCCAGGCTGATCTTGAACTCCTGACCTCAAGTGATCTGCCTGCCTTGGCCTCCCAAAGTGCTGGGATTACAGGCATGAGCCATCGCGCCCAGCCTTTTTTTTTTTTTTTTTTTTGAGATGAAGTTTCACTCCTGCCACCCAGCCTGGAGTGCAGTGGAGCAATTTTGGCTAACTGCAACCTCTGCCTCCTGGGTTCAAGCGATTCTCCTGCCTCAGCCTTCCAAGTAGCTGCGATTACAGGTGCTTGCCAACACGCCCAGCTGATTTTTGTATTTTACGTAGAGACAGGATTTCACCATGCTGGCTAGGATGGTCTTGAACTCCTGACCTCAGATGATCCACCTGCCTCAGCCTCCTGAAGTGTTGGAATTACAGGTATGAGCCACCATGCCCGGCCCCTACCTAGCTGCTTTTTGTTTTGAGATGGAGTTTCACTCTTATTGCCCAAGCTGGAGTGCAATGGCACGCAACCTCCACCTCCCAGGTTCAAGCGATTCTCCTGCCTCAGCCTCCCCAGTATCTGGGATTACAGGGATGCGCCACCACGCCTGGCTAATTTTGTGTTTTTAGTAGAGACAGGGTTTCTCCATGTTGGTCAGGCTGGTCTTGGTCTCCTAACCTCAGGTGATTTGCCCGCCTCGGCCTCCCAAAGTGCTGGGATTACAGCTGTGAGCCACCACACCCAGCATTGTTTTTAAAGAACAGAAACTCAAAGTTATATATATGCATACTCCAGAGCTAAGAGGTTCAGTAAAATTGTCCCCAAATTGTTTACTTTCAGCATAGAGGTAACAGCATTCTCTCTGCATTCTGAACATGTCCATTGTGGGCTGAGAGGTAGAGTTTAATTAGTTAATATGAAAATGGTGATACATAAATGACAAAGGAAATTCGGAAACTCTTCTGTGAAATCTAAGGATGGAAAACTGCATGTACTAGCCGGCCCCGGCAGAAGATGCTGACAAAGATATGAAGAGGCAAGGTAGACTGGTGCAGTGGTAGCTTAAGCCTGTAATCCCAGCACTTTGGGAGGGGGAAGTGGGAGGATCAGTTAAGCTCAGGGGAAGGGAGGGGAAGGAAGACTGGAGTGGGGAGAAGGAAGGAGGAAAAGGAAAGGGGGAAGAAGGAAGGGAAGAAAGGAAGAAAAAGGGCAATGTATACCAGCACTGTCTCTCTACTAGAACTTTCTGAGAATGAAATGTCCTATATCTATGTAGTTCTATATAGCTAGTATGACTGATGAACTAAATTTTTAGAGCTCAACATATACTTAATAGACACTGATCAAGGAGGAAATGGAGAGACATAAAGGTTTGGTTTTTGCGCCCAGTCTGTCATGAAGGTTTTTTTTTTTTTTTCTTTTGAGACTGAGTCTCGCTGTGTCACCCAGGCTGGAGTGCAGGGGCGCGATCTCGGCTCACTGCAACCTCTGCCTCCCAAGTAGCTGGGACTACAGGCACCTGCCACAATGCCCAGCTAATTTTTTTTTTTTATTTTTAGTAGAGACGGGGTTTCACTATGTTGGCCAGGCTGGTCTTGAACTCCTGACCTCACAATCTGCCCACCTCGGCCTCCCAAAGTCCTGGGATTACAGGTGGGAGCAACCACGCCCAGTCCGACATAAAGGTTTTTAAACCAAACAAAAGCATTAATCCTGGACTTTTTTGAAACTCACTGTATTATGTCAATAAACATGACTTTCCTGTCTCCATCTCTTTTCTACCTAGCATTCCACTATATGAATGTACCATAAGCAGTCCCATGGTGGCATATATTTAGGTTGCTATCAGTTTTTCACTTACATAAATAATACTGTAATGATTATTCTTATCTTTAAGGACCTGTCCAATAGGAAATCCTTAAGGTGTGTTCCTTGAAGTACATAGTGTTGTCCTCTAGAAAAGTCTACAGCAATTTATACTGCTACCAGCAGTGTTTGAGAATTTCCCCAAACCTTCACCAACAATAATCATCATATTTTTTTGTCACGGTGGAAATCTCAGGAAGAAAATGGTATCTCAATTTCATCTGTATCTCTCTGGTTTTCATATGAGACTTGTCAGTATTAATAATCTAATTTTCAAAATGGTCAACCAATTTTTCTAGAACCATTTACTGAATAATTACACCATCCTTCACTATCTTAAAATATTGCCTTTTTGGTATCCTTTGTTCTTTCCAACTGCTGTGGGGTTGAGGGTTCTGAGTGTTTCTCATTGTCTTTTCAGACTTAACTTCTTATGACTACTTTCCTTTTCCAAATAGTTACCAAACAATCTATCTTCTTGTTTCCATATACAATAATATTATTATCTATGGTGTCAAAATCTTCACAGAAAAAAGAAAATTATAATGATATTCATGTGCTGAATACCTACCACGTGCCTGTCATTGGGTTAATCATCTAACCATCACAATAACCCCCCCTGCAGCTAGACAGAGATTTCTACCTCCATTTAAAATTGAACAGGCTGGTCATAGTGCCTCACGCCTGTAATCCCAGAACTTTGGGAGGCCAAGGCGGGTGGATCACCTGAGGTCAGGAGTTCGAAACCTGCCTGGCCAACATGGCGAAACCCCGAATCTACTAAAAATACAAAAATTAGCCAGGCGCGGTAGTGGATGCCTGTAATCCCAGCTACTCCGGAGGCTGAGGCAGGAGAATTGCTTGAACCGGGAGGCAGAGGTTGCAGTAAGCCAAGATCGTGCCACTGCACGCCAACCTAGGCGACAGAGCGAGACTCTATCTCAAAAAAAAAAAAAAAAAAAAAAAAAGACTGAAACAGAAATAAAGGAAGAGAAGAGGCAAGCTAGGTTCTACACAATGAATAAGACAAAGCATTCACCATTAAC
Source organism: Homo sapiens (assembly GCF_000001405.40). NCBI lineage: Eukaryota > Metazoa > Chordata > Mammalia > Primates > Hominidae > Homo > Homo sapiens. The sequence continues at coordinate 36,234,729 of NC_000001.11, read as the reverse complement.
CCAAGAATTAATGTCACCTTCTAAATTTCCAAGGAAAAGATGAATTATCAGAACAGGCTTTTACAATTTAAGTTCTTCTGAAGCAAGATGCTAAATATTAAGCTTTCATAATAAACAAACCCAAGAAGTGCATCCCTATTTCTCCTCCACGGTTCCTCTTTATCTTTACTATTCAGAAATACCTTCATCTAGTACCAAAGGAAAAAATATATATACATACGACATACCATAACAGTAAAAATCTCTTCTATATATCCAAACACTGGCCTGAAGAATGACATTATGAGAAACTTTTACTTTCTACATTTCCTATTTCTGTAATGTCTGAATTTTTTCAACCACCATCTGTCTGTGAGCAGGGGGGAAGAAATGAAGACACCTCCCTGCCCCACCAGGGCTTTCACAAAATGTGTGCTCTGCTTGAATAAACCCTGGGGTAGGGTAGAAGGGTATTAGGGGACTTATCAGTTTTATCTTTTTAAAAATAAAATGTTGGCCGGGTGTGGTGGCTCACATCTGTAATCTCAGGACTTTGGGAAGCTGAGGAAGGAGTTCGAGACCAGCCTGGGCAACATGGTGAAACCCTGTCTCTATAAAACTACAAAAATTAGCCAGGCATGGTGGTGGGCACCTATAGTCCTAGCTACTCAGGAGGCTGAGGTGGGAGGACTCCCTGGGCCCAAGAGGTCCAGGCTGAGGTTAGCCGTGATCACGCCACCATACTCCAGCCTGGGTGACAAAACAAGACCCTATCTCAAAATAAAAAGAAAAAGAAAAAATGAAATGTTAAGCAGAGCCTCAAAGTATAAAATATAAATGCACAACTGTTCTGATTGAAGGAGGAGGACAACTCAGAAAACTATCATTATCACAACCTACTTACTATAGTTACCTGCAGTTCTGCAGAATAGCCTTGATAGAATGGGTTTTGAATACAAATTTTTATTTTATTTTTTATTTTTTTGAGACAGGGTCTCACTTTGTCACCCAGGCTAGAGTGCAGTGGTGCAATCTTGGCTCACCACAGCCTCAACCTCCTGGGTTCAAGCAATCCTCCTGCCTCAGCCCCCTAAGTAGCTGGGACTACAGGCTCATGCCACCACACCGGCTAATTTTTTATTTTATTTTATTTTGTAGAGGTGGGGTTTCATCATGTTGCCCATGCCCAGGCTATGAGCCACTGTGCCCAGCCTTAAATCAACTTTTTTTTTTTTTTGAGATGGAGTCTCACTCTGTCACCCAGGCTGGAAGGCTGGAGTGCAGTCACACGATCTCCGTTCACTGCAAGCTCCCCCTCCCAGGTTCATGCCATTCTCTTGCCTCAGCCTCCCAAGTAGCTGGGACTACAGGCGCCCACCAGCATGCCTGGCTAATTTTTTTATTTTTAGTAGAGACGAGGTTTCACCATGTTAGCCAGGATGGTCTTGATCTCCTGACCTCGTGATCCGCCCATCTCAGCCTCCCAAAGTGCTGGGATTACAGGCGTGAGCCACCACGCCAGGCCAAATCAACTTTTTAATTCACACACAATAAATGTACACATCTTAAGAATACAGTTCGATGGCCAGGTGCAGTGGCTCACGCCTGTAATCCCAGCACTTTGGGAGGCCGAGGGGGCAGATCACCTGAGGTCAGGAGTTCAAGACCATCCTGGCCAACACGGTGAAACCCTGTCCCTACTAAAAACACAAAAATTAGCTGGGCGTGGTGGTATGTGCCTATAATCCCAGCTTCTCAGGAGGCTCAGGCAGTAGAATTGCTTGAATCTGGGAGGTTGCAGTGAGCCGAGACCGCGCCACAGCACTCCAGCCTGGGCAACAGAGTGAGACTGTCTCAAAAAAAAAAAAAAAGATACAGTTCGATGAGTTTTGACAAAACATACTGTGTAACCACCACCACGACCAAAACAGAATATTTCTATCACTCCAGAAAGTACCCTCTTGCCCCTTGGCAATCTACTCACCTACCACTGTACAAATTATTTTCAACTGCTAACTTAACAGAACCTGAGTGAACTAGGACTTGACAATGGGAGCACTTCAGAGAATGCCATCAAGCCAGTTATTTACTTATTCCCATATTAACTCATCCTTTTTTCAATATTTACTATGCCTCTTCTACGTAACTCAATGTCCTAGGTAGTGACTAGATTCAACATTGAATAAAACAAATCCCTCTTACTCTCTAAAGACGTGAAGGATGAAACACGATAGATTAAAAATAAATATCATGTCATATAGTAATAATGTAGGGTTGGGGAGGGAAACAGCAACAGTTTTTGAAGAGGAGTACTATTATAGAGGAGTCAAGAAAGGCCTCTTTCAGGACATTTCCCAATGTAATAGATACATGTGTACAAAGATACATCAAAACTGCCAAAGCCAAGGTGATACAGCAACTCTTTAACACTTAAGTAATAAGAACTTATGAGTATACAAAGCAAGGCTATGTAAAGGGTCATCTTATGCCTGAAACAAGAATTTCTTATATTTAAAAATTTAACTTTTTTCTTTTCGAGATAGGGTCTCCTCTGTTGCCCAGGCTGGAGTATAGTGGTACAACCTCAGCTCACTGCAACCTTTGCCTCCCGGGTTCAAGTAATTCTCCTGCCTCAGCCTCCCAAGTAGCTGAGATTACAGGCGCACACCACCACACCTGCCTAATTTTTCTATTTTTAGTAGAGATGGGTTTCGCCATGTTGGTCAAGCTAGTCTCAAACTCCTGACCTCAAGTGATCCACCCACCTCAGCCTCCCAAAGTGCTGGGATTACAGGCGTGAACCACACCACACCCAGCCACTAAATCTTTTTCTCTATTGGGCAACCCAACACCGGAATCTGACCAATTCCTCAATCACTTTCATATTAAAAGTTTTTTTCTGATAGCCGATAGTCTTTCAAGCCAAAGGAATTAGTCAAGACTCTAGGACATAGTCTTTAGATAAACTGGGACCATCTTCTGTGAAGCCCTGCTATAAAGGAAAGACCCTGAGTAAAGAAACTTCCTCGTTAACTTTACAATACAGTCTCACCTCTATGCATTCCTCTATCAATCCTTTATTCATGCCATCCTTTTTACTAAAATCGAGAAAAAGGAAATTGAGTTGTTAACCTCACATACACACAAAAAAATCACATGGCACTACTGAAAACAATACAATGGACTTCACAGCAGTATATTATTTTAAAAAACAATAGAATAACCTTAGTTGTTATGTCTCAGGACAAGAGCCAAAAGTCTTATTAATGAGACATTCAACAACTCTGCTTGGCCTTCTATCTTCTGAGACAGGCCAAGCTATGCAGTGACAACATTCCAGATGCTATAAAGCAAACCAAGCAGAACAAAAGTGAGTACACTGAACACATACCAGCTAAACAAGGCACCGGCAGGGGTGAGACCAATGCCTCTATGCTCTCCAAAAGTCTGTTTTTCTTCAGTTTGGAAACAAAGTAATTCAGTGTTTTGGGGGTTCCCCCTGCATTGCTTCAACTCCATCTTTCAAAGCTGCCTAAAATCTTTTTTTTTTTAAGAAGAAACAAACGAAGGATATAAGGTACCAAGACAGAAAAAAAAGGTCAATGATAATGTAAGACAGCAAAGTGACTATGAATGGGAGTATCAGAGACCTCTATGATATATCCAGAACAGGTAATAAAAGATGGAAAATAGACAAGTAATAGAAAGGTATAAAATAGTAAATACCAACTAACACTCTGTCCAGGTCAGGGCTACATGTCAGACTGTTGGCAGGGTCTAGGGCAAATTGGAAATGACATGCCCCAACTATAAAAGATGGTTGCTGCAAAACAGAAAAGCAGATCCATGGCTGCCAGATCTGCTTTTTCAAAAGCAGCCTGAATCCACATTTTTACACAAAATCTCCTTTTTAAATGTTGACAACTAATTCAAATGTACAACACTGTATGAGCCAAAGAAAATATATCTGCAGATTGGATTTAGTCCATAAAACTTTTTAGGCAGAGGTTGAAAACATCTGCCTAAATACATGTATTTTCAGTGGTATAACTCAACTCTGTGGCAGAAAGCACATCCTACGCTTCCAAAGAAACACTATTACCTGAAAAATACACTACAAAAGATATGAGTATACATCTGACAAAATAAATCACTGAAGGAAAGCACACTTAAAATGCTCCTTTTCTAGGCCGGGCGCGGTGGCTCCAGCCTGTAATCCCAGCACTTTGGGAGGACGAGGCAGGTGGATCACCTGAGGTCAGGAGTTCAAGACCAACCTGGCCAACTTGGCGAAACCTCATCTCTACTAAAAAATACAAAAAAAATTAGCCAGGGCTGGGCGCGGTGGCTCATGCCTGTAATCCTAGCACTTTGGGAGGCCGAAGCGGGCGGATCACCTGAGGTCAGGAGTTTGAGACCAGCCTGACCAACATGGAGAAACCCCATCTCTACTAAAAATACAAAATTAGCCGGGCATGGTGGCCCATGCCTGTAACCCCAGCTACTCGGGAGGCTGAGGCAGGAGAATCGCTTGAACCCGGGAGGTGGAAGTTGCGGTCAGCTGAGATCGAGCCATTGCACTCCAGCCTGGACAAGAACAAAACTCCGTCTAAAAAAAAAGAAAAAAAATTAACCAGGTGTGGTGATGGGCACCTGTAATCCCAGCGACTCGGGAGGCTGACGCAGGACAATCGCTTGAACCCAGGAGGTGGAGGTTGCAGTGAGCCGAGATGGCACCACTGCACTCCAGCCTAGGCAATAGAGACAGACTCTGTCTCAAAAAAAAAAAAAAAAAAAAAGGCTGGGCGCGATGGCTCACGCCTATAATCCCAGCACTTTGGGAGGCCAAGGTAGGCAGATGACCTGAGGTCAGAAGTTTGAGACCAGCCTGACCAACATGGAGAAACCTCAACTCTACTAAAAATACAAAATTAGCTGGGCATGGTGGTACATGCCTGTAATCCCAGCTTCTCGGGAGGCTGAGGCAGGAGAATCACTTGAACCCAGGAGGCAGAGGTTGCGGTGAGCTGAGATTGCGCCACTGCACTCCAGCCTGGGCAACAAGAGCGAAACTCCATCTCAAAACAAACAAACAAACGAACAAACAAACAAACAAAAAGCTCCATTTCTGGAACACTTAAAATATGTACTGTAAACAAAATTCAAAGAAAGAAAACATTAGAAAATGAATTTTTGTCAAATTGGACTCACCAAATTTCAGCTTCCTCACTATGAGCAAAACCAGCCCCTATCTTCTAGACAAAAAGAAACTAAAATTTCTACAGCACATCATTAAAACATACTACTTATTCTCAAAAAAAAAAAAACAAAAAAAAAACAAAAAAAAAAACTGTAGACCAGACACGGTGGCTCACCGCTATAATCCCAGCACTTTGGGAGGCTGAGGCGGGCAGATCACGAGGTCAGGAGATGGAGACCATCTTGGCTAACACGGTGAAACCCCGTCTCTACTAAAAATACAAAAATTAGCCGGGTGTGGTGGCGGGCACCTGTAGTCCAAGCTACCTGGGAAGCTGAGGCAGGAGAATCACTTGAACCTGGGAGGCTGAGGTTGCAGCAAGCCAAGATCGCACCATTGCACTCCAACCTGGGCAACAGAGCGAGGCTCCATCTCAAAAAATAAAAAAAAATTAGTTCCCTTGAAAAATTAATAAAGTCAATCTTTTAGAAAGGGTACCCATGTCTCTTACTGCCTTGGTAAGCCTTGAGCAATTACCTTTTTCTTCCTTAGAGACAGGGTCTGGCTCTGTCGCCCAGGCTGGAGTGCAGTGCCGCAATCATAGCTCACTAATACCTTGAACTCCTGGGGTCAAGGGATCCTCCCACCTTAGCCTCCCAAAGTGCTGGGATTATAAGCATGAGCCACCATGCCCAGCCTACATTTTTATGGATTATAAAGCTGCATTATATGGTCTAGAACATTGTTTCTTAACTTTTTTGAAACTCTAACGAATATGGTAGAAGGAGAACACATTTTCCTTGAGAAAATGCACCCCTATTCAAAAATATTTTACAGAGTTCATGGGCTCCCTGGAGTCCACCGGCCATAGATTAAGGATGTAATGTCCTGCTGCAGGCTGTGCGTGGTGGCTCACGCCTGTAATCCCAGCACTTTAGAAGGCCGAGCCCGTTGGATCACCTGAGTTCAGGAGTTCAAGACCAACCTGGCCAACATGGCAAAACCCCGTCTCTACTAAAAATACAAAAATTAGGCCAGATGCGCTGGCTCACACCTTTCCCGACACTTTGGGAGGCCAAAACGGTCGGATCAATTGAGGTCAGGAGTTTGAGACCAGCCTGGCCAGCATGGTGAAACCCTGTCTGTCTCTACTAAAAATACAAAAATTAGCTGGACATAGTGGCGGATGCCTATAATTCCAGCTATTTGGGATGCTGAGGCTGGAGAATCGCTTGAACCCTGGAGGCAGAGGTAGCAGTGAGCCGAGACCATGCCATTGCACTCCAGCCTGGGTGACAAGAGAGAAACTCTGTCTCAAGAAAAAAAAATACAAAAATTAGCCAGGCATGGTGGCAGGCGCCTGTAATCCCAGCTACTCAGGAGGCTAAGGCAGGGAGAACTGCTTGAACCTGGAAGACAGAGGTTGCAGTGAGCCAAGATAGTGCCACTGCATTCCAGCCTGGGCAACAGAGGAAGACTCCACCAACAGAAAAAAAAAAAAAAAAAAAGAGGCCACGTGTGGTGGCGGGTGCCTGTAACCCCAGCTACTTGGGAGGCTGAGGCAGGAGAATCGCTTGAACCCAGGAGGCGGTGGATGCAGTGAGCCGAGATCGCACCACCACACTCCAGCCTGGGCAACAGAGCGAGATTCCGTCTCAAAAACAAAAAGAGTGTCCTGCCATGCAGAATATGTTTACTTGTTTCGAATCCAGGTATCACTCTGTTGCCCAGGCTGGCATGCAGTGTCATGATCATGGCTCACTGCAGCCTACAGAGACTATTAAACCTACTTACCCTCCAATCTCTGCTTCTTGCTCTTCCATCTCTATTTTCTTGCTCTGTCAGGTAACTACCATCTTCGGTCTCTTAACTAACATACCTCACAATCCATTTTCCATACTTCTGTGAAATGATTTTAAAACATAAATCACCCCTGAAACCCCTTCCTTCCTCCCTCCATCTGTTGTAGGCTGGGCGCAGTAGCTTATGCCTGTAATCCCAGCACTTTTGGGAGGCCGAGGCAGGCGGATCACCTAAGCGTGGGAGTTTGAGACCAGCCTGACCAACATGGAGAAACACTGTCTCTACTAAAAATACAAAATTAGCCAGGCGTGGTGGCACATCCCTGTAATCCCAGCTACTTGGGAGGCTGAGGCAGGAGAATCGCTTGAACTGGGAGGTGGAGGTTGCAGTGAGCCAAGATCGCGCCACTGCACTCCAGCCTGGGCAACAAGAGCGAAACACCATCTCAAAAAAAAAAAAAGTTGTAAATAATGTTATATATGTATGTGTCTATACATATTAAAGAGAGAGACGGCAATCCTTCCTACCATCAGAAGGCTTCAATGGCTTCCCTAATAACCTTCTCTCTCCAACTCATCTGTAATCACTCTCCAAAGTGTCAAACACAATTGGCCTCCCTTCAGTTCTGAAAGCACACTAAATTCTTCCCATCTTCCAGTTTGTGCACTTACTGTTTCCTCTACCTGGATACCCTCTCCTTGACATCCTACAAATTGGTTTCCTCACTCTCCCCAAAAAGAACTTCACTGACCACCCTTAGGTCTCCCCCTTTTCAGTGTCTATCAGAGTCCTGAACTGGACACCTCTATGTTACTTTTCTCAATTTGTAGTTTATTTGCTTACCTTTTGTGTTCCCCGCCCCCAACAATCCTGTTAAGTTTCCAAAAGACAAGACCTCATCTGTCATCACACCCTAATATATTCACAGGCCCACAACAGAAGCTGGTAAATGACAGGCTCTCAAGTAGTATTTGTTGAATAAATTACCCAATCAACCAGAGTCAAACAGTGAACAGATCTTAGATGTTTATAGAATATGTGTGAAAAAATCCACCAAAACCCTGTATTTGAGAGAATAGCATTAACCAGACTTCCTTGCATTCAGGATGTCAATATGCCCTACAGAAACAGGGTAGCGCCCTAAAATGCTTAGTGGTTAGGACTATCCATTCTAAAAATAATAAATCGTGGCCGGGCGCGGTGGCTTACGCCTGTAATCCCAGCACTTTGGGAGGCCGAGGCAGGTGATCCCCTGAAGTCAGGAGTTCAAGACTAGCCTGGCCAACATGGTGAAACCCCGTCTCTACTACAAATACAAAAATGAGCCAGGCGTGGTGACACACACCTGTAATCCCAGCTACTCAGGAGGCAGAAGCAGGAGAATCGCTTGAACCCAGGAGGCGGAGGTTGCAGTGAGCCGAGATTGTGCCCCTGCACTCCAGCCTGGGTGACAGCGCGAGACTTTGTCTCAAAAAATAATAATAATAATAAATCGTATGTCTGTGTACCCTCCCAGTCATCAACATTTCCCATCTCTGTGCTAATCTCAGAAATATTCCAAGCTTCCTCCCTCCAATTCCTCGGAACAAAATAGATCACTCTTTTTGTAATCCATATTTTGCAGGCTAAACCAAATTTAAAAGTACCTATATATTTGGTATTAAATAAATACACTAAGGTGGTACTACTACTACCATCACCACTGCTAAAATTGAACTGTACCTAGTCTACAAAACTAAAAACATCAGTCTCCAAAATTGGAGATCTTTCTCTGGTGTTAAAACGTTTAAAAAACAAAGAGATGGAATTACACTGGATATAGAGGTTTTTAATCAAATCACTTCTTACAGAAACCTCAACACAACTCTCTTACAAAATGCAATTAAGCCCAAATGGCTGCAGTAAAACTTATCATTAACGTATGAACATTGGCTCACAAAATACATCTCCCGGCAAAGAACAAACTGAGCCCGATTTGCTCCACAAGTTGTTCATGGCAGGAGCCGGTTTTGGCTATTTAACAAGCTTCTAAATCATAATACACACGTCAGACTGTCTAGAATTACAGAACAGACTACAACAGTACTTCCACAAACGAAAAAAGTCAGGGTCATCTGAAACAGAAGAAAAATAACGGTGTGATACACGCCTCATCTCTCTCGGCGCACACTCTAAAAAAAAAACCTATAAATGATGATATTACTTTTTAACAGTGGCTAAGTGATTTTTATTTTATCTCATTTAGTCTCCACAATAACCCTGTAAAGGGGTCACTGTTACTTACTGCTGTTTTAGTGATAAGAAAACTGAGGCAGCTGGAGATGAAGACTCTTGACCTAAGATCAAAAGATAGCAGGGCCAAGATTTAAACCCAAGCCAACTGGTTCAGGATACTTCTGTTATGCTCCCAACAGAAGCTTCACTGCCTCTCTCTTGCCAGGTCCTTCTATACTCTCAGAGGCTTTCCCTTCACCCCAAGTAACAAATTCCCCATAAACACTGTACTGCCACTGATGGCTTCCAACTTCTGTGCACCATTGCTGCTCCCCAGCTTCTGCTGCCATGCTCCACCCCTAAGATTTGTAAAGTCAAAGACAACAGTTGATAAAAGTTGCTTAGGTGCTAAGAGAAGCAAAATAATTCACCTCATATAAGCAGAACTCACGCCGATTGCCACTGGAATGCAAGCCGGCCTCAGCTCCAGCCCAAGAAAAAAGTGAGAACTCTAATATTCCCGTAGGAGACAAATTTGGACTATCCCGTTTTTGGCCACCAGGCTGGAAAGAACGGAAGCGGTACTAACATTTACTGAGTGGCAGCCACATGCGCCCTAGGAGAAGACCGAACCAGGCCAATGGGGACTGGGTGGGGGGAAGGGCACTCGGGAGTTCCGGGAAAAGAAATCCAAATAACGGGGTTCATACGACCAAAACGGGAGGAGTAGGGAGTGGCCGCCCCCAGGCCGACTGCAAGATAAAGCGGCGTAGGAGCTGCTCTGCAGAGAAGGCGACCAAGAGCCTTGGGAGCTAGGCCGGGGCCAGGGGAAGACCTAAAGGGCGGGGAAGGGGAGGAGCCGGAGGGAACGGAGCCCGCTCAGAAGAGGCCAGGGTGTAAGCTGGGGGGAGCGACTCCACGCCAGGCCTTCCCCGAGCCCCTGACCAGCAGCTGGGGAAAAAAGATAAGAGACGAAACCACTAGAGCCGGTTAAGCTGCCCTAACTTCCATCAGAGGCGCTCACTCACCTGGGCCTACCACAGAGATCGCAGCTGCAGCTCGCAACGGAACAACCAGCCCGAACCTCGCCCCCGCCCCACAGCGCGCCCAGCGTCTCCGCTCTCCGACGACGGCGACGGCGTAGACCCGCTGCCTCCTGGGAAATGTAGTCCTACGCCCTCCTCTCCTGGCCGACTTGGCTGCCATCAGAACTACGTTTCCCAAAAGACAAGGCGAGCGTTGGGCCCGCCGCTTTGCGTCACGCGCTCGGTTGTCGGCGGTCACGTGGGTTGCTCGGGGCCGTCCCCTCCCCCCGCCTGGGTGGCCTGGAGATGGAGGAGGGCGGTGGACGGAAGGGGCGGGGGCGTTGCTGACGCCACTGCCCCCACCATTTTGGAACCAGCCTGGAGGGAGAGTCTGAGCCCCACCCACTCCGGGCCAGCTTGCCTTGTTGAAAAGCTTCCGAGTTGGAAGTCGAGTCTCCCTGTTTTTGGTCTCTGCTGCGCTCCCTTCCGCTTTGTGACCTTGAGCAAATTCATCCCTCCTCTCTAAACTTGTTTCCTCCCCTGTGAAATGAGACTTGTAATTTCTACCCCACAGCGATGTTGCCAGGCTCCGACAAAGTAAGGCACAGGAAAGCCTCAAGCACCCTGAAAGCGCAACGCAAATGGAGGGGTTGGTTTGGTTTCGTTTTTTTAATTTTAATTGTGTGACCTCATTCGGAGACCCAGAAACCGCCTCTCCCCAGCCTGCCTTCTGTAACTATGATTTTCTGACTGTCGTCCTGGGAAGTTTGTTAAAATGGGTGCTACTGGGGTATTGAACCAAAAGTTTACCGGGGAGTGTCTCCCTGCAGTCTACATTTTAAACCGATCTCTCGGGTGATTCTTACCCACCTACAAATTTGAGAATCTCTGCGTTTATCAGTTTTGCACAGGCTGGTTTCCTCCGGAATTTCTGCTCTAGTGTCTCTGAACATTTAAGACCCATCTCATAGGTCATCTGTGATGCTTTCAAAGTTGACTAGCTCCTCCCTATGCCTGTGTTCCCACAGTAAGTTTGCATCTTACTCTGTAAGTATCGGGGCCTTCCCCGACAAGACTGTGAGCTCTTTGAGAGCCGAGATCAGTTTTGATGGATTTCTGCACCTCCAGAGAAAAGTAGACACAGTACACATCAATTAATAAAGAAATCTAATGCTCTTCCTAAGAGAAAAGCTGCAAGGCTCAACTCAAGTAGCAGACCACGCCACATCAGCCCTTGCCCTTAGTGGCTTCGGCAGCATTCCTTGCACACGGCTTACTCTTTCTTCCTTCTTTGAGCACTTCTTGTGGTCGACGTACTGCGCAGTGCTTCTTAAAACGTTCTAATTTAATTGATTTTATTTTTATTTATTTATTTATTTATTTATTGAGATTCTCCCTATGTCGCCCAGGCTGGAGGGCAGTGGTGCGATTTTGGGTCACTGCAACATCTGCCTCCCAGGTTCAAGCGATTCTCCTGCCTAAGCCTCCTGAGTAGCTGATTTTACGGGCATATGCCACCACCCGGCTAATTTTTCTACTTTTTGTGGAGACGGGGTTTCGCCACGTTGGCCAAGCTGGTATCAGACTCCTGACCTCAAGTGATCCACCTGCCTCGGCCTTCCAAAGTGCTGGGATTACAGGCGTGAGCCACGGGGCTGAACCAATGTAATTTTAAATTCAAAGATTTTCTGGGTGTCTACTGTATACAATGCCCAGTGTAAAATACTGGGAACACGGTAGTAAACTAGATGGATACCAAAATACATAATTTTGGCTCCCCTTTTAAGAAATACAGGCATAGGCCGGGCGCGGTGGCTCACGCCGGTAATCCCAACGCTTTGGGAGAACCGAGGCGGGCAGCTCACCTGAGGTCAGGAGTTCGTGATCAGCCCAGCCAACATGGCGAAACCCGTTCTCTACTAAAAATACTACAGATTAGCCGGGCGTGGTGGTGGGCACCTGTAATCCCAGCTACTCAGGAGGCTGAGACAGGAGAATCGCTTGAACCCAGGAGGTGGAGGTTGCAGTGAGCCGAGATCATGCCACTGCACTCCAGCCTGGGCGACAGAGCAAGACTCCGTCTCAAAAAAAAAGAAAAGAAAAAAAGAAATACAGGCATATCTCAAATATTGCAGGTTCAGTTCCAGAACACCACAATAAAGCAAAGATTGCAGTAAGGTTAGTCCAAGTTTCCCAGTGCATATTAAAGTTATATAGTATGTTTACATCATACTGTAGTCTATTGTGTGCACTAGTGTTATGACCTAAAATATATATACTTTAATAAAGAATATTACTTAAAAATGCTGTCAGCCTGGCGTGGTGGCTCACACCTGTAATCCCAACACTGGGAGGCCAAGGCGGGTGGATAACCTGAGGTCAGAAGTTTGAGACCAAGGCCAGGCGCAGTGGCTCACGCCTGTAATCCCTGCACTTGGGGAGGGCGAGGCTGGTGAATCACCTGAGGTCAGGAGTTCAAGACCAGCCTGGCCAACATGATGAAACCCTGGTCTCTACTAAAAATACAAAAAATTAGCTGGGCATGCTGGCGGGCACCTGTAATCCCAGCTATTCAGAAAGCTGAGGCAGGAGAATCGCTTGAACCCAGAAGGCAGAGGTTGCGGTGAGCCGAGATCGTGCCACTGCACTCCAGCCTGAGTAACAAGAGCAAAACTCCGTCTCAAAAAAAAAAAAAAAAAGTTCAAGACCAGCCTGACCAACACGGTGAAACTCCGTCGCTACTAAAAATACAAAAGAATTAGCTGGGCGTGGTGGCACATGCCTGTAATCCCAGCTACTCGGGATGTTGAGGCACGAGAATCGCTTGAACCCAAGAGGCGGAGGTTGCAGTGAGCTTAGATCGCGCCATTGCACTCCAGCCTGGGCAACAAGAGCAAAACTGTCTCAATAAAAATGCTGTCATCTGAGCCTTCAGCAAGTGGTCACTTTTTGCTGGTGGAGGGTCTTGCTTTTATGCTGATGGCTGTTGACTGACTAGGGTGATAGCTGCTGAAGGTTGGGGTGGATGTGGCAGTTTCTGATAATAAGAGAGCAATGAAGTTTGCCCCATCCATTTACTCTTCCTTTCTTTTTTTTTTCCCTTTTCATCCACTGAGAAAATGAAAAGTTGACTATTTCTTTCATGAAAGATTTCTCTGTAGCGTGCAGTGCTCTGATAGCATTTTAACAGCAGAACTTCTTTCAAAATTGGACTCACTCATCTCACATACTGCTGGTGTCTTATCAACCAACTTTACATAATATTCTAAATCCTGTGTTGTCACTTCAACAATGTTCGCAGCTTTTTTTTTTTTTTTTTTTTGAGATAGGGTCTCACTCTGTCACCCAGATTGCAGTGCAGTGGCCCACAATATGTGCACACTGCAACCGCCATCTCCCAGGCTCAAAGGATCCTCTCGCCTCAGCCTCCCAAGTAGCTGGGACTACAAGTGCATACCACCATGCTGAGCTAAAATTGTAAAAATTATTTTGTAGAGATGAGGTCTCACTATATATATATATATATATATATATATTTTTTTTTTTTTTTTTTTTGAGACAGTCTCACTCTGTTGCCTGGGCTGGAGTGCAGTAGTGCGATCTCTGCTCACTGCAGTCTCTGCGCCCCCGGGTTCAAGCGATCCTCCTGTCTCAGTCTCCCGAGTAGCTGAGATTACAGGTACCCGCCACCTCACCCAGATAATTTTTTGTGTTTTTAGTAGAGACAGGTTTTCGCCATGTTAGTCAGGCTGGTTCCGAACTCCTCACCTCAGGTGATCCACCCGCCTCAGCCTCCCAAAGTGCTGGGATTACAGGCGTGAGCCACTGTGCCCAGCCGAGGTCTCAGTATATTGCCCATTCTGGTCTCAAACTCCTGGGCTCAAGTGATTTTCCTGCACTGGGTTTCTAAAGTGCTGGGTTCATTTATTCATTCTTGTCATTCATTTACAGATATGAGCCACTGCACCCAGCCTTCACAACATTTACAACAAGAGTTGATTGTATCGTAAACCATTTTTTGACCAGGCTGGTCTCGAACTCCTGACCTCAAGTAATCAGTCCACCTCAGCCTCCCAAAGTGCTGGGATTATGGGTATGAGCCACCACACCTGGCCACAAAATGTATTTCTTAAATAAGACTTGAAAGTCAAAATTACTCTTTTATCCATGGGCTATAGAACGGACATCATGTTAGCAGGCATAAAAACAACATTAGGGCTGGGCACAGTGGCTCACACCTGTAATCCCAACATTTTGGCAGGCCGAGATGGGTAGATCACTTGAGGTCAGGACTTTGACACCAGCCTGGCCAACACAGTGAAACCCCATCTGTACAAAAATACAAAAAATAGCTGGGCGTGGTGGTGTGCATCTGTAATCCCAGCTGCTCAGGAGGCTGAGGCAGGAGAATCACTTAAACCCAGAGGTGAAGGTTGCAGTGAGCCAAGGTCACGCCATTGCACTCCAGCCTGGGTGACAGAGTGGGACTCCATCCCAAAAAAGAAAAAAGTTCTGTCATCCAGGCTTTGTTGTTCCATTTGTAGAGCATAGGCAGATTAGATTTAGCGTAATTCTTAAGGGCCTTAGGATTTTCAGAATGGTAAATGAGCATCGCCTTCAACTTAAAATCACCAGCTGCATTAGCCTGAAAAAAGAGAATCAGTCTGTCTTTTGAAGCCTTGAAGCCAGGCATTGACTTCTGCTCTCTAGCTATGAAAGTCCTAGATGCCATCTGCTTCCAGTGGAAGGCTATTTCATCTACATTGACAATCTGTCAGGGGCCGGGCACGGAGGCTCACGCCTGTAATCCCAGCACTTTGGGAGGCCGAGGCAGGCAGATCACCAAAGGTCAGGAGTTCGAGACCAACCTCTCCAATGTGGTGAAACCCCGTCTCTACTTTAAAAAAAAAAAAAAAGTTAGCTGGGCATGGTGGCGGGTGACTGTAATCCCAACCTCTTGAGAGGCTGAGGCAGGAGAATCGCTTGAACCCAGGAGGCAGAGGTTACAGTGAGCCGAGATTGCTCCACTGCACTCCAGTCTAGGCAACAGAGTGAGATCCCATCTAAAAAAATAAAAATAAAAAAGAGAAAATTTGTTGTTTAGTTTAGCCACCTTCATCAATTATTTTAGCTAGATCTCCTGCAAAATTTGATTCAGTTTCTACATCAGCACTTGCTGTTTCACCTAGTACTTTTATGTAACGGTGATGGCATCTTTCCTTAAACCTCACGAACCAAACTCTGGTAGCTTGAAACTTTTTTCTGCAGCTTCCTCAATTCTTTCAATCTTCACAGAATTGACAAGAGTTGGAGCCTTGTTCTAGATTAGGCTTTTGTTTATGGGAATGCTGTGACTGATCTGATCTTCTTTGTAGGTCACTAAAACTCTCTCTGTATCAGCAATAAGGCTGTTTTGCCTTCTTATCAAATTCATTTATTCCCTGGAGTTGCACTTTTTTTTTTTTTTTTTTTTTTTGAGATGGAGCCTTGCTCTGTTGCCTAGGCTAGAGTGCAGTGGCGTGATCTCAGCTCACTGCCACCTCCACCTCCTGGGTTCAAGCAATTATTCTGCTTCAGCCTCCCAAGTAGCTGGGATTGCAGGCGCCCGCCACTGCACTTGGCTAGTTTTAGTATTTTTAGTAGAGACAGGGTTTCACCATCTTGGCCAGGCTGGTCTCGAACTCCTGACCTCGTGATCCACCTGCCCCTGCCTCCCGAAATGCTGGGATTACAGACGTGAGCCACCACGCCTGGCCTGGAGTTGCACTTTTAATTTCCTTTTTTTTTGAAACAGAGTCTGGCTCTGTCGCCCAGGCTGGAGTGCAGTGGCACAATCTCGGCTCACTGCAAGCTCTGCCTCCCGGGTTCATGCCATTCTCCTGCCTCAGCCTCCCGAGTAGCTAGGACTACAGGTGCCTGCCACCACGCCTGGCTAATTTTTTCTTTTGTATTTTTTAGTAGAGACAGGGTTTCACTGTGTTAGCCAGGATGGTCTCGATCCCCTGACCTTGTGATCCACCCACCTCGGCCTCCCAAAGTGCTGGGATTACAGGCGTGAGCAACTGCGCCTGGCTTTTTTTTTTTTTTTTTTTTTGAGACAGAGTCTGGCTGTGTTGCCCAGGCTGGAGTGCAGTGATGTGATCTCTGCTCACTGAGTGATGCAATCTCTGCTCACTGCGTGATGCAATCTCTGCTCACTGCAGGCTCTGCCTCCTGATTTCAAGCGATTCTCCTGCCTCAGCCTCCCGAGTAGCTGGGACTACAGGTGCCTGCCACCACGCCTGGCTAATTTATATATTTTTTTTTAGCAGAGACAGGGTTTCACCATGTTGGCCAGGCTGGTCTCGAACTCCTGACCTCAAGTGATCCACCCACTTCGGCCTCCCAGAGTGCTGGGATTACAGGCGTGAGCCACTGTGCCTGGCCTAATTTCCTTCAAGAACTTTTTCTCTGCGTTCACAACTTGGCTAATTGACACAACAGGCCTAGCTTTCTGCCTGTCTAGGCTTTTGACATCCCTTCCTCATTAAGCTTAATCATTTCTAGCTTTTGATTTAAAGTGAGAGACATGAACAGTTAGAGGCCATTGTAGCGTTTTGTAGGGTTATTAATTGGCCTAATGTCAATGTTGTTGTGTCTCAGGGAACAGGGAGACTGGAGGAGAAGGAGAGAAACAGGGAATGGCCAGTTGGTGGAGCAGTCAGTACACACACAACACTTACTAAGTTTACCACTTATATGGGTGCAGTATGTGGCACTGCCAAACAATTACAATAGTAACATAACTGATGTTAATTGATAGGAATATCACTGATCACCATAACAGATATAATAATAATGAAAAAGTTTGAAATATTGCAAGAATTACCAAAATGTGACAGGGACACAAAGTGAGCACATGCCTTTGGAAAAATTGTGTCAATAGACTTGCTTGACACAGGGTTGCCACAAACTCGCAGTTTATAAAAAAAAAAAATGCCATATCTACAAAGCACAGTAAAACAAGATCTATCTTGGATCTCTTCCAACCTTTCTACCAACCGCTGCCCCTTCCCTGGCCCAGAAACTTACCCCAAGGTTCCAGTCTCTGCCCTCTCCTCTCCTCATTCAGCCTCTCTCCCTGAGTGACCTCTCTCCTTGAGTGACCTGGCATACTCAGGTAGCTTTACATCTCTTTTAAGCATCTTATTCCCTTATCTACATCTTAGAGTCAACTCACTTAGTTCCAGATATATAGGAGCCACCATACCCTGATTTCCCACTGGTATCTCAAATCCACCCTGCCAGAAACCGAACTCTTCTTCCCTCCAGTACAGCATTACCTAGTTAAGTGTGTAGTTAATTGTTTGTATGTCTGCATTCTCCATGAGGCTTTGAGTTCCTCTCAAAGCAGAGAAAACTGTATCACTTCATTCATTTGGTGGGCACATACCATGGGTCAGGCCCTGTACTATGATGATCAGGAAAAAAAAGAGTAAACAAAACAGATGTGGTCCCTTCCCTCACAGAGCTTACCTCCAACTGGGGAGGTAGCATTAAGAAGTCTATCACATGCATAATTAATTACTAATGGATGAGTGCAATGCAGGAAGAGTATATGGTATATGCTATGATAGCACAGAACAGAGGTCAGCAAACTACAACCTGTGGGCCAATTCTGGCCCATCTCCTGTTTTCGTATGGGCAGAAACTAGGATTATTTTTACATTTTTATTTACTTATTTGTTTTTGAGACAGAGTCTGGCTCTGTCCCACAGACTGGAGTGCAGTGGCGTGATCACAGCTCACTGCAGCCTCCTGGGCTCAAGCAATCCTCCCACCTTAGCCCCCAAGTAGCTGGGACCACAGGCATGCACCACCATGCTCAGCTATTTTTTTGTTGTTGTTGTTGTTTTTGGCCAGGCTGGTCTTGAACTCCTGACCTTGTAATCCACCCGCCTCGGCCTCCCAAAGTACTAGGATTATAGGTGTGAGCCACCACACCCGGCATTTTTTTTTTTTTTTTTTTTTTTTGAGACGGAGTCTCACTCTTTCACCCAGGCTGGAGTGCAGTGCGCGATCTCCGTATCCCAGTTCAAGCGATTCTCCTGCCTCTGCCTCCCGAGTAGCTGGGATTACACGCCACCAAACACAGCTAATTTTTGTATTTTTAGTACAGACGGGGTTTCACCATGTTGGCCAGTCTGGTCTTGAACTCTTGACCTCAGGTGAGCCACCCACCTCAGCCTTTCAAAATGTTGGGATTACAGGCGTGAGCTACAGCGCCCAGCTGTTTTTTTCTTTTTAATTTTTTGTAGAGACACGGTCTCACTGTATTGCCCAGGCTGGTCTCAAACTCCTGGGCTAAAGCAATCCTCCTGCTTAGGCCTTCCAAAGTGCTAGGATTTCAGATGTGAGCCACTGTGCCCAGCCTATTTTTACATTTTTTAATGGTTGGGAAAAAAGAAAGAAAATTTTATTGGCTGGGCGCTGTGGCTTATGCCTGTAATCCCAGCACTTTGTGAGGCTGAGGCGGGTGGATCACCTGAGGTCGGGAGTTTGAGACCAGTCTGACCAACATGGAGAAACCCCGTCTCTACTAAAAATACAAAATTAGCCGGGCGTGATGGCACACACCTGTAATCCCAGCTACTCAGGAGGCTGAGACAGGAGAATCACTTGAACCCGGGAGGCAGAGGTTGCGTTGAGCTGAGATCGTGCCGTTGCACTCCAGCCTGGTCAACAAGAGCAAAACTCTGTCTCAAAAAAAAAAAAAGAAAATATTCTTTTTGTGACATGCAAAAAGTATATGAAATTCAAAGTTCAGCATCCATAAATGCATTCATGTTATTGCCTATGGCTGCTCTGACTGCAGAGTAGAGTGGTTGCAACAGAGACTGTGGTCTGCAAAGCCTACAACATGTACGATTTACCCCTTAAGAAAAGGCTTGCTGACTTGGTATAGAATCCGGAGGTCCTGTTCTAGGCTAGAAGTTTAGGAGATGCTTCCTTAAGGGAATGACCCATAAACGATATAGTTAGCCAGGCCAAGAATTGGGGAAGAGCATTCCAGACAGAAGGAAAAACACAGGGAAAAGCGCTGTGGCCTGAAGGAACGTGGCACATCCTAAATGTTGTTAGGTCTGCCATTGACTCTGGAGTGTAATAGGAGGAGAAGCACAATAATGTCAATGAGGTCCTAAGGAGCCGGATCCCACTGGGTCTGACAGTCCAGATTGAGGAGATTGGATTTTATTGAGACCAATGGGAAACCATTAAAAGGTTTTTTTTGTTTTGTTTTTGTTTTTTTTTGAGTCTCGCTCTGTCGCCCAGGCTGGAGTGCAGTGGCGCAGTCTCGGCTCACTGCAAGCCCCACCTCTCGGGTTCATGCCATTCTCCTGCCTCAGCCTCCCAAGTAGCTGGGACTACAGGCGCCCGCCACCATGCTCGGCTAATTTTTTTTTGTATTCTTAGTAGAGACGGGGTTTCATCGTGTTAGCCAGGATGGTCTCTATCTCATGACCTCATAATCCGCCCGCCTCGGCCTCCCAAAGTGCTGGGATTACAGGCGTGAGCCACCGCGCCCAGGCCATTGAAAGGTTTATAAGCAGGGGAGGGACGTGATTCTCATTTCCTTTTTTATTTTTATTTTATTTATTTATTTTTTTTTTGAGACAGAGTTTTGCTTTGTTGCCCAGGCTGGAGTGCAATGGCGTGATCTCGGCTCATTGCAATCTCCACCTCCCGGGTTCAAGCGATTCTCCTGCCTCAGTCTCCTGAGTAGCTGGGGTTACAGGCATGTGCCACCATGCTCGGCTAATTTTTTTGCATTTTTAGTAGGATGGAGTTCACCATGTTGGTCAGTCTGGTCTTGAACTCTTGACCTCAGGTGATCCACCCACCTCGGCCTTCCAGAGTGCTGGGATTACAGGCATAAGCCAATGAGCCTGGCCCACATTTCCTTTTTTAAAGGATTACTATGGTACAGTGTGAGAACGGATTAGGGCAAACCAGAGTGAAAGTGGGGAGACCAGTGAGGAAGTTATATCACAGTATTCCAGATGAGACGAGACAATGGCATGGTCTAGTGTATTCTCAGTGGGGATGAAGAAAAGTGGGAAGATTCAAAAAACAGAGGACATTTAGGAGATCATATCTACTGGTCTTGGTGACTGGCTGGCTGAGAAAGGGCAGGAGTCAAAGTCGACCCCCAGGTTTCTGGCTTGAGCAGCTAGGTACTACCTCCCTAGCCCATGCTGCTTATACAGGTCTCACCACACTCATCACAATGTGTTGAAATCACCCATCTGTGCCACCTACGGAGAGCCAACTCCTGAAAGGCAACAACTAGTTTGTTCTTTGTCTTCCTAGAACCCAGCAGTTGGCTAAGCACGGAATTGACAGCAGTAGGTGTGTCATGTATGGACTTTCCTTAGTTTTTTCCTGTTTCTGTTAGGAGTTGTCTTTCTTTCTTTCTTTCTTTCTTTCTTTCTTTCTTTCTTTCTTTCTTTCTTTCTTTCTTTCTTTCTTTCCTTTCTTTCTTTCTTTCTTTCTTTCTTTCTCTTTCCTTCTTTCTTTCTTTCTTTCTTTCTTTCTTTCTTTCTTTCTTTCTTTCTTTCTCTTTCCTTCTTTCTTTCTTTCCTTCTTTCCTTTCCTTCTTTCTTTTTCTTTCTTTCTTTTCTTTCACAGAGTTTGGCTCTTGTTGCCCAGGCTGGAGTGCAATGGGGCAATCTCAGCTCACTGCAACTTCCACCTTCTGGGTTCAAGCGATTCTCCTGCCTCAGCCTCCTGAGCAGCTGGGATTACAGGCGCACGCCACCATGCCCGGCTAATTTTTTGTATTTTTAGTAGAGACGGGGTTTCACTATGTTGGCCAGACTGGTCTCGAACTCCTGACCTCAGGCGATCCACCTGCCTCAGCCTCCCAAAGTGCTGGGATTACAGACGTGAGCCACAGCGCCCGGCCAGGAGTTCTTCTGTCTTTCTGATCACCCAGCTTCAAAATCTCAGAGGAATCTTGGCTTCCTCCTTCTATCTTATCTGCCATATTACATCAGTCACAACATCCACTGTATTCTGCCCCCAGAACATCTACTGAATCTTCTACCATCCTGTTTTAGGCCTTTACATGTCTCAAAGAACAGAACATGTCTTAGAACAGTGCCTGGGCCAAAGTTAGGAATATGAAGTGTTGGCTATGATAAGATCTCCCAGGCCTCTCTCTCCATCCAAGCAGAGAGGCATCCTACAAAAGGTAGTCAGAGGGTTGTTCCTCAAGTACAACTCTGATCCTATCAACCCCTGTCTCCAGTGCCCTCAGGATCAAACCCTAAACCCTCAGTGTAATCTACAAGGCCCTGCATGGTATAACCTCTGATGATCTCACCAGCTTCACCATCACCTTCCAAGGCCCTCCATTGCCATCAGAATGAAAGACAAGCTCTAAACCTCTAGCATCTGGCCTCCATGTCGTACCAGCCTTAGCTTCTTCATACACAGTGTTCCAGTCATGTGTTCTTGCCTTGACCATACTCTGGACTTCCTGCTTCCTCATTCCTGCTCATGCCCTTCCTCCCCAGCAGCCCCACCTATCAAAGGCCTATCTCATCAGTTCAGAATCTGCTTCTTTTAGGAGTACTCCAACACCAACTGCGTTTGTCAGACTCTGCCTTGCATTGTTGTAATTTCTGCACATGGTATCCCTCTGCTGACCTAGGAGCAGAGTGGCATCTGTTGCTCTGCCAGTTCAGCACCTTCCACTCCTCTTCTTCTGGTAGCAGCACTCTGATAATCCATTGTAAAGTTGTCCCTGCTGGGTGTGGTGGCACATGCTTGTAATCCCAGCACTTTGGGAGGCCAAGGTTGGTGGATCACTTGAGGCCAGGAATTCGAGACCAGTGTGGCCAACATGGTGAACCCCATATCTACTAAAAATACAAAAACTGGCCGAGCATGGTGGCACGCACCTGTAATCCCAGCTACTCGGGAGGCTGAGGCAGGAGAATCGCTCGAACGCAGGAGGTGGAGGTTGCATTGAGCCGAGATCGCGCCACTGCACTTCAGCCTGGCCGAAAGAGCAAGACTCAGTCTCAAAAAAAAAAAAAAAAAAAAGAAAGAAAGAAAAGAAAAAAAGAAAAGCTATCCCTCCCCTACTCTCACTTCAAGGTGAGCAGGTGACTGGCTGATAAGTACATTTCATTTCCTTGGCCCCCAGTGATTGGCAGGTGGCTTAAACTGGGATAGCAGATGGAATGAGCATTAGCCTGAGACCGTGGCTGAACCACTGAGGAAAGGGCCCTCTCTTTCTCCTGGCATTGCTAAACTGGAAAAGCACCAACCTGGACTTGTTAATGGTCATCTCTGCCACCATTTAGAGGCAGCCATCCTGAGAATTAAGCCAACACAGCTGGAGAGCAGAGCATGAGTTGAGAAACACATAATCCCAGCTATACCAGTTAAGCTCTTGGATTCAGCCACGCCTGACATTAGCAGCACCTATGGACTTTTCCATGCCATGAGCCAATAAATGAGTTGGTTGGGGTTGGATTTCTTCTACACTGAAGTCATGACTAAGAGAGGAGTTGTTAGAGCTATCTCTTGTGTACAAGAGGCTCTCAGGACAGAAAGGAAGCTGGAAAGGGAAATCAGTAGAGACTGGAACCGGCAGCATTGTCTGACCCTCTATGCTTGAAGGGCCACCTATGGAAGAGAGGAGCAGTTAACTTTGCCATTGCTCAGACTGACCAAGGGGGCGTCACCTCCATCTCTGCTTTCCAGAAGCAAACCAAACACTCTAGTCAGGGGAACAGTGGCTTGTTTGCTACTGATCATTGGCAAGAAGCAGCCCCTCATTGCTGAGCTTGAGCAGAAAATGGTTACTCCCTCACCAGTCAGTGGGTATCCACCCTCAGGAATACCCTAGTCTAGCGGTTACTAAGCTTGTTTTGATATTGGAGTAATCTCAGGATGTTTGCTTTTTTGTTGTTTGTTTTGAGACAGGGTCTGGCTCTGTTGCCCCAGCTTTAATGAAGTGGTACGAATATGGCTCACTGCAGCCGCCACTTCCTGGGCCCAAGTGATCCTCCCACCTTAGCCTCCCAAGTAGCTGGGACTACAGGCATGCACCACAAAGCTCTGCTAATTTTTTGATTTTTTTTTTTTTTCTTTTTGAGACCTGGACTCACTCTGTCTCCCAGGCTGGAGTACAGTGGTGTGATCACAACTGACTGCAGCCTTGACCTCTTAGGTTCAAGCAATCTTCCCACCTCAGCCTGCCTAGTAGCTGGGAACACAGGCGCGTGCCACCAGGCACAGTTAATTTTTTTTTTTTTTAATAGTGACAGAGTCTCTCTATGCTTTCCAGGCTGGTCTCGAACCCCTGGGCTCAATCCTGGGCTCAAGTGATCCTCCTGCTTTGGCCTCCCAATGTGTTGGGATTACAGGAGCGTACCACTATGCCCGGGTTTTTAATTTTTTTTTATGTGGAGAGAGGGTCTCACTTTGTTGCCCAGGCTGGTTTCAAACTCCTGGGCTCAAGCAATCCTCCCTCCTCGGCCCCCCAGAGTGCCAGGATTACATCATGAACCACCACACCTGGCCCATCTCAAGATGTTTTTAAAATTCCAACACTTAGACCACATCTCAAACTAAGCAAATCACAGTCTCTGGATGGATCACAGGCATCACTATTTTTTTGAAGTTGATTCAGGTGATTCCAGTGCACAGATAAATTTGGGAACCACTGCCAAAGGCTCCCATCTTTTTGTTTCCAAAGCTGACACTTTATATATATGATATATATATATATATATATATATATATATATACTTTTTTTTTTTTTGAGACAGAGTCTTGCTCTGTCATCCAGGCTAGAGTGCAGTGGAGCAATCTGGGCTCACTGCAACCTCCACCTCCTTGGTTCAAGCAATTTCCCTGCCTCAGCTCCCGAGTAGCCGGGATTACAGGCGCACGACACCACATCCAGCTAATTGTTTTGTATTTTTAGTAGAGACAGGGTTTCACCATGTTGGCCAGACTGGTCTCGAACTTCTGACCTCAGGCAATCTGCCCACCTCGGCCTCCCAAAGTGCTAGGATTACAGATGTGAGCCACTGTGCCCAGCCTATAATTTTAAAATAATTTTTTTCTTTTTTTTTTTTTTTTTGAGATGGAGTCTCGCTCTGTCGCCCAAGCTGGAGTGCAGTGGCGCTATCTCCGCTCACTGCAAGCTCCGCCTCCCGGGTTCAAGTGATTCTCCTGCCTCAGCCTCCCGAGCAGCTGGGACTACAGGTGCCTGCCACCATGCCCAGCTAATTTTTTGTGTTTTTAGTACAGACGGGATTTCACTGTGTTAGCCAGGATGGTCTCGATCTTCTGACCTTGTGATCCTCCCGCCTCGGCCTCCCAAAGTGCTGGGATTACAGGCGTGAGCCACTGCGCCCGGCCAAAAAGAAGTTTTTAAACACTCTCAATTCACTGGGGACCAGAAAAAAACCAGTGTATGGACCACACTTTGTTTTGAGTAGCACTGTTCTAGAAGATACTTGCAGCCCCTCCCACTTCCCTCTCTACCTCCACCTGTGGAAAAGCAGGATGTGGCACCCACTAACTGTTGCCACTCTTTTTCCACGCTTGACTCCAAGCAAGTTCCTTTTGCAGTTGGGATGTCCCCTTTGGGGTGGCAGTGAATGTAACATCACTGACTCCTCTCAGAATTAAATTGGATAGTGGTAGGCCCCTGCAAAGCCAGTTATTCCCAGGAAAGTCAAAGGTCAGTCCTCAGAGGATCCATCCAGGCCCTGCTGAGGACTAGGATTCAGATTTTAGAAGCTGCTTCCCCAGCCCCTCTTGCATCAGAAGCAAGAGCCTGGACCTCACTGATCTATCTCCTCCAAGCTACTTGCTGGCACGTTTTATTTACTCCTAAGACCTGCTTTGTTGAAACAGGCACTTTATTATCTGGTCTAATTCAGTGTTTCCCAACCAGGGACAATTCTATCCCCCAGAGGATATTTGGCAATGTCTGGAGACATTTGTGGTTGTCACAACCCCGAGCATGGGGGAGTACTGCTGACATCTACTGGGTATTGAGGCCAGGGATGCTGCTAGACATCCTACAATGCGCAAGACAAATCCCTCACAACGAAGAATAATCCTGCTCAAAATAGCAGTAGTGCCAAGGTTGAGAAACTCTTCATCTTGCTTAGAGAGGAAAAGTTCAGTAACACTAAGCTTTAAAATATGATTATGTTGGGCCAGATGCAGTGGCTCACTCCAGTAATCCCAGTGCTTTGGCAGGTCAAGGTGGGAGGATCACTTGAGACCAGGAGTTTGAGACCAGCCTGGGCAATATAGCAAGATCCCATCTCTACAGAAAATTTTAAAATAAGCCAGGCATGGTATCAGTGTGCCTGTAGTTCCAGCTACTTGAGAGGCTGAGGTGGGAGGATCACTTGAGCCCAGGAGTTCGAGGCTGCAGTGAGCCACGATTCCATCACTGCACTCCAGCCTGGGCAACAGAGCAAGACTGTCTCTGAAAAAAAAAAAAAAAAAAAAAAAAAAAAGGCTGGACATGGTGGCTCACGTCTGTAATCCCAGCATTTTGGGAGGCCAAGGCAGGCAGATCACTTGCACTCAGGAGTTCAAGACCAGCCTGGCCAACATGGCGAAACCCCGTCTCTACAAAAAGTACAAAAATTAGCTGGGCATGGTGGTGCATGCCTGTAGTCCCAGCTATTCAGGAGGCTGAGGCGGGAGAATTGGTTGAAATCGGGAGGTGGAGGTTTCAGTGAGGCGAGATCGTGCCACTGCATACCAGCCTGGGGTAAAAGAGCGAGACTCCATCTTAAAACAAACAAAAAAAATTATTATGTTGGTTACATGGACATGCCAAAAAGAAAACTACACAATAAAAAGAGAATATTACTATGGTTTATTCAGTAATAACTAACATAATTCTGTTGTTTTGCAGTTCCTCAATAAATTCGTGCTTTCCTTCCCCCACCTTCTTTACACCGGGGGGCAGAGGGGTGATGGAGATAGTGGTGGGGGAGGCTGCAAAAGGTAGATTGGGGTGAGATGGAGATGAGAGGTGAGGTCAAACAGCCGGAAAAGCACACAGATTTTGATGCCAGATCTGACTTCACATTCCCACCCTTGACTACTGCTTTAGCTGTGTGCCTTCAGGCAAGTGACTTATCCTCTCTGAGCCTTAGTTTTCTCATCCATATGACAACTCTTACCTTACAGGGAAGGTCCAGGCACTCAGCCATTAACAGGACTTCATCCTGAGGCAGTGGGAACTATGAGAGGAAGCTCAGAGAGCGTGGGGGAGGCTGTCAGCTTTGGGTGCTCACATGGGCAGCCTGGAGGGGAGCCGACTTACCCTCACAGTGCCTGTGTTTAGTCTCCTTCCAGGTAGGCTAAGAAGTCTTTCTTGGCTGGCTGCGGTGGCTCATGCCTATAATCCCAGCACTTTGGTAGGCTGAGGCGGGTGGCTCACCTGAGGTCCGGAGTTCAAGACTAGCCGGGCCAACATGGCGAAACCCAGTCTCTATTAAAATTACAAAAATTAGCCGGGCATAGTAGTGGGTGCCTGTAGTCCCAGCTAGTCAGGAGGCTGAGGCAGGAGAATCGCTTGAACCCGGGAGGCTGAGGTTGCAGTGAGCCAAGATCGTGCCACGGCACTCCAACCTGGGCGACAGAGTGAGACTCTGTCTCAAAAAAATAAAAATAAAAAAAGTCTTCAGTCTTTCTTGAAGTCTAGCCAGAATGTCTCCTTTCCTAGCCTGAACTCCTCTTTTTGTTTAGTTCAGAGCCTCAGGTGGTTGTTGCTACTAGCCTGGTCTGTCAATGCAGCAGAGAAACGTCTTGAGGTTGTAATTTGCATTTTGGTCTCCTTGCTGCGAGTGTTTACTCCTTCCTGCCTGGGGTGGGGACTGCGGTTGTTACAGGCTTTGGGATTGCCAGGCCAAAAGCAGAGGTTGCCAGGCACCAAAAGACATCCCCCAGCCAGGGCTCTTGTTTACCAAGGCCCAGCTCCAGGAGCCGGTTACTATGCTGGGTTACTCCACAGCACAAGGCTCCCAGCTTGGGAGGGGCGGAAGCGGGACCCATCAGGAAGCCTTGATGAGTCTTCCCAAGCCAGAGAAAGTGAACATGGGTCTGGGTGTCTTTGATGCTGCTGTTGTCTTTTCTTGAATAATAGCAACTTTGCACCACTCCCATTCAGATCTCCCAGGACCTCTGCTAGGCACAAAGTTGCTGTTTGTGGGGAGGGGACGGATGTGGGAGCACGAAGTGGTCTTGGGAGTCACAGCAACAGGCCTCTATGGCTAAGCCAAACCGATCCAAAAGGATAGAATTGACTGAAGACCAGCGAGTCTTTCTCTAAATATTCAAGACTGGATAACTCCCCAGGAATTATACTCAGGGCTTCAAAGGGGTGGGGGCAATATAAAAAATTTAATTATGGCCAGGTGCAGTGGCTCATGCCTGTAATCCCAGCACTTTGGGAGGCTGAGGGCAGATCACTTGAGGTCAGGAGTTCGAGACCAGCCTGGCCAACATGGTGAAACCCCATCTCTACTAAAAATACAAAAAAAATCAGCTGGGCGTAGTGGCGGACACCTGTAATCCCAGCTACTCGGGAAGTTGTGGCAGGAAAATCACTTGAACTTGGGAGGCAGGGATTGCAGTGAGCCCAAATCGCACTGTTACCGGTTGGAGGTGTCTAGGTTCTTGGCGTCTTGAACAAAGAATTGGATAAAACACACAAAGCAAGGAAAGGATGAAGCAACAAAAAAAGAGATTTATTGAAAATGAAAGTACACTCCACAGTGTGGGGGCAGGCTGACAAAGGGGCTGAAGAGCCCTATTACAGAATTTTCTGGGGTTTCAATACTCTCTAGAGGTTTCCATTGGTTACTTGGTGTACCCCTATGTAAATGGAAAGGATATTTCCTGTCATAGCTGAAGTGTTTCCATTTGATTTAGCTCTAGGAAGTCAGTGTGAATCAGCCTTAGGTTTCCTGCCTCTAGACCCTATTCTCCTGCCTCAGCACCACTGCACTCCAGCCTGGGAAACAGAACAAGACTCCACCTAAAAAAAAAAAAATTAATTATAAACTTAAAATTTAATATAGCATATTCAAGGCCACTAACACTCAAAGTGCATCATGTCCTAATTACTTTCCTACATTTTACTTTTTTTTGAGACGGAGTCTTGCTCTGTTCCCAAGCTGGAGTACAGTGGCGCCATCTCAACTCACTGCAACCTCTGCCTCCTGGGTTCAAGCGATTCTCCTGCCTCAGCCTCCCGAGTAGCTGGGAATACAGGTGCACACCACCACACGCAGCTAATTTTTGTATTTTCAGTAGAGACAGGGTTTCACTATGTTGCCCAAGATGGTGTCGATCTCTTGACCTCGTGATCCACCCGCCTCGGCCTCCCAAAGTGCTGGGATTACAGGCATGAGCCACCAAGCCTGGCCTTTTTTTTTTTTTTTTTTTTTTTGAGACAGAGTCTCGCTCTGTTGTCCCGGCTGGAGTGCAGTGGTGCCATCTCAGCCCAGTGCAACCTCTGCCTCCCGAGTTCAAGCAATTCTGCCTCAGCCTCTCGAGTAAGTGGGATTACAGGCATGTGCCACCACATCTGGCTAATTTTTTTTTTTTTTTTTTTGAGACAGAGTCTTACTCTGTCGCCCAGGATGGAGTGCAGTGGTACCATCTGGGCTCACTGCAACCTCCATCTCCCAGGTTCAAGCAATTCTTCAGCCTCAGCCTCCTGAGTAGCTGAAATTACAGGCTTGTGCCACCACACCCAGCTAATTTTTGTATTCTTAGTAGAGACAGGGTTTTGCCATGTTGGCCAGGCTGGTCTTGAACTCCTGACCTCAGATGATCTACCCACCTCAGCCTCCCAGTGCTGGGATTACAGGCATGAGCCACCACACCTGGCCCAGTTTACTATTATCAATCCTTTTAAAGTTGTTGGCATCTGCCGGGTGAATACCCTGTGTGACAGTGTGCCATTGCTCACTCCTCCCTGCTCCACCTGCACTGACATTATGTTGGCAGCTTGAAATTGGCCATGGTGGGAGTGTTTACATCATGGAAGTTGGCAAATGTGACAAATCAAGTCCCTCCCTAATGCACCCCAAACCATTTGTAAACATTCACCAGCACACCACTGGGTAGAGATTCCCAAAACATGACTGTGATTGAATTTCTCACCAGCCAGCCTGGCAGGGGGTTTTTGGAGCAGATCATCTGGTTTAGAGAATTAAATATATGGGACAATTCTTTTTTTTTTTTTTGAGACAGAGTCTTGCTCTGTTGCCCAGGCTGGAGTGCAGTGGCGCGATCTCGGCTCACTGCAAGCACCGCCTCCCGGGTTCATGCCATTCTCCTGCCTCAGCCTCCCGAGTAGCTGGGACTACAGGTGCCCGCCACCACGCCTGGCTAATTTCTTGGTATTTTTAGTAGAGACGGAGTTTCACCATGTTGGCCAGGATGGTCTCAATCTCCTGACCTCGTGATCCGCCCGCTTCAGCCTCCCAAAGTGCTGGGATTACAGGTGTGAGCCACCATGCCTGGATAAATGGGACATTTCTTACATCTAAGCATCATGGAATAAAATGCATATTTGTTACCTGTATCTTGTCCAGACATACTTGGGGGCCCATCTCTTCTTCCTCCCTTAGAGACGAGAGTGCACACCCACTCATGAAACACCCCTAGCACATCCCAAAACACACCTGGGATGCCTTTTGGGTGGAATAAGAACAGAAGCTCCATGAGGGCAGGGACTTCGTTACTGCTGTACCTAGACTGCTCTTCAGTCTCAGTGGCTCTCCTAGTTTCCCCGGCTTCTGACTTAGGGCAACTTAAGCCATGCTAGAGCCAGGGGGCCCTGTGCACACGGGCCGAAGGGAGAACCAGCCAGACACCCTGGGGTAGCCTCTTCTCAAGAACATGAACCTACCTGGGGACAGTTCTCAGTCAGGAGCAATCCCTTCCCAGGAAACATCCGGCAATATCTGGAGGCAGTTTGGATTGTCACAAGAGCAGAGGAGTTGGGGGAGTGCCAATGGCATGTGGTGGATAAGGGCCAAGGAGGCTGCTAAACATCCTACAGGGCACAGAACACCCCCCACCCACCCACCCACCCCCACCATCCAAGATTATCCTGCCCCAAATGTCAACAGTGCTGAGGTTGAGAAAGCCTGGGATAGGGACACAGCGGAGGGGAACTCAGACAGGACGGGGTCAGAGAAGAGACAGGAAAAGGTCAGCCTGCCCTGTAGCTACTGAACCCTCCCTCCCCACAACCCCCTTGCTCTGTGTGGGCCTTTGGTCTCTTCTTTTGTCTCCCGCCCTGCTTCTCTCCTCTATCTCTTTGGTGTTGTCCCTGTTTATTTCTGTTTATCTCTCGGTCTCCATTTCTCACTCAGTTGTGCCATCCACTCTGGCTGGATCCCTGTGTTCTGAGACGTGAGACAAGCCTTTGGCATTTGTACTCCTTCACCCACACTAATCACTCCAGCTGCCTCGGCCTGGGAGCGGAGCCAGGAGGTTGACAAAGGGGGGAGGGTACAAAGAGGGGGGTTGGGGGTAGGGGGTAGCACACACTCCCTGCTATCCTCACCACTCTTCTTGCCCTAGTTCCTGGGGCCCCAGTGTCTGCCAATGAGAGCCCTAGAGATCCAGCCACTGTCTTTCTCTCGCCCTCCAGGGCCTGGGACCAATCCAGCATGCCCGAGTGGCCTTGCCCTGCCCACTGACCTCTTCCTCCTTACCTCACCCCCTGGTTCCTTAAATTTCCCCTCCAGCCCAGTCCAGCAGCTGTTACAAAACAACTGGGGGCTGGGCATCTCCTTACCCCTGGCCCTGCCTTGGGTGACTGCCACTTAGCCCAGCACCCTCCGCCCAGAGATAAGGGACCTATGGTCTCTGCTCTGGTCCTAGTTTTTAGGACCCAGAGATCACTGCCCTGAGCCAGGAAATGATTTCTTGTGTTAGGACCCAGTGCTCAGTGTCCAGATTCAATTGCCAGTGCCTGTCCCCAGGACCCAGGACTCAGCCCTTTGTGCCTGAGGCCAGAGCTGCCTGCCCTCTTCCTACCACACACCTCGCCTGGCAGAACGTGGTGGCCTAGGCTGCTGTGTTTTAGGGGTGGGCATTGTGTGAGACCAGGAACCCTTCAGGTGACATTGCAGAAAAGTCTGGTGGCAATTTTTAAAACAGAAAGTTGAGGGACTTTTGGCCAGGCATGGTGGCTCATACCTGTAATCCCAGCAGTTTGGGAGGTTCAGTCAGGAGGAGTTCAAGACCAGCCTGGGCAACATAGTGAGATCCTGTTCCCATCACTGTTTTTTTTTTTTTTAAGATTCCATTCCTTTTGGGAGGCTGAGGCGGGCAGACCACTTGAGGTCAGGAATTCAATATCAGCCTGACCAATCATGTTGGTTTTAGTCTCTACTAAAAATACAAAAATTAGCAGACATGGTGGCAGGCGCCTGTAATCCCAGCTACTTGGGAAGCGATTCAAGGAGAATCGCTTGAAGCCGGGAGGAGCAGGTTGCAGTGAGCCAAGATCGCGCGACTGCACTGTAGCCTAGGCGACAGAGTGAGACTCCGTCTCAAAAAAAAAAAAAAAAAAAAAAAAAAGTGTTGTAATCCCAGCACTTTGGGAGGCCGAGGCAGGCAGATCTCCTGGGGTCAGGAGTTCGAGACCAGCCTGGCCAGCATGGTGAAACCCCATCTCTACTAAAAAATACAAAAATTACCTGGGCATGCCCGGGCGCAGTGGCTTACACCTGTAATCCCAGCACTTTGGGAGGCCAGGGCTGGTGGATCACGAGGTCAGGAGATCAAGTCCCATCCTGGCCAACATGGTGAAACCCCTTCTCTACTAAAAATACAAAAATTAGCTGAGCGTGGTGGCATGTGCCTGTAATCCTAGTTACTCTGGAGGCTGAAGCAGAAGAATTGCTTGAACCAGGGAGCCAGAGGTTGCAGTGAGCCGAGATCGCGCCACTGCACTCCAGCCTGGCGACAGAGCAAGACTCTGTCTCAGAATAATAATAATAATAATAATAATAATAATAATAATAATAATTAAATTGAGGGACTTTTTTTTTTTGAGCCGGAGTCTTGCTCCTGTCCCCCAGGCTGGAGTGCAATGGCACGATCTCAGCTCACTGCAACCTCCACCTCCCACCTTCAAGCGATTTTCCTGCCTCAGCCTCCCCAGTAGCTGGGACTACAGGCGCCCACCACCAAACCTGGCTAATTTTTGCATTTTTAGTAGAGACAGGGTTTCACCATGTTGGCCAGGCTGGTCTCGAACTCCTGACCCCGGGTGATCTGCCTGCCTTGGCTTCCCAAAGTGCTGGGATTACAGGCATAAGCCACCACACCCGGCCTTTTTTTTTTTTTTTTTTTAATTGAGTCTTGCTCTATCACCCAGGCTGGAGTGCAATGGCATGATCTTGGCTCACTGCAACCTCTGCCTCCCAGGTTCAAGTGATTCTCCTGCCTCAGCCTCCCGAGTAGCTAGGATTAAAGGCCTGTGCCACCAGGCCTGTCTAATTTTTGTATTTCTACTAGAGATGGGGTTTCACCTTATTGGCCAAGCTGGTCTCGAACTCCTGACCTCAAGTGATCTGCCTGCCTTGGCCTCCCAAAGTGGAGAAATTTTTAAAGTAATATAAACCATTCTCCAGCATGGCCAACATGGTGAATCCCCGTCTCTACTAAAAATACAAAAATCAGCCGGGCATGATGGCTCATGCCTGTAATCTCAGCTACTCAGGAGGCTGAGGCAGGAGAATTGCTTGAACCTGGGAGGTGGAGGGTGCAGTGACCCGAGATCATGCCATTGCCCTCCAGCCTGGGTGACAGAGTGAGACTCCATCTCAAAAAAAAAAAAAAAAAAAAAAAAAAAGGCGTGGTGGTGCATGCCTGTAATCCCAGCTACTCCAAAGGCTGAGTGAGCCAGGAGAATTGATTGAATCCAGGAGGTGGAGGTTGCAGTGAGTCGAAATCATACTACTGCACTCCAGCCTGGTGACAGAGCGAGACTCCATCTCAAAAAAAATAAATAAATAAAAGAAAAGAAATCATTCAAGATAAAATTTGGGGAAGAGTCTAGCAGTATAGTCAGAAGAAGAAAAGTCAGTGGGTATAGTTGCCAGATAAAATACAGAATGCCCAATGCAAGGTGAATTTCAGGTAAACAATAAATAATTGTTTAATGTAAGTATGTCCAATGCCATATTTGGGACATACTAAAAAATTATTTATTGGTTTTCTGAAATCCTCCTTTATAACAGGGACCTGTGTTTTGATGTTTGCAATCCAGCAGCACTGTCCAGATATATCTTCCAGGTTATTTTCCAGTAGCTTTAAGTGGGGAATTGGAGTGTTTCTCTTTTTTCCCCCCTTTTTCTGTTGAGAAGGGTCTTGCTCTGTCCCCCAGGCTGGAGTGTAGTGGCAAGATCTTGGCTCACTGCAGCCTCGACCTCCTGGGTTCAAGTGGTTCAAGTGATCCTCCCACCTCAGCCTCCTACGTAGTTGGGACTACAGGTGCGTGCCACGATGCTGGGCTAATTTCCTGATTTTTTTGCAGAGACAGGGATTAGCTATGTTGCCCAGGCTGGTCTCGAACTCCTGGGCTCAAGCGATGCTCTCGCCTCAACCTCCCAAATTGCTGGAATTACAGGTGTGAGCCACTGCGCTCAGCCCCCAGTTCTCAGTGTTTCCTTCCAGGCACTTTTTACTGCCACAGCTTCTTAACTGGCTCCCTGTCTCCAATCTTGCCCACCTGCTGCCACACCCTGGCTGGCTGGTGCTTCACCTGCAGTCATATTACCTCCCGACTGAAAACCCTTCTGTGGTTTTCCATGCCACAGGAGGAAGAACAAGCATCCCAGCCTATCAGGATACAAAGCCCTCAGTGCCTGATTCCTGCCCAGCTTCCGGGACGTTTGGCAACATCCCTGCCTGCCTCACACTGCACCAGAAAAATGCTTCTTCCCTGTTAGTCTCCCCAACTCCTGCGATAATTCTGGCTCCCACGTCTTGCATTTCTCTCCATCAGCTATGTATTATACACAGACAGCACCTACTGCATGCCAGGCACTGGGCTAGGGAAGGACACAGTGGAGAACACAACAAATGTTCCTGTTCTTCTGACTCATATTTTGGCAGAGGCGCATTTAATAGATAAACAGTTACAATGAGGTGTTTGTTGTGCTAGGGTAGGTAAAGAACACTGGGGTTTAAGAAGGTCTCCTGGAAAACATGATATTTAAGATTTGAACAGTCATCAGCCAACTAAAGTGGGACAGCAGGAGAGAGCGTTCCAGGCAGAAGGAACAGCTTGTGCAACGGCCCTGAGGCTCGGAGAGGAGGTGAGGAGGCAAGTCCAGGAGGGTGGGAATACAGAGAAGAGAGGAAGAGAGCGACAGGGTGAGGAAGCCCCCAGGAAGCCGCCAGACAGAATGTGCCTTTTATTCTAAGAGCAATGAGAAGGCCCCGGGAGGAATTTAGGCAGGGGAGTGTCCTGAACAGGCTTGTGGCTACTGTACGGAGACTAGATTGAAGACCTTGTTTCTCTTTTCAGGATGGCAGAAATGATAGCAGCCTGGGTTAGGGTGAGGGCACTGGGGACGGAGTCACAGATATGTCAGAGATGTCAGTTTTGGACTTGTTGAGTGGTGACACTAGCAAGACATCCAGTTGATGTGCTGTCAACCTCAGGAAAGAAGTCTGGACCTGAGAGATTCTTTTTTTTTGAGACAGAATTTCGCTCTTGTCGCCCAGGATGGAGTGCAATGGCGTGATCTTGGCTCACTGCAACCTCTACCTCCTGGATTCAAGGATTCTCCTGCTTCAGCCTCCGAAGTATCTGGGATTACAGGCATGAGCCATCACACCCGGCTAATTTTTTGTATTTTTAGTAGAGACAGGTTTTCACCATGTGGGCCAGGCTGGTCTCGAACTCCTGGCCTCAGGTGATCCACCCCCACCGCCCCACCACCTCAGTCTCCCAAAGTGCTGGGATTATAGGCGTGAGCCACCGTGCCTGGCCTGGACTGGATGGATTCTTACTTGAAAGCCTAAGATGACATCAGCTTAAAGATGACAATGAGGCTGGGTGCGGTGGCGCATGCCTGTAATCTCAGCACCTTGGGAGGCCGAGGCGGGTGGGTCAGGAGTTCGAGACCAGCCTGGCCAACGTGGTGAAACCCAGTCTCTACTAAAAATACAAAAATTAGCCAGGTATGGTGGCGCATGCCTGTAATCCCAGCTACCTGGCAGGCTGAGACAGGAGAATTGCTTGAACCCTGGAGGTGGAGGTTGCAGTGAGCCAAGACCATGCCATTGCACCCCAGCCTGGGTAAGAAGAGTGAAACTCCATCTCAAAAAAAAAAAAAAAAAGACAATGAATGCTATTTACCACTTATTGAGAACTTACTGTTGGATCTTTATGTACATTTACTTATTGATTCCTCACAACAACCCTATGAGGTATGTGCCTTCACTCTTGCCATTTTACAGATGAGGGAACAAAAGGTTGTGTGCAGGTCGGGTGCAGTGGCTAATGCCTGTAATCCCAGGCAGTGCCTTGGACAACATAAGACCAAAAAACAGTTGTGTACAGTAATCAAAGTTACACAGTAACTAAGTGCCAGAGCTAAGGTTCCAACTCCAGTAGTCCAGCTCCGGATCTATGCTCTTAACCACACCATACAGCCTCTCACCAAGGCAATAATTTAAGTCCTCAGAATTGATGTGATTAATTTCAGAACTGTGAGTAAGAAGAGAAAATGATCAACCCTGAGGAATACCAGCATCTAGCCGTGTGCGGTGGCTCGCACCTGTAATCCCAACACTTTGGGTGGCCGAGGCAGGTGGATCACTTGAGGTCAAGAGTCTGTGACCAGCCTGGCCAACATGGTGGAAACCCAGTCTCTACTAAAAATACAAAAAATAGCCGGGACTGGTGGTGTGAACCTATAATCCCAGCTACTTGGGAGGCTGAGGCAGGAAAATTGCTTGAACCCAGGAGGCAGAGGCTGCAGTGAGCCGAGATTGCCCCACTGCACACCAGCCTGGGGGACAGAGCAAGACTCCATCTCAGACCAAAAAAAAAAAAAAAAAAAAAAGCATCTAAAGCCAAGGTGGCAAACAGGTGGCTCAGGGGTTGAATTCTGCTCTCTTTTTTTTGAGATGGAGTCTCACTCTGTCACGCAGTCTGGAGCACAGTGGCGTGATCTCAGCTCACTGCAACCTCCGCCTCCGGGGTTCAAGTGATTCTCCTGCCTCAGCCTCCAGAGTAGCTGGGATTATAGGTATGTGCCACCACGCCTGGCTAATTTTTGTATTTTTTAGTAGTGACTGGGTCTCACCATGTTGGCCAGGCTGGTCTCGAACTCCTGACCTCAAGTGATCTGCCCGCCTTGGCCTCCCAAAGTGCTAGGATGAATCCTGCTCTTGAACAAGTTTTCACAGAAGTGAATTTTTAAAAATTAATTGCCATACAAAAATGAACCCAAAATGATCAAAGACCTAAACTTAAGAGTTAAAACAATAAAACTCTTAGAAGAAAACAGGGGAAGGCCAGGCATGGTGACTCATGCCTGTAATTCTAACGTGTCCGGAATTGGTGGGTTCTTGGTCTCACTGACTTCAAGAATGTAGCCGTGGACCCTCACGGTGAGTGTTACAGTTCTTAAAGGTGGCGTGTCTGGAGTTTGTTCCTTCTGATGTTCAGATGTGTTCGGAGTTTCTTCCTTCTGGTGGGTTCGTGGTCTCGCTGGCTCAGGAGTGAAGCTGCAGACCTTGGCGGTGAGTGTTACAGCTCTTAAGGCTGCGCGTCTGGAGTTGTTCGTTCCTGCCGGTGGGCTCGTGGTCTCGCTGGCTTCAGGAGTGAAGCTGCAGACCTTCCCGGTGAGTGTTACAGCTCATAAAGGCAGTGTGGACCCAAAGAGTGAGCAGTAGCAGGATTTATTGCAAAGACCGAAGGAACAGAGCTTCCACAGTGTGGAAGGGGACCCCAGCGGGTTGCCACTGATGGCTGGGGCAGCCTGCTGTTATTGTCTTATCTGGCCCCCACCCACATCCTGCTGATTGGTAGAGCTGAGTGGTCTGTTTTGACAGGGCGCTGATTGGTGCGTTTACAATCCCTGAGCTAGACACAAAGGTTCTCCAAGTCCCCACCAGATTAGCTATATACAGAGTGTCCACACAAAGGTTCTCTAAGGCCCCACCAGATTAGCTATATACAGAGTGTCGATTGGTGCATTCACAAACCCTGAGCTAGACACAGGGTGCTGATTGGTGTATTTACAATCCCTGAGCTAGACATAAAGGTTCTCCACGTCCCCACCAGGCTCAGGAGCCCAGCTGGCTTCACCCAGGAATCCCGCGCCAGGGCTGCAGGTGGAGCTGCCTGCCAGTCCCACACCATGCCTGAGCCTCCCACCCCCTCTGTGGGCTCCTGTGTGGCCCGAGCCTCCCTGATGAGTGCCACCCCCTGTTCCATGGTGCCCAGTTCCATCGACCACCCAAGGGCTGAGGAGTGCGGGCGCACGGTCTTGGCCAGCCCAGAAAGGGGCTCCCACAGTGCAGCCGTGGGCTGAAGGGCTCCTCAAGTGCTGCCAAAGTGGGAGCCCAGGCAGAGGAGGCGCCGAGAGTGAGCGAGGGCTGTGAGGACTGCCAGCACGCTGTCACCTCTCACTAACACTTTGGGAGGCTGAGGCGTGAGGATCACTTGAGCCCAGGAATTCGAGACAAGCCAGGGTAACATGGTGAAACACCATCTGTACAAAAAATACAAAAATTAGCCAGGCATGGTGGTGCATGCCTGTAGTCCCAGCTACTTGGGAGGCTGAGGCAGGAGGATCACTTGAGCCTGAGAGGTTGAGGCTAACGTGAGCTGTGATCACACCACTGTACTCCAGCATGGGCGACAGAGTGCGACCCCATCTCCAGAAAAAAAAAAAAAAGGACTATCAAGAGAATGAAAAGACAGCCGGGCACGGTGGCTCACGCCTGTAATCCCAGCACTTTGGGAGGCCAAGGCGGGTGGATCACGAGGTCAGGAGATCGAGACCATCCTGGCTAACATGGTGAAACTCTGTCTCTACTAAAAATACAAAAAATTAGCCAGGTGAGGTGGCAGGTGCCTGTAGTCCCAGCTGCTTGGGAGGCTGAGGCTGGAGAATGGCATGAACCTGAGAGGCGGAGCCTGCAGTGAGCTGCGATCGTGCCACTGCACTCCAGCCTGGGCGACAGAGCAAGACTGTCTCAAAAAAAAAAAAAAAAAAAAAAAAGAGTGAAAAGACAACACACAGTGTAGGAGAAAATATTTGTAAATCATATCTGATAAGCAATTAATATCCACACTATATGAAGAACTCCTGAAACTCAACAACACAAAAACAACCCAATTAAAAAACAGGCAAATGACAATTTAAATAGGCATTTCTCCAAAAAAGATACACAAATAGCCCATAAACACAGGAAAAGATGCTCAGTATCACTAATCGTTAGAGAAATGCAAATCACAGGCTGGGGGTGGTAGCTCATGCCTGTAATCCCAGCACTTTGGGAGGCCACGGCAGGCAGATCACAAGGTCAGGAGCTTGAGACCAGCCTGGCCAACATAGTGAAACCCTGTCTCTATTAAAAATACAAAAAAAATTAGCCGGGCATGGTGGCAAGCACCTGTAATCCCAGCTACTCGGGAGGCTGAGGCAGGAGAATTGCTTGAACCCGGGAGGCGGAGGTTGCAGTGAGCCGAGACCGTGCTACTGCCCTCTAGTATGGGCGACAGTGCGAGACTCTACCTGAAAAAAAAAAAAAAGAGAAATGCAAATCACGGCCACTATGAGAAACCACTTCATACCCATTAGGATGGTTATCATCATCCCAAGGAAACAAAAACCAGTGTTTTTGAGGATGTGAGGAAACTGGAATCTTTGTGCATTGCTGGTGGGAATGTGAAATGATACAGCCATTATGGAAAACAGTATGGCAATTTCTCAAAAAATTGAAAATAGAATTACCATATGATCTAGTAATTTCATTTCTGGATGGATGCCCAAAAGAATTAAAAATAGGGACTTGGACAGATATTTGCACACGCATGTTCACTGCAGCATTATTCACAGTAGCCCAAAGGTGGAAACAACCCAAGTCCCCACAGACAGAAGAATGGAAAACACGATGTGATATATACGTACAATGGAATGTTATTCAAACTTAAAAAGGAATGAAATTCTGACACATGCTACAACACCGGTAAACCTTGAGGACATTATGCTGAGTGAAATAAGCCAGTCACAAAAAGACAAATATTGTATGATTCCACTTACATGAGTTACCAAATTAGTAGTCAAAGTCATAGAGACAGGATGCTGAGGCGGGTGGATCACTTGAGGTCAGGAGTTCTAGACCAGCCTGGCCAACATGGTGAAATCCTGTCTCTACTAAAACTACAAAAATTAGCCGGGTGTGGCGGCAGGCACCTGTAGTCCCAGCTATTCAGGAGGCTGAGGCAGGAGAATCGCTTGAACTCGAGAGGCGGAGGTTGCAGTGAGCTGAGATCGCACCACTGCACTCCAGCATGGGCGACAGAGCGAGACTCCATCTAAAAAAAATAAATAAATAAAAATAAAAAAGTGAAAAAATGAAAAGGATAACTTTAACTTTTTTTTTTTCAAGACGGAGTTTTGCTCGTCACCCAGGCTGGAGTGCAGTGGCGCAATCTTGGCTCACTGCAACCTCTGCCTCCCGGGTTCAAGTGATTCTCCTACTTAGTCCTCCCGAGTAGCTGGGATTACAGGCGTCTTCCACCACGCCCAGCTCATTAACTTTAACTTTTAAATATATTATTTAAATTTGGTAAAACACTTCATGTTTGAATTAAAATTTGCTCTTTCTTTTTTTTTTTTTTTTTTGAGACTGAGTTTTACTCTTGTTGCCCAGGCTGGGGTGCAGTGGCGCGATCTTGGCTCACTGCAACCTCCACCTCCCAGGTTCAAGCAATTCTCCTGCCTCAGCCTCCCGAGTAGCTGGGATTATAGGCATGTGCCACCACACCTGGCTAATTTTTTGTATTTTAGTAGAGACAGGGTTTCACCATGTTGACCAGGCTGGTCTCAAACTCCTGACCTCAGGTAATCCACCTGCCTCGGCCTTCCAAAGTGATGGGATTACTAAAATTTGCTCTTAGCAAACAAAAATATTACACTTTTCAGTTCTCACTGTTTTCAATTTTAAACACAAACTTTTGGTCATCATTGAGTTTTTTTGTTTTGTTTTGTTTTTATCTTTTTTTTTCTAGGCTGGAGTGCAGTGGCAGGATCTTGGGTCACTGCAACCTCCGCCTCCCGGATTCAAGTGATTATCCTGCCTCAGCCTCCCGAGTAGCTGGGATTACAGATGTGCGACACCACGACACCATACCTGGCTAATTTATGTATTTTTAATGGAGACAGGGTTTCACCATCTTGGCCAGGCTGGTCATAAACTCCTGACCTCAAGCAATCTGCCTGCCTCGGCCTCCCAAAGTGCTGGGATTACAGGCATGAGCGACTGCGCCTGGCCCATCATTGAGTTTTAATAATACTTGTAAGTTTTAAATTAGCACAAGACCCAGGTATGGTGGCTCACCCCTGTAATCCTAGCATTTTCAGAGGCCGAAGCAGGAGGATCGCTTGAGCCCAGGAGTTCAGACCAGCTTGGGTAACATAGTGAGACCCTGTCTTTACAAAAAATTTAAAAATTAGCCAAGTGTGGTGGCACGTGCCTATAGTCCTAGCTACCTGAGAGGCTGAGGTGGGAGGATCGCTTGAGCCTGAGAGGTTGAGGCTGCAGTGAACTATGATCACACCACTGCGCTCCAGACTAGGTGACAGAGTGAGCCTCTGTCTCGAAAAACAAACAAATAAATAAATAAATTAGCACAAGTGGTCACATAGAATTGAAGTAACTTAAGTTTTGTTTCTTTACCTTTAAAATCACTGTGTCATCATTGCTTATTCTGCAATAACTGCTTAATCTCAGGAATATGTTGCATCATGGAGTTGGAGACCCCAACAGAGCTCAAAGCCAGCTTGAATGATTCCAAACTATGAAAAAATTACTTTCAAAATGAATATGTGTAGCTGAGTCTGTGTGTGTCAAGAGGCCAGTTATACAAGTGGGATTTCTCCCAACTGACTTTGGCACACATGTTTATTAAAAGCTAAATACGGGCTGGGCGCAGTGGCTAATACGTGTAATCCCAGCACTTTGGGAGGCCAAGGTGGGTGGGTCGCCTGAGGTCAGGAGTTCGAGACCAGCCTGACTAACACAGTGAAACCCCATCTCTACTAAAAATACAAAAAATTAGCTGGGCATGGTGGCATGCGCCTATAGTCCCAGCTATTCGGGAGGCTGAGGCAGGAGAATCGCTTAAACCCAGGAGGCGGAGGTTGCAGCGAGTGGAGATAGCACCACTACACTCCAGCCTGGGAGACAGAGCGAGACTCTATCTCAGAAAAAAAAAAAAAAAAAAAAAAAGCTAAATACAATTGGCCCTGTGTATTGTGTATTCGGGAGCTTTGCATCGGTGGATGCCACCAACTGTGGATAAAAAATATTTGGGGCCAGCCGGGCGCGGTGGCTCAAGCCTGTAATCCCAGCACTTTGGGAGGCCGAGGCGGGCGGATCATGGGGTCAGGAGATCAAGACCATCCTGGCTAACACGGTGAAACCCCATCTCTACTAAAAATATAAAAAATTAGCCGGGCGTGGTGGCGGGCGCCTATAGTCCCAGCTACTTGGGAGGCTGAGGCAGGAGAATGGCTTGAACCCGGGAGGAAGAGCTTGCAGTGAGCCGAGATTGTGCCACTGCACTCCATCCTGGGCGACAGAGCGAGACTCCGTCTCAGCAAACAAACAAACCAACAAACAAAAACATATTTAGGGCCAGGCATGGTGGCTCATGCCTGTAATCCCAGCCAAGGGATTTAATTGGGAGGCCGAGGTGGGTGGATCCTGAGGTAAGGAGTTCAAGACCAGCCTGGCCAAGATGGCGAAACCCCATCTCTACTAAAAATACAAAAATTAGCCGGGCATGGTGGCAGGCACCTGTAATCACAGCTACTCGGGAGGCTGAGGCACAGAATCGCTTGAAGCTGGGAGGTGGAGGTTGCAGTGAGCCTAGATCGTGCCACTGCACTCCAGCCTGGGTGACACAGCAAGACTCTATCTCAAAATAAATAAATAAACAAATAAATAAACAAATAAATTAGCCAGGCTAATGGTGACATGTGTCCATAGTCCCAGCTACTCCAGAGGCTGAGTCAGAAGAATTGCTTGAACCAGGAGGCGGAGGTTGCACTGAGCCGAGATAGTGCCACTGCACTCCAGACTGGGCAACAGAGGGAGACTCCTCCTCCTTTTTTTTTTTGAGACGGAGTCTCACTCTGTCGCCAGGCTGGAGTGCAGTGGCACTATCTCGGCTCACTGCAACCTGTGCCTCCCGGGTTCAAGCAATTCTCTTGCCTCAGCCTCCCGAGTAGCTGGGATTACAGGTGCGTGCCACCACGGCCAGCTAATTTTTTGTATTTTTAGTAGAGACAGAGTTTCACCATGTTGGCCAGGGTGGACTCCTCAAAAAAAAAAAAAAATTGGGGAGGGCTGGGTGTGATGGCTAACACCTGTAATCCCAGCACTTTGGGAGGCCACGGCAGGCAGATCACTTGAGGTCAAGAGTTCAAGAACAGCCTGGCCAACATGGTGAAACCCCATCTCCACTAAAAATACAAAAATTAGCCGGGCATGGTGGCACACACCAGTAGTCCCAGCTACTCAGGAGGCTGGGGCAGGAGAAACACTTGAATCCTGGAGACAGAGGTTGCAGTGAGCCGAGATCATGCCACTGCACTCCAGTCTG
Organism: Homo sapiens; assembly: GCF_000001405.40. NCBI lineage: Eukaryota > Metazoa > Chordata > Mammalia > Primates > Hominidae > Homo > Homo sapiens. Next base: position 36,191,573 of record NC_000001.11, on the reverse strand, counting down.
GGCAACAGAGTGAGGCTCCACCTCAAAAAAAAAAATGGGGGAAAAAAACTGAATAAAATATAACGATACAACAATTAAAATAATACAAATTTTAAAAATAATACACTATTTACATGGCATTTACATTGTATTAGGTATTATAAGTAATCTAGAGATTACAAAGTATACAGGAGGATATACATAGATTATATGCAAATATGAAGCAATTCTTTTTTTTTTTTTTTTTTTTTTGAGACAGAGTCTCACTCTGTCACCCAGGCCGAAGAGCAGTGGTGCGATCTCGGCTCACTGAAATCTCCACCTCCCAGATTCAAGAGATTCTCCTGCCTTAGCCTCCTGCATAGCTGGGATTACAGGCGCACGCCACCACGCCCAGCTAATTTTTGTATTTTTAGTAGAGACGGGGTTTCACCATGCTGGTCAGGCTGGTCTCGAACTCCTGACCTCAGGTGATCCACCCGCCTCGGCCTCCCAAAGTGCTGGGATTACAGGCGTGAGCCACCGCACCTGGCATATTAATAAATTTTCTATCAGAGACTTGAGCATCCAAGGATTTTGATATCCCTAGGGTCCTGGGACCAATCCCCTGAGAATACAGTGGGACAACAGTAATAAATCTGTGCTAATTTTTTTTTTTTTTGAGACAGAGTCTCGCTGTATGCCCCAGGCTGGAGTTCAGTGGCGCTATCTCAGCTCACTGCAACCTCTGCCTCCCAGGTCCAATAGATTCTCCTGCCTCAGCCTCCCAAGTAGCTGGGATTACAGGCCTGCACCACCATGCCTGGCTAACTTTTTGTTTTTTTAGTAGAGACAGGGTTTGGCCATGTTGGCCAGGCTGGTCTTGAACTCCTGGCCTCCAGAAATCAGCCTGCCTGGGCCTCCCAAAGTGCTGGGATTACAGGCGTCAGCCACTGCGCCTGGCCAATCTGTGCTAATTTGAAGCTTACATATATAGTATTAAAGCTCAGCTGTTTCCGGGTGCGGTGGTTCATGCCAGTAATCCCAGCATTTTGGGAGGTTGAGGTGGGCAGATCACCTGAGGTCAGGAGTTCGAGCCAGCCTGACCAACATGGCAAAACCCCGTCTCTACTAAAAATACAAAAATTAGCCAGGTATGATGGTGGGCACCTATAATCCTAACTATTCGGGAGACTGAGGTAGGAGAATCACTTGAACCAGGGAGGCGGAGGTTGCAGTGAGCTGAGATCACGCCATTGCACTCCAGCCTGGGCGACATCGTGAAAGTCCGTCTCAAAAAAAAAAAAAGCTAGGCTGGGTGCAGTGTCTCACGCTTGTAATCCTAGCACTTTGGGAGGCCAAGGTAGGCAGATCACTTGAGTCCAGGAGTTCGAGACCAGCCTGGGCAACAGGGTGAAACCCCATCTCTACAAAAATATACAAATATTAGCCGGGCATGGTGGCATATGCCTGTAGGCCCAGCTACTTCGGGGGCTGAGATGGCAGATCATTTGAGCCTGGGAAGTTCAGGCTGCAGTGACCCATGATTGTGCCACTGCACACCGAGCCTGGGCAACAGAGCGAGACATTGTCTCAAAAAAACAAAACAAAAAACCAAACAATTCAGCAATAAATAGAGCCACTATTTAGAACTCAGACGGTGAAATATTTTTTTCAAGAAGTATTTTTTTAACATTGTTTAGAATGTCAATGCAAGGTAATAATAAAAAGCAAACTGACTTTTAGTCATTTTTATCTTGGTTCTTAAATTCTCTACACATGATGCACTTTTATTTCACACATCTGGGGCAGACCCTGCCCATCATCCTACCCTTGGTAGGCCACCGCAAGCCATACTGGAATCCAATTCGACCTGGCAACTGTGGACCAGAGGGGAGTGACAGGGGCTGCCCCTTGGGAGTCGTTCAAGTTTTTAACCCTTAATTCAGAGGATATTCTCAGGTATTACCTCCTACAGGAGGCCTCCCTTTGACAGTCTCTCCCTGCTTGAACCCAGGTCAAATATTTTTCCTTGTCAGGTATGGTGGTATACACTTGAAGTCCCAGCTACTAGGAAGGCTGAGGCAGGTGGGTCCCTTGAGCCCAGGAGTTTGAGTCTAGCCTGGGCAACTTAATAAGACCCTCATCTCTAAAGATTTTTTTAAAAAATTATCCTTTATATTCCCAAAGCACTGTGTGCTTAATTATGTCACTGACCTCGCACTGTATTCTATTTTTTTTTTTTTTTGAGACAGAGTTTCGCTCTTGTTGCCCAGGCTGGAGTGCAACGGCGTGATCTCAGCTCACCGCAACCTCCGCCTCCCAGGATCAAGCAATTCTCCTGCCTCAGCCTCCCAAATAGCTGGGATTACAGGCATGCACCACCACACCCGGCTAATTTTTTTGTATTTTTAGTAGAGATGGGGTTTCTCCATGTTGAGGCTAGTCTCAAACTCCTGACCTCAGGTGATCCACCCACCTTGGCCTCCCAAAGTGCTGGGATTACAGGCGTGAGCCACCGCGCTGGCTTTGTATTCTATTTTTATGTATTCTTCCACTTCTAGGCTGAATGCACTGAAGGCAAAGACCATGTCCTTACCAGCCAAGGGCGGTGGCTCACACCTGTAATCCTAGCACTTTGGGAGGCGGAGGCAGGAGGATCATTTAAGGCCAGGATTTCAAGACCAACGTGGACAAAAAACGAGATCTGTTTCCACAAAAAATTTAAAAATTAGCCAGGCATGGTGGTGTGCACCTGTGGTCCCAGCTACTTAGGAAGCTGAGGTGGGAGAACCACTCAAGCCCGAGGGGTCCAGGCTGCAATGAGCCATGATCACGCCATTGCACTCCATGCCCTGTTGGTCAATTAGAGCTCAATGTTCTGGCCACATTGGGACATGTCTAATACGGCTGTCCCAAAGTGGAGTGGTTTGGGGAAGGGACTGGCAGTACACAGGAGGTGATGTTGAGCTACCTCAGGATATCATGGCCCCTCATGGTGGGAAGGGGACCTTGCAACTAAGACTCTTATTCTGTGTGTTTGTTCAAGGAATACCTTACCCATATCACTAGCCCTAATTTGCAGATGAGGAAATTGAAGCTCACAGAGGTCAGGAGGGTTGCCTAGTTATAGAGTGAGTCACTGGCCAAGTCTAGAGTAGAGCACACATCTCCTGCAGCCAGGACATCAGCCATAGGCCTGTGGTCTGGTCCATGGTGGACCTGGCAGTTCCAACCTCAACTGCCTTGCCAATGTGCTCATGTAACCACCAGGTGGAGCGAGATCGCCATTCATTGGGAAGCAGGGCACAGGCTTCGGGTTGGACTGAATGTTCCTTTGAGAGGGCCCACGGGCACACACAGTGGAGCTGGGGAGTCCTGTTAAAGAAAGATTGTGTGTGTGTTGAGGGGCGGGGGTGTTGTAACAGAGCTGGAGTTCAGGAGCGTTGGCGACTGGGATGAAGAGGGGAGGAGGGAAGGGCATTTTGCTGCCTTCCTCTGGCCCTGCCTAGTCTGGCCCTACTGGGGAAAGGGCAGAGATGGGGAAAGGGAGGGATCTCCAGAGGGGATGGCTTCTGCCTCCACCTCCGCTCTCTTCAGGCTCAGTCAGGGCCTGGAACAGACCGGACATTCCTCAATCTCCAGCTGGAAACCAGGAAATCAGACCTGGAGGCTACCTCCCTGCAGCCTGGGCCAGTTCTTCCAAAGCCCTCACTGCCCCCTAGGGCCCTGCTGTCTCAGAGGAGCCACACTCCAGGCTCCTAAAGGCTGAGTCTCTCCTAGAACTTCTGTGTTCTTCCCTCCTTCCCTCCTGGCTCCTCTTTCCTGAGCTGTGGGATCAGACCCTTCCTGTGAGCACCACATTTGCATAAGAAATTGCTGTCCTGGCTCACACCTGTAATCCCAACACTTTGGGAGGCTGAGGCAGGAGGATCACTTGAGTCCAGGAGTTCAAGACCAGTGTGAGTAATATAGCGAGACCCTGTCTCTACAGGAAAAAATTAAAAATAATTAACCAGGCATGGTGGTGTGTGCCTGTATTCCCAGCTACTCAGGAGGCTGAGACAGGAGGATCCCTTGAGCCCAGAAGGTTGAGGCTGCAGTGAGCCATGATGGTGCCACTGCACTCCAACTTGGGTGACAGAGTGAGACCCTGTCTCAAAGAGAAAAAAAAAAGAAGAGGCCTGGTGCGGTGGCTCATGCCTGTAATTAATCCTAGCACTTTGGGAGGCTGAGGCGGGAGGATTACTTGAGGCCAGGAGTTCAAGACCAGTCTGGGCAAGATGGCGAAACCCTGTCTCTACCAAAAATACAAAAATTAGCCAGGCATCGTGGCATGTGCCTGTAGTCCCAGCTACTTGGGAGGCTGGGGTGGGGGGATGGTTTGAGCCGGGGAGATGGTGGTTGCAGTAAGCCAAGATCTCATCACTGCACTCCAGCCTGGGAAACAGAGCAAGACTCCATCCTCCCCACCCCCCAAAAAAAGAAGAAAGAAAAAAAAAAGGAAATCGCTATCCACAGAGTGCCAAGTCAAGTCAAACTCATGGCCTGTCCCCATCTCTCACCAGGATTGGTGCTCCTGTCTGGACTTCTCACTACCACTCTTCCCCTTTCCTCAGTCCCTTCTCCAGGTGGTAGTCCTGATCATCTTTTCTCAAATTGTTAATCTGACTATGTTGCCCATCTGCTGAAACCTTTCAGGCACTTTCCCAGCACTCTTGTAATAAACTCTTACTTAGCATGGCGCATGGGTCCTTCGTGGTCTGGTCCTTCCCACCTCTCTGACACCATGCTCCCTCTCAATCTCTAGGTTCCGGCTACACTGCCCATGCTCATCATGGGGACTTCACGTGTGCTGTTTCCTCTGCCTGGAATCTCACACCTCTTTAAAAAAATTTTTTTTGAGACAGAGTCTCGCTCTGTCACGCAGGCTGGAGTGCAATGGCATGATCTTGGCTCACTGCAACCTCTGCTTTCGGGTTCCAGTGATTTTCATGCTTCAGCCTCCCGAGTAGCTGGGATTACAGATGTGAGCCACCACACCCAGCTAATTTTTGTATTGTTAGTAGAGACGGGTTTTTCTTTTTTCTTTTTTTTTTTTTTTTGAGACGGAGTCTCATTCTGTCACCCAGGCTGGAGTGCAATGGCGTGATCTCGGCTCACTGCAAGCTCCGCATCCCAGGTTCACGCCATTCTCCTGCCTCAGCCTCCCGAGTAGCTGGGACTACAGGTGCCCGCTACCACGCCCGGCTAATTTTTTTGTATTTTTAGTAGAGACAGGGTTTCACCGTGTTAGCCAGGATGGTCTCAATCTCCTGATCTCGTGATCCGCCCGCCTGGGCCTCCCAAAGTGCTGGGATTAGAGGCATGAGCCACCGCGCCCAGCCTAATTTTGTATTTTTAGTAGAGACGGGGTTTCACTGTGTTAGCTAGGGTGGTCTCGATCTCCTGACCTCGTGTTCTGCCTGCCTCGGCCTCCCAAAGTGCTGGGATTACAGGCTTGAGCCACTGTGTCCAGCTTATTCACTGTCTTTTAAAATTTTAGTTTGGTTTGGGTTTTTTTGTTGTTTGAGACAGGGTCTCACTCTGTTGCCCAGGCTGGAGTGCAGTGGCACAATCACGGCTCACTGCAGCCTCAACCTCCTGGGCTCAAGTAATCCTCCCACTCAGCCTCTTGAGTATGTGGGACTACAGGTGTGCACCACCACATCTGACTATTTTTTTGGTATTTTTTATAGAGACAGGGTTTCGCCATGTTGCTCAGGCTGGTCTCAGGCTCCTGGACTCAAGAGATCCCTGCTCTTCGGCCTCCCAAAGTGCCGGGATTGTAGGAGTGAGCCACTGTTTGTCATAATTGTAATTGTAATTGTACATTTGTTTGTAATATTATTTAATTAATTACTAATAAAGTTCCATGAGGTAAGAACCATGTCAATTTTTGCTCATCTAAAAATCTCCAGCACCTCTGAGCCTGGTACATAATAGATGCTCAATAGATATTTGTTGTTTGTTGTTTTTGTTTTTTGTTTTTTGTTTTTTTTGAGACAAGGTCTCACTCGGTCACCCAGGAAGGAGTGCAGTGGCGTGATCTCAGCTCACTGCAACCTCAGCCTCCTGGGCTCAAGCGATCCTCCCATCTCAGCCTCCCGAGTAGCAGGGACTACAGGCATGCACCACCACACTGGACCAATTTTTGCATATATGTATACATATATATATATGTATATTCTTTTTTGAGACAGAGTCTCGGTCTGTTGCCCAGGCTGGAGTGCAGTGGCATGGTCTCGGCTCACTGCACTCCACCTCCGGGTTCACACCATTCTCTTTCCTCAGCCTCCGGAGTAACTGGGACTACAGGCACCCACCACCACACCCGGCTAATTTTTGTATTTTTAGTAGAGACGGGGTTTCACCGTGTTAGCCAGGATGGTCTCGATCTCCTGACCTTGTGATCCACCCACCTCGGCCTCCCAGCGTGCTGGGATTACAGGCGTGAGCCACCGTGCCCGGCTTATTATTTATTTATTTTTTTTTGAGAGGGAGCCTTGCTCTGTCTCCCAGGCTGGACTGCAGTGGCACAATCTCGGCTCACTGCAAGCTCCGCCTCCCGGGTTCATGCCATTCTCCTGCCTCAGCCTCCCAAGTACCTGGCACTACAGGCGCCCGCCACCACGCCTGGCTAATTTTTTGTATTTTTAGTAGAGACGGGGTTTCACCATGTTACCCAGGATGGTCTCTATCTCCTGACTTCGTGATCTGCCCACCTCGGCCTCCCAAAGTGCTGGGATTACAGGCGTGAGCCACCATGCCCAGCCCTGCATGTATATATTTTTTATTGAGGCAGGCTTCCACCTGGTTGCCCAGGCTGGTCTCAAACTCCTGAGCTCAGGCAGTCCACTCATCTCAGCCTCCCAAAGTGCTAGAATTACAGGTGTGAGCTACTGTGACCAGCAAGATGCTCAATACATGTTCTTTGAATGAATAAGTACATTTATGTTACACACTCCTCTCCATCTCTATCTCCCGAGCATGAGCCTCTATCATCTCTTATCTGCACCTCAGCAATCACTTCTTGGTTTGTCTTCCAGTTTATAATCAAGTTTCTGTCGATCAGTTTTCCACCAAAAAGCCAGAGTGGTCTAATAAAATAGCCTATTTGGCAGGCGCGGTGGCTCACGCCTGTAATCCCAGCACTTTGGGAGACCAAGGCAGGTGGATCCCCTGAGGTCAGGAGTTTGAGACCAGCCTGACCAATATGGTGAAACCCCATCTCTACTAAAAATACAAAAATTAGGCCAGGCACAGTGGCTTACGCCTGTAATCCCAGCACTTTTGGAGGCCGAGGCGGGCGGATCACGAGGTCAGGAGATCGAGACCATCCTATCCCGGCTAATACGGTGAAACCCTGTCTCTACTAAAAATACAAAAAAATTAGCCAGTCATGGTGGCTGGCGCCTGTAGTCCCAGCTACTTGGGAGGCTGAGGCAGGAGAATGCCGTGAACCCGAGAGGTGGAGCTTGCAGTGAGCCGAGATCGCGCCACTGCACTCCAGCCTGGGTGACAGAGCGAGACTCCATCTCAAAAAAAAAAAAAAAAAAAAAAAAAATACAAAAATTAGCCGGAGGTGGTGGTGTGTGACTGTAAGTCCCAGCTACTCGGGAGGCTGAGGCAGGAGAATTGCTGGAACCCCGGAGGCAGAGGTTATAGTGAGCAGAGATCACATCACTGCACTCCAGCCTGGGCCACAGAGCAAAACTCCGTCTCAAAAAACCAAAACAAAACAAAACAAAAAACTGCCTATCTGATCATGCCACCCTTCCACCCCCTGTTGAATAGCCTTCAGTGGCTTCCCATGGCCCTTGGAATAAAATCCAAGCTCTTGACCACAGCCTTACAAGGCCTTGCATGGTCTAGCTCACCTCATGCCAAGCTCCACCTCCTCAACTGACATTTCTTAATTCAACAAATATTGAGTGCCTGTTCCACCAGGCTCTGGGGTGAGCAAAAACAGACTCCTTCAGCTCTGCTTAGTCCTCTAGATACTTGAACATACCTCCTTCCCATCCACAGCCTGTGCATGTGGTTTCCCTTGTTCTGGAATCCAGTCCTTTCCCTCTCCTTCTTTCTCTACCTTCCTGACTTTGCCCAGTCAACACCTACTCACCCATCAGATCTGATTACACACCATTCATTCAGGGATATCTTATCCGACCTGAAGCTAGTTTAGGTCCCCCTGTATACGCTCTTAACTGCTCCCTATGTTTGACTTCACAGCACTCACCACATTTTCTTTTTTAACATTTGTTCCTGTGGTGATATGGTGATTTGGTTTATACCCATCTTCCTTGCCAGGAAGCGCCAGGAGCTTCTACGTCTGGTTTTTGCTTACCATCGTTTCCCTCCGGTGCTCAGCTGGTGCTCCACAGGCAATTTACTGATTGACTAAATGAATGAGTAAACAATTCCCCCATAAGAGTATTCAGAGTTCTGCCCTTCAGGGAAATGTTGGCACCTCTGCCTCACTGTACATAGGAGCTGGTGGGTGATGGCTGAGGAGGGGAGGCCGGGAGGGGCATACATATAGGAGCTCTCACCAAGCAGAGAGCTGAATGAGTGTGCTAGTCCCTTCCTGCCCCTTACTGTCCCTAGAGCGCTGTGACTTAGCCCTGCCCACCTCTCCAACCCCATCTAGCACCTCTCCCCTTTGATGCTCCAGCAAGAGGAGCTCCTGCTCCTTTGTCCCTGGAATTCCCAGCCTCCTGCATACTGACCCCTCCATCTGCAACTTGCCTCCTCCTTCCTTTCACAAGGCTGGCTCCTCCCTATCCTTCTTCAGGTCCAGTTTAAATGCTGCTTTTTTTTTTTTTTTTTTTGAGATGGAGTCTCGCACTGTTACCTGGGCTGGAGTGCAGTAACAAGATCTCGGCTCACTGCAACCTCCGCCTCCCAGGTTCAAGCGATTCTCCTGCCTCAGCCTATCGAGTAGCTGGGACTACAAGCGCGCACCACCACACCCGGCTAATTTTTTGTATTTTTAGTAGAGATGAGGTTTCACCATGTTGGCCAGGTTGGTCTTGAACTCTTGACCTCGTGATCCGCCTGCTTCAGCCTCCCAAAGTGCTGGGATTACAGGCATGAGCCAGCATGCCCGGCCTAAATGCTGCTGCTTTTTTTTTTTTTTTTTGAGACAGAGTCTCCCTCTGTCACCCAGGCTGGAGTGCAGTGGCGCGATCTCGGCTCACTGCAACCTCCGCCTCTCAGGTTCATGCCATTCTCCTGCCTCAGCCTCCCGAGTAGCTGGGACTACAGGTGCCCGCCACCACGCCCGGAGAATTTTTTGTATTTTTAGTAGAGACGGGGTTTCACTGTGTTAGCCAGGATGGTCTCGATCTCCTGACCTCGTGATCTGCCCACCTTGGCCTCCCAAAGTGCTGGGATTACAGGCGTGAGCCACCACGCCTGTCCTGTTTTTGTTTTTTGAGATAGGGTCTCACTCTGTTGCCCAGGCTGGAGTGCAGTGACACAATCAGGGCTCACTGCAGCCTTGACTTCCCAGGCTCAGATGATTCTCCCACTTCAGCCTCCTGAGTAGGTGGGATTACAGGCATGTGCCACCACGCCTGGCTAATTTTTGAATTTTTGTTAGAGATGGGGTTTCACCATGTTGCCTAGGCTGGTCTTAGAACTCTTGGGCTGAAGCAATCTACTGGCCTTGGCCTCCCAAAGTGTTGGCATTACAGGCATGAGTGCAGTGTTTTTTATACCTAATCTCAGATGTGACACACCATCACTTCTGCCGTATTCTATTGGCCACTCAACCCAACCCTGATACAACATAGGAAGGAACTACACAAGGGTGTGAATACTAGGAGGTAGGGGACATCATCGAGAGGTCATTACAGAGGCTGACGACCACATTGTCAAAAATGAGGATGCCGGTGGCTCACGCCTGTAATCCCAGCACTTTGGGAGGGCGAGGCAGGCGGATCACAAGGTCAGGAGATAAGAGAACATCCTGGCTAACACGGTGAAACCCCATCTCTACTAAAAATACAAAAATTAGGCAGGCGTGGTGGCTGGCGCCTGTAGTTCCAGCTACTCGGGAGGCTGAGGTAGGGGAATCGCTTGAACCTGGGAGGTGGACGTTGCAGTGAGCTGAGATTGCACCACTGCCCTCCAGCCTGGGCGATGGAGCCAGACTCCGTCTCAAAAAAAAAAAAATGAGGATACCCTTCCTGAAGCCCCCAGGAGGCTTCCCTTCATGTCTACTGGCTGAAACTGTGTCACATGTCCATGCCTACACCAGTCAATCATGAGGGGTTTGGGACCATTGTTTTTGATCCCAGTCACAATCACGATTCACCCCTGCGGCTAAGATCCACCTCCACTGAAGCACAGGGTGCCATCTAAAAGAAAGATGGCTACCTGAATAGAGATTATTTGGAATGAGGAAGGGGCAATGGGAATAGATGTTGAGTGGGCAGCCCACAGTGTCCACGACACTCACCCACTAGACTATAAACTGCACAAGGACAGAGATTACATCCTTTCTGACTATTGCATCCCCAGTGCATAGCCTACTGCCTGACACAGAGTAGATGCAACAGTATTTGTTGAATAAATAAATGAATGAATTCATGACTAAACTGGAAGACCATAGGGCAGGAGTTCAGGACTAATACCACCAGCCCGAGGCTTCTTCAGTTCTTAGAACTCAGGAGGCCATCTGCTCCCACCTCCGCCACCAGCTCCAAGAACAGGCAGGATTGGCAGAATTATTCTTTATTTCTGGAGACATTTAATCAGATGCAGTAACACTGATTCCAGGCGAGGGCAGGGGGCATGGGTACCCCTGAAGCAACCAGTATCCTGTGGCCCAAGGTGTCCCCCATCCCCAGACCTGGGATCCCCCTCAGTTACAGTTAAATAGAGAGAGGAAGATCTCCCCAGGGGGCTTTGGGGGGAGGGTCTGCCTCCTGCACCCACCCTCTCCACGCAGAGGAGTCTGAGCACAAGCTATTTACAGTATTCACATCCACTGTACCCCACCAAATCAAGGCAAATACTACAGGTGGCCCCTCCCCAAGGGAAGAGGCCAGAGAGGCTGTGAGTGTATATGTGTGTATGGGGGAGAAGGGATGTCTGCGCGTGCGAGCACACGAATGCACTGAGGGGCAGATCTGGCTCCGGCCAAAGAGACATCAGTCTATAAGGTGCAGATTAAAAACAACAGAGAGGACCCACCCCCAGGGGCCCAGGCCACTTCCATCTTTGTTCTGTCTTTTTCTCCTCCAGACATCCTGGTAGGTGATGCAGAGGAGCCCTCACAACTGTGCCCGGATCCAAGGCAAACCCTCTTAAAGGACTTCTGGGGAAAAACAGGAAGGGAAACAGTCAGGGCAAACAGCACTCAAGCCCAGATAGCTGGGGGTCTTCAGGGTGGAGCAGGAGAGGGTGCCTGGCAGAGCCAGAAGAGAAGGCAGGGCTGAGGAGTACAGGGAAGGCTGCTGGGAGGAATGGAGCTGGGTCCAGGAATCAGGAGATCTACCTGTGACCTGCGGGGACTGCACCACAGCTTTCTTGAGGAAGGCTTCTGCCTCTGCAAAGGGCAGGAGTGTCTCTGGTGTTCGGCTCAGACTCTTGTCCCCAGAGGGTCCGTTGGTGGAGAAGCCATTCTCCTGGTGTGCTGGGAGAGGCTGCAGGCCATTCACCAGGGACGCTGGCAACTCCTTGCTTGGGAGACTGTGGATGCAGAGGCCAAGGCTCAGCACCTCACCTCCCAGGAAAGCCCAGGCCACCCCGCAGCTCCAGCTGCAGTCTGCCTCCCTGCTCAGGGACCCTGGGATTGGAAGCTGGTACCTCCACTGAGGCTCCTGTGGGATGGGCTCCTCTTTCTGCACAGCCTCCTTCTGCAGCCCTGGGGACCGAGCCTCCACAGCTTTCACAGGCTCTGTCACAGGGAAAGAGGGGCCATCAGCCAGGGGCTGGCAAGAGAGGTGAGGATGGAGGAGGAGGAGGATGGCAAAGGGAAGGGAGGCGAGAGGAATGGGGGCTTTACCTGGGCTGGAACCGTTGGCGTTGGCCTCCTTGCTGTCCTGCTTCTGCTTTGAAGAGGAAGAGCAGTCAGGCTCAAGGGACAGCCGGCCCCAGCCACTTCGGACTGAGTTCGGCCCTCCCCTTGCCCGGGCCGCAGCGGCCTCCCTGACAGCCTCGCTCTCCGTGGCCATGGATGCCTTTCCGCAGCCTCCTTTTCACACCCTGCCCCCCACGCCCAGCACTGCCCTTCGGGGGAATTCTGACCTTGGTTTCAGAAACTTCTGACTTCCGAGTCCTCTTCATGATCTCCTCCAGACGCTGTTTGGAGGCCGCAGATCAGTTAGGCTCGAGCCCCGCCCCTAATCCTAAACCTCCCACCAGCCAGACCCGGCCTCGGAGTCTTAGGGCCTCCCAGCTCATAGCAGCCCTCTCCAGGACAGGAACTGGAATTTGCCCCAGCGCTTTCCCGTCCTGTCCGCTCTAAGCCCAGGCCCCGCCCACCTGGCCCGCCCTGCCCAGGCCCCGCCCACAAATCCCCGCCCAGGTCCGCACACCTTTCTGCGCTCTTGCCGCTCTTGCTCCTGCTGCTGGAAGTGCTTTTCCCGCTCCAGACGCTGCCGCTCCGCCTCTTCCCGCGACCGAGCTTCGGCCTCCTCTTTCTGCCAAAGACCCCCATGAGCGTGGGGCACTTGACTCCAGCCTTCCCTCCCGGCCCGCGGCGCCCGCGCCCAGCCGCTTCCCGCCCGCCGGGGGCACCTGCTTCTGCAGCCGCTCCTGCTCCTCCTGCTCGGCCTGCGCCTTCTCTCGTGCCTCCTGCTCCTCCCGCCTCCGGGCCTCCGCCTCCCGCTCCGCCCGGGCCTCGGCCTCCCGTGCCAGCTGCTCCTCTCGCATTCGCCTGGGGGACGGAGCAAACGGCTCAGGCTCGGCCTCTGCTTCTTCTCCAGCGCCCACGAGGGCCCCCTCAGTCCCCGAGGCGCACTCACTTGTCCCTTTCTGCCTGCAGCCTCCGCTCCTGCTCCTCGCGCTCCCGCTGCTCCCGGGCCTGGCGCCGCTTCTCAGCCAAGAGCCGAGTGGCTTCTTCTCGGTCTGTGGTGCCGGCCATTGGTTTGCTAGGGGTCACCGGGGGAGCAGGGGCTGGGGGTGAGGTCAAGACAGCAGCGTCTGGAGGGGGATCCGGGATCAGGCGTCAGCACACCCACGCAGACACCGCCGTCATCTCCCAGCGGCCTGTGTTCTGGGCCTGGGACTGCTGAGGGCAGGAGTCTCCTCTTTCCATGTCCCACTCCCAGTCCTCAGGCATCTCTGGCGGCCCACACCCCCACACAGGAGAAGCTGGCTTCTCTCGCTCGGCCCACCCCTCCCCTCTCTTCATTCCTACCTGTAGGGGTCTCCGCGGGGGGCTGCTCCTTCTGGGGCGGGGCTGGGGTGGGCGAGGGCGCCGGCGAAGGTGCCGGTGAGGCTGGGGCTGCTGACTCCTTCTCGTTACTGGCCCTGCGCTTGCTCTGGCTCTTGTCCTCGGGCCCTGCGGCGCTGGGGCTCTCCTTTGCCTCCTCCTTCCTCCGAACCCGCCCCTTGGGGGATGCAGTGGTGCCTCGGGGGGACGGTGGCTTTGGAGGCAGAGTGTGGCCTGGCCCTGGGCTGGGGCAGGGGGAGGCAGGCCTGTGCCAGGATGTGGAGGGAGAGGATGGCCTGGCCTTGGATTTGGGGCTAAGAGAAAAGGGAAAAGGGAAGGGTTAGGAGACACACACACCCACACGCTGAGAACTTGTTCCTTCCTCTGGGAGGTGCCCCCTCCCCCAGGCTACATCAGCGCCGCCCCCCGCCCCCTTGCTCTCACAGAAACACACCATTCCCTTTTAGAGCATACACCCCAGTTTGTAATGACATGTTTCTGTGGGATTCTTTGATTATTGTATGTCCCCCGCCAATAGCCTGTAAGCTTAATAAGAGAAAAAACCATGCTTGGGTTAGCTCAGCAACGTGTCCTCAGCACCCTGAGTGCTACCTGACAGGTCCATTCATTCAGCAGGTTTTGTTGTTGTTGTTGTTGTTGTTTTTAAGACAGAATCTGGCTGACCCCCAGGCTGGAGTGCAGTGGCATCATCATACATAGCTCACTACAGCCTCGACCTCCTGGGCTCAAGCAATCCTCCCCTTGGCCTCCCAAAGTGCTGGGATTACGGGCGTGAGGCACTACCCTGGCCCTTCAGTAGGTATTCACTGAGTGGTTACCAGGTGCCAGGCACTATTTTAGGTGTTGGGGTACTTCAGTAACCAAAACACTTAAAAAAACAAAAACAAAAACGAACAAAAAGAAAAATGGAGGCTGGGCGGGGTGGCTTACACTCACACATGTAATCCCAGCACTTTGGGAGGCCAAGGCGGGTGGATCACCTAAGCTCAAGAGTTCAAGATCAGCCTGGACAACGTAGCGAAACCCCCACTCTACCAAAAATACAAAAAATTAGCCGAGCGTGGTGGCGCGCCTGTAGCCCCAGCCACTTGGAAGGCTGAGGTGGGAGGATAGCCTGAGCCTGGGAGGTCAAGGCTGCAGTGAGCCGAGATTGTGCCACTGCACTCCAGCCTGGGTGACAGAGGGAGATCCTGTCTCAAACAAAACAGAGAGAATCTGCCCTCAGGGAAGTTGCATTCTAGAGGTGGTTGCCCAACAAATATTTGTGGGTGATGAATAAATGACCCGGTGAGGGGCAGGGTCCCTCGCACCGCCCGCGCCCACCTGAGCTCAGAGGCGGTGCTGGCAGAGAGGCGGGCACGTGGGGAGGCGGGCAGCGACTGGCGCTTCTTGAGGCTGCGCTCCCGGGCTAGGGCACTCTTCTCCTTCTCGTTTTCCCGCTCCTTGTCCTTCTTCTCCTTTTTCTGCACCTGGCAGGGAAGGAGGAACGGAAGAGGAGAGTAGAGGTCAGCAGCGCCCGCGTACCCCAGTTCCAGGCTGCCTGTCCCCACCTGCGCGGCCACTCGAGCCAGTAGAGCCACTCACCGGCGAGGCCTCCGGCCGGCGGCGCACCGGAGCGGGGCTGCCCCCGGCGTTGGGCTTGCGGCGCTCCCCGCGCTCACCGGCGGGGGCGCAGCGGTGCACGCTTCGGGTGACGCTGCACGGCGTCAGGGGGCTGGCGGAGGCCGAGCGCGGGCACACCGGCACGGCTGCAGAGGGATGAGTGCGGTCGGGTTGCGGCCCGCGCGCCAGGCTGGCCCCTGCCCGGCCCCACGTGGGGCCTCTCCCAGGGTCGCAGCCCCTACCCTGGTCCCGGCCGTTGCGGGGCAGTGTGACCGCGCTGCGACTCCGAGCAAGGAAGGAGAGAGTGGGCGTCATCAGACGATCCACGATGCTGCTCTCCCATGCGCTCAGCTGCAGGCTGCGATCTGGGGGTAGAAGGCCAGGCGAAGCCGGTCACCGTGGGGGCCGTAGGAGGCAGGAAGAGGCAAGGGAGCAGACCAGGCACCATCCCCATGCCAAGGCCAAGGCTTCTCACCCGGGAGTCCTCTCCCCACAATCACACCGGGGCCACACTTGTCCTCCCTATGATCTGGACTTCCACTACAGACCCAGGCAACCAGACACTTCCCAGGGCAACATCCTGCATCGGATGAGGGTCCCCGCCTACAACGCTCCCCAGGTGAAGGGGCCCTGAACGGCGCATATAGGAAGGAGCCATCCAGGATTGGAAGAAAACCCAATTGCCCTCTGCCATGTCCCAGTGTAAGGTCTTGCCCCTCCTGCTGTCAGAGGGCTGACCCAGCCGAGGCTGTCCCATGGATTCAGGACAGTGAGGGTCCTTGTGCTCCTCTGACCCAGCTTTTAGCAGTCCTGTGCCAGGGAGAGGCTGCTAGGGTGCCTGCCTGCCCTAGGCCACCCTGCTCTGTCCCCTCAGCTGCTGGGCTATTTTTAAGCCTCAGTCAGGTGGGGTTGGTACAGCAGCTGATTTGGTTGCTAGGCAACAAAGCAGCCAAACAAATGCAAGAGAAACTTATAAATAACTCCCACCATGGCTCCTTCACATATGAGCACCAGGGCATGGTGGGAATGCAGGGGCTATGCCACCTTGGTTGGCTCAACTCTGGGACCAGCCAAGGCCATGACTGGGGCTCTGAAGACAGAGAGGGCAGGATTGCATGGGCCCTCTAGGGTGGAGCCAGAATGAGGGACCCCTCCACCCCACAGCACCCAGGCCAGTCTGACACATGGGGACAATGCCACCTGGCTAAGGTTGGCCCAGACCAGCTGGCTGTGGTTGCAGAAAAGGCTGCCTGCCTGTCCCCACCCCCAGCCACCACCTCCAACTTGCTCTTGAGGCTCCTGCCAGGCTTCCTGCCCTCTGCGGCATTGTGCTTTGTCTCTGTTCTCCTCTCCTACAGGGCAACCTCTGTCCTCAGGGTCCAGACCCATATGCCGGCTCCCCCGAGGGGCACAGAGCCCTGGGTAAGGTAGAGTGGGGATGGGGACCTGGAGTATGTGAGGGCTCCAGGGACCTGGTGTTCTTGCTGAGCTCTGGAGGAGGCTTGGTGGGAGCTACAAGGGGCTCTGGAGGGGGAAGGGCTGGGCCTTCTCTTACTTCTACTGGGGGAGTTCCAGAGCGTGGCAGAGGACTTTGAGAGCCGCTTGTTGATTATAGAGTCCACGTGTTTGGGCAGGTTAACTGCCGACACGGAGCACCTGCTCCCACCTGGAGGGGGAAAAGACACGGCATTAGGGCCGGGCCCGGCAGGAGCCAGTGGGGGGCACCGAGGCCTTCCATGCAGGATGCTCCGAGGGCGGGGTGGGAGAGGGAGGAGTGGGCAGGCTAGGATGAGGAGCAGGAGGCAGCCTTGGCCCTGGGAGAGGGAGGGTGGGGGGGTAGGTGACCAGAGACAACCTGGGTTGGGGGAGCCGACGGAGAAGGAACAAAGGGAGGAGATGAGTAAAACTAGAGAAACTACAGCTTTCCTGGCCAGACCAAGGAAGCCATTCCTTACGGCTGAGTACTGCAACCCCTCCCCATAACCACCCAGCATTAGCACTTGCTGACACTGCCCAGCCAAGACGTTTGGATACAACACCCCCGTACTGGGATAAATGCAAAAACCCTCCTAAACAGGACCTACACAGTCACAGTCACTTGCACAAATCCACGTGTTCATCCAGAATCACAAAAAGACATGCAGACACAGGCATATAGAGTGGCAGATACTTCGGCATGCACACATGTGTGCAGACATGCACAGGGACAGAGACACAAACACTAACAGATAGTGTGTCAGACCCAGATGCACACAAGCCACAAACAGATCGAAGCAACCTCATCATGACATTTGTAGCAGCTCACATTTGTTGATGCTTACCATGTGCCAGGTACTGTGTGGGGCACCACACACATGTGACCTCATTTGATCCTTCAAACATCTATCTACCACCTCAGGGGCAAGTAGTATCACTATCCCCAGTTTATAGATGAAGAAAGTGAGACTTCGAGAAGTTAAAGGTTACGCTGCAAGTGCCAGAGCTGGAACCCAAGTCTGTCTGACTTAGGAGCCCTCACTGAGGTACACAAGGTCACAAACACGCCAAGGCAAACACATATTAAGACACACAATGCACGGGTCCAGGAGCACATAAACAGAAGATACACAGCTAGAAATACTGAAACTTGCCATTGCATAAAGACATCCAAGCACAGTGGTACATACATGCCAGCAAAGAATCAGACCAAAATCCATGGTGGCCCTACGCGGAGAAAACTCAGAGACAAAAATCTACCTTCCGAGACAAGGAGTGACAGTTTCTTTAAGATCCAGTGTCTGTAGGTCATTAAAGTCTTTTATGTATCAACAACTAATAATAATTGACAGGCGCAAAGAAGGCTAATCCTAAAATGACAGAGGTTTGAAGAGCAAACCAAATGGAGAGAATCCATCTCTGATTTGATAGTGGAAGTCCTTGGGAAGGGACAGTTTGGCTTACAGACCATTCTAGAAGACACAAGTCACATAAAGCAAGGCACACCTGCTGCAGGGAGCCACCAGCTTTTTGTAGGGAAGTTGTTCCCTTCCCTTACTTGCCATCCCAGCCTTGCCCACCCACTCCCCAGCCCCTCCAGCCTACTCACTGGTCTTATGTCCTGGAGAGCTGTGGTGCAGGGCCCCTGCCCAGGACCAGCGCTGCTGCCGGATTTCGGCCCACGTCTTCTTCACTGACCGTTGGATGGCTGCTTCATAGCGCTCCTGGGGGAAGGTGGGGAGAAGAGAGAGATGTGGACTCAGAACATTCATCGAATTTGGGATAGAGGCCCTTCTTCCTCCTGTGACAATGCCTCCCCCACTCCCTTCCCTTGGAGTCTTTTCCTGACTCATTGCAGGTAACCAAGGTTACCAAATCCTTGCTATGATTAAGGACCAAGATCCCTTTCAACTTGTTCTTGGGGAGCTTTTCACTGTTCCTGAGTCATTTCCTGAGTGCATGAGTTGATTCTCTGAGGATTGGGTGGACTCCCCCTACCTGGGGCTCCCAGGCAAGGCCACATCTCAGGCACTGAGGGTCCTGACCTTGGGGCTATGTGTTCCCTCTAGCCTGAGGCCCTCCCAGGTAGGGCCAGGTGGCCATTTCCTTCATTTCCTCACCAGCACTCAAGCTAGGGCTTTACCCATGTCACAGAGCTAGGCACGCTCACACAGATGCATACCTGCATACATACAGACACATGGGGTACATGTACGAACACAGGTACTGACAGTAAACAGTTACAGGGGCCTACAGTGGCACATTCAGAAGCAAATGTGCCTGCAGTTGTACAGGTGCCCAGATATTCTAACACAGGGACACAACTGTAGATGTGAACACAAATAGGACCACATAGACACAGATAAGGCAGAGCCGTGAACATGGATGTGTGTACACACTGCACCAGTATGCAGACGGTGAGCACACGTGTACATGGATTCACGGAGACCCATCCCGCACCTTGTTTTTCTCGAGCTTCTGCCGCTGCCGTTCCTCCAGGGCTGCACGGCGTTGCTCGGCTTTAAGACGTTGCTCCTCCAGCCGGCGCCGGCGCTCCTGGAGCTGCTTCTCCCGCAGCGCCTTGGCCTTCTCCTCCTTCTCCAGCCACACTGCCTTCTTGGCCGCTGTGGACAAAGGAGCCCAGTGGCGTGTGTGAAGGGTTCTGCAGAAGGCCTGGGCCAAGGACATTTCCTCCAAGTGGCCAGCCCTGCTACCCATGCCCTGGGTGGGTCTTTCTCCCGCCTGCTTAGGTGGAGCTTTCAGTCTGAGACAACCCCCTCAAATTGAGAGGCTTACTGAAGACAGGACTCAGGAGAGGCCTATTTCTCCTCCATTGGCCTTATGGGCTCTCAGGGCTGAAGGAGAAATGAATGCTTGAGTGCAAGATCCCCATCTGACCTGGGGGGCCTACCAGACAGATGTCCACATACTGTGATTAAGAGCATGGGATTTGGGGTGGCAGGAGGCTTCTGGGTCTGAATGTCAGCTACTCTACTAGCTGTGTGGCTTAAGCAAATGATTTCATCTCTCTGAGCCTCTGTTTCCTCCTCAAAATGGGTTGAGGATTAAATTAGATGTGTGTCCTGCTCTTAGCACAGTGCACATAATTAAGTGTTGCAGAAGTGTTGGTTTTTTTTTTTTTTTTTTTTTTTTGAGACGGAGTTTTGCTCTTGTTGCCCAGACTGGAGTGCAATGGCACAATCTCGGCTCACCACAACCTCCGCCTCCCAGGTTCAAGCAGTTCTCCTATCTCAGTCTCCCGAGTAGCTGGGATTACAGGGATGTGCCACCATGCCTGGCTAATTTTTTGTATTTTTAGTAGAGACAGGGTTTCTCCACATTGGTCAGGCTAGTCTCAAACTCCTGACCTCAGGTGATTCGCCCGCCTCGGCCTCCCAAAGTGCTGGGATTACAGGCGTGAGCCACTGCGCCCCAGCCTGTTGGTGTTATTAATAGGATGCTGATGATGACGATGAAGAAGATGATGAGGCTTCCTGCTCACTCACCCAGGTACTTGGCCCGCTCTTCTCGCCGCTCCTTTGCCAGCTTGTGTCTCTCTCCTGCCTTCTTCACCTCTGAGCAGAGGGAACAAGAACAGACAGGTCAAAAGGCTGTCCCCAAAGAGGAGTCAGCCTCAGATCCCTCCCTCCGGGCCTCACCCCATCCTTTCTTTATCTCCTCTAGGGCAAACAGGACTCTTTCAGTTGGCATGATCCAGGGCCAGGACCCTGAGCCAAGAGGTTTAGGCCCAGGCCGGGGTCATTACACACACCTTGCTTGGTGGGAGGGCTGTCGGAGGCTGGCACTGCTGTTGGAGATGGCTGGCTGCTCCTTCGAGGAGGTCTGGCATCCCGTGGGCCCATGGCTGGTGGGGTGGGTCCTCTGCTCTTTGCTTCAGAGGAAGGGGACTCTTCCTGCGGGGGGGCTGGCCTAGGCCCGACCTGCCCTGAGGGGCTCTCTGGTTCCAGTGGGAGCTGCTTAGAGCTAGTGGCATTCTTCATGGCAGGAGGGGTGTCCGGGGGAGTGTCGGGGACCAGGGCTGACATTGGTGGTGGTGGGGGGGAAGGGTCACCTTCTGGAGAAGGTCTTGGCTCTGGGGGGGTCCTGGCGACCACAGCTGAAAGACCAACACAAGAGAGGAGAGAGGTCAGATTGCTCATCTGTGCCATCAGCCCCATATGTGGCCCTCTCCCTTGTTCAACCGACTTCTTCATTCACTTATGTTTGAGTTATTTCTATGTGCCGGGCCCTGTTCCAGATACTCATGATATAATGGTGAGAAAATAGCCATGATCCCTGCCTCTGTGGCGCTTACCCTCTAGCAGGGCAGACAGACAAATAGCTAGGCAACTACAGTAGAGAATAAATACTATGTCTGGGGCAGCAAAGCAGAGATAGTTAACCTATATGGGGAGGGCTTGCTGAAGAAGTAACAACCAAGCTGAGATCCGAAGGATAAGCTGGAGTCAGCAAAGCAAGGAGGAGAGGTGTTGGCAGAGAAGAGTATATGCGAAGGGGCAGAATGGAGCAGGGTGTGTTGGAAAAGCTGAGAACAAGCTTGTAGCACTTATTCGTGCACCAAATGCACTGATTGTTTCCATGTCTGCCTCCCTCTCCTTTCTGCTTTACTTCTGGGTGACTGTGCCCAACCCAAGGTCTGTTCACAGAGGGTGCCAGTGCTGGGCACATGGGACTGACCAAGAGGAAGGACGTAAGTATGGGCTCTAGTGGAATGCTTTGCTGTGAAGATTCCATTGGCAACAAGCTACGTCCACTTTATAATCTTTTTTCCCCAAGCCACACCGAAATTTCTGCTTTTAAGACATGACTATTGTAGGAATCCTGTAAAAGACATCGAAGTGAAGTAAGGGAGCCACACGATTTGACATATACACATGTGGGGCAATTGAGAGACAGGCTTCAGAGTCAGTCAGATGAGGAAGATGGGAAGAGAGGGCTTGTTTCCCCAGCAGACAACCATGGACAAGCCAGTCAACCTCTCTCAGCCTCAGGTTTTTTTGTTTTGTTTTGTTTTGTTTCCCCCCAAGTCTACTTGCTGCTAGTGAATTTTTCAAGGGTCTAGTTAGTTCCTTTAAGTCTCTTTTTTTAAATTTTTATTTTTTAAGAGATAGGGTCTTGCTATGTGGCCCAGGCTGGATTCAAACTCCTGAGTTCAAGAGATCCTTCTGCCTCAGTCTCCCAAGTAGCTGGGATTACAGGCCCATGCCTGGCTCAGCCTCAGTTTTGATACCTGTAAAATGGGGATAACAAGCCCAAGCTAGTAGGGAATGTCAGCAAGGTGCCTGGCACTATCCACATGCCAGCCAGCAAACAGCACTCCCTGTTGGTCTTATGAAGCCTCCTGGTCTCCCAAACAGAAGCTTCTGTATGTTGAGCCCTGGTGCCATCTGCTGCTACCATCCAGGCACTGAGGAGATCAATGGGAACACAGCTACCAACTTGCTTAGGGAGCAGGGCCGGCATCTGTGGGAAGCTTCATCTAAGGAAACATTTTTCTTTTTTTTTTTTTTTGAGACGGAGTCTCGCTCTGTCACCCCGGCTGGAGTGCAGTGGCGCAATCTGGGCTCACCGCAAGCTCCGCCTCCTGGGTTCACCCCATTCTCCTGCCTCAGCTTCCCGAGTAACTGGGACTACAGGCGCCCGCCACCACGCCTGGCTAATTTTTTGTATTTTTAGTAGAGACGGGGTTTCACGGTGTTAGCCAGGATGGTCTCAATTTCCTGACCTCATGATCCGCCCGCCTCAGCCTCCCGAAGTGCTGGGATTACAGGCGTGAGCCACTGCCCACCGCGCCCGGCCTTTTTTTTTTTTTTTCAAGACAGAGCCTTGCTCTGTTGCCCAGGCTGGAGTGCATTGGCACGATCTCGGCTCACTGCAACCTCTGCCTTCCAAGTTCAAGTGATTATCCTGCCTCAGCCTCCCAAGTAGCTGGGATTACAGGCACCTGCCACCACGCCCAGCTAATTTTTGTATTTTTAGTAGAGACGGCGTTTCACCATGTTGGCCAGGCTGGTCTCGAACTCCCGACTTCAGGTGGTCTGCCCGTCTCGACCTCCCAAAGTGCTGGGATTACAGGCATGAGCCACTGCACCCGGCCTTATATGTTATTAGTTTTAATCCTCACTGACAATAGTTATGAAGGAGTCCTCATATAGATGAGGACAGTAAAGTAAAAAAAGATGAAGCAAAAAAAAGAGGTAATTTGAGATCATTCAGCTGGTCAGTCAGGGAGCCTGGACTTGGACCCAGTAGCCATCATCAGAGCCTGTCCTTACCCATTATACCCTCCTGCCTTGTTGAAGGCAATATGAGGGAATAGGTGTTACGCAATAAATTATCTGAGGCTCACACTATTTTCCGCCTCATTCCTTCCCATCCAGCTTGCTAGGATCCAGGCAAGAGCCCCAGCTGAGGCCCTGTCTTCCCCATTACCCCTCCAACTCCACCAACTCCACCAACTCCTAGGCTACATGACAAGCCACCCATCTCTTCCCATACCAGCAGGAGACGGCTGCCTGGTCACTGCTAATCTATTTCCCAGCCAACTGCAAACTCCTTTACCAATTCCAGTAGTCAACAAAACCAGTTACTCACTCTAGTGAGTGCTTACTACTCACTAACAGTGGTGCACCCTGTGTCCTCGCAATTCTGAGAGGCAGAGATTCTTATCCCCATTATACAAGTGTGGCAACCAAGGCCCAACCTGCAAAGTGATCCACACAGAGTCATAGAACTAGTATGTGGCAGAGTTGGGCTTTTTTTTTTTTTTTCCTGAGATGGAGTCTCACTCTGTTGCCAGGCTGGAGTGCAGTGGTGCGATCTCGGCTCACTGCAACCTCTGCCTCCCAGGTTCAAGCAATTCTCCTGCCTCAGCCTCCAGAGTAGCTGGGACAACAGGCAGGCACCACCACACCCAGCTAATTTTTGTATTTTTAGTAGAGACGGGGTTTCACCATGTTGGCCAGGCTGGTCTCCATCTCTTGACCTCGTGATCCGCCCTCCTCAGCCTCCCAAAGTGCTGGGATTACAGGCGTGAGCCACCGCACCCAGCCTAGAGTTGGGATTTGAACTCAGGACTGTCTGAAGCCAAAGCCTGGGTGTGTAAGTATTAAGCTTGAAGGTTGAGGGTGAGGTCTGTTTATTGCCATTCTCCAAGCACCTGTGCGTGCTGCAGGTGTTGCAAGGAAAACTGGTAGGCGGGTGTTTGTCTACACCTAGGCAAATCACACCCACCAGGCAAGACAGTCAGTGAGTCCCCAGCAAGGTCCTGACTCGCTATGTGAAAGGAGGCTGGGAGGAGGTAGAGGAGTGAGGCTTGGAAGAACCTGCACCCAGGCATCAGATGCAGTGGAGCAGAAAGGTCACAGGCTTCAGAGTCTGACAGGCCTGACTGAGGACCTCGGCTCCCGGCGAACCTCGGGCAAGCCCTGAGCCTGTGTAACCACAGTTCCCTCATGGAGTTGTTGGCACACATGGGGAGTTGGTACAGACGGGTACATCATCGGTGGCACCTGGCAGGGGCTTGGTAAGCAGCACCTGCCCCGAAGAATATATCCACGTCTCCTCATCTCTGCCAGGAGGAAATGCTTCAGCCAGGCCTTACCCCCACTGCTCTGCAACATTGCACTTCTCAAGGACACCCGTGACCTCCATGCTGCTAAATCCAGCAGGCAGTTTTCCATCCCTCATCTTCCTTGGCCACTATGCAGCTGCATCTGCCACAGTTGATTTCTGACTGCTCCTTGAAACACTGTCTTCACCTGGCTTTGAAGACAGCACATTCTCCTAGTTTTCCTTCTACCTTGCTGACTGTCATTTCTCAGTCATCTTTGCTGATCCTGCCTGAACTTCCCAACCTCTCAGCGCTGGAGTGCCCTAGGGCTGAGTGGAGGACCTCATTTATTTTCTATCCACACGCACTCCCTTGGTGACCTCATCCAGACTCACAGATTTAAATACCATCACTGCTGACGACAACCAAATTTGTGTCTCCAGCCCAGGCCTCTCCCTTGAGGTCTAGTTTCACTCATGCAACTCCCAGCTGCTTGACACCCCTGTGTGTCTCAAAGATGCCCCCAATTTAACACATCCCAAACTGAGCTGCTGATCTTCCCCCAAAAGCCTGCTTCTCCCCATTTTCCCCATCTCAGTTAATGACAACTACATCACACCTCATGTCTAATCTCTCAGCAAATCCTTCTGCCTTTATCTTCAAAACAGATCTCAAATCTAATCATTTCTCACTGTCTCCACTTCTATCACTTGGATCAGAGCTACTATCAGCTCTGATAAAAGACTCCCTGCTCCAGTCTTTGTTCCCCCTGGGTCTTTTCTCAACACAGTAGCCAGAGTGATTCTGTTTAAAAATAAGTCAGATTGGCCGGGTGCGGTGGCTCACGCCTGTAATCCCAGCACTTTGGGAGGCCAAGGCAGGCAGATCACGAGGTCAGGAGATCGAGACCATCCTGGCCAACACGGTGAAACCCCGTCTGTACTAAAAACACAAAAAATTAGCCAGGCATGGTGGCAGGCGCCTGTAGTCCCAGGTACACAGGAGGCTGAGGCAGGAGAATTGCTTGAACCAGGGAGGTGGAGCTTGCAGTAAGCCAAGATAGCGCCACTGCACTCCAGCCTGGGTGACAGAAGGAGACTCTGTCTCAAAAAAAAAAAAAAAAAAGGTCAGATCACGTCACTCCTCTGACAAAATCCTGCAATGATTCCTCATTTGAGGGGAAGAAAAAGCCAAAGTCATCATGATAGCCTATTAAGGACTCCCCAGGATCCTGACCTCTTCGACCTTGTCTCCTCTTCTCCCCCTGCTCAGTTTTTCAGCCACTGTCCCTTAAGGGTGTTGGGGAGATTTCTGCCTCAGGGCTTTGTACTGAGGAAACAATATTTCCTCAGTGGCTGTTTCTCTGCCTTGAATTCTCTGCCCCCAGATTCTGCGTGCCTCGTTCCCTCCCCTCCTTCAGGTCTTTATTTTGATGTCACTTTTAAATGGAGCCTTCCCTTAGCCCCTATTTAAAACTACAAACTGGGCTGGGAGCGGTGGCTCACGCCTGTAATCCCAGCACCTTGGGAGGCCAAGGCAGGTGGATCACCTGAGGTCAGGAGTTCGAGACCAGCCTGGCCACAATGGCGAAATCCCGTCTACTAAAAAACACAAAAATTAGCTGGGTGTGGTAGCATGTGCCTGTAATCCCAGCTACTCGGGAGGCTGAGGCTGGTGAATCACTTGAACCCAGGAGGCAGAGGATGCGGTGAGCCAAGATCGTGCCACTGCACTCCAGCCTGGATGACAGAGTGAGACTCCGTCTCCAAAAAAAAAAAAAAAAAAGCTACAAACTGCAGGCGTGGTGCGGTGGCTTATGCCTGTAATCCCAACACTTTGGGAGACCCAGACAGGAGGATCCCTTAAGGCCAGGAGTTTGAGATCAGCCTGGACAACATAGTGAGATTCCATCTCTAAAAAAATTTTTTTAAATTACCCAGGCATCATGACATGCTGAAATAGAGACTGAGGTTACAGTGAACTATGAGCATGCTGCTGTACTCCAGCCTGGGTGACAAAGCAAAACCCTGTCTCTAAAAAAAAAAAAAAAGAAAAAGAAAAAAAAGAAAAATTTTAAATAAAATTAAATAAAGGCCAGGCAAGGTGGCTCACACCTGTAATCCCAGCAATTTGGGAGACTGAGGTGGGAGGATCACTTGAGGCCAGGAGCTTGAGAACAGCCTGGGCAACACAGCCAGACCCTATCTCAACTAAAAAATAAAAAACAGCTGGGCATGGTGGTGCACACCTGTAGTCTCAGCTAGTTAGGATGCTAAGGCAGGAGGATACCTTGAGCCCAGGAGTTTGAGGCTACAGTGAGCGATGATTATACCACTGTATACCAGCTTGGGCAACAGAGTAAGATGCTGTCTCAGAAAAAGAAAAAAAATTAAATAAAACTACAAACTGCAGTTGAAGTCTCCCTCCCAGTTCCAACTAGATTTTTCTTTCCAAGTCTTCTTTTTCTCCATAGGCATTAACACCATTTTAAGTCTCCCACTGCTAGAATATAATCTCTATGAGGGCACAAATTTTTGCCTATTTTGTTAGCTGGTCTATCTCTAGGGCCAACAGAGCCTGGCACATAGGTGCTCCATAACTATTTGTTGAATGAAGAAATGAATGAACTACACCCAGGCAGATATCATCATCACCATCATCGCTCTCACCTGGATGACTACAAAGTCCTCTCACTGCTCGCCTGTACCCATTCCCACTCTCTGCTCCACTGAGCAGCCAGAGCAAATGCAAATCTGATCACGGTGCTCTTTGCCACTTGAAACTTGTCAGTGGCTTCCCCTTCTTGAACTCACCCTACTAGTCCAGTATAATAGTATAATCTGAAGTTCCTGACTCCCTCCCCCTACTTCTTGGATCTCCTCTCCTACCCTGCTCCCCGCTTGCTCTCTGAACTCCAGCCACACTGACCTTCCTTTAATGCTGATGACCATCCACACTCCCTCCTGCCACAGGGCCTTTGCACATACTCTCTTTTCTTAGCTAACTCCTATTTGCCCTACATATGTTAGTTCAGTCATCACTTCCTCATGGAAGCCTTCCTTGGCTTCTCTGATTAGGATAAATTCCCTTGTTGTATATAGTCATGGTTTCATGTGCCTTTGGAACACTGTCACTGTTATGATTTTAAACTTCCTTGCATGGTTCTTTCCTTATTGTCAGCCTCCTCCTAGAAGGTGAGGGAGCCCCACAAGAGCTGGCCATGTCTACTTTGCTCACTGCTGCATCACCAGCAGCTACCACAGTGCCAAGTATACGGAGATAGTCATAAAATATTTGAATAAACAGTATAACACAAATAAAGTGCTATACTATGAGGCTGCCCTAGCCTAAAGCATATAGAAGATTTTTACTCTAATAAAGAGTAGATCTAGGCTGGGCGCAGTGGCTCACGCCTGTAATCCCAGCACTTTGGGAGGCCAAGGAGAGCAGATCGTTTGAGCCCAGGAGTTCGGGAGCAGCCTGGGCAAATGGCAAAACCCCATGTCTACTAAAACTACAAAAATTAGCTGGGCGTGGTTGTGCACACCTGTAGTCCCAGCTACTTGGGAGGCTGAGAGAAGAATCCCTTGAACCCAGAGGTGGAAGCTGCAGTGATCTGAGACTGCACTACTGCACTCCAGCCTGGGCGACAGAATCAGATGCTGTCTCCAAAAAAAAAAAAAAAAAAAAAAAAAAAGAAAAAAAGTATATATCTATGTGGCAACTTATAGCAAAAAGATAAACATTTGAAGAGAAGCAAAACAACTCCATCTCAATAGTGTTTGGGCAGCTTCCTGGACTAAGCCACACAGGTAGAAGTTAATAAAAATAATAATGAGTGTTTACTCCAGCAGCTCAACAAGAAAAACTTCTCAAGAGGCAAACAAGAAGTTTGGAACTCCTCTTGTGACCTGGCACACTATTGACCCTGAATACAAATATTTTCTTCACAATTATGCCAACCCTGATGAAATGTCATTGGCACAGTGTTATGGAGCAAATCACATTAAGCCAAAACTCCTTGGTTAGTTATCTATACAGTATGGTTAATCTATTTATGATCATTCTCATTTTTAACCATCAAATATGATCCTTCGGCTACTTAATTTTATCTTATTTTTGGTCTATGCCAGATTGTGAGGTTTTGCCACTGTTGGTTTTATTTTGCTACACTAATATCTACCAGAAGTATTTGTTAAGAATGAGATAAGAGACAAATAATTTGTATTTATTTCTTGGCACAAAGAGCATTAGCAGGGCAAAAGTGCAGTGGTGGGTTGCATTGTGGGGTCAAAAAGTCCTGTCTTCCTAAGAGCTCCAAGAGGGGCTGTGCCTGGGGTCTGCAGAAAGATCAGGGCCAAGTCCCTCAGAGAGACTGTCACATGTCTCAGAATACTAACACCCCATCTCCACCCTCTGAGAGCTGGCAGTCCTTTCCTTTTGTCTCTCCCTCCTCCCACCCCAACAACTCTTGTTGGGCCAAATATTCCTCTCACAACACTGATAACTCAGTCTAGCTTTTCTGTTTGCCTGCCACCCCCTGCCCTTGTCAGTGTGAGAGCTTATCAAGAGAAGAAACTCAGTCTTAGTCCTTTTTGCAGCCCCAGAGTCTTATACAGGACCTGCCTGGCACAGAGTGGGAGTTCTGTGTCTGTTTAATGAATGTCCGATGGGTGGGTGGGTGGCTGGGTATGTAGATATGTGGGTGGGGGTACTGTAGAAAGCTACCTAGCTAGTGTGTATTTAGACCCTCAAGCTGCTCCAAAGCTTAGTCTCTCTAAACACTAAATGTCATGTTCATCTCAGAACCTGCATGTCCCCAGCCAGTTTCCAGGCCCAAACTAATTTACTGAAGCTCTAACATAAACCAAGCACTTTCCCTATCCCATTTGATCCTGATGACAATCCTAAAAGGAAAGTTCTATGATGGCCCCCATTTCACAGGTGAGAGAATTTACTCAGACAGATTAAGTGGATTGTTCATGCCAGTGTCAGAGGTAGGATTTGAATCCAGAGTTGTCTGATGACAAAACCCTTAAAACCCTTATGTCATGCTGTTTCTGGTAGGCAGTCACATTACCCCGCCCTGAAGCTCCTGCGTGTTCTCTGAAGAAGGAAGTGATTCCGTGGTTCCCCCAGGGAGACTTCCCCCACAAAAGTGAAGGGTGCAGGTGGGGCAAGCAGGCACTGAGCTCAGAGCACAGGAATGTAGGGAAGGCAGGCTCCTGCCCAGGCTGGCTCCCAAGAGGCGGGAAGTGAGGTAGGGGAGAACAGCCCACCTCCAGGGGCAGCGAGAGGGAGTGCCTGGGTGAGGGCTGGTTGTGGCGTGGGGGGTGCACAGACAGCACCTCAGGCAGGAAGCATGGGAGAGGCAGAGGCACGAGGCCGAGAGAAGACAGAACAGAGATCAGCACCTCTAGCAAGAGCCCTCCTGGCCCTCACTGCAGATTCCTAGGTGACAACACTAGAGCAGGCGAAGACAGAGGCAGGCAGAGGGCAGAGACACATGGGAGACAGACGTGCACACAACAGAGACAGACACCAGACAATGTAAACAGGGCCTGCACAATGGCGAGAGACAAGACATATTCTCCTCTCTCTCTCACACACACACACACACACACACACACACACACATACACACACACACATGCAGAGGAAACAGACTTACTGGGATTCAAAACTCTACACATATCTGAGACACACAGATGTACCCACAGAGTACGGGGCCAGGTACCTCCTCTAAGAAACAGACAAAGCCTCAGAGACACACACAGCACACAGAGACACAATGTCCCCGGAATATTTATACAGCGTCATCCAGGTCACTTCTGCTCCTTCTGAGCAAATTATTTCCCTAGGCCCAGAGAAAGTCCGATTAACAGGAGCAACAGCTAATGCTTTTGTCAGGCACAGCTAAACACATTAAACTCATTAGTTCATTTAACCTTTGCCATAATCCTATGAGGTAGATATTATTACCCCATTTTACAAACGAGGAAACAGGTTCAGAGATTAAGACACTTACTTAAGCTCCACAGCTAGTGAGTAGCAAAGCTGGGGTTTGGACCCAATCAGCATGACGGTCTTTACCCTGCCTGCATCCCAGTGGGGACAGCCTCCTGGGTTCCCTCTCCTGGAGAGATCTGGGCTGGGAGAATAGGAGGTCAGTAGAAAGGGCAAACTCTGGGGAATGCCTAATTGTGGGGCCGGGAGAGGAGGGACCCTTAGGGGGCAGCATTATCCCTGGCCTGGACAGAGCTAAGCCGGCTCCGAGAGGGAGTGCCCTAGGAGAGGGCAGCGTGCTCCAGCAGTTGGGCAGTGGGGCACTGGGACCAGGCCACCGGCTTCTGTGGGTGATAAAGCCGGGAACCCGACTGAGACTACAGATCTGAAGGAGCTCTCTGGCCCGGCTGGCGGCCATTGTTCCCAGCCTCCAATCAGGAGCACCCACTTCCTGTTATTTTAGGCGGCAGGAAATGACCCCATCCCGCAGCCTGGGCCCCACCACATCCCTCCCTCAGCCCCAGCAGGGCTGCCCAGGCTGTTGCCCAGATGCTGAAGGCAGAGGCCCAACCTCAGGCCAAGGCCTGGAGATGCCCCCCCAGCTGGACTATTACCACCACCTGGGTCCGGGGCCTTCCTCCTGGTTCAACTGCTTAGGCTCCAACCTGGCAGGCTTCCCA
Organism: Homo sapiens; assembly: GCF_000001405.40. Classification (NCBI taxonomy): domain Eukaryota; kingdom Metazoa; phylum Chordata; class Mammalia; order Primates; family Hominidae; genus Homo; species Homo sapiens. Next base: position 36,160,828 of record NC_000001.11, on the reverse strand, counting down.
GAGGACCCTGGGCTCTGCTGGGGCTACCTCTGCCAGCCAGGGAAAAGATTATGGGGTCCCCAAGACCAAGATGCCCACACAGGCCAGTCACGGGAGGGAAGCAGGCCAGACCTTGTCACTGGATAGCTTAGCCATGATAATTCAGCTTAGAGGTTTAGGGCACAGACTTCAGAGTCAGACAGATTTGAGTTCAAATCCTGCCTCTGCCAGTTGCTAGCTGTGTGACTTTAGGTAAGTGATTTCATCTCTCTGAGCCTCATCTGTAAAATGGGGATAATGCTAGTCCCTACTCATGAGACTGTGGTGAGGAACAAATGAGACAATGCCCGTGACATGCTGAGCATTGTGCCTGGCACAGAGAAGGCCCTTAATGAATAGGAGATAATAAGTCAGAGATAATTAATGGGAAATAACTTGGTTCACCGGGGAGTCTCTACCTGGCTCACATCATCTCTTACAACTGCTGAGGAGCGCTAGTAAGGGCAGCAGTACCATGTTCCCTACACCCTCCCAGGCTCTCTGCTCCCTTCAGGGCAGAGCTGCAGCTGAGAAGTGGTGGAGGAAACACTGAAGGCTGTGCCCCTGGGTGCCAGGCAGAGATACCACCAGCCAACAAAGCTGCATTATCTGGGTCTGGCTAGTTGGCTCCCTCACTAGCCCCAAGGCCCAGCAGGGACCTAAGGACATGGGTCCCAGCTGCCCTGTGGCCTAACTTCCAGCCTGGGTCAGACCTGAGACCTGACCTGATGGCCCTCAAGTATGGCCATTCTAGTCTGGGCCCAGCTTTCAGTCCCTTCCCTCAGCCCTTCCCCACTATCATGTTAGGAAAGGGGACCTGAGCTGGCCTAGTATCCCTTCCACCTCATTTGCATATGCGTGACTGCACATTAGGGGCTCATTAGAGGCCTCATTATTGGGCCCACCAGCCCAGGAAGGGACTAGGAAGCTGTCATTGGGAGGTGCCAGCCAGCTGGCTGCTGGATGTATGGCCACAGCCCACTGCGCCAGTCTCACCAACGTCTACTCATCCTTTCAGATCCACCTCAAATGCTGCCTCCTCCGTGAAGCCTTCCACAAGCACAGCCCACTGCACACTAACACCATTATACCTGGTTTCCCTGCAGTGAACACATCTGCCTTCCTCGCCGCGTTAAGAGCTCCCCAAGAGTCAAAACTCCGTCTGATTCACTTCTCTGCCGTCCACATAGACTACACCGAGCTGGCATAAGGTGGGGCATCAGCATGGGTGTGCTGGATAGCCGGTTGCACCTGTTTCTTGGGTCTTCTCTCCTGTTCCCACTGTTCCACTTCAGGTATGGGGCCCCTCCGTTCCCTGGATACACCCTAGCTCATGTCTGCCTAGAACTCCCCTCTCCGCTGCCTTCTTGTCCTATACTTACCTCCTACAATTCTAATCAATCACATCTCAGGCTTCTGACGGAATTAAAAATAATGACAAAAAACAAATAGCTAGGCTGGGGGTGGTGGCTCACGCCTGTAATCCCAGCGCTTTGGGAGGCCAAGGTGGGAAGATCACGAGGTCAGGAGTTCGAGACCAGCCCGGCCAATGTGGCAAAACCCTGTCTCTACTAAAAATACAAAAATTAGCCGGGCGCGGTGGCAGGCGCCTGTAATCCCAGCTACTCGGGAGGCTGAGGCAAGAGAATCGCTTGAACCTGGGAGGCGGAGGTTGCAGTGTGCCGAGATCGTGGCATTGCACTCCAGCCTGGGTGACAAGAGCAAGACTCTGTCTCAAAATAAATAAATAAATAAATAAATAAATAAATAAATAACAAATGGCTAGCACTTATTGGGCACTGGCTATGTGCCAGGGCCTAGTCTAAGTGTTTTCTGTTTTCATCTAATTTAAGGATGCCAATGTCTCTATGAGATAATTTCTAGCATTATTCTCATTTTACAGATGAGCAAACTTAAGACTTAGGTTAAGCAACTTACTGAGGTCACACAGAGGTAAGTTACGAAGTGGAGACTTAAACTGTTTAATTCCAAAATCTACACTCTTAAACAAATCGACTTCCAATTCCTGCTCCCACCCTCCCCTATATTTCATACCTCCCTGCTGGCACCGGTTGCAGAAGCATAACCACAATAATGGTAATAACACTTTATTGCAGGTGTCTGGTGTCTGCGTGCCAGATTCCTTGAGTTAAATCATCTCTAACCCTCACATTAACCCCACAAGGTTGACAACACTGCCCCTATTTTCCAGGGGCAGAAACTGTGGCTCCAGGAGGTAAGTCACTTGCTCCAGTCCAGTAGCCAGTACATGGCTAACTGGGATTTCCATCCAGGTTTTCTGACCTGAAAGTGGTCCCCACACTTGTCCTCTACTCCACACCACCCCCTGTTACTGCTCAGTGTCCAAGTGCAAAAAGGAACTCAGAGGGAGCAGGGTTCGTGTCACATGCTCTCGGAGTGTCAGGCCCATGCCTCAGACTATCACAGGGCACATGCTGTGAGCACATTTACTCCCAGAAAGCCCCACAGAGGACTCCTGTCACCTTTGACTATTCTGTGTGGGGAACTGCCACCATCCTGATCCAGGTTCTCATGTGACTCCATCTAGATCCCTGTGTATAGAAGAGTCCTCTCAATGCAAGAAGCCTATATGCAGTCTGCCCACCGGCCCCTGACGCAGCCCTCCCCGCCCACCGAACATCCCCCCTGCCCCTAGGAGAGCCAAGCATCTCACCCATGCTCTCATATTCAGTCTAGGCATCCTACCCAAGTATCCTAATTATAAACTAGCCACCAGCTCAGGCTCTGTATCCCAGTCACCACCCCCATTCAGGCCCCCAACTATCCAGTGCCAGAGGCCCTCAGGTGCAGAGGGCCAGTAAGCTGAGGTTGGACTCAGGCTGGGCCTCCCTGGGTGTCCCCTCTCAGGTTCAGCCAAACCAGGACAGACCCAGCCACCCTTGTTTCCAGCCCAGCCTACAAGCCTCCTGAAACCCACCAGTCTGATGGTAGCCTCCCCTCCCTGTTCTCCCAGGTCCCACACCCAGACAGTCCCCTAGAAGCATCCTCGCTGGCATGGGGAGGAGCCCACCCACAGCCCATTGGCCCCACCTTATCCTGGGCTCTCCGCACCCACACGAACTGTTTCATCCTGTGCCCACACCCCAAGGGGCAGGGAGGTGACAGGATTAGGCTCAGGACTCCATGGGGGTGTGGGGATGGGGCCACCTCCCCCCTGAGTCAATGGGAACAGAACTTGGGTCTTCAATAATCATGTTCTTCCCTCCCCTTCCAGGAAGAAAGAGAAATCGCCTCCCTCCAAAACCAAGCCCAACCAGAAACCTGTCCCCACCCCCTCATCAGCTGCTCCCAGATCCGAATGGGATTTGCAGAAGTCCTGAGCACTGGTGGTTGGTGGGGTGAGGGAGGGGAGGGGAGCTTTGGTGGTCTAAGGTGTGGGCAGAAAGAGAGAAAAAAAGAGAGTAAGGGGGGAGGTATCAAAGCCTCAGGCTGGGGAATGATGTGGCAGGTCCAGGGAGTGCCGGCTTGGAGCCTTTACCTCATTCTCTAGTGGGAGATTGGGGCCCAGAGAGGCTGGGAAGGAGGGCAGGCAGGAGAAGCAGATTTACTTCTGTCCCCCTCCTCCCCGAATCAGGCTGGGTGGGCTCCAGAGTAGGCCTGGCTGCAGGGGAGGCGGCCCACTCCCCAGCTCCCGCCCTCACCCCAAACAATGCCGCCTCCCCCTCCCCCTCGCCTTTATCCGGCGGGTTACTTGGCAGCAGCGGCTAGAGACCTCCCTCTCTCCTCCCCTCCCTCCTTTCCCCTCCCCGCCGGCCCGCAGCAGCAACAGGCCCTTTGCGCGGCAGCTGGACGGATGGGGTGGGGGCGAGGTCTGGGCCAGGGCCTGAGGGTACGGGCACTAAGGCCGAGGCGTCGGTATGCAGGGCCCAGGCCTGAGAATATGGACCCCCGACACACTCAGGCTGGGGTCACATGTGCCACGGGGGATGGGGAAGGGGACGGAAGCCCTAGCTCAGTAGAAGAGGATCTTCAAGGCCCGGGGTGAATCGGGAAGGGACGTGGGGGCGGGGAAGCTGAGATGGCACTAAGCTGGGGCAGAAGGGTCACCCCAACAACTCCCGCGCGGGGTCCCTGCGGCTCCCGACGCCCGATGCGTCCGGCACCCGGGGTGGGGGAGGGGGCAGCTGTCAGAGGATGCATCGCGAGCCTGGAGCCGCCGCCGCCGCAGCCTTTATTTTTAAACTTCCAAGTGGTCAGAGGGCGCGGCAGCGGAGGGGTCCCCGCCCAGCCGGCCGGCCTCATCCTCGGCCGCCCTGCAGCCCCTCCATCTACCCCCATCTCGCCTCCGCGTGGCTCCCGGCATACCTGGGGGTGCGCCCGCCCCCAGCTCCGCACGCGGGCCGCTCTCCATGGCTGCGGCGTCACTGGGGGTCTCGGGGTCTCAGCGGCGGCGGCGGCGGCGGCCAGTGGCCAGGACAGGGGTCCCGCGGCGCATCACGCCCGGCCCGGCCCGGCCCGGCAAGTAGCGACTCGGAGGCGGGGGCGCTCCGGGGAAGGTCGAGGCAGGTGGCCCGCGAGTCTCGGAGGTGCCGGTCGCCCGGGGTCTCTCGGCTGCGGTCGCGAACCCGTTCCCCGCCCGGCGCCGGCCCAGTCCCGGCCTCGGCCCAACCCTATTGTACCGCCCGGGCTGGGCCTGGCCTCTCGCTGGCGCGTACCAAGTTCGAGGCGGGGGGGTCCACCCCAGCAGCGCCCCGGGACCCAGCCCCCCGCGCCCGCGCCGTCCGCGCCGTTCGCGCCGCCCCCGCCCCGGAGCCCCGCGCCCGCAGCCTCCCGGCGCCTCTCCCACGGCCACGGCCGAGCGGGCTCCACGGCTCCAGGAGTTCGCCGCGCTAGCTGCCTCCCCCTGCGTCCGCGTCTTGGTACGCGCCGCAGCGCCTGAGGACTAAGTAGGGAGCGCTCGGGTGACTCACCCGCCGCGGGGACTGGGGGAGAGGGGGAGCAGGGCTGGGACTCCCCTTTCCCACCCTGGAGTTTGGGGGCTCTGGCACTGGGGCTGAGAGGGCAGCTTCGAGTCCAAATTCTCGCTCAAACCCACCTAAACCAAAGCGGCCCGGGGGACGTCGGGAGGCATGAAGGAGAGTCACAAGGAGACCCCTGAAAGGGTTTCGCTTTCTCTCCCCTGCTGATGGCTGGGCTGGGGACAGGTCTGGGAGCCTTGCTGCCGCCCTTGCTCCGGCATTCTGCGCTTGTGTCTTCCCTGCTCCTCTGGGGGTAATTACAGCCCTGCGCAGCTGCCTTACCCAGGTCTCTAATCTGCTGGGTCCCTCCCGGCTCCAAACTGGGTGGTCCTAGCCCTGGACCTCCCCCACCCCCACCAGACGACCCCGCCAATCACCCCAGAAGGATTTTCTCCCAGTGGTCTGTCGATGAGGGGGTGGTGACCCCCTCCAGAATCCACTCCCCAAAGTAGCCCTGCTTCCCAGCCCTCCAGAATGGACTCCCAGCCCCCTTGTTGGTGCCAGCTGAGGTGAGGGCTTCAAGCCAAGCCAGGCCCAGCCCGGGGCAGAGTGGGGAGCTTGCTGGGAAGGTGGATGGATGATGGTGGTGCTGCTGCAGGGACTTGGGTTGCGGGGGAGGAGGAGGGGCAGCTGTGCCCTGCCCACCCTGGCCCTGCCCTTTGTCCTGACTTCTAGAAGGTCAGTTCTCTAGTTCTTCATTGTCCAGAGATTAGGCCCAGTGAGATACTGTCCCCCTTGCCCCCCTTCCCTCCAGTTTCTCCTTCCTTTAAGCAGCTCCAGAAAGCGGCCATTTGGAGGGATAGAGTGGGAAACAAAAGGGTCAGGGGCTCAGGCAACCTGGGAGCAGCCTGTCCTGGGATGTGTGCGTATCTGGGGGCTTGGACACTCTTGGGAAGGCCTGGGAAGGGAATAGTGTCCCCTCTGGCCCAAAAACATTAGAAAAGGATGATGATAGAAGGGCGGCAACTGGAGCCAGTAACCTTGAGCTAGTGACTTAACTTTTCTAAAATCTAATTTGCTCTCCTACAAAATCAGAAAAATAGTAGTGCCATGAGGTATCTTGGGGTCTTTGTAAAGATTAAATAAGGCAATGGAAATGAAGTGCTGAGCACAGAACCTGGCATCTAGGAAGTGCTCAGTAAACAAGTATAATGGTGATGAAGGCATTGATGAGTAAAAGTGGAAGGACGAGGAGCAGATCCCCCATCTTTGTGTCAGTCATCTTATCTGCAGGGTGGGGGGACTGCGGGGATGACGGAGTTCATGACAGTCCTTTGTGAGGTCAGGGGCCTCACAGCCTGCCTCTTCCAGAGCTGGACAGGCCAGACCTGACTCAGGCAGTGACCAGACTCAGGAGAATTCAGGAACACGTATGGGGAGAGAGCCCTCTGGAATGGTTCTTCTCCCACCTCCCACCCCTTGTCTTGAGATTACTGCAGGGATGGAGATGGATGGATGGATGGATGGGAGTCGCGAGATACCCACATTGGCTACGGCTCAAGACTAGTGGCTGGCTGTGGTGGCTCACACTGTAATCCCAGCAATTTGGGAGGCCAAGGTGGGAGGATCCTTGAAGTCAGGAGTTCGAGATCAGCCTGGCCAACATGGTGAAACCCTGTCTCTGCCAAAAATACAAAAGTTAGCCAGGTGTGGTGGTGGGTGCCTGTAATCCCAGCTACTCCAGAGGCTGAGGCAGGAGAATCGTTTGAACCCCAGAGGCGGAGGTTGCAGTGAGCCAAGATCATGCCACTGCACTTCAGCCTGAGCAACAGAATGAGACCCTGCCACAACAAAACAAACAAACAGCCAAACAAACAAAAGGAATAGTGGAGGTGGAAATGGCAGCTAAAAATGAACAGATAGGCCAGGGACAGCCCACGTAGGAGGACTTGAATGCCAAATGCTTGGAAACAAGCATGGGGAGCTGTTGAAGATTATGGGGTTTTTCAGTAGAGGAAGGGTGAGCAGACTTTAGAACTGGAAATCTATTGTCTTTGGGATTGACTGTGGGGAGCTCACTAAAAAGAGCCCCTGGTATTAGCCTACATCAGGGGGTTCTCAACCAAGGGCAATTTTGCCCCCCAGGAGACATTTAGCCATGTTTAGAGACATACGGCGGTGGGCGGGGGGTGTGTCTCTAAACATGGCAGCTACCGCGTAGAAGCCAGGGATGCTGTTTACCATCCTACATTGCGTAGGACCATCCTCACAATAAGGAATTCTCAGGTGCAAAATGTCAGTAGTGCTAAGGTTGAGGAACCCTTCCCTAGCTTGAGGGTGAGGCACTCACAAGATGTTGGTGCTGGAGACCAGCAGAGCATCTGGGAGTTAGGCAGCTTAAACGACAGTTCTCCTGGCCAGACCTGAAGGTTTCCTGTGCTGCTGATGAGTCCACAGGGAGTGTGCGGAGGATGGCTGAGGAGGGGCCTGGAGAGCACCCGTGTTCCGTGATTGAGGCAGTTGGTGGACAGAGGAAGTGGACTCCTCTCCATTCTCCTCCTCACTGGCCAGGATCCCTGGCAGATTCCAGGCCCCAGCAACCAAGAGGGTTAAGAGTGTCTCTCTCTGAGTTTGGGGCTAGGTAACGCTGCATGGGGCACCACAAATAGACATCCCAGAGAAGGAGCAAGTAGGGTACTTGCTGAAACCCTAACATAAGAGGCTGAAGTCCCAACAGCATTCCCTGCAGTCTTTGGCGAGCGACAGGGACCTCTGGACCAGGGCAGTAGGAGATCGTGGCCCAGGGCAGTCTCCTCCTTCTGCACGGAAACAGGCATGAGTGAGCTGTTCCTTTCACCGCAAGGTTGGGCTGGGGCTGGGGGAAGCCCACAGAATGGGGATCAGAAATATGTTCCTATCCTGGCCAGGCACAGTGGCTCACGCCTAATCCCAGCACTTTGGGAGGCCAGTGCAGGTAGATCACTTGAGCTCAGGAGTTCGAGACCAGCCTGGGCAACATGGCGAAACCCTGTCTCCACCAAAAATACAAAAAATTAGCCAGGCATCGTGGTGCGTGCCTGTAGTCTGAACTACTCAGGAGGCTGAGGTGGGAGGATCACTTGAGCCCGGAAGGTCAAGGCTGCAGTGAGCCATGTTTGTGCCACTGCACTCCAGCCTGGACGACAGAGACCCTGTCTAAAAAAAGAGAGAAAAGATAGTAAAAAAAATCTTTAAAAAAAGAGTATACTAAAGAAATTTTTGGCCAGGCGGGGGTGGCTCACACCTGTAATCCCAGCACTCTGGGAGGCCGAGGTGGGCAGATGACCTGAGGTCAGGAGTTCACGACCAACCTGGCCAACATGTCGAAACCCAGTCTCTACTAAAAATACAAAAACATTAGCCAGGCATGGTGGCACATGCCTGTAGTCCCAGCTACTCAGGAGGCTGAGGCAGGAGAATCACTTGAACCTGGGAGGCGGAGGTTGCAGTGAGCCAAGATCACACCACTGCACTCCAGCCTGGGCGACGGAGCAAGACTCTCTCAAAAAAAAAGGAGGACAAAAAAAAAAAAAAAAGAAAAAGAAATATGTTTCCATCCTGTTTCCCCGAGGGGAAGAAAGGCAAGGATATTTTCAGCCTCCTAGTTTGGTGGGGCAGGATCCAGGATGAACCTGATGGAGAGATGAAGGAAATCACTGGGAGAGTTAAGAAAATTAACAAATCTCTCAGAACTGAGGCCTTGGATGCTGCTCCCACACCCACAAATTACTGCAGGAAGTGGGAGGGGCCTCACAGTGGGGGCAGAGGAGAGAATAGGCACCCATTCTCACTCCCACCCCAGCCTCAAGGCACTGCCCCAGCCTCAAGGGACTGCAGCAACACGGGGTCTCTAACCAGCACCGGCCTTCCTGGGGGGCCTCAGCTCCCAGGGCCCACTCCCTGTGGCTGGTGATGCCAGCTGCCCCTCCCTGTCCAGCTCTTGGGGAGGCGGGGAACTCAGATACAGGACTAAATAGATTCAACCCTTTGGGTTCCCAGGAGAGAGTCTTTGTCTAGAGCCCCTGATAGGAACAGAAAGCTATCCCTTGTGTTGTTTTCTAGGGAGAAGGAGAAGAGGGTGGTGAGGGGACATCTGGTGTTCCTAAATGTCCTGGCACCTAGAAGTGGTAAGGAGGGTTGGGATTTGGGAATGATGGAAACCATACTGAGAATCCTTGGAACAGCTGTCTAAGGAGTTTTGTTGTTGTTGTTGTTGTTTTGAGACAAGGTTTCAGTTCTGTCACCCAGGCTGGAGTGCAGTAGTGCAAACATGGCTCACTGCACCCTCCACCTCCTGGGCTCAAGCAATCTTCCCACCTTAACCTTCCTAGTAGCTGGGGGCCAGAGGTGCACACCACAATGCTCAGCTGGTTGTTGTTTTTTTTAATTTTTATTTATTTTTGTTAAAAAAGTAAATAAACAAAAGAGTGGCTATTTCATAACAGAACAGCCTTTTTAAAAATTATTTTTTATGGAGATGGGGGTCTCACTATGTTGCCCAGGCTGGTCTCAAACTCCTGGGCTAAAGTGTTCCTCCTGCCTTTGCCTCCCAATGTGCTGGGGTTACTGGCATGAGCCACTGTGCTCGGCCTAAGAAGCCTTTAAGAACCTATCTGAGTGAGGAGGGGATCATATAGATCAACCTGAGATGGCCCCCACCCCCACTGTTCATTCAGGACTAATGACACTGCAAGTCCCAAAGAGAAAGAGACGCCAAGAGGAGGAATCCCAGGCAGAGAGAGGCAAAATCTCGGAGGCTGTTGGACAGGCAGGGAAAGGCTCCACCTCCACTCTCTCTAGAACCGCCCTGCTTGACAGCAGGCAGGGTGGGGTTGGGTGGCTGGCTGTGAGTGTGACTCAGGTTTCTGTGGGCAGCCAAGGGCAGCCGGCAGGGAGGAGCCCAGACCGACAGACCGGCTGGCCAACTGCAGCTTTCACCTCAGCTGTCCTCTGTCCTGGGAATGCAGAGGGCTCTTGTCTAGCTGAGCTGGCCCTTGGGGGCTAGTTGACTCCTGCTTTCCTCCCCCAACCCCAACCAACCCTCAAGTTCCTTCCCAGAGCCCTCGGCCCTTGGCTCCCTCCCCTGTGGCATTACACAGGATGGAGAGTGAGGGGTCACTGCCTCTAGGGAGGAAACAGAATGTCTGGGGAAAAGGGTATAATAATGATTGGTCCTGCACCCTGAGGGAGGGACTGGGGGAACCCTGGGCACCAGCTTGCAGCCTCAGCGGCCCCCCAGCCCTCCCTAGCCTGGCTGGCTCGTGTCTGGACAGGCTGGTTGTCATGGTGAGGGCTAGGGGCCAGAATGCAGCTGCTACAGTCAGGCTACCAGGCCTAAGTGAACAGAGAGTGCTCAGGGACCCCCCAGCCCAGCTTCCTCAGAGTTGACCAGCTGAGAGACCGCGGGAGCTGAAACCAAAGAGCTGTGGTCAGGGACTATAGACTTCCCCTTGGTGATGGGTGAGAGTTCAGCCAGCACATTCCCTTCGTGTTTCTGGTGCCTGTTTGTTGGCTTGTTTTTGGAGGGTGGCTGGAAGGGAATACACGTTTCTTTTATGCCTTTTATGCGCCCAAGTGCTGGGCATGCGTGGCTCACCAGTCTTTACAACAACTGAGAGAGATTTAGCAACTTGCCTAAAATGGCAAAGCTGGGATTAGAACTCAGAACTGACGGCCACGACAGTTAGTGATCTTTGTTTTCTGGGAACCAGGCAGTGTAGCTGTTCTAGGGGGAGGGAGGGGGAGAAAGTGACTTGAACTTTACCTAAAAGACTGGATATTCCATCACGAGGCCACAGGTGGTAGAAGGCAGGTGCTGGCATCATTTGGGGTTTGGCAGTCTGAAGAGAAAGACACTAGCGAAATGCTTGGCACATAGTAGGTCATTAAATATTTTTCTAATGAAGAAGCCAATTCTGTGTGAGTCATTGCTAGTTTTCTGGGACATCTTGGGAGCTTCTGGAGCTGAATCGCAACAGCGGAAGACGCTAGCTCGAAAGAGGGACTTTCCAAGACCAACCCCGGCGAGAGAGGAATTTGTGGAGCATCATCTCTGAGCCGGGCGCGGGGGGAGGGGGACAAGGAGGAAGCGTGTGTGTGACCCAGGATTACCGAAGGCTGCGGACGCCACCCAGCGGCCAGGATGCTGCCCAGCGCAAGCTGGGCTCTACCAGGCAGGCGCGCGCGGAGCACTCCGGGAGTTGTAGTTGACTGTGTTAAGAGGCGGTGCTGCCAAAGGGGCTGTTGGGTGTTGTAGTCTGACGTTTGTTGGGCGGGAGTTGCCCACGTCGGCCGGACCACTAGTCCCGTGGTGCCCCGCGGGAGGCCGCGCAGGCGCAGTGAGTCAGTGCCGGTCGGTCTTGTGGGCTGAGGGGCAGCGGCTTAGGCTCCGGCGTCTGCAGGGGTCGCCGAGCTAACCCGTGGCTAGGCGAGTGGGGCGGGGCGGCCGGCACCATGTCGAGGCAGGCGAACCGTGGCACCGAGAGCAAGAAAATGGTAACTTGGAGCGCGTGACCTCGGCGGGCGGGGCGAAATTGAGGCGTACAGGGAAGGGGCCCGGCGCCGAGCGCGAGGTGCGTTTGGAAAAGGGCCTTCCTGTGAGCTCTGGCAAGGGGAAGCCTCTTGCTGGGTCACTCCGGGGGCGTTCCAGGCAGGTGAGGGGACCGTCGGAGAAGTTCCCCGGAGGAGACCCCGCCCCCAAGGCCTGAGTGCAGCTCTGTGCTAAGCCAACAACAACGACGGTAATAAATACCAATAACTGCCACTTAACTTCTCTCTTACTATGTGTTGGGCACCGGGCCACGCACGTTACAGCATCTCAGTTAATCTGCAGAGTAGCCCCTATCAGATGGATAACATTGCCGTTTTACAGCTTGGAGAGCTTACGTAATTTGCCCATATTTACACCTGGGAAGTTAGGATTTGGACCCGTGTTTAACTCCAAAGCTAATGCTAGGAGCTGACTGTTAGGCTTTACTCTTAGGCTACAGTGTCTCGTACTGTGGCGTGGGTATTGTGAGAGATGTTCAGATACTGGTCGTGCCAGAAAGGAACGTTTTATTCAATGGAATAAGAGATGGGCCAGAGTAAGCAGTGAGTGGTGCCCCTCTAATGGAGTGGGTGGCTCCCTTCTTTCCCAGGGAATAGTTTGGACACCATATGGTCCTATAAAGTTGGACTAGGGGCTGGGGCTGCAGACTTAGGTCATTTTTCTTTCGTTCTTCCCTCCCTCCCCCCGCCCCCAGACGAAATCTCTGTCACCCGGGGTGGAGTGCAGTGGCACTAACTTGGCTCACTGCAACCTCTGCCTCCCAGGTTCAAGCAGTTCTTCTGCCTCAGCCTCCCGAGTAGCTGGGATTACAGGTGTCCACCACCACGCCTGGCTGATTTTTGTATTTTTAGTAGAGATGGGGTTTCACCATGTTGGCCAGGCTGGTCTCGAACTCCTGACCTCAGGTGATCCGCCTGTCTCGGCCTCCCAAAGTGCTGGGATTACAGGCGTGAGCCACTGCGCCTGACCAATTTTTGTATTTTTAGTAGAGACGGGGTTTCACCATGTTGGCCAGCCTGGTCTCGAACTCGTGGCCTTAAGTGATCTGCCTGTTCAGGCTCCCAAAGTGCTGGGATTACAGGGGTGAGCCACCACACCCGGCCAAAAGACGAGAATATTTTGTTAGGAAACAATGTCAGGTAAGGGGAAACACATGGACCTTGGTTGGAATTCTGACTTACTTGATTGATCTTCAATTTCTTTATCTATAAAATGGGGATAGTAATGTCTACCTAATATTAAATGGGATGGTGTAAAATGTGAGGGGCATGGTAAATGTTTCTTTCTCCTTTTCCTATGAGATGAGTAGAGGTCTTCCTGGTTAGTTTTTGTACTTTGCTCTCATTTTATCCATTTTTTAAGCCTGAAATCAATATTGAAATCTTTAACAAAAATCTGCAGACTCTACCCCCAGCCCCCAGTATTCTTCGTTTCAGTGAAGTAAGGTAATTAGGGAGGGGCAGCAGCATACTCCTGCCCTCAAGGCTCTTGGAACTCCCTTCTTCTAGATAGTCACTTAGCCCACTCCTGCCTTCATTCATAGTTACTCAAATGTCACCTCCTTTGAGAGGCCTTCCCTCCTGATTACCTGCCTAATTCTCTAACCTCTAACTCTATGCTGGTTGTCTTCATAGCACTGTCTATTTAATTTTAAATGATATACCCAGGCTGGAGTGTAGTGGCATGATTGAGGCTCATCCAGCCTGACCTCCCGAGTTCAAGCAGTCCTCCCGCCTCAGCCTCCCAAGTAGCTGGTACTATAGGTGTGCACCACCATGCCTGGCTAATTTTTTTTTTTTTTTGTAGAGCTAGGGGTCTCCCTGTGTTGCCCAGGTTGGTCTCGAGGTCTCGAACTCCTGGGCTCAAGCAGTCCCTCCAACTCTGCTTCACAAATTACTGGGATTGCATCTGTGTTCCATTTAAGCTTGCCAAGACCTAAATTGTTTTGTTTTGTGTTTTGAGACAGAGTCTCGCTCTGTCACCTAGGCTGGAGTGCAGTGGCCCGATCTCAGCTCACTGCAGCCTCCACCTCCCAGGTTCAAAAGATTCTCCTGCCTCAGCCTCCCGAGTAGCTAGGATTACAGGCACCCAACCACTACGGCTGGCTAATTTTTGTATTCCCAGGTTGGTCTCAAACTCCTGACCTCAAGTGATCTCCCCACCTCAGCCTCTCAAAGTGCTGGGATTACAGGTATGAGCCACTGCACCCAGCCTTCATTTTTTGTTTCTTGAAGCACCAAAAGCACAGATTTATTGAAATGAAAGTACACTCCACATAGCAGGAGCAGGCTCAAGCAAACGGCTCAAGAGCCATCTAAATTGTTAGTATGCCCAAGTAACTAGATTTTAGTCTGTGCAAACAGAAACAGCCCTTTTGTCCAATAAACTTTTCTTTAGCCCCAACTATATGCAGAGCTCTGTGCTAGATGCTGTGGGAGATGCAAGGATGAAGTCCTAGTCCCTAACTTTGAGAAGCACATACTCTGTGAGGGAGACAGAAATGTATACCATATATACTGTGTATCTTCTAGCAGTGGAAAAATAAAAAGAAATGTTTGCCATACAGAGGTGTAGTACCGCCTGCACCTGAGTTCTAGTTTCACCACTTACTTGCTGTGTTACCTTGGGCAAGTTTGTTCATTGTTCTAGCATCAGCTTAATCATCTTTTTTTTTTTTTTTTTTTTTTTTAATGAAGTAGGCTGGGTGCGGTGGCTCATGCCTGTAATCCCAGCACTTTGGGAGGCCAAGGCGGGCAGATCACGAGGTCAGGAGATGGAGACCAGGGTGAAACCCCGTCTCTACTAAAAATACAAAAAATTAGCCGGTCGCGGTGGCGGGCGTCTGTAGTCCCAGCTACTCAGGAGGCTGAGGCAGGAGAATGGCCTGAACCCGGGAGGCGGAGCTTGCAGTGAGCTGAGATTGCACCACTGCACTCCAGCCTGGGTGACAGAGTGAGACTCCATCTCAAAAAAAAAAAAAAGAGAGACCATCCTGGCCAACATGGTGAAACCCCATCTCTACTAAAAATACAAAAATTAGCTGGGTGTGGTGGTGCACACCTGTAGTCCCAGCTACTCAGGAGGCTGAGGCAGGAGAATCGCTTGAACCCGGGAGGTGGAGGTTGCAGTGAGCTGAAATGGCACCACGGCACTCCCGCCTGGCGATAGCAACACTCCATCTCAAAATAATAAATAAAATAAAAAGGCCGGGTGCTGTGGCTCACGCCTGTAATCCCAGCACTTTGGGAGGCCAGGGCGGGTGGATCACGAGGTCAGGAGATCGAGACCATCCTGGCTAACACGGTGAAACCCTGTCTCTACTAAAAATACAAAAAAAAAAGTTAGCCGGGCGTGGTGGCGGCCGCCTGTAGTCCCAGCTACTCGGGAGGCTGAGGCAGGAGAATAGCGTGAACCCGAGAGGCGGAGCTTGCAGTGAGCCGAGATCGCGCTACTGCACTCCAGCCTGGGCGACAGTGCGAGACTCTGTCTCAAAACAAAAATAAAAAAATGAAGTAATAATAGTACCTATATTATAGGGTTGTTCTGAGGATTAATTGAGAGAATGCATGTAAAGCTAGCAGTGTAACGGTGCACTTAGAACACAGTTGACACCCAGTAAGTGTCCTCTAGATGTGTTATTAGTAAAGCTAGTAGCCTTCATGTGCCTGTACGGGGGTTGGCTCTGGAATCCCATGGACAATGAGACCTGCCCTTCTCTTGCGTTGGCTTACTGTGACCCAACCCAGTGTCTATTCCCCTGAGCTCAGGTGAGCCATTACTTACGTAGTAGCACTTGGAGTCTCCATGACAAAAGGCTGGAGGGTAAGAGAGTTGGCTGGATTTAGTCTTGCTATTGATCCTCCTCCAGCTGCTAGAGGGGATTCACACTGGATTACCTATTTTGACAAAAATAGTATGAGTCTTGGAGCATTGGCTCTAAAGATCAGCCTCCTGGCCAGGCATGGTGGCTCACACCTGTAATCCCTGCACTTTGGGAGGTGGAGGCGGGTGGATCACAGGGTCGGGAGATGGAGACCATCCTGGCTAACACGGTGAAACCCCGTCTCTACTAAAAGAAAAAAAATACAAAAAATTAGCCGGGTGTGGTGGCGGGCGCCTGTAGTCCCAGCTACTCGGGAGGCCAAGGCAGGAGAATGGCAGGAACCCGGGAGGCAGAGCTTGCAGTGAGCCAAGATTGCGCTACTGCACTTCATCCTGGGCGACAGAGCGAGACTCCGTCTCAAAAAAAAAAGAAAAAAAAGATCAGCCTCCTTAAGGAGATTTGACATTTTGTTTGGGGCACTAACGGGAAGAAAGGCCTCCTGAAAACTGTCAAGTGGTGTCTCACCTGAGTGTAGAGCTGGTTTCATTTACTTTGTTCAGGTTGTGCCTGAAGTACTTGGAGATCATGTTAGCATAGCTGCTATAAATCCTGTGGTTTCTTGTCTGCAAAGCACATTCAAGTCCATTATCTTACTAGATCCTACCAACAACCCTGTGAATGGCATGACAGATTTTACTGTTTTACTGTTACTTTTTTTGAGTTAGAAGATTGAGGCTTAGCCCAGTGAATTGATTTACCTAAGTACTCACAGCTGTTAAGCAGCAAGTCCAGACTCAGAATCAGGCTTTCAGGATCTTGCTGTGTTGTCCAGGCTGGAATGCAGTGGTGTAATCACAATTCACTGCAGCCTTGACTTCTCAGGCTCGAGCCATCCTCTCACCTTAGCCTCCTGAGTAGCTGGGACTACAGGCATGTACCACCATGCCCAGCTAATTTGTTCTATTTTTTATAAAGATGGGGTCTCAATGTGTTTCCTAGGCTAGTCTCAAACTCCTGGGCTCAGGTGACCACTTCCGACCCCTGCCTCCGCCTCCCAAAGTGCTGGGATTATAGGCATGAGCCACCATGCCCAGCCAGAAAGTTGTTTATATTGATTCAAAATCTTCTTTCTTTATGACTTGCCCTCCCTTTTTTTTTTTTTTTTTTTTGGAGACAGGGTTTCGCTCTTGTCTCCCAGCCTGGAGTGCGGTGGCATGATCTTGGCTTACCGCAACCTCCGCCTCCTGGGTTCAAGCAATTCTCCTGCCACAGCCTCCCAAGTAGCTGGGATTACAGGCACCTAGTACCACGCCCAGCTAATTTTTGTATTTTTAGTAGAGACGGGGTTTCACCATGTTGGCCAGGCTCGTCTTGAACTCCTGACCTCAGGTGATCCGCCCGCCTCGGCCTCCCAAAGTGCTGTACTTGCCCTCCTTGAACCTAGTTCAGGGTGTGATCTAGCACCACACCACATGGAACCAGTTTAAGAATAAAAATAAGTATGTATTTCTTGAGTACCTGCTGTGCAGCAGGTGCTCCACAAACATTATCTGATTGGAATTTCATTGGAATTACACAGTAACTCTGAAAGGCAGGTAACATTGTCACCATTTTACAGATGGGAAAAACTAATGTTCAGGAAGATTAAGCAGTGGCTTAGGATAACAAAGCTTTTTACAGGATAATGCTCAACTATAAGTAGGCTGTTGAGTCTCAGTTACTTAACCTGTCATCTGTAAAATGGGGATGAATAATATTTGTTCTGCTAACCTCTCGTGGTTGTTATGAGAAACTGTTACAAAAATAGATGTGTTGCAGAAGCGATTCATGTTTCTGGTGGTAGCGGAGATGTGGTGCTTATGTTCAGTGAAGAGATTGGGCTGGTTGACCTTTATGACCTTTATGATCCCATGAGAACTTTTGTTTTAAAAGTCACAAGGGCTGAAAACCCAGGTCTTCAGACTCTGCAACCTCCCGTCACTTATCTGATTTCCTTTTCTGTTCTCTCTTGCTTACTCCTCTCTAAGGCCAAGAGTCTCCCGCTGTTTCTCAAACACACCAGGCATACTTGTACCTCAGGATCTTTAGAATTAGTGCCTAGAATTTTTTCTAGACCAGCTATCTATCCAGATATCTTCATGGCTTACCAAATATCACCTTAGTGAGGCCTTCCCTGATTATTCGATTAAAATTAACCACCCCCCCAACACACACACGTAAATGCCCCCAATCTGTTTTTGTGCTTTATTTTTCTCCATAGCACCTATCACCATCTGGCAAATCATGTATTTCATTTGGCTGTATTGTCTCTCCCCCTCCTGTTAGATAGCCTGGCACACAGTAAATGTTGAATCAGTGATTTGTTTTCATTATACTATAGCCCATTCCTATTTTATTTGTTTATATTTATATTTATTTGTATTTTTTGAGACAGAGTCTCACTCTTCTACCTAGGCGGGAGTACAGTGGTACAATTACAGTTCACTGCAGGCTTGACATCCCAGGCTCAAGCCATCCTCCCGCCTCAGCCTCCCAAGTAGCTGGGACTATAGGCATCCACCACCATGCCTGGCTGATTTTTAAAATTTTTTTGTAAAGTTGGGGGTCTCAGTGTTTGCCCAGGCTGGTCTCAAATTCCTGGGCTCGAGTGATCCTTCTGCCTCAGCCTCCCAAAGTGCCGGGATTACCAGTATGAGCCACTGCACCTGGCCATCCCTTCTATTTTTAAAGCATAAAGGCCTTTAAGTTATACATTTATGTCACTCACAGTTCCACAGAGGCTTGGTTCGTAATTGAAGATGAAGATAGACTTGCAAATCAAGAGAGGGTATGGAGAGCCTAACTCAGGGATCCCATTCCGAGATCCCAGGTATATGGATTCCATGACCACCAACAGATCTGTCCAGGACCTTGATTGTTCTTATTGGTAAATAGGAGGTAGCTGCATGTATAAGGTGCTTGATAACATCATGATTTGCTTGTTACTTGGCATCATGGTGGCCTGAGGCTCTTGGAGTCTCCATCCAAGGGCTCATTAATAATGGAATGAAAGCTCTCCTGATTTAATGCAGTGGTGCCAATTCTCTGGACTGGTAACTGCTGGATTGTTTCCATCCATTCATGCTCAAACCATTCTAGTGCCAAGCCCTTGACTTTACTAAAAAAATCGTTCCCCTCCTTAACAGCTTCCCCTTAATTGCCATATTTGGTAAATAGTCTCTTGGAGACACTGATCTGACTGTTTATTTGAGTTCAAAGGGCCTCCTGATCCTGAAACTGACTTTCTTTGACTCTAGTGCAGCTAAGTTTTTTGGGTATTTTTTTTCTTCTGTTTTTGTTTTTATTGAGGAGGGCTTATTAATACTACAGTTGTGGGGAAGAGTGGATAGGTTGACCATTGGCTTGGAAACCTTTGATTTTTTTTCTCCCCAAATTACTTTTGTCAATAATTAGCTGTTTGTCCTTGGGCACGTTCTTTTTTTTTTTTTTTTTTTTTTTTTGGAGACGGAATCTTGCTCTGTTGCCCAGGCTGGAGTGCAGTGGCGTGATCTTGGCTCACTGCAACCTCCTCCTCCCGGGTTCTAGCGATTCTCCTGCCTTAGCCTCCTGAGTAGCTGGGATTACAGGCACGCGCCACCACACCCAGCTAATTTTTGTATTTTTAGTAGAGACGGGGTTTCACCGTGTTAGCCAGGATGGTCTCAATCTCTTGACCTTGTGATCCGCCCGCCTCGGACTTCCAAAGTGCTGGGATTACAGGCGTGAGCCACCGCGCCCAGCCTCCTTGGGCACATTCTTTAACCATTCTGGGTCTCAGTTTCCTCATCTCTAAAGTGGGGTTAATTCCTGCCTTTCCTGGATTACTGTGTTATCATGGGATAGATAATGAGATACAAGTAGAACGCAGTATTTAAGCAAAAGGCATTCAAATTATTATTCTTGTAGTGCCCCCATCATCAGGCCATGGGGATGGCGTGAGGAGCATTGGGTCCTCAGAGCCTGGGCTTTTACATTTCTTAGACTTTCTTCCCCAGAAAACTTGAAGAGAGGAAGGTTCTTTGCTTCAAATCTGACAAATCTCCATTCAGAAGGAAGAGTGTGGGTGGTTATCCTGATTTTTCAGCCTTATTTCTGAGTTAATTCATTGGTCCAGATGTGCTGTTAATATGTTTCTCACTTTAACCCTGATAATGCCTTTCCCCCTGCCTGCTGCTTTCATTCTTCAGTCTTGGTATTTGTCACTCATTTCACCTTTTACATCAATTTCTTGGTAGATAAGTGACAGAATTCTTCTTTTTTTTTTGACAGAGTCTTGCTCTGTCGCCCAGGCTGGAGTGCAGTGGCACGATCTCGGCTCACTGCAAGCTCCGCCTCCCGGGTTCATGCCATTCTCCTGCCTCAGCCTCCTGAGTAGCTGGGACTACAGGCACCCGCCACCATGCCCAGCAAATTTTTTGTATTTTTAGTAGAGACAGGGTTTTGCCATGTTGGCCAGGTTGGTCTCAAACCCCTGACCTCAGGTGATCCACCCGCCTTGCCCTCCCAAAGTGCTGGGATTACAGGCATGAGTCACTGCTCCTGGCCCCAGAATTCTTTATGTGAGAAGGAGTTTCTGTGATTTTAACTGCTATTGTAATAGAAACCAGTTGATTCTGAAGAGTCACCTCTTTTCCTGGAAATATTTTGGCTGTGAGTTAAGAGGAACATTATTTTCTCCCATGCTGGTGACTTTGGAAAGGGGTTGTCATCAGTGCAATGAACTTGGTCTGGGACTTCCTTCCTTCCCCATGGACTGGGCCCCTGGGTCCTCTGTTGCTTCTGGGAGGGGCCTTGGGAGTACAGTTTACTCTAGGCCAGGACATTCTAAGACATGTGGAAACCATTGGTCACACCTGCCAGCAACAGAGATTAGTTTGTAAATGTCTGTTTCAGGTGTTTCACAGCATCTAGTGAATGACCGTTGCTCCCATACCAGATTCTGGTGACCTGATCTTAGGCTTGACAGCTGTGGTGGAGACTTGGGTTGGCAGAAGCCTACCTTGGTGTGTTGGAAGAGTGATTGCTTAGTGCATGAGGTGCCTTTTACAGCCCATTTTGCAGTAGTTCTGGCTGCAGCCCTGCTGCTTTGACCTTGCAGGCCAAATTTCCTGGCTCCTCCAAAGGGGATGATGTTCTTTCCCTCCAGACACAGTTAGAGGGAATCCTGACAGTTGCATCAAGGCTGGTCCAGACTCTCACCACGCTTTCTCTTTTGTGCTGCTTGGTCCTGACTGCCTTTTGAATCTCTTTTAGAGCTCTGAGCTCTTCACCCTGACCTATGGTGCCCTGGTCACCCAGCTATGTAAGGACTATGAAAATGATGAAGATGTGAATAAACAGCTGGACAAAATGTGAGTGAGCTCCTTCATAGGAGAGACAGAAATGGGGCCTCCCAGCACACTGAGTCTACATTGTCCTTTAGAGCTTAAAACAGGGTTCTCTCTCTTTCTTAGCCAACATTTTGGGTACATTTCTCACTAAACTCATTTACTGGGATGTTTTTGAGATTATCCCCATTTTCCCTTTACCACCAACAACCTTATGTTCAAACATAAGACATTTAGACTCCATCATAGTCTCTTCTCTAACTTCCTTCCCAGGGGCTTTAACATTGGAGTCCGGCTGATTGAAGATTTCTTGGCTCGGTCAAATGTTGGGAGGTGCCATGACTTTCGGGAAACTGCGGATGTCATTGCCAAGGTCATTATTCTGGGCCACCTGTCCATGCTGAAGAATTGCTGCTGAGAGGCACTGCTTACCACTCTTTCTATCTCCCTTAGAGAGGCCTTTAATCTCCCAAAAGACTGGCTAGGCAGCTCTTTGGGTCAAAAAAACATTCCAGGTCGTTAGGGAATAGCATAGATTATTTAATCCCTGTGGATTAAAGCCCCACTGAAATCAAAGCCTGAGCTTTTCCACTGTGAAGGTGTAGCAGAGTAGCATGGGGGTAAAGAATACAGACTCGGTCGGGCGTGGTGGCTCACATCTGTAATCCTAGCACTTTGGGAGGCCCAGGCGGGTGGAACACAAGATCAGGAGTTCAAGACCAGCCTGGCCAAGATGGTGAAACCCCATCTCTACTAAAAATACAAAAGTTTGCTGGGCGTGGTGGCGGGCACCTGTAATCCCAGGTACTCAGGAGGCTGAGGCAGAGAATTGCTTGAACCCAGGAGGCGGAGGTTGCAGTGAGCCGAGATCACATCACTGCATTCCATCCTGGGTAACAGAGCAAGACTCCATCTCAAAAAAAAAAAAAAAAAAAATACAGACTCACAAACCTGGCTCCAGTACTTACTAGTTTTGTGTTTTTAGATAAGTTACTTTAAATTTCTTTAATTACCAGTGACCTCATCTTTTTTTTTTTTTCTTTTTTTCTTTTTTTTGAGATGGAGTCTCACTCTTGTTGCCCAGGCTAGAATGCAATGGTGTGATCTCGGCTCACCACAACCTCCGCCCCCCGGGTTCAAATGATTCTTCTGCCTCAGCCTCCCGAGTAGCTGCGATTACAGGCATGCACCACCATGCCCGGCTAATTTTAATTTTGTATTTTTAGTAGAGATGGGGTTTCTCCATGTTGGTCAGGCTGGTCTTGAACTCCCCACCTCAGGTGATCTGCCCACCTCGGCCTCCCAAAGTGCTGGGATTACAAGCGTGAGCCACTGTGCCCGGCACCAGTTACCTCATCTTTAACATGAAGAAAATAAGAGCTACCCCCAGGGCTGTTTTAAGGAGTAAATGAATAATGGACATGAACATTTAGGTAAAATGCTAGTGTTTAGCATAGTGTTGTGCATATAGTAAATGTTTACTATTACTAGTATTAGTGCTATCTGTTATAGTATTAATAAATGACATAGCACCCATAACTTTGTGGTGTCAGTTACTTAAAAGTTGGTCTTTCTGTTGTAAGCTTGCTGGTCATACCCAAATCCTAAAGAGGATTGACAGTGGAGGGAGCTTTGTGAGAGTTTGGAATTAGGAGGGTGGATAGGGTAGGACTTTTTCTCTGCCCAGTAATGTGTATTCACTTTCAAGAAGGTGCATTCAGGTAGCACAGACAGAGGACAGAGAAGTGGGTTAGGGCCTCTGCACTCAGGCAGCCACCGTGTCGAAAGACTAGTGCTCCCTTCCACTGAGAAGTACAAGCACACAGTGAGTGAGTTGTTGCTTACTTGTATGATGCCTAGGAAAGAAAAATGTTTCTGGGAAAACAAAACAAAACAAAGCGACAGGCAAAACTGTATGATGCCGTGAAGGAGAGGGGTGCAGCATCATGTACAGATGCTTCTCCTTTGTTGTCCTGAGTATCTGAAGTGTCATCTTGCAGAGGCCACAGGTTTGTTCCTGAGCCACTTAATTCCCCTTTGCCAGTTCTGTCACCTTCCCTGTGGTACAGTTCCTGCTGCTCTTCCCCAAAGTGCTGTTGTGTGTCCCCTGACAGGTGGCGTTCAAGATGTACTTGGGCATCACTCCAAGCATTACTAATTGGAGCCCAGCTGGTGATGAATTCTCCCTCATTTTGGAAAATAACCCCTTGGTGGACTTTGTGGAACTTCCTGATAACCACTCATCCCTTATTTATTCCAATCTCTTGTGTGGGGTGTTGCGGGGAGCTTTGGAGATGGTGAGTGCAACTCTTTATCTTCTGGGACACCCGAAATGCAATAGGGACTTGATAAGTGTTTAAATGAATGAAAGAGAGAAAAGAAAGGGCTTTGGCTCACCCCAGCGCTTTACTGCCTGAGATGGTGATGCTGCTGAGGTAGGATCCAAGTCGGACATCTTTACATGGTGATACTCCTCCATACCAGGCTGGTGGAAGGTGGTGCTGTCAGTCCCCAAAGCCCAGGAACATCCATTCTCAGATAGGCTTATTTGGTGACAGTCTCATTCTTGGGTATTCTTTGCTAAGTTTCTCCTTAAGGGTTGGAGCCATTGTCTTATGCAACAGAATGTTGGCGCTGTCAATCTTGTCCTTGTGGGAAACCAGCCCCCCTTTTTTGGATGCTGTGGATGAGTCAGTTATGCCCCATCCCCACTGGTTCCCTAGAGGCTGTGGCCAGGCAGCTACCCCTTCGTTTTCCCACTGTCCCCCAGGTCCAGATGGCTGTGGAGGCCAAGTTTGTCCAGGACACCCTGAAAGGAGACGGTGTGACAGAAATCCGGATGAGATTCATCAGGCGGATTGAGGACAATCTTCCAGCTGGAGAGGAATAACCATCCCTACAACTCGAGGATAGCCATCAGGAGCACTGTTGGAATCAGCAGGCCTCTGTGCTCCCTCTGCCCTCCAGAACTCAGTGACTCTTGAACATGGATGTTATATATTCTTATAACCTGTTTCCATTCTCCATTCAAATAAAGAGCAGACTGCGATATAGTCCATTTACCCCATGTGTGCACATTCAGGAGCGACAGTCTCTGCCCCCATTCCCTTGAGAGGGGCTGGATGTAATCACCTTTGGTTGGACTAGAAAGAGCTCAAACCATTTTACATTCCTGTTTGAATTTTTCCAAAGCAAAACTCACTTTGACCCCATTAAGAGGCAAGCCTGGCACATCTATCCCTGGGCCTTTAGAAAGCCATTTGCCTCAAATGGCTATAGGGTTGTGGGGTGGAGGGAGGAAGGGCTGGGAGGGAGTGGGGAGGAATTGCTAGCTGTAGTGTGACACATTGTAGTGTTTGCCAGGAAAGGAGCCAGTCATGCCGGAAACACTGACTTCTGGGAAGCCACCCAGGTCTCATTCCTCCCTGCTGTTGGAGGCAACATCTCCTCTTTTTACAGAGGGTACATCCTTTTTTCTTACAAATTCTTCAATAAAGACACATTCTTGAGTGAAATCCCAATCATGTCCTGTTTTCTTTCTGCTTATCCCCAGGTGTTTTGTTACAATGGTGTGAGGAGACCAGGTAGGTTCATGGGCCCTGTCTTTCTTTGACTTGGTTTAGCAGTGGCTTCTCTCCACAGACGAGAGTGTCTGGGAAACCTGGGAGCCAGTATAAGCAACTGAAGCCCCTTCAGAGTCGCTTTTGGCTCTAGTGTGTGCAGCAAAATCTAGAAGCAGACCATTATTCCAGACATACCTAAAATGAACTATCCTGGGCACTTGGCCACCAAGTTGGAAGGTCTGGCTAGAAAGGCCATATAAACCCTGTTGTTGGGGTGCTATTTGTTGAGTGCTTACCACTTGAAAGACACTACTGAACACTTTGCATGCATTGGCCAGCTCACAAGAATTCCATTTTTAGAGTGGAGGCCATAAGTTGCCCAGGTCATATGGTGAGTAAGTGGAAAAGTTAGGGTTCAAAGCTGGGCCAAAGGGCAAAACCCATGCTCTTAATGAAGATTCTTTTACTGCCTGGTTAACACTATGGGGGAAAAAGGGAACAGGCCACAGCTCCCTCTCCCAGGCTTAGAGAGCTTGGGATAGATCTTAAAAGGAGGAAGCAGAGATTGTGTCAGGCTGTATTTGGTAGCACTGCTTGGGGATAGCCTAAGGCCCTGAGGTCTAGACACTCAGGTTGTTGGAGGGAAATGGGGTCCCAGGCCTTCCCTAAAGTATGTGTGCAGGCCTGAGATGGGGGGAGCCAGTTTTAGATGCATTGTGCTTGAGATGTGTTTTGGTTGTGCAAGGGTAGGACCAGGGTTTTGAGACACCACTGAGAAGGGCAGTTTGCAAGGACTTACCGGCTCTAGCTGGATTAGGCCACCAAAGAGGGATGGTCAGTTTCGTGTCCCCAAATATAGGAACATCCTCTGAGCCTCTTTATGTCCCCCTCCATATTATAATTTGGGGTCCCAGGGCAGTGATTCAATTTTGGTTAACTGTGTCCTTAGCACTTAGTGTGGGTCTCAGTCCAGTCACACCAGAGTCTGAATGAATGAATAAGGGAATGAATGTTGGGGCCCAGATGTGGAAAGCTTTATGTAGTGTCTGAACCCTGCCAAAAAAAGCTACACCGCCCTTTCCCTTCTCCAGGGGGACCCTCGGCCCTTCCTCTCCTCCGGGTACCACAGCCTACTTTTGAGCAGCGGTTTGTATGTCGTGACGTTTTGGATATTTCCTTTCCCAATGTTAAACTTGGGCAACATTACAGGATTAGGGAACTGTGGAAACAAAGCTCCCTTAGTGACTTTTCCCAGTTACAGCCCCACGATTGGGGCTGAGGGAAAGAAAGAGCTGGGGACTGCAGAAGTATTTGGAACATGCAATCCCCAGGAAACTAACTTCCTGGTCCCCACCCATGTCATTGATTGGTTGTAGATTACACATTCCTCTCTTACTATGACTGTGAGGCTGAGACAGCCCCCTAAGCTAGGCCATTCCCTCCCAACAAGATGGGGCAGGTGAGCCTGGCTATATGGGAGAGGCTGACTAACAAGAATTTTTGGGTAGTCTGACTCATGGCAGAGTTCTGGAGATGGAGGGTTGATGCTGGTGGCCTTTGGGCCTGGGGCTGGCTGGGTGGAGCTCTAAGGAAAGGTCTCGGTCTTCAGCCTTTGGCCACCAGGGGTCTCCAAATCACCACTGTACTGTCCCAGAGAGTGACCACCGGACCCCTGGTTTTCAGAATTTGCTAGAAGATGCACCTGATGGAGCAAATCTTAGAGGCTGACCGGAGGCTGAGAGTGCTCCCCCTCCTCCAGCCACCCCTACAGGACCTGAAAGCAAAGCTTACATATAGCTGCCAGGCTAAGCGCCTGCCTGCTGGAGCCAGAACATTAGAAGAGAGCGTTGGCCAAGGATGTCTGGCCGCATACATACTTCAAACTCCCATGCTGGCCTCCTGAGTTGTGTACAAGCTACCTCTGAGCCCTCCCCTAATCAACCCCCCTTACTTCCTGAGTGGAGGCCAGAGCACCAGCCCCATTCCCCTGATGTAACACTGTCCCTTTCTGCCCCAGACCTCCAACACCAGTGAAATTTCCATATTCAGGTTTCACCTTCTCCTAGGGGGTTGGCCTCCCCTACATTTGTACTGGGCATCCAAGGCCAAGAAGCGGGTGGCAACAGAAGCCTCAGGAGCAGAAATTGCATTCAGTAAAATTAAAATAGTCTCCTAACAAGTAGTTCATTGTGGCTAGTAGGTGGTGGGGGTGCAGGAAAAATGCCCTCCCAGAGCTTAAGTGCTACCATGTGCTGTGTTTTGGAAGCCAAAGGGCCGGTGGGAGGGTAGGAGAGAGGAGGGGAGGCTGGTGGCAGGCAAGGAGCTGCTGTTACTGATCCCCAGCCTTTGATGTAGGGCCAGGCCTGACCCCAGGACAGCCGCCGGCCACTGCCAGGGGAGCGGTGGGACTCACTGCATTCCTGGGGGCAATTTACACTCTGGCAGGGGGAGAGAGGAAAATTTCTACTGTGGGAAGGGGGAGTGGGGGGAGGGAGGCCGCTGCAGCAGAGGTTGGGGGAGAGGGTGTTGTAAAGAACAATGGAGGTAGCCAGGACACAGAGTAGCACTCTCCTGCTTTGCCCTGGCTCCCTCACCCACCTTGGGTCCAGGCCTCCTCCAGGAAGCCATCTCTGATGGAACCCAGAGCTGGTGAGGAGCTCACATGGGCTGGCTCAGGTACAGCCCAGGGGATGCAGAGAAGCAGTTGCTCTTTCCTCTTGGCTCTGGGAGCCTGGACTGTCAACCATGAGGGCATCTATGACTGAGCTAGGCTAGAGGAGGGGTGGGAGGGTGGTGCGCATGGGCAGGAGGACATTTGCCAGTGAATGTGGATGAATGTTAGTCATAGCAATAGCTAATCTTTATTGCAGAGTGGCCATGTGCCAGCGCTAGTCATGTGATATGCCAGTACTTCACATGTATTTCTCATTTAGCCTTCACCACAGCCCTACTACTATCTGCAGATGAGGAGACTAAGGAGCACAGCTAGTAACACCGTGGATTCAGCACTTGAACCCAGATAGTCAGGACTTGAACACAAAGCTCTTATCCAGTACATTACACATTATGTATGTATGTTTTTGTGTTTCAGTGTCTGCCTGTTTCCTGATGTTCCTTAGGGACTGTGTCTGTGTGTGAATTCTTTTTTTTTTTTTTTTTTTGAGACAGAGTCTCGCTCTGTCACCCATGCTGCTGAAGTGCTGTGGTGCCGCAATCTCGGCTCACTGCAACCTCCGCCTCCCAGGTTCAAGCGATTCTCCTGCCTCAGCTTCCTAAGTAGGTGGAACTACAGGCGTATGCCACCACGCCAAGCTAATTTTTGTGTTTTGTTTTGTTTTTTGAGATGGAGTCTTGCTCTGTTGCCCAGGCTGGAGTGCAGTGGCACGATCTCGGCTCACTGCACACTCCGCCTCCCGGGTTCAAGCGATTCTTCTGTGTCAGCCTCCTGAGTAGTTGGGACTACAGGCATGCATCACCATGCCTGGCTAATTTTTGTATTTTTAGTAGAGATGGGGGTTTCACCATATTGGCCAGGCCAGGCCAGGTCTCGAACTTCTGAACTCATGATCTGTTTGCCTAAGCCTCCCAAAGTGCTGGGATTACAGGCATGAGCCACTGTGCCCCGCCTCAATTTTTGTATTTTTTTTAGTAGAGATGGGGTTTCACCATGTTGACCAGGCTGGTCTTGAACTCCTGACCTCAAGTGATCCACCCGCCTTGGCCTCCCAAAGTGCTGGGATTACAGGCATGAGCCACCGCGCCCAGCCAAATTATTTATTTATTTATTTATTTTTGAGATGGAGTCCTGCTCTGTTACCCACGCTGGAATGCAGTGGCGTGATCTCAGCTCATTGCAACCTCTGCCTTCCAGATTCAAGCAATTCTTTGCCTCAGCACCCCCAAGTAGCTGTACAGGTGCCTGCCACCATGCCCGGCTAATTTTTGTATTTTTAGTAGAGATGGGGTTTCACCATCTTGGCCAGGCTGGTCTTGAACTCCTGACCTCGTGATCCACCCTCCTCGGCTTCCCAAAGTGCTGGGATTACAGGCATGAGCCACTGCACCTGGCCTGAATTCTTTCATTTAACAAAAATGTAGCTCTGTGTTAGGGGCCGGGGACGTGGAGCTGACCTAGACTTCAGCCCTACCTGCTGGGAGCTTCTGCCCATGGGGAAGCAGCTGAATGCAATGTGGGGTCGGGGGGAGAGATTGAAAATGAGGAAATAGGACAAGTCCTGGCTCTTCTAGTTATTAGCTATGTGACACTGGACAAATGATTTGACCTTTGAGCCTCAGTTTTTTTCATCTGGAAAATGGGAATCATAATGCCTCCCTTGCTGGCTGTTTTAAGGATGAAACAAGATAATATATATAAATTTCATGGCATATGATGAGTATTCCCTAACTGGCAGTTATGATTAGCTTGATTGTTATTGGGGAACATCTTGCAAAACCACTGCATGGATGGATAGATGAATGTCTGAATGTGTAAGGAGGGTAAGTTTATGAAATCAGGGCATGTCTATGTTGTTCCTCACTGTAGCCCCAAGCATCTGGCACAGCTTGTCAGCACAAAGTAGGTGCTCAATAAATGTTTATTGGCTGGGTGCAGTGGCTCACGCCTGGAATCCCAGCACTTTGGGAGGGCAAGGCGGGTGGATCACCTGAGGTCAGGGGTTTGAGACCAACCTGCCCAACATGGCAAAACCCTGTCTCTATTAAAAATACAAAAATTTGCTGGGCGTGGTGGCACACACCTGTATTCCCAGCTACTCAGGAGGCTGAGGCAGAAGAATCGCTTGAACCCGGGAGGCAGAGGTTGCAGTGAGCTGAGATCACGCCATTGCACTCCGGCCTGGGTGACAAGAGTGAAACTTCATCTCAAAAATAAATAAATAAATAAATAAATGTTTTTAATTTTTATTTTATTATTTTTTTAGAGACAGGGTCTCGCTCTGTTGCCCAGCCTGGAGGGCAGTGGTGTGATCCCAGCCCACTGCAGCCTCAACCCTCCGGGCTCAAGTGGTCCTCCTGCCCCATAGCTGGGACTAATTTTTTGTAGAGACAGAGTCTCACTTTGTTGCCCAGGCTGGTCTCAAACTCCTGGACTGAAGTGATCCTTCTACCTTCCCTTCCCAAAGTGCTGGGATTACAGATGTGAGCCACTGAACCCAGCCTTGACTGGGTATTGACTGTGAGTACAGGGTGGGGAGAACTCACAGAGAGAGAGGTGTGAGTGCAGGGGAACCCTCCAACAGGATATACTTTATGGGGCTCAGTGCAAAATGAACATGGAGCCCTTAGTTCAGAAATTATTATGAATTCCAAGACAACCCAGGGGAGTGTTAAGTCAGGCCCTCGGGAGTGGGGAGACTTGTGTGACTCCTATGAAGCCAACCCTGACCTCCGATTGCCTGTGGAGCCTCACTGCCCCCCGGCCTCCCCCAGCCAAGTTGTTAGGGAGAGAGAGTATAAGGCCTGGGGCTCCCTGGGCTGTCTAAGGGAAGGCGAAGAGGGGAAGGATGGCCTAGTGTGGGCAGGCCTGGAGAAAGCTGAGGGAAGGACCCAAAGACCAGCAGACCTCTTCCCAGGAAGCCCCCCAGAGCCAGGCCCATGTCTGAGAGCAGCCCTCTGTCTTCTGTCCCCCCACACCAACCAGGCTGCTGGGTGGTCTAGACACATGTGGTCACATTTAGATGTTGATTGAAGCAAAATTATTATAAGATTAGAATATTTAAGGTAACTTTAATTTCCACTGCATTGCTGGGATTTTTGAGGATGAGGCCAAGAGATCCCCTGGGGTGGAGGTAGGGAGAATGGTGGGGGATGCAGGAGGGGTCTCCATCACCCCTGCCTGAGAGGAGAGGCTGCTGGCAACTCAAAAGAAGGAGGGAGAGCTAGACAGAGGGGAAGACTTCCCAGGAATCTTAGAAGCAGGAGTTCAGCCCTCCAGCAGATGTGGGGAGTGAAGGGCCGGCCTTGGTGGAACAGGAATTCACCAGCACCACACCTCCTCCCCAGACTATCTGAACATCCTGGACCACACATCTGTGCACATATCCCTCCCTTCAGGTTGCCAGACAGACAGAAAGGGGGGCCAAAGGAGGGTCCCATCCAGGACCTCCCAGGCTCCAACCTGGGGTGGTTGGGACCCAGAGGGTTTCTTATTGGCAGATCAGTAGAAATTTAGAAGGAATAGGAAAATAAGGTAATAGTA
Organism: Homo sapiens; assembly: GCF_000001405.40. NCBI lineage: Eukaryota > Metazoa > Chordata > Mammalia > Primates > Hominidae > Homo > Homo sapiens. Next base: position 36,130,312 of record NC_000001.11, on the reverse strand, counting down.
ATAAGGATTACTAACATTATTATTATTATTTTTGGAGACGAAGTCTCGCTCTGTCACCCAGGCTGGAGTGCAGTGGCACTAACTCAGGTCACTGCAACCTCCGCCTCCCAGGTTCAAGCGATTTTCCTGCCTCAGCCTCCCAAGTAGCTGGGATTACAGGCACCCACAACCACGCGCAGCTAATTTCTGTATTTTTAGTAGAGACGGGGTTTTACCATGTTGGCCAGGCTGATCTCAAACTCCTTACCTTAAGCGATCTACCCACCTTAGCCTCCCAAAGTGCTGGGATTACAGGTGTGAGCCACTGCACCTGGCCAGATTACTAACATTATTATTTACATTATTATTATAACATTACATTATTAACATTATTATTATAACATTATTACTAACATTATTATTATCATTATTAGAGACAAGGTCTCACTTTATTACCCTGTCTGGAGTTCAGTGACATGATCATAGGTCACTGTAGCCTCGAACTCCTGGGCTCAAGCAATCCTCCCACCTCAGCCTCCTAAGTAGCTGGGATTCCAGGAGTGTGCCACCACATCCAGCTTATTTATTTATTTATTTATTTGAGACAGAGTTTCGCTCTTGTTGCCCATGCTGGAGTGCAATGGTGCGATCTCGGCTCACCGCAACCTCCGCCTCCCAGGTTCAAGTGATTCTCCTGCCTCAGCCTCCCGAGTAGCTGGGATTACAGGCATGTACCACCACGCCCAGCTAATTTTGTATTTTAGTAGAGATGGAGTTTTTCCATGTTGGTCAGGCTGGTCTCGAACTCCTGACCTCGTGATCCGCCCGCCTTGGCCTCCCAAAGTGCTGGGATTACAGGCTTGAGCCACCGTACCCGGCCTCATTATCTCTTCTTCTTTGTCTTTTTTTTTTTTTTTTTTTAGATGGAGTCTTGCTCTGTCGCCAGGCTGGAGTGCAGTGGCACGATCTCGGCTCACTGCAGCCTCTGCCTCCCAGGTTCAAGCAATTCTCCTGCCTCAGCCTCCCGAGTAGCTGGGACTACAGGCACATGCCACCACACCCGGCTAATTTTTGTATTTTTAGTAGAGACGGGGTTTCACCATATCGGCCAGGATGGTCTTGATCTCTTGACCTTGTGATCTGCCTGCCTCGGCCTCCCAAAGTGCTATGATTACAGGCGGAGCTCAATATCTCTTCTAAGAGAGCTGACAGCACAATAGGAAAATGGAAGAGGGTGAGCCAGCTTGCCTGGAGCCACATCCCAGCTCTCACTTCCCAGCTGTGTGGCCATGAGTGAGCGAGTGATTTAAGCCCTCTGTGCCTCAGTTTTCCCATCTACAAAGTGGGGACAATAAGGAGACCAACCTCAAAGAGCTGTTATAAGGATTAAATGAGTTAATCCACATAAAGTGCTCAGAATAGTGCCTGGCATGAGGCAAGAGCCCTGTGAGTGTTTCCTGTTCATCATTAGGGGCTGTTATCCACCTTTCATAAAGGAGGAATTTGAGGTTTTAGAGAAATGAGGTCACTTGCCCACAGCTACAGAGAGGCAGCACTGGGATCCAAACCAGGTCTGCTGGACTCCTCAGCCCACTGTCTGAACCACTAGGCTGGTGCCAGAGATGACTCTGCCAGGGGCCGGGCTAGAAAGTTACATGTTGCGTCTGGTTCAGTTTAACTACCCACCCCATTTGATACCCCTGCCCAGGCCTAGAACGGTCCTTGAAGCCTCACTGGCCAGCTTCTGATTGTCGTGGCTGAGGGAACTAAATCCCAGAGAGGGGCAGCAACTTGCCCAAGGCCACACAGCAGATGATCATAGGCAGAGCTGACCCATTGATATCCAGACACCACCAGAGACAGGCCAAGGTGGAAGCCCCTGGCAGGGGCGGGTAAGGAGTCTGGCTGGGAGTTTGGCCTTGTCAAGAGATAAGGCTTGGTGTGAGAGTCCACGACCTCTGCGCAAATAGCTGGTGGATAAGGAGACAGCGGCCACAAGATCATGGCACAGCTGTCAGCCTCTACTGGGGGATGGGGAGCTGAGGCCCCCTTGGGGTTGGGGAGGCGCCTGATGGCCAATGAACACCAGGGCCACAGGATCTGGCCACGGGACAGGGCCCAGACTTGGCGTCCAGGGCTGGTTGAAAGGAGAAGGAGCTGCAGCCCTCCCTCCCTGCAAAGCACTGGGCAGGGGCAGGTGGGGCAGGGGTTGGGGGGAAAGGGAGGGGATTGGGGACAGGTGTGTACCTCATAGAATCAGGCCTGAGGGCCCCAGGAAAAGTGTAAGGAGTGAGTCAGGAGACCCAGGGGTGGGATCTGAGTGGGGGACCAGCTGAATTTGTGTCTGAATGTGGGTGTGAAGCCCATGGGAGTCCCTTTCCCACAAAGCATGCCCCTCCCTTGCCCGTTTGTGTCACCAGGCCCCACTTCATGCAGCGCTCCCTCCCTTCTCTCTAAACAGCTCACACTCAGAGTGAAGTGCTCTGCATGGATTGACTGTCATCCTCACAACATGCCTATGAGAGCTTCCCAGATGGAGAAACTGAGGCACCAGAGGTTAAGTGTTTGCCCAATGGCATGTGGCTGGTAGGTGGTGGCACTTGGATTTGAACCCAGGCAGTCTAACTCCAGGGTCTTTGCTGTCAACCTTTAGTCCCTGCTGCCTAGCTCCCACCCCCTCCCAGCCCGTCCCCATGCACACTCAGCCCCCATCAGATCCCCATGCAGGGTCTGGTTTCCACACCAGCTTCAGGGTCAGAACTCTGCAATCTCCCCTCAGTCGGTGTCCTCCTAGGCACCCTGCCAGCCAGGCCCCCTCCCTTCTCTGGGCAGTGCCCCAGCCTGGCTCCCCTGTAGTTCAGGCCAGGAGGCCAGACCCAAAGACCCCTGGCAATTGCCCCCAATTCTGACGGGTGGGATGGAGTGGGCCAGGCTCTGACGGTAGGTGAGGGTGAGAGGCCCCGTTGTGGAGTGGCGGGGCTGGTGTGTACCTTGGCAGGGGGACAGAAAAGTGGGAGGCCCTCAGAGGGCAGGCAGCAGAAGGGGGAAGGTTGAGGGGGGTGGGCCCTGACCCGAGACAGCCTGGGGCCCTCCCTGCTCCTTTCCTGGACCTGGTGAGGGCTCTGCTCTTTCCCACTGAAAATACACACACACACAGCCACACTCACCCCCACACACAGCCACCCACACCCCCCCACAGACACACAAACACACACACACACTCCCACCCACACTCACACAGCCACACACACCCACACCCACAAACACAGAGCCACACACACACTCCCATCCCCACACACAGCCACACACACACCCATACCCACAAACACACAGCGGCACCCACACACCCACACACACAGACACCCATACCCCCAAACACAGCCCCCCACACACACTCCCACTCACACCCCCCCACACAGCCACACACACAAAGCTACAATACACCCACACAGCCACACACACCCACACAAAGCCACATAGCCACATCCACACACCCAAATGCAGCCACACCCCCCACACCCCCCCACGCACATACCTCCCCACACGCACACAAATACACACCCCCACCCCTCCACACACCTACACACATGCTGACCCCCCACCCATGCGCGCACACACACACTTGCACACCCAAGCACACATACCTCCACATATGCCCACACCCACCTACACGCATGCACACACACACCCAGGCACGCACACACACACACATGCACACACACACACACACACCCACCTACACGTACACACACAGGCACGCGCACACACACATGCACGCACACACACGCCCACACCCACCTACATGCACACACAGACACCCACACTCACCTACATGCACACACGCACACAGACACACACACACACACACCCCAAAATCCTTTCCTGACCTCATCTCCCCTTCCCTCTGCACTTGCTGCCTCCTCCTTTCTCCCCTGCTGCCTGGCTACTGCCCCTACCCCCACCCCAACCTCCAACCCTTAATTGCTGTCCCTAAGAATGTCCTTCTGTGACAGCCCATCCCGTGGGCCTCCCTGGCCTTCTAGAAGCACTCTGCCTTTGCCTTCTGGGACACTGCTCTCCCGGTCCCTGCCATCTTCTCAGTCTCCTTTGCCGACCCCTCTCCCTGGGCAGCCCCGTGAATGCTGATGAGTGTCCTGCCCGCGCCCTGCCCGCCTCCCTGGGCCCGCTCCTTATTCTATGGCATCAGTCGCCATCTGCAAACCGTGGATTCCTCCTCGCTATCCCAGAACTCTCACCTCCCTTCCGGATCCATGGAAGTCCCACAGGCTCATCCAATTCATTACATCCGTCCTCCTTCTTCTCCTAGACCCTGCCGCCCCCAGGCCTAGCCCAAAGCCTGCGCACTGTCCTTGACACTGCTTCTTCCTAGGCCCCTCGCCCAAACTCTGCCTAGTTCGCCTCCTCACTCCCCTCACACTGGGCCCTCCCTTTCCTTCCCCCTCACTGTGCACCTCATGGGACCATGCCAGGGTATTCCCGCAGCCTCCTCGGTGGCCTGCCTCTATCTTCCTCCACACAGCTTCGGGAGGCTCTTTCCAAAGCACACATCTGACCACGTGACTGCCCTGCTCCAGAGCCTTCCGTGACTCCCCATTTCCGAGGGACGAGGTCTGGCCTGCTCCCGCCTGCCTCTGTGACCCCGGCTCAATGCCCTAAAGCCTGAATGTGCGGGTCACGACTGGCCCCTGTGAGTCCTCCGGGCTCAGCCTACCGAGGTCACGTCTGCAGGCAGCCTTCTGGGGACTCCTCACTGGGGGCCACCAGCCCGAGCTGCCCCTTCCCTGCAGGACCACGCCTGGCCGTCCTTCTCAGCAGCCGCGTCCGTCCCCACAGGCAGGTGGCCCCTCGAGGGCAGGGGCTGCGCGGACTCCCCGGCGGCCGAGCCGCGGGTCAGGTGGACGGGGAGGGATGGGGGCGGGCCGCCCGGGAGCGCGTGTGTGGAGGGGGCTCGGCGTGGGTGTCGGGGAGGGAGGCAGCCGTCCGAGTCCGCGCTGGGCGCGCTGGGCCGGGCGGGGCGCGGGCCTTGGCCGTGGCTGTGGAAAGAGGAGGGCGGAGGCCCCGCCCCGACGCGCCCCTCCTGCCGCCCGCCCACTCCGGCAGCCGCGAGGGGCGGCCGGCAGAGCGACGCGGAACCCCGCCGGCGCGGACCCCGGACCCCAACGCCGCCCGCCCAGCCGCGGACGCCCCTGCCCGGAGCCCTCGCCGCCCGGGCCGCCCTCGAGGGCCGGGAGCGGCGCCCGGCGGCCGCGCCCGCAGGTAAAGGCCAGGAGGCGGGCACCGGGGCTCGGGCTGGGGGGCTCCGAGGGCAAGACCTGGGCTGGGCTTCCCCCAACACCATGCGGGATAGCAGGGCCGGCGCCTCGGACTCCGGGGTGGGGACGCGGTGGGGGACTCGGGCCAGGGGGTCGCCTTAGAATGGGGGAGCCCATCCCGTTCCCTGTGCCCCGTTCCCTCCCCGGCAGGATCCCAGTAAAGCCCCCTCCTCCCTTCCTCTCCCAGAAGCGAGGGCTCCAGCATAAGACAGTGCCGGGTGCAACCCCCGACGATGTGGCTCTGGGCGCGTCACCACCTCCCGATCTCCCGTCCCACCTGTAAAGTGGGGATAAAAAAGCCGCCTTCACAGGGTAGTGGAGGAGAGAGGAGGGAGTGAGGGGCCTTAGCATCCCCCCGCTCTCACTCCTGCCCCCATCTCTCTGCCATTGCTGATTTGCTGGAGACCTTCCAGTTATAAGGTTTTTCTGCCTTAGCCCCCAGGTTCCTCCTATTCTAGGTGCCCTGTCAGTCCCCTCGCCCCAAACTGAAGACAAGTTCCCAGGAATGTTCCTGTCAGGGGCTCAGCATCCCCCCAGCTCCAGACTGAGACTTGCAGGGGGTGAGGGGCCGCTGCCTGGCCAAGAGGGACTGGGGTCCCAGGGCCCCAGAACAACCTCCCAGTGTCTCTGCCCTGGGTCTGGAGCCACCCTAGCCCCGGAAATCCTCCAGGTAGAGAAATGCTATTCAGCCAGAGGGCCCAGGAACGCTATTGCCACGGGGAAAACTTTGCTGGTTGTATGTGTGCACGCACGTGTGTGTGCCTGTGTGAGACCATGCTGGGTTCCTGACACAGACGTGCGGCTGACCTCCTTAGGGGTGCCGGAGCAACCAGAAATCATCCCTCCTGTCTGCTATCAGTACCTCTTGCTCAGGCTGGCAGCAGGGGCTCATCCACTCCTCTTAGCAGAGTCCCCTTGGCAAGGACAGCCTCCCAGCAGCTGTACTGGGCATTTGAAAAATCTGGGGGCCGTGGAGCTGGATGGCTGGAGGGTCAGGCAGCCTGGGGTTCCTCTCTGGGGACTGAGCTAAGATCGACTGATCCTTACTGCCCCAAGCAGAGGGGGCCGCAGGGCAGGAGTTGGTGATCTCTGGAGAGACACCATGGTTGGTGGTCTCCATCAGGGCACAGGTGCTGTCACTGGCTTCCCAGTGGACTGGTGAACACCTACAAACCCTTGGACACACAATGACCCTAGATGATAATGAGGAGAAACCACAGACATGCTCACCCAGCCACACACAGCCTTGCACCCTTCTGAGAGCCATGCACAGTCACACACCGACCCAAACATTCATTAGATTCATGCGGACACCCTCCTCTAATGAAACATACACCACCACAAGACACAGGCGGACACATGCACACACACCCAAACTCCTACAGACACATGGCAGGCCCCACGTGGCCCAGCCAGACATACTCAGACAGGACGGCACACACACACATACGCTCACACCCAGACACACTCACCAGGGTCTCTTTCTCTGGTTTCACTTCGTCTACCACAGTGAAAATGAGAATTTCCGCTCTTTGGCTCAGAGGAAGGGGAAAGAAAATATGGAAGTGAATGTGTCTGTTAGCAAGAGGGAGGAGAAAGATACTAAGCAGGGCTGTCAGCCTGAGCCCCTGTACTCCACTACCTTCTCTGCTCCTGCCTGAGCCGGAACAAAGGACGCACAGCCCCAGCTTCCTTGCCCTGCTGGCCCCCCAGCCCGCTCCAGAACTCTCAGTGGCAGGGATGGGGCACCTCTTACAGGGAAGTGGGGTCTCAGATGCGCTGGTCCCATCCGTGGCAGGAGGAAATTATAGTGTCGGGTCGGAGGAACGAGAGAGACACAGCGGCCTCTCCTCTGGGGTGTGGCTGTGGTCTCACGGTGCCCTACTAGGTACCCGAGGAGGGGCACCATGCAAGCCAAAGTGCAGATCAGGGAAGGTGGCACCTAAGAGGTAATCTGGCCAGGGCTTTCGAAGATGATAATTTTGACAGGTGCAGGGGGTGGAAAGGGTGAATGGGAGGGTGTTCCTGGCTGAGGGCACAGCTCGTGCAGAGGTGTGGAGGGGGAAGCTTCAGGGTTCTCTCAGGGACAGTGAGTAATGGGAGTAATGGGCACTGTTGGATCACACTGGGGAGTGGGAGGGACTCATGACTTTGAGGTCAGATTTCTAAGGGCCCTGTCTAGAGAAAGGGTGTGAGCTGCGAATGATATAATCTGGGAATCACTCTGGCTGCTCTGGGGAACAAGGATGAAGGGGGGATCTTCGAGGCAAGGGAGATCACAGAGGAGGCTGGGCAGAGTTTAAGGAGAAAGGTGACGGGGGATGAAGTGGGCGGTTGCCATGGGGATGAGAGGAAGAAGTAGATGGAAAGGAGTAAGCCGGTTGGCGATGGGGCCAGAAGCCTTGCACTGGATGGCTGTGGCCTGTCCCCAGAGAAGGCAGGTGCAGGGGAGATGTGGGTTTGGCGCTGGGGTCTGATAAGTTGAGATGACTGGGAGCTGGAGGCTGAGTGTAGCCTTGAAGCCTGGGTGGGTTTGCGAGGCCATATGTGGACACACATGTGCCCAAGTACCAGTCATGGAAGTCTGACTCCCAGAAAGAGAATTCCAGGCCCACTTTGTTCTGAGGGCATTTCCAGAGTGGGTGGAGTGTGGACAGCAGATCTTGAGTAAGGCAGCATGTGCTGTGTGGAGATGAGCTGGCATTGGGAGTCAGACAGATCTAGGACTTCCCAGCTCTGTGCCTCAGTTTCCCCATCTCTAAAATGGGAATGCTGTACTGGTCTCCAGAGTTGTTTTGCCTGCAGAGAGGTGAGGAGTAGTTCCAGGTCACACATGCAATGGGGGCACAGCACCTAGATCTTCCGATCAGTGTCCATTCCGCCTCTCTGGTTGGACCCTGGGAGTGGACTGGGGAGGACCTGGCCGTGCTTCTATTCAGATTCTTGGAAAGTTCTGAATTGGAGGCTGACTATCCCCATGCAGCCTGGATGGGCTGGGATTCCTGGCTTTTGAAGGGGAAGAAGAGGTCACATGTGGGGGTGGCGGAGGGCTAGTGCCTCATGGGGAGAGCCAGGTGGCACTGCTGGCCCAGCTCATGGATGGGGTTATGGAGACTCAGAGGGGAACTCACCTGAGGTCACACGGCAGCCAGAGGCAGAATCGAAACAGAGGCCAGGATCCCAGGCCCAGGTGCCCTTCCTCACAAAGGCTGCCCTCCCTCAAAGGACATGGAGCAGAGGGAACCTTACTGGGTTTTGTGATTTCTTTCTTTCTTTTTTTTTTAATTTTTTTTGAGACAGAGTCTGGCTCTTGTCACCCAGGCTGGAGTGCAGTGGCACGATCTTGGCTCACTGCAACCTCCACCTCCCAGGTTGAAAGATTCTCCTACCTCAGCCTCCCAAGTACCTGGGATTATAGGCGTCCACCACCATGCCCGGCTAATTTTTTGTATTTTTAGTAGAGATGGGGCCAGGCTGCTCTTGCACACCTGACCTCAGGTGATCCGCCCGCCTTGGCCTCCCAAAGTGCTGTGATTACAGGGGTGAGCCACTGTGCCTGGCCAATAAGAAGGAATTAGAACAGCAACTTTTTTTTTTTTTTTTTTTTTTTTTGAGACAGAGTCTGGCTCTGTCGCCCAGGCTGGAGTGTAGTGGCATGGTCTCGGCTCACTGCAACCTCCGCCTCCCAGGTTCAAGCCATTCTTCTGCTTCAGACTCCTGAGTAGCTGGGACTACAGGTGAGCACCACCATGCCCAGCTAATTTTTGTATTTTTAGTAGAGATGGAGTTTCACTGTATCGGCCAGGCTGGTCTCAAACTCCTGATCTCATGATCTACCCGCCTTGGCCTCCCAAAGTGCTAGGATTATAGGAGTGAGCCACCGTGCCATGCCTGGTCTTTTTTTTTTTTATTAAGACGGAGTCTCACTCTGTCGCCCAGGCTGGAGTGCAGTGGCGCGATCTTGGCTCACTGCAACCTCCACCTCCTGGATTCAAGCGATTCTCCTGCCTCACCCTCCTGAGTAGCTGGGATTACAGGTGTGCACCACCAGGCCCGGCTAATTTTTGTATTTTTAGTAGAGACAAGGTTTCACCATGTTGGCCAGGCTGGTCTTGAACTCCTGACTTCAAGTGAGCCACCCACCTTGGCCTTCCAAAGTGCTGGGATTATAGGTGTTAGCCACCATGCCTGGCCTTTCTTCCTTCCTTCCTTCCTTCCTTCCTCTCTCTCTCTCTATTTTTTTTTTTTTTTTTGAGACGGAGTCTCGCTCTGTCGCCCAGGCTGGGGTGCAATGGCATGATCTCGGCTCACTGCATCCTCTGCCTCCCGGGTTCAAGTGATTCTCTTGCCTCAGCCTCCTGAGTAGCTGGGATTACAGGCACACGCTGCCAAGCCTGGCTAATTTTTATATTTTTAGTAGAGATGGGGTTTCACCACGTTGGTCAGGCTGTTCTCGAACTCCTGACCTTGTGATCTGCCCGCCTCGGCCTCCCAAAGTGCTGGGGTTACAGGCGTGAGCCATTGTGCCCGTCCTCTTTTTATTTATTTTTTTGAGATGGAGTCTCTGTCACCCAGGCTGGAGTGCAGTGGTGCAATCTTGGCTCACTGCAACCTCCACCTCCTGGGTTTGAGCAATTCTCCTGCTTCAGCCTCCCTAGTAGCTGGGATTACAGATGTGTACCATCACTTCTGCTAATTTTTGTATTTTTAGTAGAGACGGGGTTTCGCCATGTTGGTCAGGCTGTTCTTGAACTCCTGACCTCAAGTGATCCGCCCGCCTGAGCCTCCCAAAAGGAATGGAATCTCAATTGTCGTACGTCTACAGTGTGTGGGGCATCTTCATAGCACAAGGGGTTTTTTGTGGAGGGGGAAAGAGGAATAGCAGGCATGAGAAGGTCAGACCCAGAGAGAGCCCAGAACCGTGAGGGCTGGGATGGTATTTTCTATTATCTAGGAACCCTTGGTGGTCCCTGGTGGGTCCTGCAAGGGAGGGAAGCCTCTGTGAAGAGGCGGGGCCTGAGCTGGGGGTCCTGGCCTCTGGTCTCAATTCTGCCACTGGCTGCTGTGTGACCTCAGGAGAGTTTTCCTCTGAGTCTGTGTAACCCCATCCATGAGCTGGGCCAGCAGTGCCAGCCTGCCTCTCCTTACAACCTGTGGTGAGGAGAAACCTAGATTGCGGGGTAGAGGGGTCAGTTATCTCCTGAAAGATCCCAGGTGGCCAACTCTTTGGTCTCCACACCCGTCCAGTGTCCACAGCCCCCACCACCCGGAAGTTCTCCTTTCTGGCTAGCCTCCTTCCTTCCCACTGTGCTGGCTGCCACCAAGCTCTGCGTGGGCACTCCAGGCCACGCTCCCTGACAGGCGACCACGGCTCTGCTCATGGCAAGCATTCTTTTCATAGTTCCTGGAGCACAGCAAATCCAGCTGCTTAGCCAGGAATGCAGAGCCCCCTCCTGCAGCGGCAGCAGGGGCTGGATTGGGGTTGGAACCCCTGGGGGTCAGGCAGGAGGGACTGAGGGGGTGCGGGGGACTGACCTTCACCCCAGTACACACCATGCCTCAGCTTGGGGGAGCCAGAAGGTTGTCCTCATCTTTGGACTTGCTTAGCTTGGGGCCAAGCTCTGGGACCATCCTTCCCTGGCTGGGGGAACTTGGGCAAATGGTGAACTTGGGTTCACCACTGTGCCAGGCCAGTGATTATATTTATAATAGGGCATATTTATTTAGGATTCCTATATGCCAAGCACTGCTCTGAGTCCGTTACACAAAATTAACTTGTTTAATCCTCACAAATGCTCTGTGAAGCTGAGCTGGGCAGCTTTATATGGGCTGGGCAGAGCTGGATTCAGATTCCACCCCTTTCACTTCCTAGCCTGGTTACCTTGGAGAATGGATGTGACCTCTCTGGGACCTAGCACTCTTCCTCAGTAAAATGGGACAGCAGTTCCAGCCTTCCAGGGTTACGGGAGTAAATAATGCCTGGAGTTCCCATTTCATTGATGAAGAAGCTGAGGCCCAGGTGGAGGTCTCATGCTAGTAAGAGCTAGGGCTGAGATAAGGATGCATGCAGCTGGGCTCCAGAGAGGTCCTCTTAATCCGACATGATTTTTAAAGCAAGACTCTTAGTCCAGAGCCTGCCCGTAGTAGGAGCTCAGAAATGGGAAATTTTCCCATGAGCCCCATCTCTGGCAGGAGCCAATTGTTCACCTCATGGCCATCAGCACCTCAGTCTGGAAAGTTGGAATGGGGAAGCGGGCCTGAGGCCCTGGCCAGCCTCCCTGGAACCCTGCAGCTCTCAGAAGCTGGTTGGGGGTGGGGGGCGGGGGGTGCAGACTGTCCCACCCACATCTGGTCTGGGATTTAGCCAACAGCGGCAGGCTCTGTGCAAAGGGGAGACGTCGCCAGGGGAGGGGCTCCAGGAGGGGATTAGGGAAGGCAGCTGGGGGTGAAGGTTAAGAACAGAGTCCCATTGAAGTCGGCTCAGGCACCGCCCTGGCTTACCCACTCACCCCAGCTTCCTATTTGTAAGACAGAGGGGGCCTTGGCCCACTGGAGTGGACTCCTGAGGCACCTGATAGTAGCTGCCCACTCTGCTCCCAGCCTTGCCTGTCCCTGGTGCCATCTAGGTTGAGGCAGCACAGGTGGGGTAGAGCAGGAGTAGGGGGCAGGGCCCGTGGCTGAGGTCTTCAGGGAGCCCAGGTATACAGGGCTTTAGCCACCTGGGGGCCAGGCAGAGCTGGGTTCAGATCCCACCTCCTTCACTTCCTAGCCTGGTTTCCTTAGAGAATGGATGTGACCTCTCTGGGACCCAGTGCTCCTCCTCAGTAAAATGGGACAGCAGTTCCAACCTTCCAGGGTTACAGGAGCCAATAGTGCCAGGAGTGTGCCTAGTGCTATGTCCAGTGCATACAATGAACTTGGGATGCAGACACCGTTGTTCTTAACGGTTAACATGGGGGAAGGGAATGGGGAAGCAGCTTTAGGTAGGATCCGCATCTCTGATCCTGATATTCAAGGCATTTCTCAGTCTGGCCCCAGCCAGGTCTCCTCTCCTCAAATCATCTGTATGGTGAAAAGCCTAGGCTTTGGAGCCTGCAGCCAGGGTTCAAATTCAGGTTCTACTTTTTTTTTTTTTTTTTAAGAGATGGGGGTATCACTATGTTGCCCAGGCTGGACTCAAACTCCTGAACTCAAGTGATTCTCCTGCCTTGGCCTCCCAAAGTGCTGGGATTACAGGTGTGAGCCACTGTGCCCAGCTCCAGGCTCTACTTTTCATGAGCTGTGTGATGTTGGGCCAGTTACTTATCCTCTCTGTCCCTTAGTTTTCTCATCTGTAAAAAGGGAAGATGAAATACTTTTGTCACTGGGTTGTTGTGAGGATTAAATGAGATAATTCATGAGAACACCCAGAACGGTACCTGGCACACAGTGGGTACACAATGAATATTAGCTATGATTAGTTAGTTCATGTGTTTGTCTATTTTATTTGGATTCTCTCCATCCCCTGAATATATTCAGGGCTTTTACACTCTCACACATGCTGTTGCCTTGGCCCAGGACTGATCACCTCTCTCCACTACCAACCAGTTAAATCCATGTTCATCCTTCAAAGCCCAGAGCCAGCTTAAGTCATTTCTTCTCCCAGAGTCTCATGGTGCAGGGACGGGGCTGGGGCCGGAGAAGCTGGGGCTAAGCTGAGCTGGAGGGTCCTCCTACCTGGGCTCCATCATCCAGGCTGTGGCCCCATGACCCAGCTCTGGGGTCATAGTGTTCAGAGTGGCAGGATGGAGGCAGGGCTCAGCTGAGTTGGAGAGAAGGCCTAGTTGCTGCTGGCTCCAGCATCTGGCTGCTTGTGCAGCTACAGACAGGACTGGATGTCAGAGTTTCCATGGGAGCAGGCAGAGGCAAGCAAGCAGCTGGGGGAGAGAGTGACGCGGCCTGCAGGCCTCCCTGCCAGGTGGGCTGGCTGGGCATCCCCTCCCCATCTACCCCGGAGTCATGTCTGGGTCTGGACTTTAGCTCTGGATCCTCTGCGTACAGCTATGTGACCTGGACTACGACTTTTGTTAGATCCTGGCACCACACCTGATTGAGGCAGAAATGGGGACCTAGCCATCCAGGGCTCTGACCACATCACTTCCCCCACTAAATAACCCTCCATGGCTCCCCATTGCTCTCCAGAGAAATGCAAGCATGGCATTCAGATTTCCTCACCATGTTGCCCCAGCCTCCCCATCCCACAGCACTTCTGGACCTTCCCTGTATATTACTACCTGAAATTCCTTCTATCACCTCATCTGCCTTTCAGACTCCGACTCATCCTTCAGGACCCAGCTGCAGTGTCCCTTTCTCCATGAAGCCTTCAGGGGAAGCTTAAGTCGGCAGTATTCCCTGCTTCATGCTCCCACAGCCCAGAGATCTTTGCCAATTGTGTGATGACCGCTTGTCTGATGCCCCCAGCCCTTCAGGGCAAGGCAGGGCAGGGTATGGGGTTGAACCATTTCTGTGGTCCATGACCCAGGCTTGGGTCCTCCACATAGTAGAAGCTTCCCCAGCAGGGATCCTAACCCAAAGTAGGGGCCACCCCAAACCAGAGCTGACATATGGGAGGGACTTCTCCAGCATGGGAACCCGGGACACAGAAGGGGCATCCTCAGCCTGGGCCCTAGGACAGTAGGAACTCCTTGAATCCAGGGCCAGGCACCCCGTGGGTATTGCTAAGTGTGCACTGAATGAATGGAGTTGTGGAGTATGGGGCACATACCCTGCTTCCCTCAGGGGAGGAGGGAACTGAGAAGAGAGACTGAGACTGGGGCCGGGTTTCCAGCAGGGGGTTCTGGTAAGAAGCCCGGGGCAGGCACTGGTGTGGCTGTGGGTTAGGGCAGGAGGCTTCCCAGGCTCCTGATGTCATCGTCTCACTGTTCCTCCTTTTTTTTTTTTTTGAGACAGAGTCTTGCCCTGTCTCAGGAGTGCAGTGGTGCAATCATAGCTTACTGCAGTCTTGAACTCCTGGGCTCAAGCAATACCACCCACCTCAGCCTCCTAAGTAGCTGGGACTATAGGCGTGCACCATCATGCCCAGCTAATTTTTTAAAATTTTTAGTACAGACAATGTCTCCCTATGTTGCCCAGGCTGGTCTCAAACTCCTGGGCTCAAGCAGTCTTCCCACCTTAGCCTCCCAAAGTGCTGGGATTACAAGCTTGAGCCACTGCCCCATAGCCTCACTGTTTCTCTTGTTCATCCTCAGGCCCTGCCTCTGCTGGAACCTTCCCAGGCCCCTCCGACCTGAAAGGTAAGCTAGGTTTGGGGATGGGGTTTTCTGATATCTCAGGCCAGATGAGGCCTGTGTTCATTGCTGTCTAACCTCACTCCCTCCTGCTGCACCGGAAGCCCCTCCCAGGCCCAGAGAGTCCTGTGAGCCACCCCTTTTGTATGTGACCTCAGCTCCCTGCAGCCCGGGCTTTAAAACCCTGGCCCAACTCGGAAGCAGCTTTTTCTCATTTGTGAACTATTTCGCCTGGCTCCTTGGCGGGGCCGTGTTTGCTTGGCCCAGCCTGGGTGCAGTGGCCTGGCTGTGCTCCCGCCAGGCCCCCTCCCTGCCCAGCCCAGCCCCTCCTGCTGCCGCTGCTGCCGCCACCACGCAGGGTAGCCGCAGAGGCCCAGGAATCTTGGCAGGCGTGGGGAGGCAGCGGGTGGCGGGTGGCGCTCCGGAAAAGGCTGCAAATGCGAACCAGAAGGTGAGGGATTGGAGGCTGAGGAGGCCCCGCCTGCCCCTGCCTGAGGCCTGGGGGTGGCTGGGTCTGTAGGGGCCCTCGGATGTCCAGTTCCCATCAGAAGCTCAAGGCCTCTGCTGGGAGGCAAGCGACGGCCCCAGCTGAGGCCGGAGCCCCTGGGTGGGGAAGGGCCAGCTGCCTGGCTACCTGCCTGAGGGTACATGGCTGCCCTCAGGTCTGCCCACTGCCGGGCCTTTTCTAGTCCATCTGCCCCTGCCCGGCTGTTCTTACCTTCCTGGGCACTTTGTTATTCTGAGATGCTCCTCCCTAGGGAAGCAGCGGAGAACCTAGACTCAGAGATGGGCAGAGGCCAGGGGCTTGGTCACCTGCAGGAGGGAGTTCGGTCCAAGCCCCCTCCAGCCCAGAACCAAGAAGGACTCAGGAAGAGCAACAAAGAGAAAGTGGCCCTGTGATAAGCCACCTGAGGGCTTGGCTGGACAAGGGAGGTGGGTTTTTCAGAGGCCTGGACCTGGAGCCCCCAGGCTACAGGCTTCATCGAGCACATGCCCTGTGCCCGCCTCAGGCAGGAGGGAGGTGTGGGTGGGGAAGAGGTGCTTTCATGCAGGTGGGTGCCCAGAAGGAGCTGTTCTGCCTGAGGGAGGCAGGGAAGGCTGCTTGGAGGAGGAGGCTTTTGAGCTGGGTCTTAAATGAGAACTAATATGTTTCCATGGAGGAGAAAGGTAGAAAGGGCAACCCAGCAGAGAGGATCATGCAGGAAAAGGCAGGGACAGGGAGGCAGTGAGACGTCTGGGTTGTCTGGATCCTAGTGTGTTGGGGGAGGAGCCCAGGGCTGTGGTGGGCTCCACTCACTCCCTAAATGTAGGCGTGTTCCCCAAGGGGGAATCCGTGGGCCTCCTCCAGGCTGCAGCAACCCCGCCAACGAACCTGTATTTTTTTTTTTTTTTTTTGAGATGGAGTCTCGCTCTGTCGCCCAGGTTAGAGTGCAGTGGTGCGATCTTGGCTCACTGCAAGCTCCGCCTCCCAGGTTCCCGCCATTCTCCTTCCTCAGCCTCCCGAGTAGCTGGGACTATAGGCGCCCTCTACCACGCCCAGCTAATTTTTTTGTATTTTTAGTAGAGATGGGGTTTCACCATGTTAGCCAGGATAGTCTTGATCTCCTGACCTCATGATCTGCCTGCCTCAGCCTCCCAAAGTGCTGGGATTACAGGCATGAGCCACCGCGCCCAGCCACGAACCTGTATTTTTACCTCTAGCCCATGTCTCTCTCCCGAGTTCCAGAGCCCCAGGTTCACTGCTCCTTGGTTGCCCCCCTACCCTGGAAGCCTTCCTCATCCAGTCATTTGCTCTGATTTCAGCTTGGACCGTCCCACCATCACCTGCCCCCGTGGGCCTGTTGAACTCTGATCTCTCCTTCAAGCCTCCTTCCGATGCTACTTCTGAAACTGAGGCCACTTGTGGTCTGGGAGCCTCACTTGCAGGGGTGAGGGATGTTGGGACTGTTAGGTGGAACTGAAGTCTGGTAGGGCAGACCAGGTGGGCAGGTGGCAGCCCTCCTCTCCTGCCTTCAACCTGGGTGAGAAGGTGGCCCCCAGGCAGTCCTGCCCTGATCTGGCCACCTCCCTCCACCCTCCAGCTCCCAGATTCTGAGCTCCTCTTTGGCTTTGGGGCAGTCCTTATCTGCACAGTAGATAGAGAGCTCAGCTCGTGGGCACTGGACCCCCCGCCAAGTCCCTTCCCAGACCTCGCGGAGCTGCTCAGGCATTGTCCAGGGAAGTCAGACCCAGACCTGACGTTAACAGGAGCAGGTGTGGACTGTCAGTGCTGGCCTTCCCAAGGGTCCCACCCAATGACCAACAGCTAGAGATTTACAGAGCCTGGAACCCAGAAAGTGACCTAGGCACAGGACATGGGAGAGGACAGAGAAGGACAAACAGTGTCAGAGATGGGTGGATAGGTGGGATAGTGATACAGAGACAGGATGAGAGAGACGCACAGAGACAGAGATGTCAGAGACACACAGGAGGCAAAGGCCTGGGTTCAGTGACACACAGCGATGGACTGAGGGATGCAGAGGGCACAGCACACACTCCGGTGGCTCCTGCGTTGAGCTGGTCCCTGGCCCTCTCCTTACCCCCGTGACTCTTAGACCTAGAGTGTGTGCCTCCAAACGTGACCTCAGGGCTTTGCTGGGCTCAACATCCATCTCTCTACCCCCTCCTTCCTAACTGGTCCACATTCTACTGAGTCTAAAGCATGCCTCCTCCTCCAGGAAGCCATGTGAATTGCAGAATAACATGGAATTTGTCCAGGAAGCCACTGGAAAATCCAGAGCAGGGGACAGCCATGGGCAGAACTGTGCCAACGTGTGGCTCACAGACGGGCAGGGTCAGCGTCCTCTGGGAGCTCGCTAGAGAGGCAGATGTTGGCCCCTATCCCACACCAACCGAATCTCGATGGGGCCCCAGAACCTGCATGGTGATAGGCTGTCCCAGTCATCCAGATGCAGCCTAAAGTGTTAGAAGCATTGTGGGAGTCTCCATAGGCTATGTTGAGAAAACAGAGAGAAAGTGGGGCTGGGGGACTGGGTGAGAGACTTTTATGATCATCCAGGAGAGAATGTGGCCATTTAACACACTTTTACTTAGTGACGGGGGTGTGCCAGGTGCTGGGCTGAGTTTTGGGGGAATACAAGGTCTGCCTTAGGGTGAGGCTGTGGGAAAGCAGGGGAAGGAACAGAAGTGAGAGAAATAGAGCAGGCAGAGTCCACAGGATAAGGTTGGAAGTTTGGGGGAAAGGAAGAGAGATGTCATGTACAGTTGTGCAGGTTGGCTACTGTACAAAGGCACCCAAGAAAGGTGATGAGTAGGAGCTGAGTTGGCTGAAAAGAGGGGTACACCAAGGCATAGAGGGTTTCCTGTAAGAAAGGAGGGTCAGAAGTGATGTTCACCCTTAAAACAAAAATAGGCCGGGCGCGGTGGCTCAGGCCTGTAATCCCAGCACTTTGGGAGGCCGAGGCGGGCGGATCATGAGGTCAGGAGATCGAGACCATCCTGGATAACATGGTGAAACCCCGTCTCTACTGAAAATACAAAAAAATAGCCGGGCGTGGTGGCAGGCGCCTGTAGTCCCAGCTACTCGGGAGGCTGAGGCAGGAGAATGGCGTGAACCTGGGAGGCGGAGTTTGCAGTGAGCCAAGATCGCGTCACTGCACTCCAGCCTGGGCAACAGAGCGAGACTCCGTCTAAAAAAATAAATAAACAAATTAATTAAATAAACAACAACAGAAGTGATGCTCAGATTTTTGGCCTTGGCACCTGGAGGTACAGGGCACTTGGGCTGGGGAGAAGCATGTAATGAGGGAGAAGGTAATGATAGCAGTTTGGGTGGGATCTCTGAGGGACAGCCAGGGGACATGCTCGGCTGATAGTTGAACACAAGAGTCTGAGGCTCAGTTGGGAAGCTGAGGTGGGAGGATCACTTGAGCCCAGTAGTTCTCTAGAGCAGCCTGGGCAACGTGGCAAGACCCTGTCTCTTAAAAAACTTAAAAATTAGTCCAGCGTGGTGGCTTACACCTGTAGTCCCAGCTGCTCAGGAGGCTGAGACAAGAGGATGGCTTGAACCCAAGAGTCTGAAGCTGCAGTGAGCTGTGGTCATGTACACCACTGAACTCCAGCCTGGGTGACAGAGCAGACTGTCTCAAAAAAAAAAAAAATGGCTCAGGGGAGACATCGTAGTTGGAGACAGATGTGGGAGTCCTCGGTGATGGAGTTGGCACTGTGGGAGCTGGTGGGAGCTAGACACTATAGGAGAAACATCCAGAGAGAAGAGATGAGGCCTGAGCCAGCTCCTTGGGCAAGCCTGGGTCTGGAGAGTGGGCAGAGGAAGTGGGCAGAGAAGATTCTGAGGAGGAGCTTTTCAAAGAAGGAGAAGAGCAGAGTGACAAGGTGGAGCACCCCGAGGTGAGAGGGTGGAGGGGGAGTGAGTGGGGCCTGAGGGTGGAGAGCATTCTTTCAGGAGGCTTGGCTGAGAAGGGCTGGGGAGTGATGAGGGTGGCTGGGGAGGGGTCAGGCCCGTGTGGACATATGGATGGAGAGGCTGGAGACTGGGGGCAAGGGCAGCAATGGCAGACAGTGAGGGGCCCCCGAGGAAGAGGTGTGGAGGGGCCTGGGCCTTGCTCCTTCTTCCGAGATTCAGGAAAGGAGGATGGGAAAGGGCTCCCCAGTTTCTACCAGCTGGGAGAGTAGTGGGGCAGGTGGGGCTCAGGAACCCTGGAGAAGTCTGGAGCTGCCAAGCTGGGCAGTTGGGCTGGGTGTCATGCCCAAAGGGTGAGGAGGGTTCCTCTGCTCCTCCCCAAGGTCCATAACTCATTCCTAGTCCTGAGCAGGCTTTGTGGCCCCTGGTCAGTTTCATCTCAGGAATGGTTGGGGAAAAGGTCAAGAAAGCCAGAAAATTGACTTTAGAAGTTTATTTTATAGGCCAGGCACGGTTGCTCATGCCTATAATCCCAGCATTTTGGGAGGCCGAGGCAGGTGGATCACTTGAGGTCAGGCGTTCGAGACCAGCCTGACCAACATGGTGAAACCCCATCTCTACTAAACATACAAAAAATAGCTGGGTGTGATGGTGTGTACCCCTGTAATCCCAGCCACACGGGAGGCTGATGCAGGAGAAATGCTTACACTCAGGAGGTGGAGGCTCCAGTGAGCCAAGATCTCATCACTGCACTCCAGCTTGGGTGAGATCACTGCACTCCAGCTTGGGTGAGAAAGTGAGACTCCATCTCAAAAAAAAAAAGTTCACTTTACAAGATCCTGACCTTTGGCAGCAAGTAACCTGAGCTTTTGAAGAGATGGAGGAAAGAAGTTGCTTTGCAGCAGGATGAATTGAAATTAGAGTGAAGAGAGGACTTCCAGGTCATCAGGGTAGCAAGTTGGGCAGCACACATGGAGGGACTGGTGGCTTAGATCATCTCAGTTAATCCTTTTTTTTTTTTTTTTTAAATGAGAGCAAGCTCATTAAGACAGTAAAGGAATAGGCCTGGCGCGGTGGCTCACGCCTGTAATCCCAGCACTTTGGGAGGCCGAGGCGGGTGGATCACGAGGTCAGGAGATCGAGACAATCCTGGCTAACATGGTGAAACTCCCTCTCTACTAAAAATACAAAAAGAAATTAGCCGGGCGTGGTGGCGGGCCCCTGTAGTCCCAGCTACTAGGGAGGCTGAGGCAGGAGAATGGCGTGAACCTAGGTGGTGGAGCTTGCAGTGAGTCGAGATCGCGCCACTGCACTCCAGTCTGGGCAACAGAGCAAGACTCCGTCTCAAAAAAAAAAAAAAAAAAGGAAGTAAAGGAATAAAAAGAGTGGTTACTCCAAGGCCTGGCGCAGTGGCTTACACCTGTAATCCCAACAGTTTGGGAAGCCAAGGCAGGCGGATCACAAGGTCAAGAGATTGAGACCATCCTAGACAACATGGTGTCTACCTAGTAGAAACCCCGTTTAGTAGAAACCCCGTCTCTACTAAAAATACAAAAATTAGCTGGGCGTGGTGGTGTGTGCCTGTAGTCCCAGCTATTCAGGAGGTTGAGGCAGGAGAATCACTTGAACCTGGAAGGCGGAGGTTGCAGTGAGCTG
Source organism: Homo sapiens (assembly GCF_000001405.40). NCBI lineage: Eukaryota > Metazoa > Chordata > Mammalia > Primates > Hominidae > Homo > Homo sapiens. The sequence continues at coordinate 36,109,637 of NC_000001.11, read as the reverse complement.
AGATCGTGCCACTGCACTCCAGCCTGGCTCTGTCTCAAAAGAAAAAAAAAAAAAAAGAGTGGTTACTCCATAGGCAGAGCAGCCCCTGAGTTAATCCTTTTGCAGATGAGGACACTGAGGTTCAGAGTGTTTAAGTGACCCATCCAAGATCACCCAGCTGGTAAGTAGCTGTGCTGAAACAGGAGTCCAGGGGCTGCCTGGAACTAGGAGGGCCTTAGAGGTCTCAGGGATGGGTCCCTGATAGGGAGGGCCTGAGCCAGAAGTGCTGTTCACCTGTTGTGATGACAGAGACAGAGCCAGAAGGAGGAGGGGAGAGAGGAGTCAGGAGTAGAGACCCAGCAAGAGCGCAGAGAGCAAGGCTGGGGAGCAAGGAGAGAGCAGCGCGGGGCGGGTGAGCAAGCAGGGCAGCCGGATCCCACAGCAATGTCTCCACAACAGGAAGCGTCTCATAACATACCTGTGGTTTGGCCAGGCCCTGGGGCTGCCTGAGTGCCCCCACCGCTCCCTCAGCTGCAGTTGCTCTGTCTGGGGTGGGTGGGGGGCTTGGAGCAGTAGGGGCCTGCGCAGGGCTGCGTTTCATCCACCCACCCTGTGGGGGTCTGCCGGTCCGTTGGGAACCTAGCGGGTGCCTGGGGTCCTGAGGCACCAACTCTCAGGCCCCCCTTTTTTATTGAGACCTCTGATCGCTCACCTGTGAAATGGGATGGGAGAGTGGGCAGGTCTTTCAATTCCATGCTACCACATAGCCCTCCTCTGCTGGTCGCCTCTAGGAAAGGACTCTTTCGGAGACCAGGACTGCTGGGAAGGGTCCCTGCTAGCTAATGTCCTTTCCCCTCTTCAGGCATTTCTGGGAGCAGTGAAGGGGTCTGCTTCTTGCCAATTATTTCTGCTGGGGCCCATTTGCTGCACACCACCGCCACTCTGCCACCACTGGTCTGAAAGATCCCAGAGCACTCCCCACTCCCAGCCGGTCTCCTTGGCCTCCCTGGGAGGAGGCCCGGGCTGCCACAAAATGCTGACTTGGACAGAATGCTGTTTTATGGGGATTTGCTGAAAAGGGGGGAAATCCCCGTTAAGGACTTGCAGCTGTCCAAACACTGCATCTACCCGAGGCCGCCACTGCGCCGTCCTCTGAATCAGCGTCTCCTGTGTGCGTCCCACCTCGGGCTCCGTGCCCCTGCCAGCCCTGCCGTCTTTCTACCTTCATTTCCCAAGGGGTCACCAGAGAGGGTGATGGCTTACCCAGGGTCACACAGCCAGTCGTGGGCAGAGCCAGGCTTGAGCCTCAGGGCCCAGCCCCTGACCCTTGACGGCCCTGCTTGGCCACTGTTCCCCATGGGGAGAGCAAGGAACACACAGATGAAGTGTCCTCCCCTGCACACCTCTAATCCCAGAGCACATGGTTCTTAGTTGAGGTCCTATGATTGAGGCCATGTGAATGTTCCTTGCTTTTCCCGTTCTAGCCCAGATGAGCCCCTTGGACCTGGGGAATGGACTCCCTGGGTGAATGTGACATTTATCTGTGCAAAGCTGAGGAAAGGACTGAGTGTGTTATTGGTGTGTCCTTTAAATTTGATGGTGAATTGAGTTCATCAAACACTGGAGCATCACTGTGTGCCAGCCAAGCCCTGTACAGGGCAGAGTGGGGGAGCGTGGTGGAAAGAGGTGGAGAGCTACGGGGGGAAACAAGAGCGATGACGGGGACCCGTGGGTATCGGCAGGCCTCAAGGGAGGCGTCCAGCCAGTTTCCCAGGTGTCGAGAGGGCAGAATGTACAGAGGCCAGAGAGCCCCAGGGAGGCCCGGCATGTGTGCAGGAAGCAGGGGAGGTCAGGGGGCAGGGATTGCAGTGAAAAGGAGGCAGGTGGGCAGGGGGCTCAGAGGTGCCCAGGCCCCTGTGGCTCTGATGGTGCTGGGGTGGGGGCAAACCGTCGTCCCTGGGCTGCCGGTTTCACCATTCCAGGGGGCATCATTTCTTTTGCAGCCCCTTGAATAGGCCGCACACACCCTTCTCACCGCTGTGGCCAGTGCGCACTCCCCAGCTCCACCCAGATGGGCGCATGCCAGGTTCCAGCTCTGAGAGCCAGGGTGAGCCTCCTCTCAAGCCCACAGGCCCTTGGAGTTGGAAGAGAGATGCCTCTGTTTGCGTCTGTCTCTGCTGTTGCTCTCTGCCTTACTCTCCCTCCATGGCACTACATCAGAGTGGTTAGGAGCTCGGGGTTCTTTTTTTTTTTTTGAGACAGGGTCTCACTCTGCCACCCAGGCTGGAGTGCAGTGGTGCAATCACGGCTCACTGCGGCCTCAAACTCACAGGCTCAAGCAATCCTCCCACTTCAGCCTTCCAAGTAGCTGGGACTACAGGTGCACCACCATGCCTGGGTAATTTTTTAAATTTTTAGTGGAGATGAGGTCTCACTACATAGCCCAGGCTGGTCTTGAACTCCTGAGCTCAAGTGATCCTCCCGTCGCAGCCTCCCGAAAGTGCTGGGATTACAGGCATGAGCCACCGCACCCAGCTGAGCTCAGGTTCTTAACGGGCCTCTCTGGAAATCCCTGAGTCTCCTCATTTGTGAACTAGCACCTCTTGCCCAGGGACGCTGTCAGAATTAAGTCACGTATTGCGTGTAAAGCCTTGTGGCAGTTCCTGACACCTGGTCTTCCAGCTGCAGTCCTCACTCAGACCCTCCTCACTCATACCCTCCTCACTCATGGCGACACCTCTTTGGAGTCCTGGCATCAGACCTGACCTCAGCGAGCAGAACGCAGTGCAGGATGGAAGGGTCTGGGATGGGGCAAATTCAGGGAGCCAAGAGGGTGGGTCAAGGACACTTGCTGGAGGACCCCCATTACCAAGGAGGAAGGAAAGGTGGGCAGCTTGCGGGGGTGCCGCCTGGGCTCCTGGCTGCACTTGGGGCTGTTCCTTGGCGCCCTGCTGCCTGAGCTCCTCGAAGTCCTTTTTGCCCTGAGCACCCTCCCAGCTGCACCCTCCATCACTCCCAACCCCCAGAAGCCAGGGCTGTTCTGGATCCTCTTGTGGTGGTGTCAGGACTTTGACCATGGGCCAACCAGGCCAGAGCAGACCCTCCCCTCCCTCGGCTTCCTGCCACACACTCTGCCCCTTCCATCTGCTCCCCCATCCCCCTGTCCACCCACCAAGCAGAACATTCTGGTTCTGTGCACATGTGGGCAGCCCCCAAGCTCAGGTGGCCAGTGCAGGAGGGCCCTCCCCTGCACAGGAGAGTGGGGATGGTGTGGTGGTTACGGGCTGGAACTCGGGACTTGGACTGCCTGGGCTTAGGCTCTCACTGTGGTGCTCTTGGCGAGTGGCCCCCTCAGGCAGTTTCCTCATCTCGTTTTTTTTTTTGTTGTTTTTTTTTTGACGGAGTCTCTCTCTGTCGCCCAAGCTGGAGTGCAGCGGTGCCATCTCAGCTCACTGCAACCTCTGCCCCCTGGATTCCAGTGATTCTCCAGCCTCAGCTTCCTGAGTAGCTGGAATCACAGCCACCATGCCTGGCTTATTTTTGTATTTTTAGTAGAGATGGAGTTTCACCATGTTGGCCAGGCTGGTCTTGAACTCCTGACCTCAGGTGATCCGCCTGCCTCGGCCTCCCAAAATGCTGGGATTACAGGTGAGCCACCGCGCCCTGCCTCCTCCTTATCTCTCTCTCTCTCTTTTTTTTTTTTTTTTTAAGTGAGACAGGATCTTGCTGCTGCTTAGGCTGGAGTGCAGTGGCACAAACCTGGCTTACTGCAGCTTCTACCTCCTGGGCTCAAGTGATCTTCCTGCCTCAGCCTCCTGAGTAGCCAGGACTACAGACCCGCGCCACCAAGTCTGGCTAACTTTTTAATTTTTTTGGTAGAGACAGAGTTTCACTATGTGCCCAGAGTGATCTCAAAGTCCTGGGCTCAAGCGATCTTCCTGCCTAGGCCTCCCAAAGTGCTGGGATTACAAGTGTGAGCCACCATGCCTGGCCAGTTTCCTCATCTCTAAAACAGGGATAACATACCTCACAGGCGTGTATGAGGATTACGTGTAAAGCATGAGGCCAGTGCCTGGCAAGGTACCCCAGCAGCATTCCCCGGTGGGTCAGGCCTGCGTAACGTGGCCTTGATGGGTTCTGCCATCAATCAGAGCAAGGTGAGGCGGGCAGCCTGTGCTGAGGGGAGGCTCTGGGCGAGGCCTCAGCTGACACTTAGACTCTTACAGTTGGAGCTTCCATTTCCTACCTCTGTAAAATGGGGGTAATAACTGCAGGATCTTCATGGGTTTGTTGAGGGGATTAAAGTGAGCTATGGCCTTTGAGGCCTGGATCACTCCTTGGCACACAGGGACAGATGTGGCAAGTGTTGCTATGATACTGAAGCTCAGGAAGGTTAAATGGCCCATCTGAGGTTACAGAGTGGGTTGGTGGTAGAACTGGGATTCGAACATGAGAGCTGACAGGTCCATGGATCTTCTCTGGAGCCCTGCATTAATTCCTGCAAAGCTCCATGTGATCCTAAGCTTGGAGGAGCAGGGACCTCAAGCCCAGACCTAGCCTGGCCTGAGGGAGGCCTTCTCCCCACACACATCCCCAGACGCCCACAACCCACCCTCAAACTCCACTTGTTGCCAGGCAAAGATGCAGAGAGGTCCCTGCGTAGGGTGAGGGGAACCCAGAGCAGGGATTCGAGGGGAAGTGGGACTTTCCTCGGGTATGAAAAACACCAAATAGAACCTCCTTCGAATAATGGGAGCCCACTCTGAGCCAGGTGCAAAATCTCCACTTATCACAGCAGCCCCAAGAAGCAGGTTTTAACCCACTTTATTTTTATTTTATTTAATTAATTAATTAATTAATTTTTGAGATGGAGTCTCGCTCTGTCACCCAGGCTGGAGTGCAGTGGCGCGACCTCGGCTCACCGCAAGCTCCGCCTGCCGGGTTCATGCCATTCTCCTGCCTCAGCCTCCTGAGTAGCCGGGACTACAGGCAAGTGCCACCACACCCGGCTAATTTTTTGTATTTTTAGTAGAGACGGGGTTTCACTATGATCTCGATCTCCTGACCTCATGATCCGCCCGCCTCGGCCTCCCAAAGTGCTGGGATTACAGGTGTGAGCCACCGCGTCCAGCCTATTTGTATTTTATTATTTATTTATTTATTTATTTGAGGCAGAGTCTCACTCTGTCACCAGGCTGGAGTGCAGTGGCACGATCTTGGCTCACTGGAACCTCCGCCTCTCTGGTTCAAGCGATTCTCCTGCCTCAGCCTCCTGAGTAGCTGGGACTACAGGTGCATGCCACCACGCCCAGCTAATTTTTGTATTTTTAGTAGAGATCAGGGTTCACCATGTTGGCCAGGATGGTCTCGATCTCCTGACCTCAGGTGATCCACTCGCCTCGGCCTCCCAAAGTGCTGAGATTACAGGCACGAGCCACTGCGCCTGGCCCATTTTTTGTTTTTTGAGGTGGAGTTTTGCTCTTGTTGCCCAGGTTGGAGTACAATGGCATGATCTCGGCTCACTGTGAGCTCCGCCTCCCAGGTTCAAGCAATTCTCCTGCCGCAGCCCCCCAAGTAGCTGGGATCACAGGTGCCTGCTGCCACGCCTGGCTATTTTTTGTATTTTTAGTGGAGATGGAGTTTCACCATGTTGGCCAGGCTGGTCCTGAACTCCTGACCTCAGGTGATCTGCCTGCCTCAGCCACCCAAAGTGCTGGGATTACAGGCATGAGCCACGGTGCCCAGCTAACTCACTTTAAAAAAATAACAGGTGGGGGCTGGGTGTGGTGGCTTACGTCTGTAATCCCAGCACTTTGGGAGGCTGAGACGGGTGGATCACCTGAGGTCAGGAGTTTGAGACCAGCCTGGCCTACATGGTGAACCCTCATCTCTATTTAAAATGCAAAAATTAGCTGGGCGTGGTGGCATGCACCTGTAGTCCCAGCTACTCAGGAGGCTGAGGCAGGAGAATAGCTTGAACCCGGGAAGCAGAGGTTGCAGTGAGCTGAGATTGTGCCATTCATTGCACTCCAGCCTGGGTGACAGAAGCAAAACTCTGTCTCAAAAAAAAGAAAACAAAAAACAAAAACACAGATGTGGGCCTCACGCCTGCAATCCCAGTACTTTGGGAGGCCGAGGTGGGCAGATCATGAGGTCAGGAGATCGAGACCATCCTGGCTAACACAGTGAAACCCCCATCTCTACTAAAAATACAAAAAATTAGCCGGGCGTGTTGGCGGGCGCCTGTAGTCCCAGCTACTTGGGAAGCTGAGGCAGGAGAACGGTGTGAACCTGGGAGGCGGAGCTTGCAGTGAGCCGAGATCACACCACTGCATTCCAGCCTGGGCAACAGAGCAAGACCCTGTCTCAAAAAACAAAATCAAAAAAACTTTCTGGCTGGGCATGGTGGCTCATGCCTATAATCCCAGAACTTTTGGAGGCCAAGGTGGGAGGATTGCTTGAGCCCAGGAGTTTGAGACCAGCCTAGGCAACACAGTGAGACCCTGTCTTTACATAGGCATGGTGGCATGTGCCTGTTGTCCCAGCTACTTGGGAGGATGAGGTGGGAGGATTACTTGAGCCCGGGAGGCCGAGGCTGCAGTGAGCCATGATTGTGCCAACTGTATTCCAGTCTGGGCAACAGAGTGACACTGTGTATCCAAAAAATAAATAAAATAACAGCTTTAGGCTGGGTGCAGTGGCTCATGCCTGTAATTCCTGCTCTTTGGGAGGCTGAGGCAGGCGGATCGCTAGAGGTCAGGAGTTCAAGACCAGCCTGGCCAACATGGTGAAACCCCATCTTTACTATAAATACAAAAAATTAGCTGGGTGTGGTGGCAGGCCCCTGTAATCCCAGCTACTCAGGAAGCTGAGGCAGGAGAATCTCTTGAACCTGGGAGGCAGAGGTTGCAGTGAGCTGAGATGGCACCACTGCACTCCAGCCTGGGCAACAGAACAAGACTCCATCTCAAAAAAAAAAAAAAAAAACAAAAAACCAGCTTTATAGATATAATTCACACATCATACAATTGGCCCATTCAGTGTACAATTCAGTGTTTTTTTTTACTGTGTTCATAGAGCTGTGCAATTTTCACCACAATCAATTTTTGAACATTTTCATCTTCCCTAAAAGAGTTTGAGACCAGCCTAGGCAACACAGTGAGACCCTGTCTTTACATAAAATAGAAAAAATTAGCCAGGCATGGTGGCACGTGCCTGTGGTCCCAGCTACTTGGGAGGCTGAGGTGGGAGGATTACTTGAGCCCGGGAGGCCGAGGCTGTGCCCATTAGTCGTCACTTCCCATCTCTTCCCCACCCCAGCCTTAGGCAACCACTGATCCACTTTCTGTCTCTATGGATTTGCCTATTCTGGCCATTTCATATAAATGGAATCACACAACATGTACATTCCATATCTCACTTTTCACTGTTTTCAAGATTCATCTGTGTTGTAGCAGGTGTCAGGACTTCCTTCCTTTTATATATATATATTTTGAGACCAGGTCTCCCTCTGTCACCCAGGCTGGAGTGCAGCTCACTGCAACCTCCACCTCCTGAGCTCAAGTGATCCTCCCTCTTCAGCCTCCTGAGTAGCTGGGACCACAGCACGCCCACACCCAGCTAATTTTTTGTTTGTTTGTTTTGTAGAGATGGGGTTTCACCAGGTTGCCCAGGCTGGTCTCAAACTCCTGGGCTCAGACAATTCACCCACCTCTGCCTCCCAAAGTACTGAGATTACAGGCGTGAGCTGCTGTGCTTAGCCTATTTATAGATATATTTTTAAATTTGGGGTTTTGCTATGTTGCCCAGGCTGGTTTTAAACTCAGGGCTCAAGTGATCCTCCCACCTCAGCCTCCTGAGTAGCTGGGACTACAGGTATACACCACCATGCCCAGCCTGTACTTCATTCATTTTCATTGCCGAGTAATATTCCATTGTATGGCGATACCACATTTTATTTGTCCATGGACATTTGCGTTGTCTCTACTTTTGGCTGCTGTGAATATCGCTATTATGAACATTCACATATAGGTTATTGTGTGGACATCCTCTCTCATTTCATGGATGAGGAGACCTCCTGCCCAGGCTCCCACAGCTGGGAAGGGGAAGGGGAAGGCTGCCTGGCTGGTTCCAGAGCCTGTGCTTCTTCCTCACCCAGGCTTTGTTCTCTGAGTTGAGCCAAATGCTGTGACAGGCATAGGTCAGGGCACAAAGAAATGAGGCTTTATAGAGGAAGGGATGACAGCCTCCCAGGGCCATAAAAGATGAGTAGAGGAGGAAAATAACATTGCAGGCAGAGAAATAGCAGGCGCAAAGGCCAGAAGTGTTAAGGTGCCCGGTGCCTGGGAACTTCAAGTTCTGGTTTACTGGGTGGAGGTGTGGGGAGGTGAGGGGCAGAGAAAGGGATAGCAGGCAATAGAGTTGGAGACACAGGCACAGAGTAGGTTAGAAAGGCCTTGAATGCAGGCCGGGCGCGGTGGCTCATGCCTGTAATCCTAACACTTTGGGAGGCTGAGGCAGCCGGATCACCTGAGGTCAGGAGTTCGAGACCAGCCTGGCCAACATGGCGAAACTCCATCTCTACTAAAAATACAAGAATTAGCCAGGCGTGGTGGCACACACCTATAATTCCAGCTACTTGGGAGGCTAAGGCACGAGAATCGCTTGAACCCGGGAGGCAGATTTTGCAGTGAGCCAGGATGGCGCCATTGCACATTGCACTGGGCGAGCAAAACTGTCTCAAAAAAAAAAAAAAAAAAAAAAAAAAAAAAGCCTTGAATGCTATGCTAAGCGCCATAGACTTGATCCCAAAGGCGAGTGGCAGGGAGTCCAGAAGGGCATCAGCAGAAGGTGCAGTCAGACAGACCTAAGACAAATCCCATCTCTGGCTTCCTCAAGACTTTTGCTTTAGTTTTATCATCTGGAAAATGGAGATGACAATAATAATAACTTGTTAAAGTGTTCTGAGCATTAAGTGAATTCATGTCCCTAAAGAGCTCAGCCTAGTGCCTGGCAGAGAGCTGGCCCAGCAATGGAAATGGGTGTTGACATCCAAGAGTTTTTAGCAGGGGAGGTCAGACTGCTCTAAAAGGCACGCCCGGCTGCAGAGAGTGACTGGCTGGTTTTGAGGAGGCTGCTGTCCTGGGGAGGCTGGGCTCTCGGAGATGGTGGGGGTGATGAACAGCCACAGGCAGGGTCTGAAGAAGTTTAGGAGGTGGCTTATGCAGACCCCCGCGACTTTGAAAATTGCTTGTGAATAATATCTAAATTCGGAATTGCTTCTCAGCCTTTTGACTGAAATCTCCAGTGTAATCTCTAAATTCTGATCTTTTGGTGACCCCGGGCCTAGTGCCAAACCACCCAGGGCTGGCTTGATGACTTTCTCTGTTCTTCTTTGCAGCACGTCCACGGACGCCATGCTGGGGACTCTGACACCCCTGTCTTCGCTGCTGCTGCTGCTACTGGTGCTGGTGCTGGGGTGTGGGCCGCGGGCGTCCTCTGGTGGCGGGGCCGGTGGGGCGGCGGGCTATGCCCCAGTGAAGTACATCCAGCCCATGCAGAAAGGACCTGTGGGACCGCCCTTCCGTGAGGGCAAAGGCCAGTACCTGGGTGAGAGCCTCCTCACCCCACAGTGCCTCAAATCGCTCCCAGCCCCCAAATCCCCTGCCTCCCTGAGAGCCATCAGATCCTCAGGCGCCCTCCACAGCTCCTCATTCCCCACCAATTTTCCTACCTTCAGTGTTTTTCCTAATACCCCAGAGGGCCTGGAAACGGTGCAGTTAGCTGGCACAGGTGGTCTTCCAAGGGGGAGATGAACTGGGAAGTTGGGAGGTGGGGCTCTGCTCCCACGGGCTCTAAGGTGGGCTGCTGGTGCCACCTGGTGGCCACTCCACCTTCAGGTCATGCAGGGATGAGAGGTGAGAATCAGCCAGGCTCATGGAGGAGGCCCAGCCTAGGTAGGTTGGGTGTTAGGAGCCCTTAAGGAGGACACCCTGTTGCCCCCAAGATGTCCCCTGGGCCACCCCCAAACCCCATCTTCCATGAGAGCAGGAAGGGGCAGCCCCATTCTTCCTCTCCCGTGTACCTCATACTGGAATGGGGGAATGGGTAGATGGGGTCCCCTGTCCCCACAGTTCAGGCCCCTGACTGCCCCTTTCTCTTTCTTTCTCAGAAATGCCTCTACCGCTGCTGCCGATGGACCTGAAGGGAGAGCCCGGCCCCCCTGGGAAGCCCGGGCCTCGGGGTCCCCCTGGCCCCCCTGGCTTCCCAGGAAAACCAGGCATGGGAAAGCCAGGACTCCATGGGCAGCCTGGCCCTGCTGGGCCCCCTGGCTTCTCCCGGATGGGCAAGGCTGGTCCCCCAGGGCTCCCTGGCAAGGTCGGGCCACCAGGGCAGCCGGGGCTTCGGGGGGAGCCAGGAATACGAGGGGACCAGGGCCTCCGGGGACCCCCAGGACCCCCTGGCCTCCCGGGCCCCTCAGGCATTACTATCCCTGGAAAACCAGGTGCCCAAGGGGTGCCAGGGCCCCCAGGATTCCAGGGGGAACCAGGGCCCCAGGGGGAGCCTGGGCCCCCAGGTGATCGAGGCCTCAAGGGGGATAATGGAGTGGGCCAGCCCGGGCTGCCTGGGGCCCCAGGGCAGGGGGGTGCCCCCGGCCCCCCCGGCCTCCCTGGTCCAGCTGGCTTAGGCAAACCTGGTTTGGATGGGCTTCCTGGGGCCCCAGGAGACAAGGGTGAGTCTGGGCCTCCTGGAGTTCCAGGCCCCAGGGGGGAGCCAGGAGCTGTGGGCCCAAAAGGACCTCCTGGAGTAGACGGTGTGGGAGTCCCAGGGGCAGCAGGGTTGCCAGGACCACAGGGCCCATCAGGGGCCAAAGGGGAGCCAGGGACCCGGGGCCCCCCTGGGCTGATAGGCCCCACTGGCTATGGGATGCCAGGACTGCCAGGCCCCAAGGGGGACAGGGGCCCAGCTGGGGTCCCAGGACTCTTGGGGGACAGGGGTGAGCCAGGGGAGGATGGGGAGCCAGGGGAGCAGGGCCCACAGGGTCTTGGGGGTCCCCCTGGACTTCCTGGGTCTGCAGGGCTTCCTGGCAGACGTGGGCCCCCTGGGCCTAAGGGTGAGGCAGGGCCTGGAGGACCCCCAGGAGTGCCTGGCATTCGAGGTGACCAGGGGCCTAGTGGCCTGGCTGGGAAACCAGGGGTCCCAGGTGAGAGGGGACTTCCTGGGGCCCATGGACCCCCTGGACCAACTGGGCCCAAGGGTGAGCCGGGTTTCACGGGTCGCCCTGGAGGACCAGGGGTGGCAGGAGCCCTGGGGCAGAAAGGTGACTTGGGGCTCCCTGGGCAGCCTGGCCTGAGGGGTCCCTCAGGAATCCCAGGACTCCAGGGTCCAGCTGGCCCTATTGGGCCCCAAGGCCTGCCGGGCCTGAAGGGGGAACCAGGCCTGCCAGGGCCCCCTGGAGAGGGGAGAGCAGGGGAACCTGGCACGGCTGGGCCCACGGGGCCCCCAGGGGTCCCTGGCTCCCCTGGAATCACGGGCCCTCCGGGGCCTCCCGGGCCCCCGGGACCCCCTGGTGCCCCTGGGGCCTTCGATGAGACTGGCATCGCAGGCTTGCACCTGCCCAACGGCGGTGTGGAGGGTGCCGTGCTGGGCAAGGGGGGCAAGCCACAGTTTGGGCTGGGCGAGCTGTCTGCCCATGCCACACCGGCCTTCACTGCGGTGCTCACCTCGCCCTTCCCCGCCTCGGGCATGCCCGTGAAATTTGACCGGACTCTCTACAATGGCCACAGCGGCTACAACCCAGCCACTGGCATCTTCACCTGCCCTGTGGGCGGCGTCTACTACTTTGCTTACCATGTGCACGTCAAGGGCACCAACGTGTGGGTGGCCCTGTACAAGAACAACGTGCCGGCCACCTATACCTACGATGAGTACAAGAAGGGCTACCTGGACCAGGCATCTGGTGGGGCCGTGCTCCAGCTGCGGCCCAACGACCAGGTCTGGGTGCAGATGCCGTCGGACCAGGCCAACGGCCTCTACTCCACGGAGTACATCCACTCCTCCTTTTCAGGATTCTTGCTCTGCCCCACATAACCCGCGGGGGGGGTCCTGCTGCCCTGGCCTCCTCCCCTTTAGTGGTAGAGCGACCTTTTCAATTACAAAGAACCTCCTGGAAAAAAAAACAAAAGCTGAACAGAGGCGGCCGTGGCCTTGGCCCGAGGAGACTAACTTGCTTTCTCCCTGCATGCAGGCTGAGATTGTTTCTGGAAGGGGCTGGCCTGAGTTTCTTTCCCCCAAATGTCTGTGCAGTGTCAGGGCTGCACCCCATAGGCCCTGAGGCACACAGCCCAGCCCCTTGTGAGTCCTGGCCTCTGCTGGGCCCTGAAGGAGCTGAGAGGGAGCTCAACTCCCCACCCCGCCACGTGGGGAGACAGCCCTTCCCACTGGCTCCCTGATGGCACCTGCTGGAGGAAAGGGGCACGGCCTCCCTCACAGCCCTTGGCTGGGGCTCCTCCAGCTCCCCCTGGGACCTCCAGCATATGACAGTGGACTAAGGACTGTGGGGTTTTCCTCCAAGGGGAAGGGAGAAGAGGGGACCATCGAGGTGGCGAGTGTGGACACCCTGCCAGGACTGCAGCCCCCATGGTGATGCTGTGGCATCAGACATGTCCGTGGTGGGCACAGTGCCTGTTGCCCTGGGAAAGGGCAACCTCCCTTTCACTGCTCCAGTGGCAGCCATGGGGAAGGCAGTTTGTGAGGGCTTGGGGCACAGACCTGGGGCAGGAGGCAGCTCTTCACGTTCATCCCTGTCTCTCCCGGGCTGCCCCCGCCAGCTCTGGCTGTTTAGCTTGAGGGCAGCACAGAGGCCCCTGGGACACCTACAGGCCAGAAAGATCAACCTCTGTGAAGTGTCTAGAAGTATCTAGTGCAGATGGTGGCGGAGGCAGAATCGACCATCAGCAAACATGAGCACTCTTCCCTTTCTCCCCTTCCACCTGCTGCGGGCTGGGCTGGTTTTCTCAATACAAAATTGTAAGAGGATCCTTGTCACCCCAGCCAGGTATCCCCAAGGCAGAGCACCTCTCGTTTGGCCCTCTGAACAAGGTGCACGCGAGCTGGGGGATGAAGACGGCTCCCACTTCCTTTTCCTTAATAAGAACCATATGGTGGGTGTATGTGTGTACAAGAGGGGTTCATCTGTGGGGGCTTCCTCTCCTTCCACCCTCTGGTTCCAATTTCCTGTTCTAAGCAGGACTAGGGCCCAGGAGGCTAAGGCTGGGAGAGAAAGGGTGCCAACAGGTCCCTTGGGAATGAGTTGGCTCTGGACGTTTCTGCCCTGTTCCCCGATCAGAGCTCCTCTGCAGGAAACAGGCAGGATGCCCCTCCCAACCCCTCAGTCCCTACGTCAAGCGGAGTGGATAAGGCTGAGATGAGTGCTGGGAGTGGTGGACATTCCTGCTCGTGCAAAGATGGCCACTTTCCCCGCAGCTGCAGGGCCTCGCGCTCGGCCCTCGCCAGGCCAGCCCCACTCCTTGTACCAAGTGTGAACTGGGGTCATTCGGTCTGTGATCTCGTTGCACTGCTCCAAGTCTGGCTGTGTCCAGGCGGTCCATGTTGAAAATGGAGGATGGCTGCTGACTTCTGACTGGCTGAGCAGTGGGTTCCTTCAGGTTCCTTGCCAACCCTCCTCCCCTGCCCACAACTTCTCCAAACAAAGCAGGCTGTTTGCTCACTTCTTCAAAAGGAGGAATGATAACCCAAATCTGCCCAAGTGACACTTGAGAAGGTTTTGGCTGGGGTTCCTGGTGGATTTCTTACTACCTAACGCCCAAGAAAACCAACTAAGGACTCTCAAACCATACCTGGTGGGGGTTCTTCGCTCAACCTCTTCTTCCCTAGGTCAAAGCCACTATCATCTGATGTGTTAGGGATGGGTTCTGATTGGCAGAAATTAATCAGCTCCCAATGGGAGCCCACGGAACTAAGTAGGGTCCCAAGAAAAAAAACGGGAGCTATTTCACAGAGCTGAGCTTCTGCCAAATTTCATTCCTCAAACCTTTCAGGAGGGGTGGTTGGCGTTTCTAAAATGTTTATGGGATTTGAGTTGCAGGTGTCCACTTAACTGACTAGCTTTGATAAACAATGTCAGATTTTAACTATGAAAACGACATTACCTTGTGCATTTTTATATTGATTCCTATTTTTTTTTTAAGATTAAAGTTTAAATGTTTTCCACTAGTCATTTCACTTCTAACTTGGTATAGGAAGCTTAGCTCTCTACATACCTATCATGTGCCCTGTATCACAGAAGATTCAGGAAAAATGCACTTGGGAATCAAAGAAAATGGAACTTCTTTTTGAAAAGACAAGCAACCATGTTAACTGTATTGACACATCCTCAATAAAACCTGTTGTATAAAACAGCACTGTGCTGAAACTGATACTGACACAGAGGTATCTCAAGCCTCTGGGTTCTGTAAGGTGTCCAGGAAGCTCTCTGGGGCTTGTGTGCCTGCTCTTAAGGATCATGCACTCCTCACCAGCTCCCTAACCTGGATTTCTGTCACCACCACATCACAAATGCCTGATGCTCGTAAGCTGCTGAGGCCATGCGCCAGGCAAATGCCAGGAGGCATTTTAAGAAACCAAAGGCAGGTAGTGGCTGGAGCTGGGGGCGATGGCTCAATCTTTACTGGAATATTCCTGCAAGCTCTCAGGGCTAGTGGAGCATGACAGCTGGCTCAGTAGTCCGAGGGCCAAGTTTCAACATCTGATACAAATTATGAATGAAATCATGAATCTTTGCTCCTAAGGGCTGGGCTAGTGTCAGGCCCAGTGCTGAAGACAGGCTGGGGGAGCTGTCCTGGGCGGAAAGCACCTGCTCACAGCCTGCCATGCTCAGCCACGAAAGATCTGTCCCTGGCGCTGGGGGTCTGGGTGGCAGACCTGAAGCAATCTGTGTTTTGAAGAGTCCTCAGCCTAGCCAGAACCCTATCTTCACTAAAACAGATCTGCCCGAGAGTGCTGAAACCGCAGGGCAGCTGCAGACTGCACATGCTCGGCTAGCCACTGAGGCTGGATGCTCAGAGAATGTCCCTGGAGTTTGAGGGGAGGCATCTTCCCCCTTTCAATTTTCCCTTCTTCAGAATGGATGCTAGTCTCAGATACTTGGGAACCCATGTGGGAGGATCGCCTGTGCAATAGAGTGAGACCCCATCTCTAAAAACATGCTGTGTAAAACTTCCTTGCAGGGAAAGGCTTTTGATTGGTCCCAAGATACAGGAGGAGGCACACGGCACTCAGTCCACCCGGGGCCCCGTGATGGTGCCCTCCCCACCCAAAGGTTGGTAGTCTGATGATAGCAGGGCCCTCTGGATCCTTCTACAGGGTTCCTGTTCCTGGCCCAGCTGGGCCTAGCTCCTGTTTGGGGAAGTCAGGCTCTGAGAACAGAAAAATCTGGCTTGTTCCTACCCGCTGCCTCTGGCAAAGCACTCGGCCCAGCAGCCTGGGCCACTTTGAGTGATCTCTAACAGGAAAAGCCACCAGACCATGCCTGCTGTGCCCTTCCTGGCTGAACACGCAGCCAGCTGGAGTGCCTGGCAACACAGCAGCTCATGGCCTTGGGGCCCCAGCTTCTATGACAGTGCAGCACAGACAAAGGCACTAGTCTTCAGAGATCAGGCTGGCAGGGGAGAATCCATTCAGGGCAGGAGAAACAAGAAACAGTGGTGAGATTTACCAAAAACTGTTTATTGCGACTTCCACTGGAAGCTGTTAATAAGCCACATGGCAGCCAAGAGCCAGGTGTGACCTAGATCAGCTGGATGCAAGTGCCTGTCCCTTCATCCACACAACCTGCTGCTCGGGGACCCTGCTAGGATGCGCTTGCTGGCAAACTGGCTAAAACCCAACAGGGAGAAATGATGCTACTGCTCATCATTTCCACCTCCCCACATCCCATGTCCAAGACAATACAGGAAAATGCCACAAGTACCCCTCCAAAATAAACCCGCCTGCGTCTGTCTGTCCTACTGAGGAGCCAGGAGTGTCCTACGGCTCTGCAGCAAACCAGAGACCCAGCACCAGCGAGGCACCAGTCCCTTGCTCGCTGTTCCAGTGACCTCCCCTGCAGAGACCCCAGCCTCACCGGTGTACTCAGTCAGCTCCACAATGCAGGAAAAGTGGGAAGCCACACTCAAGGAAGCGCAGGGTTTCTGATTGGAGCTGTAGTTGGTCCCAGGGGACCTGGCAGAGCCCCAACAGCTGTAGCCCTCATCAACTCTTCTGGAAGACACGGTGCAGGCTTTGGGCCAGGATGTCTGTCTCCTCGTAGCCTTCACAGCTTTGCTGCCAGCTCTCTGGCACCTGATCCATCCCATAGTAGGCACCAGCAATGGCCCCAGCCATGGTGGCAATGGTGTCTGTGTCCCCACCAAGTGAGATGGAATAAATGAGAGTCCTTTGGAGGCTATTGAAGGCAGAAGGGATCTCAGGGTCTGGCTCCATGCAGCGTAGGAAGCAGTAGATGGCGGTGGGTACCGACTCAAAGGCAGCAATGCCATTCCCTGTGGGGAAGCCAGGTTAGAGGGGCTGCATGCTTCCCCAGGCCTCCTACCATTTGACACAAGTCAGCACTCTCGGCTTCAAGCAGGCTGTGACTAAGATCTCAGGCTCTACAGTTAGACCACCTGGGCTCAAATCCTGGCTCCACCACACACTGGCTGCGTGACTGGGAGAGTTACCTAGGGGACCGCTAAGCTTCCTGCTCCCAGATTCAACTCCTTAAGCAGACAGGGAGTAACGTTAGCAACTCTCTGACAGGGCTGTTGTGAGGATGAAGCGAGATCGTGTCTGTGAAGCATTCTGCACAACGCCCAGTATAGATGCTAGACAAATAAAATCCATTATCAACATTTTTACGACTAGTGGCCAGCTGCCATTTCTGGGGACACTGGTCCACAAGGCTGAGGGTGCTGTAGCTTCAGAGCAAGAAGCGCTGAGCTCAACCCTGCCATTGACTCCGTGTCACAGCAGCCCAGGGTACAATGCGACGGCAGGCATGACTCCATGCTCCCCTGAGCCCAAGACCGACCCTGAAGGACGACAGAGGGAGAGACAATCCCAGGCAGACCCACTCACCTAGCTCAGACACCACTTCCTCCCTGGTCACCGATGCCTGGTCTAGAAGCTCTCCAATCTTCTTCAGGCGGCTGGAGTATGGACGCTCCTCCATGCCCAACCTGTGGTTTAGGGGAGATTTCAGGGAGGTCAGAGCTAGCAGGGTGGTGGCGCGGGCAGGGGAGAGGGCTGCATGTGAGAACGAGCAGGGATGTGGTCAGGCTGGCAGCCAGGCACAGGTGCCGACAAGAGGTGGGAGAGGGCTGGGGTGAGCAGGTCGTTTCGTTCTCTGGGACCCTGAGAGCCTTGAAACATAGACAAGATAAAGGGGCTTCTGCCCATGCCTCCCTAGGGTCTGCAATTGAGGAAGGTTTACAGTTTGCGGCAATGCCAGAGGCCCCCTGGATCACCCACATACCCACACCACACACCTCCAGCCCCATACTCACTCCCTGGCATCCAAGACGGACTGGGCATCACCCTCCAGATCCTCCATGTGGCCCAGGAGTTGCTTGAGAAAGTGCTCGCTGGAAGACTCGCCCTGCAAGGCCAGGTGCACAGCCAGGGCCTGCAGGATGGCGCCATTGTAACCCAGGGAGGAGGCGTGTGTCAGCTGGGCCGAGAGCCGGGCAAACTAGGGAGGAGGAGACCTGCTGTCACAGAAGCCCTGCTGCAGAAGAGGAAGGGGACAGCCCAGAAGCCAGCCCGCCCTGAATACCTTCTGCACATCCTGGACACTGCTATAGGCCAGGGAGATGCCAGCCACCCGCATGGCACCTCCATTGCCATAGGAGCCTTTCCCGTTAAACTGGGCCCGGGCAGGCTCAAAGACATCGCGACATTTGGGGTTCAGGAGCTTCTTGAAGACAGTGACTACTCCAGCACCATAGCCCCTGTCAGGGTCTTTCTTGTACTCCTGAGCAAATCTAGGGAACAGAAGGGGAGACAGAATTCAGATTTACAAGATGCCTCTAAGGGTTGGGAGAGAAGAAATCGAGGCTAGTTTGGAAAAAGAGAAAGCCTCGGGGGCCTAAGGAGCCTGCACCAGCAGTGCTGCTGTTTTAGCTTGGGAAGCTGTGCCAGCCTGACACAGGCTTCTGTGGAGGGTTGGGGGCGTGGACATGCACAAATGTCATTCCTCTGGTCAAGGGGTGCAATAACTTTCCCACCTGGTTTGCCTCAGCCCAGGACCATCCCCCTCACCTGTGAGCCATGTCCACCTCGTCAAAGGCCTCCTTGGCTAGCAGGGACTGCACCAGGGCCCTGGCCATGGCTGTGTCATCTGTGTAGTACAAGGCTTCTGTGGGGAGAGGAGGGAGGATGAGAGCCTCCTGCTCACCTTTGTTTTTTTTGTTGTTGTTTTTTGCTTTTTTTGGAGACAGAGTCTCGCTCTGTTGCCCAGACTGGAGTGCACTGGTGCAATCATGGCTCACTGCAGTCTTGAACTCCTGGGCTCAAGCTATCCTTCTGCCTCAGCCTCTCAAGTAGCTGGGACTATAGGCATGCATCATCACACCCAGCTACTTTTATTTTTTTGTAGAGACAGGGTCTCACTCTGTTGTCCAGACTGGTCTTGAATTCCTGGGCTCAAGCAATCCTCCTGCCTTGGCCTCCCAAAGAGCTGGGATTATAGGCCTGAGCCACTGTGCCTGGCCCTGCTCACCTTTTATTTTAGTTTATATTATTATTTTTTTGGTACAGGGTCTCACTCTGTTGCCTAAGCTGCAGTGCAGTGGTACGACCATGGCTCACTCCATCTCGACCTCCCAGGCTCAAGGAGCCTCTTGCCCCAGCCTCCCGAGTAGCTGGGACTACAGGTGCACACCACTGCGCCTGGCTTTTTTTTTTTTTTTTTTTTTTTTTTGTAGAGATGGAGTTTCATCCTGTTGCCAGGCTGGTCTCAAACTCTTGGGCTCAAGTGGACTCTCCCAAAGCGCTGGGATTACAGTTGTGGCTACGGCACCCAGCCTCTACTCATGTTTCAGAGTTACCACATCTAAAATGACCTCAAATCAGTTTCTCACTCCCATTCACTTTCGTGGGCCTGGGAAGCCTTAGGATCTCAGCAATGGGATTTTCAGCAATTCTTTATTCCAAGTCAGTCCTGCTGCTTTCTATTTTATGTATTTATTTATTATGAGCCTACATCATGGTTTGATCTTCTGATTTCTGAAAGAAAACTTCCATCCCCTTGTGGCTGCCATCCTTGCAGCTCCAGTCTTTTTGTTTTTGTTTTGTTTTTCTTTTTTATAGACAGGATCTTGCCATGTTGCCCAGGCTAGTCTCGAACTCCTGGACTTAAGCGATGATCCTTCCACCTCAGTCTCTGGAGTAGCTGGGATTATAGGTGTGCGCCACCATACCCAGATTGAAAATGATAGTTTCTGGATCCAGATCTCCTCCTACTTCACTTCTCTGGAGCACACCACCAGTGATCAGTGTCTTCATTTTGAAATTCTTTTCCTAGGTTTCGTTGATAGCCACTCCTGCTTCTCCTCCTATCAAACTGTTTCCTTCCCTAATCCCCTTCCCTCCCTCCCTCCCTCTTAATTACCGGTGTTCTCCAGGGTTCTGACCATGGCCCTTTCTTCTTACTATGCTACCTGCTCTCCAAGAAGATTCACCTCCTCTGCTTGACCTCACACCTGCTACCTGAGCCGGGATCTGAGCCCACAAGGGAAGGGAAGTTAGTTTTACAGGCGAGACAGCGCATGCAAACGCCTGGCCTAGAGGAATCATGGTGTGAGGAACCGAAGAGCAGAAAGCAAGGCCAAGGCTGGCGGAAAACGAAACTGCAGACGTGTGGGAGGGCCGGACCACGTCGGACACGTTAAGGAATGTGGCTCTGTACTAAGGGTAATGGGAAATCACAGCAGGGTTTTAGGCAGGGGAGGACGCGATTAGAGTCAGGCTTCCAAAGCACGCCTTGCGGGGTGGAGAACGGGCTGGTGGTATACTGACTCTAGAGAACCGGGAAAAAGAGGTCAAGTCGGCAAGGGTGGACAGACAGTCCCCGACTTAGGATGGTTCAACTTAAGTTTTTTTCGGCTTTCTGATAACGCTGATACGCATTCATAGGCTCCTCGACGTCCGATGGGGCTGCGTCCAGATAAAACGGTCGTCTAAGCTGAAAGCGCACTTTCCACTTCAGGTATTTTCAACTTACGATGGGTTTATCCACACCCTGCACGGTTGAGGCCCCGGTGCTGCCACGCCCCGAGCACGGGATGTTCGGGGCGAGACGTCTATAAGGCCGGAGATCGCACTGGCACTCGCTGAGCTCAAGCTGTCTGCGGGTCATCCGGCTCTGGCCCCGGTGCCCTCGGCAGCCTCATCCCCGCGCACCCCCGACCCGTCGCCCCCGGAGGCTCCGCGCCCCTTCGGCCTCCCTCCCGCACGGCCTCTGACTTGCGCCCGGCCCCGCCCACCTGTCCGCTCACTCCCGGGCGTGCCGGGGTCCGGCTCCAGACTCTGGACATGACGCAGGACTGACGTCAGGTCGACGGTGTCGTGGGCCTCGTAGAAGGAGCCCACGCAGTCCCCGAGCAGCGCGCCAGCCAGGCAGCCTCGGAAGCGCGAGAGGGAGCGGGCCGCGCCAGCCCCTCCACCTGCCGCTGCCGCCATCGCCGCTGCGGCCATCCGCGCGCAGACTGCTCGCCACTTCCGGTGCCGCCCTCACAGTTTCCCTACTTCCGTCCGCAGCGCTCCCTGGGGCCTAGAGTTTCCACTCCGCCGCCAGGCCCACAGCGCCGCCCAGCGGCCCGGAGTCGCGGCGCCGCGCACTTCCCGCCAGCCTGTGCTTTGAGTCTCGGTTTTCCGCTCCTCACCACTGGGCTAACTGGGTGGGAAGGCCACTATGGGGTCTCCGGGGGATGGGCACTGAGCCAGACCATTGGATCACTGCAGCCCACACTGCCTTCCGCAGGCGAGCAACCCTAACTCCGCACCCCCAGCCGGCCCTCCCCACCGAGGCCGGGACCACCCCCAAGCCCTCCCACCGGGCCCTTGCCCCCTGTGGGCCTCCCTTAAGCATCAGGAGGGCGGACCAGGGGCCAACTGGGACACAGCCAGGTAGAGGCCGCGCTGCTGCAGCCCAGGAGTGCTGACCCAGCCCAGAGAGGGGTGCCCTGAGGGGAGGGAAAGAACTGGATTTGGTACATGGAGTTCGGAGGAATAGTGTTCCCCATCTTTGCTCCTCCATAGACAGGAGGGTGTTCAAGAACCCTCTCCCTGCTGGCTACATACAGTGGGGCAGAGAACAGCCGGCCTGAGATCCTCTGCATTTATTCCATTCATTTCTCTCCTCCCTCCTTCCATTGCCCACCCAACCCTGCCCTCCTCCTGCAGTCCTCCAAGGCTAGGCCAGCTCCAGCTGGCAGCTTTTGAGTGGACTCAGGGTGCTATTTGTGGTACGTGTGAAGGTGTCCACCTCAGGCACGAACCTCTCAGCAGGCACGGTCAGCTTGCGCCGTGTGTCCATGCACTTGGTGTCCAGCAGCATGGAGTTGGCCTTGCAGGCAATGTCAGCCTGCAGCCGGGCCAGGTGCTTGCACAGGGCGTCCAGTGCGTCCCTAGGGAAGGACATTGACAACCCCCCAGCCCCCATGAGGCTGGGAGGCCTGGGCTGCGTGCATAGCCTTCAGTCAGGAAGACAGCCCCAGGGAGCCAGCAGCCAGCAAGAGGCCCCATTTGTGGGCAGCGTCTCACTGCTCCTTCCGCCCACTCCCGAGACCTACTGTGCTTGCGCCAGCTTCTGCTTCAGGGCAGCGATGGTTGCCTCTAGCTGGTGAACCTCGTCGGTGAGGCCGTACTGTGCCTGGAGGCAGAGGGGTTGGGAGTTCCAAGTCAGCCACACTGTCCTTTACCTGAGTGCTGCCCCTTGACAGCAGTGCCCTTGCTCCATCAGGAATATGAGAAAACCTTGGCTAGGGGGCCCGTGCGCCACTGGGACACCCTCTCACCTGGTCCCGGCAGAGTTCCACGTTGGGCCGGTAGGTTCTGGCCTCTAGCCGGGTATGGGACAGCTTCAGGCTCAGGAGCTTTGTGCGCAGATCCTCCTCCAGGTGCCGGATGTCCTCCTGCAGCTCAGCGATCTCCTCCAAGGTCTGCAGGGGACAGAGTGACTGGTTTCCACCTGCTGGACTCACGTGCATGCCTGGTCCAGTGCCTCCTGGCGGGGGCATGCGGCTTCTCATCCCACAGCAGGAAGTCCAGGCCCCTGGAGATGCTCACATTCTTCTCTTGCCACTTGAGCTCACTGTACACTTTCTCCATCTCCCGCAGCCGCTTCCTGAAGGCAAATTCCGTTGCAACTCTCTGGGCTTCAAGCTCGTTGTTGGTCTGAAGGAGAAAACACAGGGCAAGGGGAGGGTCTACACTCAGGGCTGCCTGAGGATATTACTCAAGCGAGGGGCAGGGGGCCACATGCACAGCAGGGAACAGAAGATAAGGGCTGAGCGCACACTGGGACCATCCATTAGCTGTGGGTGGCCTGTCACCTCAGCAATAGTTAGAGCAGTGGCCTCCCTCAGCTCTGTGGCTGCCTTCATCTCAGCCTCCGCTCGGTCCTTGTTGAACCGACTGAAGTCATCCCACTGCTGGAGTGTGGTGGAGCTGCAGGTGGCAGGGAAAATGGGGGTCATGAGGGTGTGGCCTGGGAGGGGAGGAGAAGAGACTGGCTGAAACACTCTTCTTACCCATCAGGTACACGTGTGGGGTCAACCTTCAGCGAGATGTTTGGGGATCTGAGGTTGAGAGAGAGACAGCCTCTGTCGATCTCTAGTGTCTCCATTTTGCCCCGATGGTCGGAGTTGAGCTGCTGTTGGACTTCCTGCAAGAGGCTGGGGAAAGCGCAGACTCCATCAGGACCATCCCCCAAGGGCCAGAGGCAGGCCTCACTGTACTAAAGGGACACCACAGGAAGAGGAGGCTGGGGTGACCCTTCCCAGCAGAAGACAATGGAGCTTCAGCCACTGAGACCAAGAGCAGCACAGCTGGATGAAAATGCTGCCCCCACATGCCCTACACACCGTAGGATAAAAATGCTGCCCCCACGTGCCCTACACACCCGCAGGATGAAAATCGGATGAAAATGCTGACCCCACGCGTCCTACACACCCGCAGGATGAAAATCGAGTGGAAATGCTGACCCCCATGAGCCCTATACACCTGCGGGGCACACGGATGTAGCTGCGCTCACAAAGGCTCATACACACACACTCACAGGAGCTACTCAGGGGTGGTGGCAAATGGGTGTCACCTCTCATGCTTCCAATCAGTGGATACCGGCTGCCCAGGGCAGGGTCGTGAGAAGTATTCTGAGCCCATGTCCAGGCAGTGGGAAGAGTGCTACAATTGATTAGTGGTTTCTGTCACAGGCACCAGAGGGCCAAAATGTAGCACGAGAGCCAGTTGCTCCTCATCCACAATACCTGTGTTCCACATTGAAGGCACACAGCCTCCAGGGGCCCATGAACATGCGGACGACCTGCCTCTCCCTTACCAGAGCTGCTCGAAGGCCTGGCTGACCTTCTGTTGCAAGGCCTTCTTGGTGGCCTCGATGACCTCCACCTCTTTATGCAGCTCATCCTCCACAGGGTCCTTCACCACATCAATGTCTCGCCGGCTTTCCCGCAGGGTCAGGCACTCAATGGCCACATCCAGAGGCAGGTTCTTGGCCTGCAGGTTTTGCTCTGCTGACTCCTTCATCTAGAAAAGAGGGCGCGGCCGGGCACGGTGGCTCACATCTGTAATCCCAGCACTTCGGGAGGCCGAGTTGGATGGAACACTTGAGGTCAGGAGTTCGAGAACAGCCTGGCCAAAATGGTGAAACCCCGTCTCTACTAAAAATACAAAAATTAGCTGGGAGTGATGGCGCACGCCTGTAGTCCCAGCTACTTTACTCAGGAGGCTGAGGCAGGAGAATCGCTTGAGCCCAGGAGGCGGAGGTTGCAGTGAGCCACGATCACACCACTGCACTCCAGCCTGGGCAACAGATCCAGATGCTGTCTCAAAAAAAAAAAAAAAAAAAAAAAAAGAAAAGAAAGAAAGAAAAAAAAAGAAAAGAAAAGAGTGGGCGGGGGTGCTGGTGGGGCCATCCATGGGGAAGTAGCGCTTGTCCCCACTTTAGCAGGGGGCCAGTGACTCGGATGGACATGCCACTCATGACCCCCCATCAAGGGCTTCTCAACCTAGCTGTGGGGAAGGAGGGGAGGTTTCGGCAGCAGCCCCCGGGCACCCAGTCCTGGATCCCTGCCTGTGTCAGGGCATCGATCTCGGCATCTAAATCTGTCAGACACTTGTCCAGCATCTCCTTCCACCGGTTGACAGTATCAATCCTCTCCACCAGTCGAGTCCTGTTGTCATGTTCATCCCAAATGGTCTGAGAGAGACAGAGCCAGAT
Organism: Homo sapiens; assembly: GCF_000001405.40. Lineage (NCBI taxonomy): Eukaryota > Metazoa > Chordata > Mammalia > Primates > Hominidae > Homo > Homo sapiens. Next base: position 36,085,141 of record NC_000001.11, on the reverse strand, counting down.
AGAGAGGGTGTCAAGGGGTTGGGGGCTATCCCTTTGCCCACCCAGCTGAGTTCCCATCCCCAACCTGGTTGTTGGTCTCGTTGCGGAGCACCCGGGCCTCCTGGCGGATCTGATGGGAAGCATCTCGCTGCAGCTGGGCATTGGTGGATAGCAGGTAGCTGTTAGTGTGCCAGTCGGGCAGCTGGAAGCGCCGACTTGGCTTGACGCTCAGCGTGGCCATGGCACAGAAACCAGAAGGGTCAGAAACCCCTAGGCCTGTTCACAGACACCACCTGCAGAGGGAAAACACTGCTGCGGGAGACCTTTCCGGAGACCTCCTGGATCACACGCCCCCTGCGCAGGACTTGTTCCTGTCCATTTTGCTCTGAGCCCTGTCCTGCTGGAAGCCTGCTTGGAGACAGCCCTTGCTTTACTCAACTTTGTGTGAGGTATTAACTAAGTTTCCCTCCCTCCCGTCCCCAGGCGGACACAAACCCCTGGACCTTGCAGGTCCTGGAGCAGGTAAAAAGGAATAATGGAGTCCCGGAAGCCTCGAAGTGTGTGTGAAGTGCCAAATGCCTGGGGGGTAGGCGGATGGCAGAAAAAAATTGCCCTTAATGCATTTTCCACACCTGCCCCCAGCCAACCATGCCTTGTTGATCTTCCTTTCCTTTCTTCCCCAGGCTGCGGGCCAGTCCCCGTGGGGGATCTAAGGGCAGGAGCCCTGTTCTGTCTCCAGGGACGCGTGCCTGTTGGCACTGGGGAGCTGGGGGGCGGCCCCCGGGGCGGCCCCCTCCCCGTCTGGTAGCCGCCACGCCCTCCCGCCCCTCCGCCCTCGCCTACTGTTGGAGGGGAAGGCCGGACAGGGAGAGCCCCGTGGGAAGAGCTGGGGTCAGTCCGGTTCCCCGTCAAACCCCTTTCTTCCCCTCCGCAGGATGATCGCCTTTGGTTTAGATCAGTACCCCGGTCCAGCGCGGAGGAAGGGGGCGCCCCCGCTTCCCTAGCTCCCTTACCTCCTTTCCCGCTTCGCTCTCCGCGCCCCCCGCTCTGAGCTCCAGTGTTTGGCACCACCGGTTGCTAGGCAACCACCCCTCCCCTACCCCCCCAACCCCCCGCGGCCAACGCGGCCTGGGCGCTTCGCTTGGCAACCGCGGCGGCGTCGGGCGGCGTCCCCGGAGGCCTTTAGGGTAGGCGAGGGGCGGCCGGCCGAGCCTGGGAGAGGTGGGGGGCATCAGGGCAGCGCTTTCACTTGATTTACAAATTAAATGAACATTTGTTGTCTTTTCAGACAGGATCTCGCTCTGTCGCCCAGGCTGGAGTGCTGTGGCTCAGTCTCGGCTCACTGCAGCCTGAACCTCCCCGACTGAAGCGATTCTCCCACTTCAGCCTCCCGAGTTAGCTGGGACCACAGGCGCGTGCCACCACACCTGGCTAAATTAAAAAAAAAATTTTTAGTAGAGACAGGGTTTCACCATTTTGCCCGGGCTGGTCTCAAACTCCTGGCCTCAGGCGATCCACCCATCACAACCTCCCAAAATGCTGGGATTACAGATGTGTCACTGCCCCGGCCTAAACAATTTTATTTTGATAAAGGTATGCATAGACATGATAGAAAATACGAAACCAAGTGCAGTGGCTCACGCTTGTAATCCCAGCTACTCCAGAGACCCAGGCGGGAGGAGCGCTTGAGGCTAGGATTTCGAGGTCAGCCTCAGAAACATAGTAGTTGCCAGCAAACGAACAGTACATAGAAAAAGTAGGCTGGGCGCAGCGACTCAGGCCTGAGATCCCAGCACTCTGGGAGGCCGAGACCAGGTGGATCGCTTGAGTCCAGGAGTTGGAGACCAGCCTGGGCAACATGGCGAAACCCCATCTCTACAAAAAATACAAAATTTGGCCAGGCAAGGTGGCTCACGCCTGTAATACCAACACTTTGGGAGGCTGAGGCAGGTGGATCACCTGAGGTCAAGAGTTGGAGACCAGCCTGGCCAACGTGGTAAAACGCTGTTTCTACTAAAAACACAAAAATTAGCCAGGTGTGGTGGCAGGTGCCTGTAATCCCAGCTACTTGGGAGGCTAAGGCAGGAGAATCACTTGAGCCTGGAGGCAGAGGTTGCAGTGAGCTGAGGTGGTGCCACTGCACTCCAGCCTGGGTGACAGAGTGAGACTCCATCTCAAAAAATAGATTAATTAATTAAAATTAAAATCAGGTGCACTCCCCAGCAGGTCCCCTCCAGCAATGGATGGATAGTTAATGTTGTTTACAACATTTCTTCTATTCTGTCTTGCCCAACAACTTTGCCCATCTTGAAGGTCATACAAGGAATGATAAAGGGATGATAATCATGTTTGGAGAGGGCACAACCCTGAGAGAGGTAACTGGGGTATGAGAAGCAATGCTCTGGTGGCACACGCCTATAATCCCAGCTACTCGGGAGGCTGAGGCAGGAGAATTACTTGACCCTGGGAGGCGGAGGTTGCAGTGAGCTGATAACACGCCTCTGAACTCCAGCCTGGGGAACAGAACGAGACTCTGTCTCAAAAAACAAAATGAAACAAAACAAAACACAAAAAAACCAGAGAAGCAATGCTCAATATTCAACCATTTCTTTAAAAAAAGAAGGGAAAAAAAATCATGTTTGTCTTATTGTCTAGTACTGTATTGTCTGGTATTGCCTAGTATTTCTAGGGGTTGGAAAAATATTAACATTTAATCTTCACAACTAATAGGTGAGGTGGGCATTGTCCCCACTTTCTTAGGTAACAAAAGAGACACACTGCTAAAAAGCAGGGAGGGAAACCCAGGTGTTCTGGCCCCACCCAGAGGACACTCTGCTGTGCTCCACACTGCCTCTCATGGGGGGCTGGGATAGAGAGGAAGACAGGTGTGCAGGCCTGGTCCTGTTCTGAGGACTCTGCTGAACCGGATCCTATGAGGTGGGTACTGTTACCATCTTCACTTTATAGGCAGGGAGACTGAGGCATAGGCCAGTGAGGACGTGCCCAGGTCACATCACTAACAAGTGGTACAGCCTGGATTGAAACCCAGGCAGTTGGGCCCAGGGGGAAAGAAGTCCCAGAAGGGTCCTTCAGTTGTAAAACGTCACTGGGGGGATGGGAAGAACAGTAGAGAAGCAAGGGCTTGGTAGGCAATTGGGGGATGAGGTTGGCTTTTGAGCAGTTTTTGAGCAGTTTGAGGTGTACACAGTGGATCCAGCTGCTGCCTAGCAGGCATTGGGGTTGTTTTTTTTTGTTTTGTTTTATTTGGTTTTTTTTTTTTGACAGAGTCTTACTCTGTTGCCCAGGCTGGAGTGCAGTGGCATGATCTTGGCTCACTGCAACCTCTCCTTCCCGGGTTCAAGTGATTCTCCTGCCTCAGCCTCCCGAATAACTGGGACTACAGGCATGCGCCACCACACCTGGCTAATTTTTATATTTTTAGTAGAGACGGGGTTTCACCATGTTGGCCAGGCTGGTCTCAAACTCAAACTCAGGTGATCTGCCCAGCTTGGCCTCCCAAAGTACTGGGATTACAGGCGTGAGCCACCATGCCCGGCCTGACTTGTTAATTGCAAGTCTGTCGTTCAGCAGGACTGAAGCCAGAACACTAATTCCCAAACTCCCTTCATTACAGAGTATTTTTTTCCACAGGTTATTTTGTAAACTCTAATATATGACTTGTAAACTGGACATGAACAAGAATTTGTGATATAGCCTCTTTACCAGGATTGAAGAAGATAGAAAGAAAAAAATCTTGGACAAATTAATTGCAGGAAGAAATGATCAAATTTTGGCTTACATATTTTGCAACAGTGGTATAACACAAAGAAGTAAGCAAATATGGCAGAAGTGTGGTGGCTTTGGCGTCTACTTTTGACCATAGTGGTGGCCCTGTTATTCGTGGCTCCCGGGGTTCCTACACATCCTTCCCGATGGAAGAAGGGGTTGGCCAAAAAGGTCAGCCAGCTGATGGGTTGGACCAAGAAAGACAGAGTGATAAGAATGAGTGACACCATGTTCTATCATTTTGTATTAGATGCACCAAAAAACTATTCTGTTATTGTGATGCTTACTGCTGCTCTCCACGCGTTCAGTTCATGTGTCATGTGCAAAGGTGCTGCTGAAGAATTTCAGATCTTGGCAAATTCCTATCAACGCCCTGGTGCATTCACCACAAAGGTATTTTTTGCAATGGTGGATTATGATGAAAGCCCTGAGGTCTTTGAAGCGCTCCAGGTAACGTCAGTTCCGAGTTTCTTCCACTTTTCTGCCCAATGGAAATTTACAACAGATGACATTTATAATTTGAGAGGAAGGGATATTGTTGCTGACCAAATGGCTGAATGGGTAGCAGAAAGAACACATGTCAGCGTCAGAATCAGACAGCCTACAAATAAATTATCATGGTCTCCTCAAGCCAGGGATACTTCTGGCTCTCATTGGTGGACTTGGGTATTTCTTGAAATGGAATAGGAAATCTATTTCTTGCAGAATTTTGTGCGAAGTTTTAACTCTGTGCTTTGTGATTGTGATGACGTCTGGTCAAATGTGGACTTATATAAGAGGAGAACCATATGTCCAAAGGGACCCTCACACAGGACATAAACATTATATCAGTAAATTTAGTCAGGCTCAGTTTGCAGCAGAAACATTCATTATTTCCCTGTTTAATATGTGTGTTAGCCTGGGAATGGTGCTGTTAGACAAGGCTGCCACCTCTACGATGAACATCAGAAAGAGAAAGATGATGTGTCTGGCTGGTATGTGTCTTGTTGCCATATTCTTCAGTCGGCTGCTTTCCCTCTTTAGATTTAAAGTACCTGACTATCCATACAGCTTTGTCTGGGATTAAAAAGGATCCTACAGACATAGACAATGAAGCAAGAAATTTGAAAAAAAAAATGTGAAGCAGAAAAATGCAAACTCATAGCTTTTTAAAGTAATTGAGATTTCACCAAAAGAGACCATAAGTGCTTTAAGTGCTTTCAAAATCTGTCAAGTATTATGGTATGTATCTTCTCTGTTCTTAATTTTTCTCCCCGAGTGTTATAGATTACCTCAAGTCCAATTATTAAAATCTTTAGAGAGTACAACTTTCATCGAATCAGAACAATGTTTTACAATGTTTAAAAGTACCTTAGTTAATATTAATATTTGGTCAGCTGATCTTATTCTAATATGAAAAATAATCTTTTTTCTTTTCTTTTTTTTTTTTTTTTTTTTGAGATGGAGTCTCACTCTATTGCCCAGGCTGGAGTGCAGTGGTGCAATCTTGGCTCACTGCAAGCTCCGCCTCCTGGGTTCACGCCATTCTCCTGCCTCAGCCTCCCAAAAAGCGGGGACTACAGGCGCCTGCCACCAGGCCTGGATAATTTTTTTGTATTTTTAGTAGAAATGGGGTTTCACCATGTTAGCCAGGATGGTCTTGATCTCCTGACCTCATGATCCGCCCACCTCGGCCTCCCAAAGTGCTGGGATTACAGGCGTGAGCCACTGCGCCCAGCCAAAAAATAATCTTTTTTCTTTTTCTTTTGAGGCAAGGTCTCCCTCTGTTGCTCAGACTGGAGATCAGTGACACAATCTCAGCTCACTGCAACCTCCGCCTCCTGGGTTCAAGCGATTCTCCTGCCTCAGCCTCTTGAGTAGCCGGGACTACAGGCGTGTGCCACTACGCCCGGCTACCTTTTTGTATTTTTAGTAAGGACGGGGTTTTGCCATGTTGGCCAGGCTGGTCTTGAACTCCTGATCTCAAGTGATCCACCCCTTTGACCTCCCAAAGTGCTGGGATTACAGACATTAGCCACAGTGCCCGGCCGAAAAATAATATCTTGACAAGGTATTCCCACACCTGGCCACTGAAGATAATTATTATCCCTCTATGGCAGTGTACATTTGCAGTCTGTTTTGTGGGCAGTGTACATTTGCAGTTGTATTATCTTGTCCCCTGAAGTTTAAATACCTATGTTTAGAGTACACTTCCAAAGCTCAGAGGCAAATACATACTTCTTAGTACTACTACATATCCGTCTCTCCTATTGGAATACACTAGTATGTTTCTTTTTGTTTTTTTCTTTTACCGTGCTTTTTTTTTTTTTTTTTTTCTTAAGACGGAGTTTCACTCTGTCCCCCAGGCTGGAGTGCAGTGAGTGGCATGATCTCGGCTCACTGCAACCTCCGCCTCCCAGGTTCAAGTGATTCTCCCACCTCAGCTTCCCAAGTAGCTGGGATTACAGGCACACGCCACCAAGCCCAGCTAATTTTTGTATTTTTAGTAGAGATGGGGTTTCGCCATGTTGGCCCGGCTGGTGTTGAACTCCTGACCTCAGGTGATCCGCCCGCCTCAGCCTCCCAAAGTGCTGGGATTACAGACGTGAGCCACTGCGCCTGGCTCTTTTACTACGCTTCCTGATAGTTGTAGAAATTACAAACCAGTTAAACACCAGATTACAATTTATCTTTGATTATTAACTACCTTTTATCTGGAAATATTTCAGATATGTTATCTTTTCTTATTTTTCTTTCATGGAGCCAATCTCTAACAAAATAGTATTTCCTATTTCTGTGTTGACTTTGTTGACTTGAGGTTGTTTTCCATTTACTTTAAATCTAAGAGAAAAATAGGTATAAAGACAATTGAGAAGATAAATAATAATTTCATTCACCCATTCTATTTAGGAGCCTGCTAAAATATCAAGTCATTTCCAAAATGGAGAAATACAAAGCTGAACACCCTAATAGTATTTTTGTAATTTTAGTAAAATCTGTTCCATTTCAGCCTTTCTTCCCTCTTAGTGGAAAAACAAAGTACAAATTTAAAGACGTTTTCCCCCTTTATCCTCCTTCTGTCATATGTAAAGTCCTAAACATCTTACTAACATACTTGGCAAATTATAGCAAAGATTTAAGTGGAGGATTTTTTTGTTGTTGTTATTTATTTATTGAGATAGAGTCTTGCTCTGTGGCCCAGCCTGGAGTGCAGCGGTGTGATCTCGGGTCACTGCAACCCCTGCCTTTGCCTTCAAGCGATTCTCCTGCCTCAGCCTCCCGAGTAGCTGGGATTACAGGCGACCGCCACCACGCCCAACTAATTTTTGTATATTTAGTAGAGACGGGGTTTCACCATGTTGACCAGGCTGGTCTTGAACTTCTGACCTCAGGTGATCCACCCGCCTCGGCCTCCCAGTGTTGGGATTACAGGCGTGAGCCACCGTGCCCGGCCCTGGCCTGTTGTTATTTTTAAGACAGAGTCTCACTGTGTTGTTGCCCAGGCTGCAGTGCAGTGGTGTGATCTTGGCTCACTGCAACCTGTCTCCAGGGCTCAAACAATTCTCCTGCCTCAGCCTCCCTAGTAGCCGAGATTACAAGTGTGCACCAACACGCCCGGCGAATTTTTTTGTATTTTTAGTAGAGATAGGTTTCACCATGTTGGCCAGGCTGGTCTCGAACTCCTGGCCTTAAGTGATCTGCGTGCCTCGGCCTCCCAAAGTGCTGGAATTATGAGCCACTGTGCCCGACCTGAGGTTTGTTATTAAATCAAACTCCACCCTTCTCTCTGGAAACTGCCATTTTAAGAAATGTGAGAACTGTCCACGTGAAAATGTTTTTCAAGCAACAACAATATAATGTCACATTAGAAGGATTCTGTCTTAAATTGGGACTGGCTTGGCTATTTACAGTCAAGTAACCCTCTTTCAAGGTCTGGTAGAAGATTTGAAGGTTTTATGTGAGTGTTTGCCAAGGGAGTTGAGTTTAATTATTATTATTTTTAATATTTTTATTAAAATATTAATATTTTTATTAAAATATTAATAATATTTTTAGCAGGAGGTGACTGGGAATAGTTGACCTCTCTCACAGACATTTTTTGTTGTTCATTACTCCATAGGAAATTGCTTAACTTTGACCTTTTTTCCAGCTTGCTTTTCTGCTGGTCCTGTACTTGTCTCAGGCCAAAGAAATTCATGCTGAGATTGTCAAGGCCGAGATTTGGGTGAGGCTAACTCATTTTGCATAGCATACTAGTCAGAGAAATAACGGCCCACTTCAACTACACGGCTGCAGATGATTTGCTCTGGAGGTTAAAACAATGATTCCTACCACCCCATCTGCCCTTCTTATCTTCAAAACCCACTCTTTTTCCATAAGAAAGAAAAGTCTTCAGGGTAAAATAAATGGCAAGTAACTTTGCTGCATTCAGTAAAGTGATATACTTTTGTGCAGATTTTCAGATTAATATCTAAAGAATCTTAGACAACAGTAATAGTTTTATGAATGGTCTAGATAGCACCTATGAATATGTATTTTTAAATACGATTCAAAGGGATACCACAGATGGCAAACTTTCATAGTCTAAAATCTTTATACAAGCACAAATATAAATTGGAAAAAATTAAGATTAAACTTACAAAACAAAATATAAAAAGATGGTTAATCTTTTTTTTTTTTTTTAAACAGAGTCTCGCTGTGTCGCCGAGGCTGGAGTGCAGTGGTGCGATCTTGGCTCACTGCAACCTCTGCCTTCTCGAGACTGCCTCAGGCAACATGGTGAAACCCTGTCTCTACAAAAACTACAAAAAGCAATTCTCCTGCCTCGGCCTCCTGAGTAGCTGGGACTACAGGTGTGCACCACCACGCTTGGCTAATTTTTTTTCTTTTTTCTTTTTCTTTTCTTTTTTTTTTTTTGAGACTGAGTCTCGCTCTGTTGCCCAGGCTGGAGTACAGTGGCGGGATCTCGGCTCACTGCAAACTCCACCTCCTGGGTTCATGCCATTCTCCTGCCTCAGCCTCCCGAGTAGCTGGGACTACAGGTGCCTACCACCACGCCCGGCTAATTTTTTTGTATTTTCAGTAGAGACGGGGTTTCACCGTGTTAGCCAGGATGATCTCGATCTCCTGACCTCGTGATCCGCCTGCTTCGGCCTCCCAAAGTGCTGGGATTACAGGCGTGAGCCACTGTGCCCGGCCATTTTTATATTTTTAGTAGAGACAATACAAATACATTTTTGTATTTTTATACAAATATAATTATACAAATACATTTTTGTATTTTTAGTAGAGACAGGGTTTCACCACGTTGCCCAGGTTGGTCTCGAACTCCTGACCTCAGGTGATCCACCCGCCTTGGCCTCCCAAGTGCTGGGATTACAGGTGTGAGCCACGACGCCTGGCCAGTTAATCTTAATTTTACATGTGTATAAAATACATGTGAAAACCATCTGAATGCTGGTGCTGACTGAAATCCTGTCTGGTGCAGCATCAGACCATTCCTATGGTTTTTTTTTTTTTATTTTTGCTTTGGAATATAATATGCAAATTCTATTTAGCAACATAGTTACAGTAAAGGAAGAGTAATATTATACATTTAATAGTTTCAAGTGCTTTTGTTTTGTTTTTGACACTGGGTCTCACTCTGTCACCCAGGCTTAAGTGTAGTGGCACATGCAGCCTCCATGTCCTGGGCTCAAGTGCTCAAGTGATCCTCCCACCTCAGTCTCCCATGTAGCTGGGACTACAGGAGCATGTCGCCATGCCTGGCTAATTTTTGTAGTTTTTGTAGAGACGGGGTTTCACCATGTTGTCTGGGGTGGTCTCGAACTCCTGGACTCAAACAATCCACCCACCTTGGCCTCCCAAAGTGCTGGGATTACAGGCATGAGCCACCATGCCCAGCCTCAGGTACTTTTGAATTGGCCTATTTTTAAAATCATTTAGCAAAGCCTATTAAAATTTTGTTTCAGTTGAGAACTGAACATATTGGACTTCATGATACTAAGCCACTAAGGTATCTGTTTTGTTTATAATTATAAATTTTGAACCCCAGCGTTATTCTTAAGAAAAAAAGTCTTTTTTTGAGACTGGGTCTTGCTCTGTCACCACACTGGAGTGTAGTGGCGCAATCTCAGCTCACTGCAACCTCCATGCACTGCAACCTCCGCCTCCCAAGCTCAAGTGATCCTCTCACCTCAGCCTCTCGAGTAGCTGGGATTATAGGTTCACTACCATGCCCAGCTAATTTTTTGTATTTTTTGTAGAGATGGGATGTCATCATGTTGCCCAGGCTGGTCTCAAACTCCTGAGTTCAATCAATCTACCTGCCTCGACCTCCCAAAGTGCTGGGATTACAGGTGTGAGCCACTGCACCCAGCCCAAGAAAGATATTTTAATAGGGAAAAGTACAAGAAAAGTACTACTTTATAAAGGCATTGTAGCTGGGCGCGGTGGCTCACGCCTGTAATCCCAGCACTTTGGGAGGCTGAGGCAAGGGGATCACTTGCGGTCAGGAGTTCAAGACCAGTCTAGCCAACATGGCAAAACCCCATTTCTACTAAAAATACAAAAATTAGCTGGGTGTGGTGGCACACGCCTGTAGTCCCAGCTACTTGGGAGGCTGGGGCATGAGAATTGCTTGAATCCAGGAGGTGTAGGTTGCAGTGAGCCAAGATCATGCCACTGCACTCCAGCCTGGGTGACAGAGCAAATCCCTGTCTCAAAGAAAAGAAAAGAAAAAAAAAGGCATCATAAAGATCTTCATAGACTGTAGAAACTGGAAGCAACAGAAATGACAGGAAAACAGTCATCTTTCTTCTATAGATAAAACTAAAGATTTCAGTTCCCTTCATAACATTTAGTCAAATATTGTGAAAACGTACACATCCTTTCCTGGCATTGACACATCAACCTAATTAATTTCCTGAAAACATAAGCAAGGTATGCAAGTATCAGCAGCTGAGATAAATCTGTCAAATAACCAGACAAATTAAACATGAAAACTACATTCAGATGTATGCCCCTCACTGGCCAGGCACAGTGGCTCACGCTTGTAATCCCAGCACTTTGGAAGCCAAGGTAGGTGGATCACCTGAGGTCAGGAGTTCGAGACCAACCCGGCCAACATGGTGAAACCCCGTCTCTACTAAAAATACAAAAAATTAGTCAGGCGTGGTGGCGGGCGCCTGTAATCCAGCTACTCTGGAGGCTGAGGCAAGAGAGTCGCTTGACCCCAGGAGGTGGAGGTTGTGGTGAGCAGAGATCACGCCACTGCACTCCAGCCTGGGCGACAGAGCAAGACTCCGTCTCAAAACAACAACAACAAACACTTAGAATTTTACCTTAGACTGCCACCTCATTTCTGATGCTTAAGTGTGGTGTTCTGAGCACCCTTGCTCTGAAGAAAGTCTCAAGCAGTTGAGCTCTAATGTCACTGGTGATTTGTTTGGTTCTAGCGTATCTTACTATTTTTTGTTTTGGAGACAGGGTCTCGCTCATTTGTCCAGGCTGGAGTACAGTGGTATGATCGCAACTTGCTGTAGCTTCGAACTCTTGGCCTCAAGCAGGCCTCCTGCCTCAGCTTCCCAAGTAGCTAGGATTACAGGGGGATGCCACCACACTTGGTTCTTATTTTTAAAGAGAAGATAAAATCTGGGCCAGGTGCAGTGTCTCATGCTTGTAATCCAAGCACTTTGGGAGGCCGGGGTGGGAGGACTGCTTGAGGCCAGAAGTTTCAGACCAGCCTGGTCAACATAGTGAGACTCCATCTCTACAAAAATTTTAAAAACTATCCGAATGTGGTGGTGTACACCCGTTGTCTTAGCTACTTGGGAAGCTGAGGCAGGAAGATCCTTGAGCCCAGGAGGTGAGCTGTGATCCTGACACTGCATTTCCACCTGGGCGACAGAGTGAGACTGTCTCTCTTAAAAAATTTTAAACAATTGGCCTGGCATGGTGGCTCATGCCTATAATCCCAGCAGTTTGGGAGGCCAAGGTGGGCGGATAATGAGGTCAGGAGTTCAAGACCAGCCTGACCAACATGGTGAAATCCTGTCTCTACAAAAAATACAAAAAATTAGCCAGGCGTGGTGGCATGTGCCTGTAATCCCAGCTACTCAGGAGGCTGAGACAGGAGAATCGCTTGAACCCGGGAGGTGGAGGTAGCAGTGAGCCGAGATCGCGCCACTGCACTCCAGCCTGAGTGACAGAACGAGACTCCATCTCAAAAAAAAAAAAAAAGAAAGAAAAGAAAGAAAAAAATTTAAACAATTAAAAATTATTTGCAGACTGAAACTGGCCTGCCAACTTGCAACTTCTGGTATTAGTCCAACAACTTTAATTATAAAATGAAGAGCTATACCTGAAATTATGCAGTTAAAGAGGGTTGAGAGCTGATTTCCAAAATCTTAGTCCAGTGTTTTCTTGCATCGCATACCGGGGCTGTTTATCCACTTTTGGGCCTGTAAAGATTCCTCCAGTTCATTTTGGTTCCTTTTTTTCCTACATATTCTTAATTCTTTCACCTCCTGGCAAAGTTTGGAAGCCTAGCGTCGTCTCCCCATTTTCACTCCACTCACTGTCTTTTATTTAAGAAGGTGAAAAATGGGTGGGGTAGAGGGGAGGTAGGCAGTCTTTGAAAAACCCGAGCTCCAGCCACATGCCCAGCACTGGAAACATTCTATGCATTGTCTCATTTAATGCTCCAACAGTTCTACTTTCTCCTTTCACACTGGAGGAAACTGAGATTTAGAAGCATCAAGGAACTTGCTCAGAGTGTCACATAATCAAGGTTTGAACCCAGGACTTCATGACTAAAGCTTAAGTGCCTTCCACTGTATCACATGGGTCTCGTTCCCTAGTCTGAAGAGCTGTAATGATGACCACACAAGAGAAAGTTTAAGAGCAAAGCTTTTCTTTTTATTGCAGTTATTAGTGAAAGTTATACTTCAAACTGAAGCTAAGCAACACTAAAACCATTAATATTTTTAAAATCAAGGATTAAAAACAAATACAACATAGAACTCTCCAGTAGGCAGAATGGCAGAAAAAAGAGTAGTGGTTCTGTCACAGAACATTTCGTGACAGTTTGGCTCAGAAAGAATCATGACAATTTCTTTTGTTGTTGTTGTTATTTGCCTCCCAACAGGAAACAATGACACTTTCTTTAACACAAAATATTATATGAGCTGCTTAAAAACCAGCTTCTTCAAGCTTCTCAGTCTCACTCATAACTTGTTCGTAGTATAATAATTTCTGTGGGGAAGATAGTTTAACTGAAGTATAATATTTTTTGTGGGGAAGATAGTTTAACTGAAAAAGAAAATATATTACCAAATTTTAAATACTGAAAACAAGGACTTTTGTTCAAAAACTTTATTTGCCTTCTGCTCATTATAATTACATATAATCTTCAAGGAGTTTAAATGACAACCAAATCCAAGGCCTGGCCCCCAAGAACACAGTGATAGGATTCAGCATTTGGTGTTTCTAATTATACAATGACTACATATATATCATAGACTTGCTCTCATCCATTCTCCACCATAAAGTTTCAATTTCCTCTTAAAATATGGCAGTCAAGTTTAGTCTCATTCAAAATCTTATCTGGTCCTACAGCATATTACAGACTTAGACTCACTCTTCTGTTTTAATTGATGTTACTGTGTAGCCGAAGATTTTAAAAAAAGATTTATAGATATACACTTGAAATTCTGCAGTCTTGAAATACTACAATAAATTTTTCTTACTTATGAAAAGCCAACAACAACAAAAAAGGCCAGGCCAGGCATAAGACAGAGGGGAAGGGAAGATGAGGAGGGAGGTTTGAGAGTCCCATCATTTTGCCTTGCTGAAACTGGGTTTCAGTAGAAATATTTGGCAAGAATAGTGTGGAAAAGGAGGATGGAGAAAGAGGTTACTCTGATTTTATGTAATAATTCAGTTTCAAAACATACTGATATCAACCTCCAAAAATAGTAGTTCACATCTGCAATACAAATAGGCACACACGGTAAAGATGGTTAAAAAGTAGAATTTAAAAGGCTATTTGTCCATCTTCAGGACATTTTGCAGGCGGCCCCACCCTCCCCACATGTCCTGTATTTACATTTTACTCTTCAGAAAAGCCCCTTTTAAAAGAATGCTATTTCTTCCTCCATTACTTAGGGTTTTTTTTGTTTTGTATTGTTTTGTTTTGTTTTGTTTTTAGCAGCAATTATCTAGTGGGAGCAGTTAGCTACGCTTTAGGGGTGTATGTTTGTATGTGCATTGTGTATAACAGAAGTGTTCTCTAGAGTGAGCAGTCAGATTACACTGCAATGGTCATATTACCATTGAGTCCCCCAAACACTAAAGAAAGACATTATTTTTTTCTATATAAACTTAATACGCAGAGTTATAAACATAAAATATTGATATAGACACACATACGCACACCACTGCTTCCCAAAGCCTATGAATGCATCCACGTACTAGTCCACAAGAATGATCTTTATTCACAAGATATAGGAATACTTTTATGGGTCCATAACTGAAAAGAGACATTAAAGCTACACATTACAGCAAAAATAGTTTAAAATTATTCCTGATATATCAGCGTTAGCTATCTCACTGCACAAGGTGGATTTTTTGTTCATTTTTCATTTTTCAAACATGAATCTCCCCAACTTTTCATCTTCAGTACTTGAAATTCTCATTGAAATTAATGCAGATGCCAGCTTTGTTAGCAATGAGTTGGAAAAGCCCAACTGCCTGCAACAAGGGGAGGTTGGCATCTGTGGAGATAAAAGTAAATGTTGAATGCGTCCATACCCTGTGTACCTAAAATGCATCCTTTTTTCTTTTTTTAAAAAAAATCTTGTCTGTTGCAACAAAGAATTGTTTACACTCCCTGCAGTGGTGTGCCCTTTGTAATTTCCTAGAAACAGAATCTCTTCCCCCCATGGAAATGCATAAGCCTGTTGAAATGTAAGGACCTGCCACGATCTATAAAGGTAACTGCATCAGACACCTGATATGACCTGCAGGTGCTCAGAATTGAATTCACATGAAGCAGAAACTTTCACTATATTTTAACCTTTATAGGTACATGATGATTGGAATTTTTAAAGTAAAGCAAAGTTAAATTCTGCAAAGACATGAGTGAAATAAGCACACTTTCTTTCTTAAAATCTAACCCTCTTCTTCAAAGAAAGGTACCAAAAATCGGCCAAGAAACAGGGAATAACCATCTAGTTGTACAATAGCCTCTGATGCTAACATGTAGCAAAAGTGCCTGAAGGCAAAGGCGAAGTTAATTTCTAAGTATTTGTATTTTATTATTATTATTTTTTTTTTTATTGAGACAGAGCTTCGCTTTGTTGCCCAGGCTGGAGTGCAGTGGCACAATCTTGGCTCACTGCAACCTCTGCCACCTGGGTCCAAGCAATTCTCCCACCTTAGCCTCCCGAGTAGCTGGGATTACAGGCACCCTCCATCGTGCCCAGCTAATTTTTGTATCTTTAGTAGAGACGGGGTTTTGCCATGTTGGCCAGGCTGGTCTCGAACTCCTGACCTCAAGTGATCCACCTACCTCGGCCTCCCAAAGTGCTGGGATTACAGGCATGAGCCACCGCACCCAGTCAATTTCTAAGTATTTGATGGTTTTCACCACATTAATCTAACTCAAAACTGCAGCTGCCATAGCACCACTAAAATCATTTGGTTTTTGAAAAGTTATGCTTTTGCCAAGGATTATTATAAAGAAAAATTCAGCCTGTGTGCTGGATATCTTGCAGGGAAGAAACAACAGGATATGTTTGTAAGTGAACACTACACCATGATAAGGCCTATGTTTCTCTTATTCCTATTTCATAAAATGATCTACAACAAAGACATTTTCACAGAGGCAAACTGGAAAGGAATCCTTCACACAACACTCTTCTATTATCTTGAACGTCTGAATAGCTTTTCCTTTGGAGAACTCAAATGCTTCCGCAAACATTATCTTATTCTTACAACAATTTAGTGATCATGCCTATAATCCCAGCACTTTGGGTGGCTGAGGCAGGAGGACTGCTTGAGCTCAGGAGTTAGAGATCAGCCTTGGCAACATGTGAGACCCCATCTCTGCAATAAAAGAAAATAATTAGCTGGGTGTGGTGGCATGTACCTCTAGTCCCAGCTACTTGGGAGGCTGAAGCAGGAGGATAGTTTGGGCCCAGGAGTTGGAGGCTGTAGTGAGCTATGATCACACTACTGTAGTTCAGCCTGGGCAACAGAGTGAGACCCTGACTCAGAACAAAAGAACTCCAACAATTTAGTGAGGTAGGTGAGGACAGGTATTACCACTCTTATTTACAAGGGGAAACTAGGCACACAGAGATTAAACGAATTGCCTAAGGACACGGAGCAAATCAGTGGGAGACCTATTACTAAATTCCAAGTCTCTGGCTCATATTCTAGAGCCCTTTCTACTCTCAAAGGCAATAAATTCTCAATAGGCTTTTTCCATTTGTGATCTTTCAAAAGTTCCTCCATTAAAGAACACCTTAAGCCTTCTCTCTTATAGCCCACGCTTGACTAGGAACTGGGATGAGTTTTAAACTATTTTTACACAATATTTTGCACATATCAAGAAGGCAGATGTGAGACATAAGCTGTATAATAAAGTCAGAATAAATACATAAATTAAGAGAAATGAACAGGTTAAGTATTAATTCATTCAATATAATTTTTTACATATTTTAGAAGCCATGTATCAGAATAAAAGTCATAACATTTTAAAGTTTAAATCAGAGTCCAATTTATCAAAACCATAAGCTATATTAATTTTCTTTAAGAATATGAGGATCTCTGTTGGTTGGCAGAAGGTTAGAATATTACTTTCAAGAATAATTCTTATTTATTTATTTATTTTAAAGATTGGGGTCTTGCTGTATTGCCCAGGCTTGCTTTAAACTCCTGGGCTCAACTATCCTCCTGCCTCATCCTCCTGAGAAGTTCGGACTACAGGTGCAAACCACCACATCTGGCTAATATCAACAATAATATTATCACTGTGCCATAATACATCATATTCCTGATATATACTCTGTTCACATTAGCATTCTATAGCCAGCAAAAAATTCCATGGCTAGAGATAATACTTGCAACATTAATACTTTCAATCTTAATTCTCACTTAACTGAGTTAGAATTTCTCTTCATATATGTTAAAGTTACATTGTAATAATCATCATTCTATCTATTTTTGTTTTATCCTTCCCCTCTTTTATTTTTAACAGTGTGTGTGTTTGTGTGTGAGTGTGTGTGATGGGGAAAAAAGAACAATTGTGTGATTCACAAATGGCATAAAACACTGATTGTATTACAAATAAGAATGGTGGCACTCTAGTAAGTAAGATAATGGAATGTCAAAGGAAACAAACTTTAGAATACAAACATGGAAAACATGCTAAAATATTAATCAAGCTATAGCTTGTGGCATGTGATTCTTCTTTCCCAAGTATTTTGAGAGTGTCATTTACCCCCAGTAGAATTCTATATCAACTGCCTCTAAGTCCTTTTCCTATTCCTTCTTTTTTTTTTTTTTGAGACGGAGTCTCACTCTGCCACCCAGGCTGGAGTGCAATGGTGGGATCTCGGCTCACTGCAACCTCCGCCTCCTGGGTTCCAGACTACCTTGTCTGGAAAGGCCCTGCTTGGTGTTTTCTATTTAAAGGGGAAAACCAAACATGTTATGTTGATAGCAATGCCTGGCTCTATTAAAGATAAATCCTTCATTTAATTTCCTTATTGTAATTCAGACTAGCAGGATTCTCCTGCCTCAGCCTCAGGCGCCTGCCACCACGCCTAGCTAATTTTGTATTTTTAGTAGAGACAGGGTTTCACCATATTGGCCACGCTGGTCTCAAACTCCTGACCTTGTGATCCACCTGCCTTGGCCTCCCAAAGTGCTGGGATTGCAGGCATGAGCCACTGCTCCCGGCCTATTCTTTCTTTTTTAAAGAGGGAATGGGGTTGGACCCTGGGCTAAGAAATGAGAAAGCTCCTGGAAAACCTTAATTGCAATTAATTACTATAGAAGATCAAGTCTGTTGCTAGCAAAACCAAAGCTTCCTTTTGTTAAACTCCCTGGGATCAAACTGTATCCATGAACTGGGTCGGACTGTCTATGCCAAAATTCTTTCTTCATTACAAACTAACCAGTGTTTTTACCAAATCCCACACCAAAACCATTTTCTTTACAGGAAAGACTACATTGTCTGGAAAGGCCCTGCTTGGTGTTTTCTATTTAAAGGGGAAAACCAAAGACACTATGTTGATAGCAATGCCTGGCCCTATTTAAGGATAAAGACTTCATTTAATTTCTTTACTGTAATTCAGAAGCAACTTCCAAGACTTCTCTAAGTTACTGAGAATAGGTGTGCCTTTGGGTCTGGGACAACATTATCATATAAATTTAGATTACAGAGACGCTCGTCTTAGGTCTCTTCTGTAGGTTCAAATAGCAATAGCTGCTCTTTTACTCTGCAAATATTAAACAATTGTAAGGTTTCTGTCCAAGGATCCCAGCAAGGAAGCCTTATCCTAAATCCCCCCTCACTATATATTCTCACAATCCTACTAGTCTATTTCTTTACAAAGACCTCCAGTTTCTACAGATTCTGACAATAAAGAGTCACGTATGCAACATTTTTGCAGTCTTTCCTTCTTTGGTTCTAAAAAGACTATTAAAGGACTAACTTAAGAGATTTTTGTTTGTTTTCCCAACCAAAAATGAAATAAAGATGAAATAAAGCCATGAAATAAAGATGAAAGTTTTGTCTTTTATTTTTAAAATTATTATTATTTTTTGAGACGGAGTTTCACTCTTGTCGCCCAGGCTGGAGTGCAGTGGCATGATCTCGGCTCACTGCAACCTCCGCCTACCGGGTTCAAACGATTCTCTCGCCTCAGCCTCCCGAGTAGCTGGGATTACAGGCGCCCACCACCATGCCTGGCTAATTTTTGTATTTTTAGTAGAGACGGGTTTTGCCATGTTGTCCAGGCTGGTCTCGAACTCCTGACCTCAGGTAATCAGCCTGCCTCGGCCTCCCGAAGTGCTGGGATTACAGGTGTGAGCCACCGTGCCCGGCCAAGATGAAAGTTTTAGGCACTAAATATCAGAGTAATCTCCCTCTCTAGTCTCTGGTGTTGCCTCTTCAACATCAAACATAAAATTATAGATAGCATACCGCCAATTTTTGGAAAGAATAAAATTTAAAAAGCAAGGCTCTAATGACCAACACTTCCATCTGTTTTCTACGCATAACGCTGTTCATGGCAATTCTTTTTTGGGATGATCTATTACTGCACAACGATTTTTTTTTTTTTTTGAGACAGAGTCTCACTCTGTTGCCCAGGCTGGAGTGCAGTGGCACGATCTTGGCTCACTGCATCCTCCGCCACCACACCCGGCTAATTTTTGTATTTTTAGAAGAGACAGGGTTTTGCCATGTTGGCCAGGCTGGTCTTGAACTCCTGACCTCAGGTGATCTGCTCACCTCAGCTGCCCAAAGTGTTGGGATTACAGGTGTGAGCCACTGCACCTGGCCACAAAGCTTTCTTTCTAAAGAGGTGAACTAAACATGAACAAGCCATCAAGTACTTCACTGCGGTCAAGCTGTACTGATGTCAGGTAGCAGGATTTGTGGAGCCAACCAGTTAAAACAGCAAAATAAGCTCTATATGCCAGGTTTCTATGAACTTTCAGAAGGAAAAAGAAAACACAGGACCAGAGGCACCTTTTTTTGTTTGTATGTTTGTTTTGAGATGGAGTCTTGCTCTGTTGCCAGGCTGGAGTGCAGCGGTGCAATCTTGGCTCACTGCAACCTCCGCCTCCCAGGTTCAAGTGATTCTCCTGCCTCAGCCTCCCAAGTAGCTGGGACTACAGGCGTGTGCCACCACACCCAGCTAATTTTTGTATTTTTAGTAGAGATGGGGTTTCAGCATGTTGGCCAGGATGGTCTCCATCTCTTGACCTCGTGATCCGCCCACCTCGGCCTCCCAAAGTGCAGGGATTACAGGCGTGAGCCACCATGCCCAGCCCAGAGGCAACTTTTAAAATGTTGGTTTTCAGGAACTACATGTCTGCTAACCTTGGACATGTTGAAATGTAATGAATACAACTATTAAGGTTATAAGCGCAATAAATATCCTTAAAAGGGGACATACAATCACAGCAAAAATATTTTGCTTTTTTTTTTTTTGAGACGGAGTCTTGCTCTGTCGCCCAGGCTGGAGTGCAGTGGTGTGATCTTGGCTCACTGCAACCTCCGCCTCCTGGGTTCAAGCCATTCTCCTGCCTCGGCCTTCCCAGTAGCTGGGATTACAGGCACGTACCGCCAAGCCCAGCTAATTTTTGTAATTTTAGTAGAGACAGGGTTTCACCATATTGGGCAGGCTGGTCTCCAACTCCTGACCTCGTGATCCGCCCGCCTCAGCCGCCCACCCAAAGTGCTGGGATTACAGGTGTGAGCTACCACGCCCAGCCACATTAATTTGCTTTTAATTAGTAGTAACAAATTCTTATAATCAGAGTACAAATCTGTACTATCTGTATACAATTAGTACTTGATGTGTGCGGGGCTGAAGTATCTCAGAATAGTATATCATAGGGCAAACTAATGTAACTGGCAAAAATGCAAAAAGAAATGAAATGGCTAATCTCTACAAGAAATCACATGCTGATCTATTTTAAACTGTAAAACTTTACATCATATAAAAATAAAATTTTCCCATTTATAATTACCTGACACTTTCCCATTTCCTTGCCTCTCAGTGGAATACACTACAGTAAAATGTCATACATTGAGCTCCAATAATTTAGAATTGAAAACCCAGAGGATGGAATACAGTTTATCTTTTAACCACTTACAGAAAAGAAATTTCTTAACAAGCAAATTCATGATGTAAAAATACAATGCAAGTATTTTACCTGCTTAAGGGAATATACTTTTTTCATGTACTTTTATTTATTTTTATTTTTATTTTCTGAGATGGAGTTTCACTCTTGTTGCCCAGGCTGGAGTGCAATGGCGCGATCTTGGCTCACTGCAACCTCCGCCTCCCGAGTTCAAGTGATTCTCCTGCCTCAGCCTCCCGAGTAGCTGGGATTACAGGCATGTGCCACCATGCCCAGCTAATTTTTGTATGTTTAGTAGAGACGGGGTTTCGCCATGTTGGCCAGGCTGGTCACGAACCCCTGACCTCAGGTGGTCTGCCTGCCTCGGCCTCCCAAATTGCTGGGATTACAGGCGTTAGCCACTGCGCCCAGCCCATGTACTTTTATTTTAAAAGTTAACATACCAATATCCATAATCTTGATCTTGGCCAGATGCAGTGGCTCATGGCTGTAATCCCAGCACTTTGGGAGGCTGATGTGGGAGAAGCACTTGAGCTTAGGAGTTCAAGACCAGCCTGGGCAGTATAGTGACCCCCATCTCTAAAGAAAAAAACCATTAGCTGGGCATGGTGGCGCATGTGAGTAGTCCCAGCTACTTCAGAGGCTGAGGTGGGAGGATAGCCTGAGCCCAGGAGTTTGAAGTTATAGTGAACTATGATAGTGCCACAAAACAAAACAAATAATCTTGACCTATTCACTAGGAAACTGGACTGTCTATATATAATTGAACTTAATATTCTATAATCATGCTTTTTGCTGCCTTCCAATTTATTCACATTCATAAATTATTACTATTTAAATTTTTAATTAGCTGAAGTACTCTATTAATCAGTCTTTATACCTGGCTCTCCCTAGCCACTTAAACTCTGATTTCTTCATTGATACTCAGGGATTCAATCAACTTTAGAAGTATGCTAGGGAAAAGATCAGGGTAGCAAATCTTCCATATAACAAATTATGGGGGAAAAGTTTCATTTCAAAGTCAATTCAATGAATTTTGAATCATTTGCTATTTGTTTTCCAGGCCTACAAAAATGGTATCTTAATCCTAATGCTGAAAAATGTGACCATTTAAGCAGTTTCAATGTGCTTAAATTTAAAAAAAAAAGGCATGTAACAATTATTTATTTGACAGGTTTCCCCAAAACTGTAGTCAGGTAAAATAAATCCAATCTGTTATGTTAGTTTGCTACTAAAGGGGAAAAAAAGGATCAAACTTACAGGAAAGCCCCACCTCCCCTCCACATGTAGAAATCTGTCTAAAGACTGTCTTTAATGCCCACTATATAAACAACATTAAATATTCTAAGTTACAAAATAGTGTTAATGGTTTATTGGTAAAAATCCAAACTCTAGAGTTTATGGAATTCGTAGTTTGGTTGGTATATTAACACTCCATCTTAATCTTTGCTGCTATTACAAAGAATGAGGAAAGCTAGAAATATCTATAAAAATAAAATACCTTAAAACCGACAAGCAAAATATAAAAGTTGCATACAAATTGCCAATAAATATAAACATCACAATAGAAAAATTAATCTTAACAAAAATAAACTCATAATTGCTATTAAGACATTATAAAAACAAAAAAGTTTAATGTGCATGTATATTTGCAAACAGACACAGTACACTCCAAACAATATAATTTTACTATCATTATTATATAATGCAGCATACAAGGTTACTGAGGTGTGGTATTTTTTGTTGTTGTTGTTGTTTGCTTTTAGTCTTCTTTTCTGGAAGAATGCTCACCAAATTCACAGGAAAGAAGTGCCTAGGTGATCATTTACTGCTATTTACTGCTTCCTGGTATGGAGCAAAATTGCCCTCTGGTAGGTAACTACATTTCTAATTAGTATGAAAGGTTCTACTATTTTCCTTTCTTTTGCTTATTTCCCCTTAAGCACAATTTGCAGACCCTACTTCTATTTAACTGATCATACCCTTTTAAATGCCTTGTCATCATTTTTCATAGTTCCTGCATCCTAGAAAAAATAAAAAATCATTTAAAATATTCCTTGGTGTCTAGAAAAGAAAATTTCTCTAACAATAGAGATTATCATTTTGCTTTCTCACTTAAGCTGATCTGAATGATGATTTGGTACTGCCTTTATGAGCAGTCCTCCTTAATAATGACTAATTAGGGCCGGGTGTGGTGGTGCATGCCTGTAATCCCAGCTACTTGGGAGGCTGAGGCACGAGAATCACTTGAACCCGGGAGGCGGAGTTTGCAGTAAGCTGAGATTGAGCCACTGCACTCCAGCCTAGGTGACAGAGCAAGACTTTGTCTCAAAAAAAAAAAAAAAAAAAAAGATTAATTAGAAAATGTTGCCTATGATTCCAGGCAAGTTACATTTCCCTTTGGACATTGGTACTATACCCATAATCTTGTTAAAAAGTTAAGTAGGTTTGCTGTTTTATGTGCATTATGGATTTCCTCCAACACAGTTGGGAATTAAAAGAGGTAATTCTACTAAATATTTTGTTTTCAAATTTACAAAATAAATTTGGTGAGCATTTACCTAGATACTTTACTGCATAAAAGCTTTCCTTGGTTCCCTTGGACGAGATTCAAGACAACAACTAACATTATTTTTATGAAACTGTCACACTCTTGGAGTTCTAAAATAATTTATCTTTAAAATTCTTAGCTTCGTGCTACTTGAAAAATAAAAATCTACAGCACCATCTTCTGAAAAGGCACTTTCTAAGAACCGCCTTGCTTTAAAAAATGATTAAAAAATTTAACTCAAGAGTCTACGCCCTGACAAACGTCTTTGCTTTACTGAGACCCTAACATAGATACATTAGATTCTGGTTACCTTAGAAATTAGTCTAAAAAAGGAAGGGACCCCGATGGCTGGATAGGTGATTTGACAGGATTCTAATTTTGTCACACCATTTACCTGATACTTCAACAGGGTTTCTCACTGGTAAATCTCAACCCTCTATATTGAATTTACCATCCTTCTATCTTTAATTCAAATTAAAATCTTTAACTTCCATATTTTAAGAACAAAAGATTCTTGAGATTTAATCAATGATGTAAACATCTGGAGTACTAGTTTTGATGGGTAAAGTAATATAAATTTCAATGAGTAGTAGGTAATATTAGCACAAGCCTTGACCATTATACCTTAGTTTAAAAAATTATGTTGACTGACATGGAAAATTATAAACTTAAATGTACCATTTTAAAAGTAGGAAAAAAGTCAAAATAATTTTTCCCTTTGTGTGTGTGTGTGAGATTATATATATACACACTCATACATATACACACACACACACTCCCCCTCCCTGCTTCCTGGGACTCAGCTTGGCTTTCACTAATCACAGTGTCATTTCTAACACTGCAACGGATCAAGAATGTTCTTAGTATAAGCAGGACTTTTTTAAAAAGATTTTTTGGAGAAAATTCTCACTTTCTGATTTCTGTGCTGACTGACTTACCTACTCTTGGCTGATTTTTTGACTCCTATAGAATCACAAAAGTGCTTTTCTATGATCAAATATGAGGACTGAAATAGGAAAACAAGAGTTCTAAATTAGGGTTATACTGCTACACAGGAAGGCGTTACTTGATGTCAAACCTCCCAACAATTCTTACTGAAGCTTTAAGACATTTATGAATTCTCAAAAAGAATGAAAATAATGAATACTTCATATGGATAAAGCCAAAATAAAGACGCCACACTAATGATATTTTTGCAGCTTGACTAACTAATAAAAGGTAATTTAAGTAGCAAGTTACTGTTAAGGGCAACCTGCCTGTTCAACAGAAGAACATCTAAGAGGATAAGCTAAGCAAACATTTAACTCAGGTTTAATGATACTGAATGAAAATTTTGCAGAGTTGTCAGTTAAACTTCTTGGTAAAAATATTAAAATCAAGTTTGAAATAGGAAGACTGCAACATATTCTAGCTGTATCGAAGTCGTTTGCTTCTTGAATTTCATAAAAATCACTGCCCTTGGCAAATTCATGTAGGGCTCTAAACAGATCCATCAAGTTCCTTGAGTCACAAACGGTCTCTAATTCCTGGTCTGCAATCCATCTAAATACTTCGGATCCATCACTGGCATGCTTAGCGCTCACCCTTTCCTTGAACACAGAGATCCGCTGCCAGTCATTCCTGCTGAAGGGCAAGTCAGGTTTTATTTCCCTAGACATGCCTTCAGTCTTTCATGACTCTGTCAGAAGGCCTATCCTCCTAAAATCCATTAGAGAATACACAAGCAAACACTAGGCAGTGGTGGGCTGTGGAGAAGCTAGCTTGGAAACTGGTCTAGATCTTTAGAAGGCTGAGAATCCCTGTGCTGGAAAGCAGAGATGCCTCTATCAAGTGCCTTCCAAAACACTCAGTAATTCCTACTAGAATCCCTGCTAGACTCTCTTCTAGGAATAGAAATATATTAATAGGTTATAAACAGGGATTTCCCTTAGAATGATAGTTTTTCCAAGAAACTTGTTAGAAGATCACTATTAAGAAAAAGAAAGGGAATCTAATATTTCTGTTGAAATGTGCCAAAAAACCAGTACTGAAGAGGCTGAGGTACCCTTTTTCAAACTGTAAAAGTCAAAATCTACATTTCTAAAACAAAGAATATCCTGATATTAAATTGAAACTAAAATGGCAGCACCCTTTGTTACTTTGATATTCCGTGTCCTTACTCTTAGGAAAAAAAAGGGTCTAACACTAGCCTTGAATCCTGCTTATCTCCTTACTGTTTAGTGCAGTAACTGTCAGAATCTACTTAAATAAATATAGCAGCTACAATATTGTAAGTGTATGGTCCTCCATGCCAGTAACCTGATACTGTGATATAATACATGTATCAGCACTTTATGTAGACACATTAACCATCAAGAATATACATTAAACTCCCAACTCTTCTTCATATGAAAATCAATTATCTAGTTGCCAGACTGATATTTTACAGTCAGTCTCGTAAGATACATCACAGAAAAAAGAAGACCAAAATCTAGCATTCATGATATAGTTAGTGAGCAAGGGCAGGAGCAGAAGGGTCACTGTGAATTTCATGTTTAACTTAAAAAAAAAAACTTTTTTAAAATAAAAAAGATTAGAAATTCTACACCAGAAATGCAACAATAAATAGGACAAATTTCAAGAAGCATTTGTCACTTAGCCTTTTATCTTAAAATTCTAAGCACAAGTTTTCTTGTAATTAAGAACCAATGGTAATTAATATACCAATTTGTTAGCAAAATAGAAATATAGTATACATACTCTTTCAAGTTAATCAACTTTAAACTAGCAATGCTGACTAGTGTAAGAGCACTCTAAAAAAGAAATCACTCAAAAGGTAAAGCTTTATAATTTAGAAAAAATATTTTTCCTCTTAAAAAAGTCCTTCCAAATAGATTTAAATTAAGGGCTCCACTCTAGCATATATGAGTGACTGAAAATTAGGTGAGAGAGTACATAGAGAAAGGGTATCTACAGTCATTCCCTAAAGTTTCCCACATGAATCTGTGCAGCTCCCATGATAAAGGAAGATGTTTTACTCACACTGATCAAGCATAGACGAATTAAATTTTTATCATCTTGGGTATACTATTTTCTTCTCTTGCCCATGATCCTGACTATATTCAGTAAAATTTCAGTGTAAAAAAATCCATCTTTATAGGAAATTTTTCTGGAGGAGATGGGAGAAGGCTGGGAGAAAAAATGTATATACGATACAAATATTACCTTTTGTAAAGTTCTTTGCAACAGTGTTGTAAATTGCATTTCAGACACTTCAAAATAATAAACATACAAAATACAGTACTTTCTTAGTTTTCTGGCAGAGGGACAAAAGATTTCATGCCTGTCAGAGGACATGGGCTCAGATTTTAGGCTCAAAATACAGTGAATTGGCAATAATAGTGGATTACAGGTAAGAGAGAAACTAAAGATCTAAATCCATTAGGTTTCACGTGCAGATGGAATTCTGAAAGGCTAACAACAATGCCCACTGGAAACAATCTGTAGTATCTATACTCTGAACCAGTGCAAAAAAAAAAAAAATCAAAATGCAATTTTCATGAGTTACAAAGTGCAAAGCTCCCCTGAATCCAATGTTACTGATAAACTCAGTTTTGATAGCTTTATAGTACTTTTTAATACCTTAAAGTGTAATCAATAAAAGTTTTGTAAAACAATTTCCCACGTTTCAGTGATTTAACTGATTTAAAATGATCAAAGTCCTAACTTCCTTTGTTACTATCACCTTAATTTTAAAAGGAAAGTTATACTGGTGATACATTAGCAAAAGTTTTAAAATATCATCTTGCATTTTCCTGATTCATTTTAGTAAATGAAAATGGGCATCTAGCCAATATGATTCTTCAATAAACACAATCTATTTGCAAATAATTTAAATATGTTAAGCTATTCACAATTATATAAAAGTTCAACTTTATTTCTAATATTCAAGTTGGACTCATTTAGGCAATTTCACTTCATTTTCATTATGATTTTTTTTTCTTTTGAGACGGAGTTTTGGTTTTGTTGCCCAGGCTGGAGTGCAATGGTGCAGTCTTGGCTCACTGTAACTTCCGCCTCCTAGGTTCAAGCAATCCTGCCTCAGCCTCCCGAGTAGCTGGGATTAGAGGTGCCCACTACCACGCCCAGCTAATTTTTGTATTTTTAGTAGAGACGGGGTTTCACCACGTTGGCCAGGCTGGTCTCAAACTCCTGAGCTCCGGTGATATACCTGTCTCAGCCTCCCAAAGTGCTAGGATTACAGGCATGAGCCACCGCGTCCAGCCTTTTATCATGATGAATTTTAAAAGATATGCTTTAAAACTGAAAATTACAAAACTTTCCTTCTGAAATTAAGGCTGTATTCTTTGCCCTTTTAAACTATGGAGGTGCCTGTTCCTCCTACTATCCATGGTAAAGATGCAGACACAACTTTCCTTTAAAACTGCTTATTGCACTAAAAGATAGCAAAAACAAGTTGTCAGTTCTTAAAATAAACATGATTATATTTCTATAAAAGATGCTGCCAATACAATTCTATAATTATTAAAGCACTATTCTAATAAATATAAAAGAAAAGGAAGCTATACTTCCAAACACATACATATGTGTTTATATACACACACATACATATATATATATAAAAAATATATGAAAATCACATTAAGGTATGAGAGGCAGCAAGTAAACTATCAAAAAACAAAACAAAAAAATCCCTCAACAAACTCTTCTCTCTACTCAATTTCAGAGGTCTCAACCCTACAGAGCTCTAATCTTTTAAAATATTTACCCTTTATAAAACCTTTAAAGAATTTCCATGTATAACCCATAGAAACAGAAGGCTTCAGAATACACATCACTTACCAGAGAGAAAGTTACAACTTCTGACAGGTTTTATATTTATAGCAGCTTTAACAAACTCACTAAAGAAAAAGAATAGTAGGCCGGGTGCGGTGGCTCATGCCTGTAATCCCAGCACTTTGGGAGGTCGAGGCGGGTGGATCACAAGGTCAAGAGATCGAGACCATCCTGGCCAACACGGTGAAACCCCGTCTCTACTAAAAATACAAAAATTAGCTGGGTGTGGTGGCACATGCCTGTAAACCCAGCTACTCGGGAGGCTGAGGCAGGAGAATTGCTTGAACCCGAGAGGCGGAAGTTGCAGTGAGCCGAGATCTCGCCACTGCACTCCAGCCTGGTGACAGAGCGAGGCTCTGTCTCATTAAAAAAAAAAAAGAAAGAAAAGAAAAAGAAAAAAGAAAAAGAATAGTTCAGGTTGCTACTGCTTATATACAAATTGCGCAAATGGTAAATGTATGTTCTGAGTGGGAGGGGAGAGACGCACTCTCACAGAAAGTTATTTTATGTATATATATGTGTGTGTCTGTGTCTGTGTATGTATGTATACATATATATATAAAATTTTGTTTCTTAAGACAGCAATATCAAGAGTTGAGAACTCAGAATTGTGTATGAGATAGGAGTCAGGAGTAGGGTATGCAAAATAAAAGTAGAATTCTAGTTTGCCATATTTTATATTCAAACGAACCAGATACATCAACATTTGAATGTCACTGGTAGGACTGGGAAAAAAATGTAGGTGATGAAGGCAAGGGAAATAGAGAAATAAAGGCGGTAGTGGGGGTAGAATAAAAGGGAAAGAAAATTCCCCAATGGAATGAACTCTAAAATATATAACAGACACATATATATCTATTATCAATCCAGATCTAGATATATATGCATATGAAGTATGGATGTATATATTTTAAAAATACACAGACACCTTTTACAAGAATATATGAATGCACATTAATTTTTTGCACACATAATTCTGAAAAATCACTTTGATTATTCATGAAGGTGTGTATTTTTTAAACCATCATTTACTTTTTCTTTACTTTTTTTTGCAAAGATAGTTGTGCTGCCAAGCAACTTGAGGTAAAGGCATTAAAAGGGTTAGACTACAAGAAATGAAAACAAAACAATTGCGATACTTCCTATAGGAGACCGCACAAAAAGCAGTTGGCTGGTTTCATATTGCATAATGATGCTGTGTTCCTTGATGAAGTAAACAATCTTCCTTGTATTAACATAAGGATCAGACCTTGGCCCCCACACAGTGTTGGTTTCTGTATGGCTGGAGGTGTCCTTACTCAATTGACTTCACTGGAAACATACGTTGTATGTCAATTCATCTTTCAGTACTTCCTCTCAGAGAATATACTTGGACTATTTAAGCGAAGTACATTGTGCGTAAGGTATCTTGGTGAATCTGTACAGCCTTGGCAAGAGCTTGTGGATCTCGCCCATTGCTTTGTCCTGAAACGTGACTTCCTTCAGCACTGTAAGAGAAGTGGCAATGAACACAAAAACAAACTTTCTATTCTGATGTAATAATTCCGAAAAATACTATTTGTTGTAGAAAATTTCAAAATTATTAACAAATAAGAGACTGGTGTAACAATCTATGTGTCCATCACTCAGCTTCAATCACTATTAACTCAAGGCCAATTTTGTTTTACTTCTCTCACCTCCCCAGAATTAATTAGAAGCAAACCTAGATATCGTATCATTTTGTCTATCTGTCTGAATGTATCACTTTATTACCAATAATCTCTCCTTTGAATTAATGTAGTAAAACAACTAAGTTACTACATGATTCTATTACTAATGAGCCTAGACAATATATTTCAATAGGAAACCTTGGGCAGTCAGTTCTGTCATCATTTTTCACATGGATCACTGACTCCGCTAATAGCTTGTGGAACTTGAAAATCCTACCATGCAGACAATATTGGGATTTGGGTGAGAACCTGTTATGCTTTTATATTACCTGTCATGTTCTTTGTCCACAAGATGATATCTGGCTCTAAATGCTACCAGGTGAGCATAATACGCTGGTGCAGGTATAGAAACAGATCGTGTACAGCGTACGTAAGTGTGGCAGAGCTGGTAAGTTAGCAGCTGAAGTTCATCTGCAGTAAAGCAGTTATCATCCCATAAAACATGATAGTGTGAAGGACGACTGGTACCCTATAGAGAAGGCAATGACATACACTGTTGAATTTTGAACTCTTTTTGTTTTGTTTTGTTTTTTGAGACAAAGTCTTGCTCTGTCACCCAGGCTGAAGTGCAATGGCGTGATCTCAGATCACTGCAACCTCCACCTCTGGGGCTCAAAAGATTCTAGTGCCTCTGCCTCCCCAGTAGCTGGGATTACAGGCATGTGTGATCATGCCCAGCTAATTTTTTGTATTTTTAGTAGGGACAGGGTTTTGCCATGTTGGTCAGGCTGGTCTCAAACTCCTGACCTTAAACGATCTGCCTGCCTCAGCCTCCCAAAGTGCTGGAATTACAGGCGTGAGCTACTGTGCTGAGCCCAATTTTGAACTTTTTAATAAATATTTAATACCAAGTCACATAAAAAACAGGTTTGGCACTTTGGGAGGTTAAAGTGGGAGGGTAGCTTGAGGCCAGGAGTTCAAGACCAGCCTGCACAACACAGTGAGGCTCCATCTCCACAAAAGGTAAAAAAAAAATTAGCCAGATGTGGTGGCATGCACCTGTAGTCCCAGCTACTTGGGAGGCTGAGGCAGGCAGATCACTTGAGCCCAGGAGGTCAAGGCTGCAGTGAACTATGATCCCATCATTGCACTCCAGCCTGGGTGACATAGTGAAACTTTGTCTCAATAAATAAATAAATGAAATGAAATAAAATAAAATAGAAAAGTAAAGCTGGGAAGATGTATAAAGAACAGTTTTTAGTCTCTGTGAAATATTATTGGTTATTTGCTGACTACAGCAGAAGTTTCAAACTGATATCCTAAAGGAAATCTGTTCAGGCTGGGCATGGTGGCTCATGCTTATAGTCTCAGCACTTTGGGGAGGCTGAGGTGGGAGGACAGCTCAAGCCCAGGAGTTTGTGACTAGCCTAGGCAACATAGGAAGACCTCATCTCTACAAAAAGATTTAAAAAATTAGCCAGGTGTGGGCCAGATGTGGTGGAGATCAAGACCATCCTGGCTAATATGGTGAAACCCCATCTCTACTAAAAATACAAAAATTAGCTAGGCGTGGTGATGCGTGCCTGTAAGCCCAGCTACTCAGGAGGCTGAGGCAGGAGAATCGCTTGAACCAGGGAGTTGGAGGTTGCAGTGAGCCGAGATCGCACCACTGCACTTCAGCCTGGTGACAGAGCGAGACTGTCTCAAAAAAAAAAAAAAAAAAAAAAAATTAGCCAGGTGTGGTGGTGTGGACCTGTAGTCCCAGCTAGGTGGGAGGCTGAGGCAGGAAGATTGCTGAGCTCAGGAAGTCAAGGCTGCAGTGAGTGGTGATTGTGCCACTGCACTCCAGCCTGGGCAACACAGCAAGACCCTGTCTCAAATAAATAATAAAACAAAAATAGGCTGGGTGTGGTGGCTCACACCTGTAATCCCAGCACTTTGGGAGGACAAGGTAGGTGGATCGAACAAGAGTTCGAGACCAGCCTGCCCAACATGGCAAAACCCCCTCTCTACTACAAATACAAAAAATGAGCTGGGTGTAGTGGCATGTGCCTGTAGTCCAGCTACTTGGGAGGGTGAGGCAGGAGAATCTCTTTAACCTGGGAGGTGGAGGTTGCAGTAAGCCGTGACTGCACCAGTGCACTCCAGCCTGGGTGACAGAGCGAGACTCCATCTCAAAAAGTAAATAAATAAATAAAAATAAAAATTTTAAAAGTTAAAAAAAAAAAGGAAAACTGTTCCCTAAGGTTTCTGATTAAATATATCGGAGAAATATTTCTATCTTGAAGATTCATAATGGTCATTTGCATATCAATGGTCTTCAAAAGTTCCGTAATAAAAAAAATCTGTTTAACAGCATTTCTAAAACTTAACTTGAAGAGAGAATCTTTCTCCTCTGTGATTTTTAAAATACAGTCATCTGGATGCAATGTGGTATTTATTAAATACTGGAGGAAACACTAGGTTAAAATATATAAACCAGTCATATAGGATTTATTTATTTATTTATTTAGAGACAGGGTCTGCAGTCTCGACCTCCCAGGCTCAGGTGATCCTCCCCTCAGCCTCCGGAGTAGCTGGGACTACAGGCACCTACCACCACACCCAGCTAATTTTTTTATTTTTTATAGAGATGAGGTTTTGCCATGTTGCCCAGACTGGTCTCCAACTCTTGGGCTGAAGCAATCCACTCGCCTCGGCCTCCCAAAGTGCTGAGATTACAGGCCTGAGCCTGATATATATAGGTTTTAATCCCTAGAAGATACTATTAACTTTTTTTGGCTTTTGTTATTTTTCATGGACACATAATAATTACACATATTTATGAGGTACAGTGTAATATTTTGATACACATATATAATGTATAATGATCAAATCAGGGTAATTAGGATATCTATGCCTCAAACATTGTGCCAGGAAAATTCCAAACCCACTCTCCTGGTTATTTGAAAATATACAATAAGTTGGTAATTACAGCCATCCTATAGTGCTATAGAATATTAGAACTTATTCCTCCTATCTAGTTGTAATTTTGTATCTGTTAACCAGTCTTTGGTAATCCCCCTCCCTTTCCTGCCTCTAGTAACTACTATTTTACTCTCTACTTCTATGACATCAACTTTTATAGCTTCCACCAGTGAGATCATGCAGTATATATCTCTCTGTGGTTGGTTTATTTCATGTAACATAATGTCCTCCAGACTCATCCATGTTGCCACAAATGACAGAATTTCATTCTTTTTTTGTGGCTAAATAGTATTTCATTGTGTATAAATACCATATTTTCTTCATTCATCTGTTGAGGGACACTTAGGTTGATTCCATATCTTGCCTATTGTAATAGTACTGCAATAAACATGGGGATGCAGATATCTTCTTGACACACTGTTTCCTTTCCTTTGCATATATACTCAGTAGTGGGATGGCTGGATCATATGGTAGTTTTAATTTCAGTTTTATGAGGAACTTCCATACTGATTTCCCTAATGGCTGTACTAATGTACATTGCCACCAATAGTGCATATGAGTTCCCCTTTCTCTGCATTCTTTGTCTTTTTGATAATGACTATATTAATTTGAGTGAGATGATATCTCATTGTGATTTTAATTGGCATTCCCCTGGTGATTATTGATGTTGAGCATTTTTTCATATACCTCTTGATCGTCTCAATTACTCTCTTGAGACATTTGCCTATTTTAAAATCAAATTATTATTATTATTTTTGCTGTTGAGTTGTTTGAGTTCTTTGGATATCCTGGATATTAATACCTTGTTTTTTTGAGACAGAGTCTTGTTCTGTTGCCCAGGCTCATTGCAGCCTTGCCCTTCTGGGCTCCAGTGATCCTCCCACCTCTGCCTCCTGAGTAGCTGGGACCACAGGTACATGTCAGCACGTCCAGCTAATTTTTTTATTTTTTGTAGAGATGAGGTCTCACTATGTTGCCCAGGCTTGTCTTGAACTTGTGGGCTCAAGCAGTCCTCCTGCCTCAGCCTCCTGAGAAGCTGGGATTACAGGCATGTACCATGTGCCCAGCCGTTTCTATGTTTTTGATGTAAATGTTTATTGCTATAAACTTCCCTCTGAATTCTGTTTTTGCTCTATCCCACAGGGTTTGGAATGTTGTATTTCTATTTTCATTTGTTCCAAGAAATTTTAAAAATTTCTTCTTAATTTCTTCATTGACCAGTCACTGGTTGTTCAGGAGCATACTGTTTAATTTCCATGTAAAAGATATTTGAGGCCGGGCATGGTAACTCATGACTGTAATCCTAGTACTTTGGGAGGCCGAGGCAGGCGGATCATTTGAGGTCAGGAGTTCGAGACCAGCCTGGCCAACATTAAATCAAAAAAATAATTGAGGCTGGGTGCAGTGGCTAACATCTGTAATCCCAGCACTTTGGGAGGCCAAGGTAGGTGGACTGCTTAAACTCAGCCTGGGTAACATAGTGAAAAACCTTGTCTCTACAAAAAATGTCAAAATTAGCCAGGCATGGTGGCATGTGTCTGTGGCCCTAGCTACTCGGGAGGCTGATGTGGGAGGATCACTTGAGCCCAGGAGGCGAAGGTTCCTGTGAGCCATGATCTCACCAGAGTGAGACCCTGTCTCAAACAAAACAAAACAAAACAAAACAAAACAAAACGAAAGAAATCAAATCAAGTATCTTTTTTTTTTTTTTTTTTTGAGATAGAGTCCCACTCAGTCACCCAGGCTGGAGTGTGCAATGGTGTGATCTCGGCTCTGCAATCTCTGCCTCCTGGGTTCAAGCGATTCTCCTGCCTCAGCCTCTTGAGTAGCTGGGATTATAGGCGCCCGCCACCACACCCGGCTAATTTTTGTATTTTTAGTAGAGACGGGGTTTTGCCATGTTGGCCAGGCTGGTCACGAACTCCTGACCTCAAGTGATCCACCTGCCTCAGCCTCCCAAAGTGCTGGGATTACAGGCGTGAGCTACCACACCCGGCAATTATTTAATTTAATTTATTTATTTTGAGACAGTCTCACTCTGTCGCCCAGGCTGGAGTGCAGTGGCGTGATCTTGGTTTACTGCAACCTCCACCTTCTAGGTTCAAGCGATTCTCTTGCCTCAGCCTCCTGAGTAGCTGGGATTACAGGCATGTGCCACCACTCCTGGCTAATTTTTGTATTTTTAGTAGAGGTGGGGTTTCATCATGTTGGCCAGGGTGGTCTTGAACTCCTGACCTCAAGTGATCCACTCACCTTGGCCTCCCAAAGTACTGGGATTATAGGCATGAGCCACCACACCTGACCGCCTCCATTATTTTAAATTTGTTGAAATTTGTTTTGTGGCCTAACATGTGGTCTATCCTGGTGAATGTTCCATGTGCTGAGAAAATAATGTATATTCTGCAGCTGCTGGATGAAATGCTTTGTATATATTTGTTAGGTCCATTTGGTCTAAAGTGTATTTTAAATCCAATGTTTCTTTGTTGATTTTCTGTCTAGATGATCTGTCAAGCGCTGACAGTGGGGTGTTGAAGTTCTCAACTACTATTATTGGAGTCTCCTTCTTTCTTTAGAGCTAATAATACTTGCTTTATATTATATATCTGGATGCTCCAGTGTTGGCTGCATATATATTTACAACTGTTATATCCTCTTGGTAAATTGATCCCTTTAGCATTATATAATGACCTTCTTTGTCTCATTTTATAGTTTTTGACTTAAAGTCTGTTTTGTCTAACTTAAATACAGCTACTCCTGCTTGCATTTCTTTTCCGCTTGCATGGAATGAATGACTTTCTCCATCTCTTCACTTTCAGTTTATATGTGTCTTTACAGGTGAAGTGAATTTCTCATAGGCAGCATATATTTGGATTGTTAAAAAATTCAGTATTTTAAATATAGGAGGTACATGTGAGATTTGTTACATGGGTATATTACACCCAGATGGTGAGCTTAGCACCCAGTAGTTTTTCTTTTCTTTTTTTTTTTTTTGAGATAGAGCCTTGCTCTGTCGCCAGGTTGGAGTGCAGTGGCGCAATCTCGGCTCACTACAACCTCTGCCTCCTGAGTTCAAGTGATCCTCCTGCCTCAGCCTCCCAAGTAGCTGGTACTACAGGTGCGTGCCACCATGCCTGGCTAATTTTTGTATTTTTAGTAGAGATGGGGTTTCACCATGTTGGCCAAGACAGTCTTGATCTCTTGACCTTGTGATTCACCGGCCTTGGCCTCCCAAAGTGCTGGGATTACAGGCGTGAGCCACTGCACCCAGCCCCAATAGAATTTTTCAACCCATCCCCCCTGCCCTCCTCTCTAGTAGTCCACAGTGTTTATTATTCCCATGTTATGTCCATGTGTGCTCAATGTTTAGCTCCCACTTTTAAGTGAGAGCATGCAGTATTTGGTTTTCTGTTCCTGTGTTAGTTTGCTTAGGATTATGACCTTCAGCTCCATCTATGTTGCTGTAAAGGATATGGTTTCATTCTTTTAAAAAATTCATTCAGTGGCTGGGCTTGGTGGCTCACGCCAGTAATCCCAGCACTTTGGAAGGATGAGGCAGGTGGATTGCTTGAGCTCTGGATTCAAGACCAGTCTGGGCAACATAGTGATATCCCGTCTCTACAAAAATACAAAAATAAGCCAGGTGTGGTGATGCATGCCTTGTGTGGTGATGCATGCCTGTAGTCCCAGCCATGCAGGAGGCTGGGGCAAGAGGATCGCCTGAGCCCAGGAGGCAGAGGTTGCAGTGAGTTGAGATTGCACCACTGTACTCCAGCCTGGAAACCAGAGTGAGAAAAAAATTCATTTAGCCAGTCTACATCTTTTCAGTGGGCAATTTAATTTGTTTACCTTCAGAGTTACTACTGATAGGTGAAGGCCTATTCCTGTCATTTTGTTAATTGTTTTCTGCTTGTTTTCTATATCCTTTCTTCCTTTCTTCTTATTATCATGGTGGGTTGGTGGTTTTCTGTAGAGCAACAAGGTTTGAATCTTTTCTGTTTCTTTCTTGTGTATCTGTTCTACCAGTGAGTTTTATACTGTTGTTTCCATAATAATGATTATTGACTTTTTGCCTCCCTCGAACATTTCCTATAGGTCGAATCTAGTGGTGATAAATGTCCTCAGTTTATGCATGTCTCGGAAATACTATTTCTCCCTCATTTCTAAAAGTTAGCTTTGCTGGAAATAGGATTCTTATTGATTGATTGATTGATTGATTGAATGATTGAGACAGGGTCTCACTCCGTTGCCCAGGCTGGAGTACAGTGGCACAATCATAGCTCACTGCAACCTCTGCCTCCTGAGCTCACATGATCCTCTACTGGGTACAGCATTCTTGGCTGACAATTTTTTTTTTCAGCCCTTTGAATATATCATCTCAATCTCTCCAGGCCTATAAGGTTTCTGTGGAGAAATCTGCTGTTAGTTTAATGAAGATTCTAAGTGACTTGATGCTTTTCTGTTGTTTTTAGAATTCTGTCTGTCCTTGACTTGACAATTTGACTACAATGTTCCTTGGGAAGAACCTTTTAGGGTTCGATCTGTTTGGAGACTTTTGAGCCTCCTAGATCTAGATGTCTATATTTCTCCCCAGATTTGGGAAGTTTTCAGCTATTATTTCTTTTTTTTTTGAGACAGGGCCTCACTCTGTCATCCCAGGCTAGAGTGTAGTGGTGTGATCTCAGCTCGTTGCAGCCTCAACCTCCCCGGCTCAAGTGATCCTCCTGCCTCAGTCCCGAGTAGCTGGGACTACAGGTGCATGCCACCATGCCTGGCTAATTTTTGTATTTTTTGTAGGGATGGGGTATCACCATGTTGCCCAGGCTGGACTCAAAACTCATGAGCAAAAGCGGTCTGCCCACCTTGGCCTCCCAAAGTGTTGGGATTACAGGTGTAAGCCACCATGCCCAACCTAATATTTCATTAAGCAGATTTTTCTACACCTTTCCCTTTCTCTTCTCCTTCTGGAACTCCCATAATACAAATATTTATTTGCTTACTGGTGTTTCATAAGTCTCAGAGGCGCTCTTCACTCTTTTTCATTCTTACTTCTTTTTTTTTTCTGACTCCGATTTTTTTTTCAAATGACCTGTCTTCAAGTTCAGAGATTCTTCTGCTTGATCAAATCTGCTGTTGAAGCTCTCTATTATATTTTGTATTTTCCATTGAATTCTTCAGCTGAAGATTTCTGTTTGGTTCTTTTTAAATTTCTATCTTTTTGTTGAATTTCTTGTTCATATTGTGAATTGCTTTCCCGATCTTTTTTTTAGGCAGAGTTTCGCTCTTGTTGCCCAGGCCGGAGTGCAGTGGCGTGATCTCGGCTCACTGCAACCTCCACCTCCCAGGTTCAAGCAATTCTCCTGCCTCAGCCTCTCGAGTAGCTGGGATTATAGGCATGTGCCACCACCCCAGCTAATTTTGTATTTTTAATACAGACAAGTTTTCTCCATGTTGGTCAGGCTGGTCTTGAACTCCCGACCTCAGGTGTTCTGCCTGCCTCGGCCTCCCAAAGTAATGAGATTACAGGCGTGAGCCACTGCGGCCGGCCTGCTTTCCCGATTTTGTTGAGTTGTCTATTGGTATTTTCTTGTATCTCAATATATTTGGGCTATCCCAATATCTATGGGATACAGAGCTGCTCAGATCTTCCAGGGCACCAATTCCCCAGTGCCAGTTCAGCTCAGGCATGGGGCTATGCCTGTTCTGGGTGGCCCAGACATGGTTTCCCTGATATGCAGGGCACTGCTTCAGCTTAGGTACTGGAGTGTGTGACTGCTCTGGATGACTAAGGCACTGCTTAGTACATTGAGATGCAATGTACTCCTTCAATTTAGGCACTGGAGAGGTATGACCTCTTTTTTTTTTTTTTTTTTTTTTTTTTTTTTTTAAATAGAGACTGAGTCTCACTCTGTTGCCCAGGCTGGAGTAGCTGGGACTACAGGCGCGCGCCATGACGTCCAACTAATTTGTTTTGTAGTTTTAGTAGAGACAGGGTTCCACCATGTTGGCCAGGCTGTTCTCAAACTCCTGACCTCAGGTGATATGCCCGCCTCGGCCTCCCGAAGTGCTGGGATTACAGGTGTGAGCCACCGCACCTGGCCGAGGTATGATCTCTTTAAATGGCCAAGGCACAAGGTGTAACAGGTGCTTGCAGCTCGACAGGGCTGTCAGGCCACTGGGCTGGAGTAATTTGGTGATAGCATAGCCTTAACAATAAAGAGGAGTCATGGCTACTTGCCCCTGGAGCAAGACATATCCCAGCTATAGTTCCACTTCCAAGATGGAGTAGTGCAGTAGCTGCTTGGACCACAGTGGGTGGAGCACAGTATCAGCTCCTTTTCTCGGGTTGGGAGGGTACACTTATGTGGACTCCAGGCAACTCC
Organism: Homo sapiens; assembly: GCF_000001405.40. NCBI lineage: Eukaryota > Metazoa > Chordata > Mammalia > Primates > Hominidae > Homo > Homo sapiens. The sequence goes on along the minus strand of NC_000001.11, from coordinate 36,046,127 downwards.
CCAAGATGGGATTAGTGCCTAAGAACAGTGCTGGGGACCCCAGTGTAGGTGTCCAAGGTGTTGATGGGGATTGCTGGGATCCTCTTGCTTATCTGTTCACTGCAGGGAGAAGTTCCTCCTGGTTCCCAGCTGATCCTGATTTGGAGATGGAGTAGTGGAGGCTCAGTGTTTCTTTCTGTTCTCTGTGTGGTCATCCCGAGTTTCTGTGCTCACCAGGGTTTCTGTTACTCCTCTGATGCACTCCAGGGCTCTCCCTCAGTTATTTTCATTAAAATATAGTTGTTTGGCCCAGTGCAGTGATTCATGCCTACAATCCCAGCACTTTGAGAGGCTGAGGCAAGTGGATCGCCGGAGGTCAGGAGTTCAAGACCATCCTGGCCAACATGGTGAAACCTCATCTCTACTAAAAATATAAAAATTAGCCGCGTGTGGTGGCAGAAGCCTATAATTCCAGCTACTCCGGAGGCTGAGGCAGAAGAATCGCTTGAACCTGGGAGGTGGAGATTGCAGTGAGCTGAGATCACGCCATTACACTCTAGCCTGGGATCACGCCATTACACTCTAGCGTGGGCGACAAAAGCAAAACTCCATCTCAAAAAAAAAAAAGGTCGGACATGGTGGCTCATGTCTGTAATCCCAGCACTTTGGTAGGCTGAGGTGGGCGGATTGCCTGAGGTCAGGAGTTCGACACCAGCCTGGCCATCATGGTGAAATCCCATCTCTACTAAAAATGCAAAAATTAGCTCGGCATGGTGGTGGGTGCCTGTAGTCCCAGCTACTTGGGAGGCTGAGGCAGGAGAATTGCTTGAACCTGGGAGACAGAGGTTGCAGTGAGCCAAGATCACACTACTGTACTCCAGCCTGGGTGACAGAGTGAGACTCCGTTAAAAAAAAAAAATGTAGTTGTTTATCTGTTTTTCTGGCTTTCTTTGTGAGGGGAGCAAGCACTAGGGGCTTCTAGTCAGCCATCTTGCTGACATCACTTCCTCTGGACCTCCCATTAACCACCAACCCTGAAAATGTACAACATTAATTGTAAAGAGGAGCTGATATAAGAACATGGATAAATGAGTCAGACAATAATTTAAAGCCATGAATCTGAAACAGGTTCGTATATGTGGGACATATAAAGCTATAAGATACAGAGCTGTATGGTAAGGTACATCTGGAAATTTCTATCTTAATCAATAATGGCAAGTAACCTAAAATAGTTTTGGGTTATAGACTCTCAGACATCCTGGGAATGTCAGTTTACTTTTTGTTGTTGGAAAGTTTGAGATGCACTGATTTAAAGCTTATGTTCCACCAAGTAAAGCTAACACATTAATGAAAAGGTTTTCTGGAAAGAATAAGAAAAACTTTTTAAATTATTTAACTGAAACTTAAGGCCAGGTGCAGTGGCTCAAGCCTGTAATCCCCGCACTTTGGGAGGCCAAGGTGGGCGGATTACTTGAGGTCAGGAGTTTGAGACCAGCCTGGCCAACATGGTGAAACCCTGTCTCTACTAGAAAAAATAAAAATAAAAAAATTACTGGGTGTGGTGGCACCCAGTAATCTCAGTCTGTAATCCCAGCTACTAGGGAGGCTGAGGCATGAGAGTCACTTGAACCTGGGAGGCGGAGCTTGCAGTGAGCCGAGATCATGCCACTGTACTCCAGCCTGGGCAACAGAGTGAGACTCTGTCTCAAAAACAAACAAACAAACAAACAAAACAAAACAACAACAACAACAAAAAAAAACTAAAGCTGTAATTCTACAATTAAATTTTTTTTTATTTTTTGAGACAAGGTCTGGCTCCGTCACCTAGCCTGGAGTGCAGTGGCATGATTTTGGCTCATGGCAACCTCCCTCTGCCTCCGCGCTCAAGTGATCCTCCCACGACAGCCTCCTGAATAGCTGAGACTACAGGCACGTGCTACCACACCTGGCTAATTTTTATATTTTTTGTAGAGACGGGGTTTCTCTATGTTGCCCAGGCTGGTCTCAAACTCCTGAACTCAAGCAATCTGCCCATCTCAGCCTCCCAAAGTGTTGGAATTATAGGCGTGAGCCACCATGCCCAGCCCAATTAAACTCTTTCACATGCTTAATACTACTAGTACATGTCAAAGTTTTCTATAAAATGTTATCGTCATTAGCTGAGTGTGGAGGCCTGTTGTCCCAACTACTTGGGAGGCTGAGGTGGGAGGACTGCTTGAGCCCAAGAGTTCTAGTCTAGCCTGAGCAAAATAGTGCTTTCTCTTTCTCTCTCTCTCTTTTTTTTTTAAAGATGCATATGCTAAAGGAACAATCAGGTACTTTCACATTTTTTAACATTTTAGTGAAATTAAGGGCCTGTTTTAGGGAGATTCATTCTATTAAACTACTTATATTCTGGTATTTTCATAAAAATAAGTTCCTAAGCCCCTCTCAAGGTAAGGAAAGGGAAGACATTTGTTTACTGAAAGTTTCATCTAATTTCATGTGGAAACAATTTGGAATGCAAAGAGTATTTCTTTATCCTTTTTCTGAGATTTAAAAAATACACGTAAGAATGACAGTTCTTGAATTAAAATATTTTACCCAAAGTGTAGGCTTACCTGTATTCCAGCATGGCTACAGAGGTAAAAATCGAACTCATATGGGTGTGTAATGTCTGTATCAACTGTTGTTCCAGCTGGGATATTGCCACTTCTTCCAACCTAGATTTGTTTGGTTAAAGTTTAAACAAACAAGAAAAAGGTAAAAATATATCTGAAAGCACTTTAAAAAATGTATGAATACATAGGCTGATCCTACATTTCACTACTTTCACCTTGAAATATGACTTAAGCAGTCATTCAGAGCAGACTACGCAGGTCCTAGTTCCTATTCTTACATGTTGCTGAAAGTGAGCGCTGATACACAACAAAACCTAATACAGTCTCTACTACTGCTTAGCTGATAGTTGACCCCACTATGGGTGGAAGACACTAAAAAAAATTTTTTTTAAATTAACTTAAAGTGCTCCAATTTATGGTACCTGTGCATAGTAGGTATTCTTGAACGTGTGATTTATGAAGATCAGCATTTACCTTGGAGAAAACTAGATGTTTAGAGAGAGAGAATGCTGACAAGATCAACAACAGTCACACCATTTGTTAACCATTTATGGATCAGGCACTTTGAACACATTATTTCTAAAACCTGGTAACAATCCTGCAAGTTAGGGATTATTTCCATTTGTTTAGGGAAATAAAGGCTCAGGAATACAAAATAATTTGCTCAATAGCACACAATAAAGGGCAGAACTGGGATTCAAACAATGAAATAATTGCAAAGGCCTTATTCCTTTTATTTCATACTATCAGTTTCAACATCTTGTAAGAGGACACCATGATTTTCTCTGAGTGGATATAATATAACTGAAATGACCCAAAATTCTTGATGATACAAGCTCCTTATAAAACACTTAAAAATGTTTATTATACCCACCTCCACCGCCTTATCCCAACACATTTAAAATCATTAACTGTAAGTCTAGGTTTACAAGGCTAGCAAATCAGAAACTATTTTACTGACTCAGATAATATTTTTGCCACGTGAGTGACTGTTATAAGGTAGTACCTTGAATTATAGTGGTGTGGACCAACCAGCTTCACTTTACCAAGCACAAAACAAAACAGTTCATAATCTACTAAATTATGCCTGGTCCTAAAAAAATACTTAACTCTAATAAATTAGCAACACGTAAATCTTCTAATTAATATATACAAAAAGTTGTAGGCTGGGTGTGATGGCTCACACCTATAATCCTAGCACTTTGGGAGGCCGAGGTGGGCGGATCATTTGAAACCAGGAGTTTGTGACCAGCCTGGCCAACATGGTGAAATCCTGCCTCTAATAAGACTACAAAAATTAGCCGGGTGTGGTGGCACATGCCTGTAATCCCAGCTACTCAGGAGGCTGAGGCCTGACAATCACTTGAACCCAGGAGGTGGGGGCTGCAGTGAGCCAAAGTCATGCCACTGCACTCCAGCCTGGGCAACAGAGCAAAACTGTCAAAAAAAACAAAAACAAAAAAATACAACTATCTCATAATCTTGTTGGTGAGGATTAAATTGATGAAATTTATAAGCAATACTTAGAACAATATCTATTATTATTTCTTCTTCTCTATTCTACCACTATCACCACCACTCTGCAGCTAGCCAAACTTTATTTATTAATTTTTTTTTGTTCTCATCACTCTACTAATGAGAGCTAGCCAATCTTTACTGAGTACTTAGTGTGGGCCAAGCCCTGTTCTAAGTGCATTACGTATTTTATTTAATTCTCCCGACAACCCAAATAAGGTAGATATTAATATTATCCAATCTTGCTAAGAAATAAACAGACACAGAGATGTTAAGTTGCTTGCCCAAAGGAATACAGTGAGTATGTATGGCAAAGAAAAACACCCCTCTCTTAGTCCTTTCTATCAAATCCCTTTCTCAAGGGGAAACAACACTTGGTATCATTAGATTTCTCTGCTCCAAGATTTACAGGATGGGGGCAGATGTGATCAGAGCACTGAAAATGACAGTAAGACTGCTGTCTTGCTGCACACAGATAAGAAAACATATTTCTGGCCGGGCGCAGTGGCTCACACCTGTAATCCCAGCACTTTGGCAGGCCGAGGCAGGCGGATCACAAAGTGAGGAGATCGAGACCGTCCTGGCTAACACGGTGAAACCCTGTCTCTACTAAAAATACAAAAAATTAGCCGGGCATGGTGGCAGGCGCCTGTAGTCCCAGCTACTCAGGAGGCTGAGGCAGAAGAATGGCGTGAACCTGGGAGGCGGAGCTTGCAGCGAGCTGAGATCGCGCCACCGCACTCCAACCTGGGCGACAGAGTGAGACTCCGTCTCAAAAAAAAAAAAAAAAAAAAAAAAGAAAACATATTTCCTTAGGTATTTATACCTCTCTTTCCTTCCTAATTATAAAAAATATACATTCACATTATAAAATGCATAAAATAATTCTGTGAACTTTAAAGGAAACATGGCTAAAAGTTAGTTTGTATAAATTTCCACTTTTTTTTTTTTTTTTTTTTTTGAGATGGAGTTTTGCTCTCTTGCCCAGGCTGGAGTACAGTGGCACCATCTCGGCTCACTGCAACCTCTGCCTCCTGGGTTCAAGTGATTCTCCTGCCTCAGTCTCCCGAGTAGCTGGGATTACAGATGTGCGCCACCACACCTGGCTATTTTTTGTATTTTTAGTAGAGACAGGGTTTCACCGTGTTGGCCAGGCTGGTCTTGAACTCCTGACCTCAAGTGATCTGCCTGCCTTGGCCTCCCAAGGTGCTGGAATTACAGGTGTGAGCCACTGTGCCTGGCCTGAATTTCCACTTTTTTAAAAAACTAATTTGTATGAGATATTTTAAAAAGAGAATGTACTGTTTTTTCTGAAGATTTTAGGAAAATATGAATAGAAGAATAATTTTAAAACCATGAGTTTCTTCACAACAAAAAAGTAGAATGAGATTTTGAATATTTGGAGTGTGACTAGAAATTCTAGAAAGTTAAAAATAATCTATTTTGATGCTTCTATACTCATAATGTAATTGTTGAAATTTGCTACTATATATTGGAAATCCTGCTGTTGGCAGAGGGCCCTTGTTGAATGCTCTATGAACTATGTTGGATAAGCTTGGTTTATAACAGTATTACAACAGAGGTGAGATTACCCTTTCTGTCCTATCAGCACAAAATAATCGAGTGTGATGTCTCTTCTGAACTACAATGTAGGTTATTCCAGGTTGATAGTCTTTCTCCAAACTGATGCAGGCTTCTCGAATTGCTAGTAGTTCATAATATAATACCTAGAGAATATGAAATGGAAAGATTCAATATAGTCAGCTATTTGTTTTTATATACTTCAAAGTAGGATAATGATTTAATCTCAGGATTCCTTAATTTCACCACTCTATAGCTAATAGATTCCATTTTAACGATTATTAGAACATGGTCTTAGCAAGCAAGGCATACACATTCGTAGTGAACATTTTCAAAAAGACAATCTAACAAAACACCAAGTTTTGACTTGGGGAACTCTAACAAGGTTTTTAACTCTAGAACTAGACACCATATTATAAACACAATATCTGATTTCACCATAGTCTGATGAGATTCTAGGTAACCAACCTGCCTAAACTGCCCCTCTGAAACACCATCCCGATAAAAGATGATACGAGTAGGCTTGAACCGAGTTGACTTATAAAATTGAATAAGAAGTTCCCGGACCATGGAGGCCAAGTCCTGGATGATCTCCTGTCGGGGTCTCTGAACTCTTACTGTGGCACAGTATCTGCTTGGGTGTGCATCCATACTACCTACAACCTAGGTTAGAAAAAGTAAAATAAATAAATAAATAAATAAAAATAAATGATAATCAAAATTACATGAATTTCATTTACATTTTTATTTTACTGTAACCTGTTCATCACTGTTTACTTTGAAAGTAATCAAAAATAGTAATTCTGAGTTGGGTATGACGGCATGTGCCTATAGTCCCAGCTACTCAGGAAGCTGAGGCAGGAGGATCACTTGTGCCCAGGAATTTAAGGCCAGCCTGGGCAAAATAGCAAGACCCCATCTCTCTCTCTTTCTCTCTTTTTTTTTTTTTTTTTTTTTTTTGAGACGCAGTCTTGCTCTGTCATCAGCCTGGAGTGCAGTGGCACAATCTCGGCTCACTGCAACCTGCACCTCCTGGGTTCAAGCGATTCTCCTGCCTCAGCCTCCAGAGTAGCTGGGACTACAGGTGTGCACCACCACCCCCAGCTAATTTTTGTATTTTTAGTAGAGATGGGGTTTCACCATGTTGGCCAGGATGGTCTTGATATCTTGACCTCGTGATCCGTCTGCGTTGGCCTCCCAAAGTGCTGGGATTACAGGCATGAGCCACCGCACCCAGCCTACCCCATCTTTTTAAAAAATTAAAAAGAATAGTACTTCCCGTTGAAGAACAGAATAAAACACCTAGTATAGGGTAAAAAACTATTTTCCTATAACTAGGCTGAACTATACATTTAACAATTAGATTCTTTGTGTTGTTGGTAGACTTAAAGATTAGTAAGGAAAGAAAAAGACAAAAAGATGTGTATAAGAGAATAAGAGAAAAGAAATAAGAAAAAACAAGGACCAATTCAAACCACTGATTTTTCTTCCTATCTCTTCCACTTTAGCAACCTATCTCAGAAGCCATACTTAAGACTTTAGCTTCATCTTAGAACTGTTACGCTTCATAAATTTTAAAATCAGAATTTTCCCTCTTGGCCTGAATCTATACAGTCTTATTGAGCTGCATTTGTGTTCTGTATCTGGTCCTCAGAGAAGTTAATCTTGGTTTTGAAACTAGCTATATTAATTTCTCTTTCTGTGTCTAATATTGTTATGTCTTTGGAGAAGAGACCTCAAAGCATGAACTTATAACATTATTCTGATCAGAGCCTAGAGCTGGTCACTGCCTCCAGACCCTTTCTTCCAGTTAACCTATACCAAAGTCATGCTTCAAAAATGGAACTTTGACCATTTCTTTCCCTTGAAAGGTATCTCGCTACTTAAGAATAAATCCAGGCCGGGCACGGTAGCTCACGCCTGTAATCCCAGAACTTTGGGAGGCCGAGGTGGGCGAATCACAAGGTCAGGAGATCAAGACCATCCTGGCTAACACAGTGAAACCCCGTCTCTACTAAAAATACAAAAAATTAGCCGGGTGTGTCAGCGTGCACCTGTAGTCCCAGCTACTCAGGAGGCTGAGGCAGGAGGATGGCGTGAACCCGGGAGGCGGAGCTTGCAGTGAGCCAAGATCGCGCCCACTGCATTCCAGCGTGAGCTACAGAGCGAGGCTCTGTCTCAAAAAAAAAAAAAAAAAAAAGAATAAATCCAGACCCTCGGATGGAACAAAATGCCTCACAAAGGCTTCCTAGCCTCATAGCCTGCAGTATACTATGTTCCAATTCCTTGTATTTCTCAACATTCCCAAAACACACCAGGTTCTTGCAACTTAAATGTTGTTACTTCGTTATCATGATAACACCTATTATACTATGTGGCACTCATTACTTACTTAGTTTCTCACACTACTCTCTAAGTTCTTGGAGATAGAAGCCATATAGTGAAAAAGAATCAACCAATAAATTCTATTTACAAGACTTCTGAGAACCACAAAAGAAAGTGGGTATTTGGTAGAAACGGATTTAGTAGAAAAAGACAATGACTACCAGAAGTCCAAAGGAATTAAAATATGCTTAAACCTTTGTGGAAAATGACCCAAAGTAGCAAATCCAAGGAAGTCTTTTGAGTTCCTTTCTTTATCATTTTATCATCTATAAGAACACTTTAATGAATGTTAGAGATGACTCAATACAACCACTGAACATTTAAAGAAAATAATTCATGTATAACATTAAAAATACAAAAGCAAGAGAATTAATAGATAAAAATTAATTTCCTTTACTAATGAAAATAGTTTTGAAATCATGAAGTGGAAATTTAAATATTACTATCATTTTCAGGGATGAATTAGATTTATCAGATTCATAAAACAAGATTTATGTGAAGATTATAATGTATCATAGAAAAAATATTAAATCTTTTTTTTTGTTTTGAGATGGGGTCTCCCTCTGTCACCCAGGCTGGAGTGCAGTGGCATGATTTCAGCTCACTGCAACCTCCGCCTCCCGAGTTCAAGTGATTCTCTTGCCTCAGCCTCCCGAATAGCTGGAATTAAAGGCACCCACCACCACGACAGGCTAATTTCGTATTTTTTATACAGATGGGGTTTCACCATGTTGGTCAGGCTGGTCTTGAACTCCTGACGTCAAGCGATCCACCCCCGCCTCAGCCTCCCAAAGTGCTGGGATTCTAGGCGTGAGCCACCGCGCCTGGCCAATTAAATCTTACAGTTTAATTTCTGAAGTTTATTAAATATGCCTAAAAGATGTTCATATTTTCGAAATGTTGGCTATTTGTTAAAATCAAGTGATTTTCAAAATAGGTAAAATATTATCAAGCTTTCTCAAGTTTATAAGAAATACACTTAAACTGAGACAAAAAGGTTACAAACACAGAGAGCAAAGAAATAACAGGCAGATGTTAAAAACAGGAGTGGCAGTAGTAAAATAAAGAATTTGGCTGGGCACGGTAGCTCACACCTGTAATCTCAGCACTCTGGGAGGCCGAAGCAGGTGGACTGACCGAGATCAGGAGTTCAAGACCAGCCTGGCCAACATGGTGAAGCCCCGTCTCTACTAAAAGTACAAAAAATTAGCCGGGCATGGTGGCAGGTGCCTGTAATCCCAGCTACTCGGGAGGCTGAGGCAGGATAATCGCTTGAACCTGGGAGATGAAGGTTGCAGTGAGCCGAGATTGTGTCATTGCACTCTAGCCTGGGCAACAAGATAACTTTGTCTGAAAAAAATAAATAAAATAAAATAAAATAAAAGAATTCAGGTGCAAAGTATTGACCTGGATGAAGGTGGGAGACATTTTATATATAAAAAATGTAATCCACCAAGCTTATATGTAGTGTATCTTTCTATGACAAAGACATTACTGAAATATACAAACAAACTATTCAAAACAACAAAAAGTAACTAAAAATGCATAATCATGGAGAGGTCAAGTAGACAAATTAAAGTATAATACAGAAGATTTGAATAATATAACTAGCAAACTTGATTTAATAGATACATATGGAACTTCCAAACTCCAAACCAGAGAATAATCATTCTTTTCAAAAACCCAAAGAACATTTATGAAAGTTGGCTACAAAGAAAATATTAAAATTCAAAAAGTTGAAACTGCAAAATTGATACTGGTCTGTCAACCTTAGGTAAGATAAACCTGGCTAACACTCACAGCAGCAATAGAAGGCTTCTTTCCATCACCAGCAGGTGGATGAGTGACATCGGCTCCCAAAAAGATCACTGGTTGCTGGAACACAGAAGGTCTTAAACACATTTTGAAAAAGGGTTAGATATTTCATTTTTTCAGTATCCATTTATCTGTTTCACACAATTGCAACGTAACTTCAAGTTATTGACAGCACAGAGGAAGTCCTATGTAATCCAAATTTTTTTTTTTTTTTTTTTTTGAGACGGAGTCTCGCTCTGTCACCCAGGCTGGAGTGCAGTGGCACGATCTCGGCTCACTGCAAGCTCCACCTCCCAAGTTCATGCCATTCTCCTGCCTTAGCCTCCCAAGTAGCTGGGACTACAGGCGCCCGCCACCACACCCGGCTAATTTTTTGTATTTTTTAGTAGAGATGGGGTTTCACCATGTTAGCCAGGATGGTCTCGATCTCCTGACCCTGTGATCCACCTGCCTTGGCCTCCCAAAGTGCTGGGATTACAGGCGTGAGCCACCGCACCCGGCCAATCCAAAGTTTTATTCACAGCAGAATTTTATCTAAAATAGTGGTGCTGGTGGTTGAAAAGGGCTGTATTAATATTAACAGATGCTAGTATTCTCCAACATGGGCACAAAATTATAAACTTCCTTATGATCCACAAATTTTTATCACTCTTTAAAAAAAGACTTATATTTTAAACCTATGTAATCTCTCAAGGGAAAAAGGAATCATTACACTTCAGACTGGAAGGGATTTTGGGAATCCACTACTCCCACTCCCTGGCCAAAAGTATAAATTTGAGTAACATATATTCAATGGTCATAAAGGAAGCTAGGACTTCCTTTTATTTTACTTTATGTTATTATTGTTTTTTTGAGACAGGGTCTCACTGTGTTGCCCAGGCTGGAGTGCAGTGGCGTAATCACAGTTCACTGCAGCCTTGACTTCCCTGGGCTCAGGTAATCCTCCCACCTCAGCCTCTGGAGTAGCTGGAACGACAGGCACATGCCACCACACATGGCTAATCTTTCTATTTTTTTGTAGAGATAAAGTTTCACCATGTTGGGCTTGTTGATAAAATTCTTTATTTATCTCATTTACGGATCTCATCTCATATTTAACAGGGGTAGAAAGTAGAGATGGCATGGAAAAACAGGAAAAAAAGGACTTTTGTGTCAAACAAACATGGGCCAATTCTTATTCTAATGTTTATTTGTGGTGTACAGTTAACTTTTTTGAGGCCTAATTGCTTCAACTATTAAAAGGGAACTTGTTCAATTCTCTGAAAAATGACCTCTTCCTCAGTGACTTGCACAATAAGCTACCTCCTGTTTCTAGGTCATGTTGTCTCTTACTTCCTAAGAGCTCCAGCTCTAAGAAGGGTGATCTAACAGTAATGTGTTTTCTCACTGACTATAGCAGGAAGGCTGATATGGCTTACTTAATTGACTAATCTGGGCTCCCAGTTCCTTCTCTCCTTCACATTCCAGGTAGGTGAGTAGTCTCATGAAACCAGGTTGAAGATGATTACCAAATAAAGTGAAAATTCTTCAAGCTGGGCTCTCCAGTGAGAAATAAAGCACTGGATACTTTCTGGCTAGGTAAGAGGTACTTTGCATACTAAATGAAAATTTTTGGGGCTTGAGCCTGCTCCCACCCTCTGGAGTGTACTTTCATTTTCAGTAAATCTCTGCTTTTGTTGCTTTGCTTCATTCTTTCCTTAAAAAATAAGATAAAATAAAATTGTGGGGGGCATTTTCACAAGAGAATCTCTGAACCTTGCCAATCCAAATTATTTTTTTACCAAAATGTCTACGAATCTCCCATAGTAGGAATTATTAAGGGGGTCTCTTACACAGCCCTTATAGTAGTTAGATATGGTCATATATAGACAAATGAAGATATAAAAATAATATTTTCATAAGCGATTAGCATATCTTACCTTTGATGAGGTACAAGAATATTATTGATCCCTCCGAGTTTAACATTTATCTTTAGGCACAAGTTTGACAGAGTTTGAGGAGATGTTTTTATTACATTCTTGACTTGAACACATTGTGTAGCCATACCCAAAAGTGTGTCTCCTACACGTTTCACTTCCGCTATGGAATAGATGCAAAACCTCTAGTCAGAAAAAAAGACCTGAAAATAATTTTACATACTGAAAATAAAGCTACTATGTTTCCCCCTTAAAATCCATCATTGTATTACAGGATACCAAAAATTATGCCAATACAGTACTAAGGCGATGCTGTTAAAATTGAAAGTATACTGCTTTGAAGACTAGCTTAAGTATTTAGTGACAATTTTTCTAGTTGTTTTCTTCTTTGTATAAAAAGGTATATTTTTGCCATAGCATAACTGCAATAACTGAAAAGCATAAAGTGAAACATGCACATAATCCCTTGTTATCGTTTTATAGTACTCTCTTCCAATAATTTTCTCATTTATATTATTTTAATGTACTTGTAATCACAGTACACTTACAGCTTTCAATCCTATTCTCTTATCTTTAATTTAAAAATTCAGAGGTATTATAGCGCAAAGAACAAAAGTCCCCTGTTCCTTTCCTCTCCTCTGCCATTATAACCATCATAAATATTTCGGTGTATATAACTTTTTTTTTTTTTTTTGAGAGGATCTCACTCTGTCACCCAGGCTGGAGTGCAGTGGCATGATCATGCATCACTGTAGTCTCGACCTCCTGAGCTAAAGCGATCCTCTTGCCTCAGCCTCCCAAGTGGCTGGAACTACAGGCATGCACCACCACACCAAGCCTTTTTTTTTTTATTTAAGTAGAGATGAGGGAGGTCTCACCATGGTGCCCAGCCTGGTCTCAAACTCCTAAGCTCAAGTGATCCTCCTGCTCCAGCCTCCCAAAGTGTTGGGATTACAGGCAAGAGCCACTGCACCCAGCCATAACTTCTTTTTTTTTTTTTGAGATGGAGTCACATTCTGTCACCCAGGGTAGAGTGCAGTGGCGCGATCTCAGCTCACTGCAACCTCTGCCTCCTGGGTTCAAGCAGTTCTCCTACCTCAGCCTCCCGAGTAGCTGGGATTACAGGTGTGCACCACCTCACCTAGCTAATTTCTGTATTTTTATTTACTTTTTATTTTTTTTGTTTTTATTTTTTATTTTTGAGATAAGAGTTTCGCTCTTGTTGCCCAGGGCTGGAGTGCAACGGCGCAATCTCGGTTCACTGCAACCTCTGCCTTCTGGGTTCAAGTGATTCTCCTGCCTCAGCCTCTTGAAGTAGCTGGGATTACAGGCACCTGCCACCATGCCCTGATAATTTTTTTTTTTTGTATTTTTAGTAGAGATGGAGTTTCACCACATTGGCCAGGCTGGTCTTGAACTCCTGACCTCAGGTGATCCACCCGCCTTGGCCTCCCAAAGTGCTGGGATTACAGGCATGAGCCACTACGCCCAGCCAATTTCTGTATTTTTAGTAGAGATGGGGTCTTGCCATGTTGGCCACGCTGGTTTTGAACGCCTGACCTCAAGTGATCCACCCGTCTTGGCCTCCCAAAGTGCTGGGATTACAGGTGTGAGCCACTGCACCCAGCATAACTTCTTATATATAAAAAACATAGAAAAATGGGTGCAATGTCTCACACCTGTAATCCCAGCACTTTGGTAGGCTGAGGCGGATTGCTTGAGCCCAGGAGTTAGAGACCAGCTTAGGCAACAAATCAAGACCCCATCCCTGCCAAATTTTTTTTTTAATTAGCCAGGCATGATGGTATGTGCTTTTAGTTCTAGCTACTCAGGAGGCTGAGGCAAGAGGATTGCATGGGCCTAGGAGATGGAGGCTGCAGTGAACTATGATCGTGTCATTGCACTCCAGTCTGGGTGACAGAGTGAGACCTTGCCTTAAAAAAAAGGACAAATGACAATACACATTTCTCTAAAGAAGATAAACAGAAAAATGACCCATAAGCACATGAAAAGATGCCCAACGTCTCTAATCATTTAGGAAAATGCAAAATCAAAGACATTATGAGATACCACTTCACACCCATTAGGATGGCTACTATCAAAAAGCCAGAGAATAACAAACATTGGGGCAAGGATGTGGAGAAACTGGAACTCCTGTGCGCTGTTGGTGGGCATGTAAAATGGTGCAGCCACTGTGGAAAACACTGTGGAGGTTCCTCAGAAAATTAAAAATAGAATTACCATATGATGCAGCAATGACACTTATTAGATGTATACCCAGAATAGCTGAAAACAGGGTTGTGAAGAGATATTTGTACACCTATGTTCATAGCAGCATTACTCATGATAGCTAAAGTGTAGAAGCAACCCAAGTGTCCATCAACAGAAGAATAAACAAGATGTGGTGTATACACACACACACACACCCCCCGCCCCCCCACACACACATATACAAACAATGGAATATTATTTGGCCCAAAAAAGGAAGAAAATTCTGACATATAGTACAACATGGATGAACCTTGAGGATATTATGCCAAAAGCCAAATATTGTAGGACTCATGTACATAAGGAAACTAGAATAGTCAAATTCATGGAAGCGGAAAGTAGAACAGTGCTTTCCAGGGGTTACGTGAGGTTTAATAGGATATTAAAGTTATTGGTTAATGGATAAAGAGTTTCAGTTTGGGATGATGGAAAAAAGTTCTGGAAATGGATAGTGATGATGGCTGCACAACATGTGAATGTTCTTAATGTCAGAATGTAAGAATTCCAGAATGACTTAGTACTTGAAATTATGTGAGTGAATGATTTGCAAGTAAACATTAAATCATTATGTGGCTCAAAAAAAAAAATGAAGGAGAAATAAAGAGTTTCTCAAACAAATAAAAACAGGGTATTTGTTGCTGGTAGAAATGCTTGGCAAGAAATATTAAAAGAATTTTCCAGAGAGAAGGAAAATGATACAGATCAGAAATCATAAATGAAGGAAAAGCAGGGTACAGTGTGGGTCATGCCTGTAGTACCAGCTACTGGGGAGGCTGAGGTGGGTAGAGTACTTGAGCCCAGGAGTTTGGGGCTGCAGTGCACTATGGTCATGCCTGACAATAGCCACTGACCAGCATGGGCAACATAGCAAGACCTGTCTCTAAAAAACAAAACAAAACAAAAGTAAGGAGGAAGGTTGAAGGTCAGCAAATAAATAAAGGTAAAATAAAATCTTGTATTTTCATATTCTTAATTGAGCTAATAGATGATTATTTGTTCAAAATAGTAATAGCAACAGTGTATTGGGTAGTTATAGCTTATGGATAAGTGAAATAAATGACAGAAATATAAGGTACAGAAGGGAAAAATTGGGAGTATTCTGTTACAAGGTATCTCTATACTATCTAAGAAGTGGTATAATGTTACCTAAAAGTAGACTCAGATTAGTTGTAAATATATATTAAAAAGTCTAGGGAAAACACTACAAAAATTTTTAAAGGAAGTCTAACTAATATGTTAAAAGAGAATGAAAAATAGAATTATACAAAATGCTCAATTAAAACCAGGAGGGGCCAGGAGCAGTGGCACATGCCTGTAATCCCAGCATTGGGAGGCTGAGGCGGGAGGATGACTTGAGGCCAGGAGTTCGAGACCAGCCCAGGCATGTTTACAGTTTTGATGAAAAAGGTAATATCAATTTATACTACCATCAGCAACGTATTAATACACTGCATACTCACAAGCACTAGGTATTATAATATTTAAATATGTTTGCTAATTTAGCAGCACAAAATTTTTCCCTTTATTGATTTGTACTTTTCTTCTCTCTTTTTTTTTTTTTTTTGAGAAAGGGTCTCGCTCTGTTGCCCAGGCTGCTGGAGTGCAGTGGCATGATCTTGGCTCACTGCAACCTCCACCTACTGGCTCAAGTGATCTTCCTATCTCAGCCTCCCAAGTAGCTAGGACCACAGATGTGTACTACCATGCCTGGCTAATTTTTCTATTTTTTTGCAGATATGAGGTTTCGCCATGTTGCTCAGACTAGTCTTGAATTCCTGAACTCAAGCAATCTGCCCACCTTGGCTTCTCAAAATGCTGGGATTACAGGCATAAGCCACTGCATCTGGCCTGTATTTTTCTTTAACTATGAATAAAAACAAACTTATCATATATTTACTTGCTTTGTTTTTACTAAATTTCAGTTTATAATCTTTTCTCATTAATCTAAAAAAAGAAGGTTTTTATTTAACTAATAATAAACTATTTGTTTATTGTTTCTATTTGCTACAAATATTTTCCACACTCTATTGGTTTTCTTTTCATTTTAGTACATCCGTGACATGTAGGAAATTTAGGGGCCAGGCGCAGTGGCTCATGCCTGTAATCCCAGCACTTTGGGAGGCTGGGGTGGGCAGATCACCTGAGGTCAGGAGTTTGAGACCACCCTGGCCAACATGGTGAAACCCTGTCTCTACTAAAAATACAAAAATTAGCCAGGCATGGTGGCACGCGCCTATAGACCCAGCTACTAGGGAGGCTGAGGCAGAAGAACAGCTTGAACCTGGGAGGTGGAGGTTGCAGTGAGCTGAGATCATGCCACTGCACTCCAGCCTGGGCAACAGAGGGAGACTCTGTCTCAAAAAAAAAAAAAAGGGCCGGGCATGGTGGCTCACGCCTGTAATCCCAGCACTTTGGGAGGCTGAGGCGGGAGGATCACAAGGTCATGAGATTGAGACCATCCTGGCTAACACGGTGAAACCCTGTCTCTACTAAAAAATACAAAAAAATTAGCTGGACATGGTGGCAGGTGCTTGTAGTCCCAGCTACTCAGGAGGCTGAGGCAGGAGAATGGCGTGAACCCAGGAGGCAGAGCTTGCAGTGAGCCGAGATCGCACCACTGCACTCCAACCTGGGCGACAGAGCGAGACTCTCTCTCAAAAAAAAAAAAAAAAAAAAAGAAAGAAAGAGAAAATTTAATGTTTACTCAGTACTCAGTCAAATCTGACAATTTTCTTTTGTGATTTCTTCTATTATTTCTAAACTTACATGATTTTACCCCGTTCAGTGGTTTGAAAATTATATTTTCTTTGTATTTTTCTACGATTCAATGATTTATATTTAGCTTATTAATCTCACAAAATTTTGTTTATAATAATAACAGTTAACATTGACTGTTTACTATATGACAGGTGCTATTCTAGGCCCTTTACATATTAGACTCAGTTAATCCTTACAACAACCCTATATATGGATTAGGTATTATTAGTATCCCAGGGTATGTGTGCTATATATCAAGGAAGTATAACTGATACACTAAAAGAGGAAAGAAAATAGAATCATATAAAATGCTCAATTAAAACCAGAAAGAGGCTAGGTGCAGTGGCTCACACCTGTAATCCCTGCACTTTGGGAGCCCAAGGTTTAAGGATTGCTTGAGCCCAGGAGTTTGAGACCAACCCGAGAAACATAGTGAGATCCTGTCTCTACAAAAAAATAAATAGACTAGTTCAACCATTGTGGAAGTCAGTGTGGCGACTCCTCAGGGATCTAGAACTAGAAATACCATTTGACCCAGCCATCCCATTACTGGGTATATACCCAAAGGACTATAAATCATGCTGCTATAAAGACACATGCACACGTATGTTTATTGCGGCATTATTCACAATAGCAAAGACTTGGAACCAACCCAAATGTCCAACAATGATAGACTGGATTAAGAAAATGTGGCACATATACACCATGGAATACTACGCAGCCATAAAAAATGATGAGTTCATGTCCTCTGTAGGGACATGGATGAAATTGGAAATCATCATTCTCAGTAAACTATCGCAAGAACAAAAAACCAAACACCGCATATTCTCACTTATAGGTGGGAATTGAACAATGAGAACACATGGACACAGGAAGGGGAACATCACACTCTGGGGACTGTTGTGGGGTGGGGGGGGGGGAGGGATAGCATTGGGAGATACATCTAATGCTAGATAACGAGTTAGTGTGTGCAGCGCACCAGCATGGCACATGTATACACATGTAACTAAACTGCACATTGTGCACATGTACCCTAAAACTTAAAGTATAATAAAAATAAATAAATAAATAAATACAAACAAAAAAAATAAAAAAATAAAAAATTAGTCCAGTGTGGTGGCACATGCCTGTAGTTCCAGCTACTTGGGAGGCCGAGAAAGGAGGATTGCTTGAGCCCAAGAGGTCAAGGCTGCAGTAAGCCATGATTGCACCACTGCACTCCAGCCTGAAAGAGTGAGAGAGATCCTATCCCATACATACACACCACATACATACATAAATATTGTCCCAATTCCAGAGATGAGGAAACTAAGGGCTAGTGTGATTAAGTAATTCAGCCAAATCACACAGGTAGTAGAACCGGCAGTACCTGAATATTGAGCAACACAGTTTAATTTGATAGCCTGTGCTTTTAACCACTACATTATACTGATACTCAAATTATCTCAATGCCATTTTTATTCAATAATTCTTTCTTTAGCCATTGTTATGTAATGCCTCTTTTCACTACTGAAACCCTTTTTTTTTTTTTTTGAGACGGACTTTCGCTCTGTCGCCCAGGCTGGAGTGCACCGGTGCGATCTCGGCTCACTGCAAGCTCCACCTCCTGGGTTCACGCCATTCTCCTGCCTCAGCCTCCTGAGTGGCTGGGACCACAGGCGCCCACCACCACGCCCAGCTAATTTTTTGTATTTTTAGTAGAGATGGGGTTTCACCACATTGGCCAGGCTGGTCTCGAACTCCTGACCTCAGGTGATCCACCCGCCTCGGCCTCCCAAAGTGCTGGGATTACAGGCGTGAGCCACCACGCCCAGCCCGGAAACTCTTTTTACAATGTCTCATCTTGGACTATTTAGTTTGCTATATTAATTTGTCTTCAAGTAATAATACATGGTTTTAAATACTGTATCATAAAATATATTTTAATATTTGAAAGTTTTAGGATATGTTTCAGTATAATCCTAAAAGGACATCAAGTACTTGAGGAAAAATGCAGTCTTAAGATATCCTTACCATACACTGGTGTCTTCCCCGGCAGGATGACGATAATAAGCTGTAGGCCAGAATATGTGTTCTTGAGATGCCGGAACATGGGCTCTACGCTGTCTGCCCCCTGTGCATATTTGCAGAAGCATGGCTGGCCCTGGATGGGCATCCCTGCATCCTTAGAAATCTTACGCAGCTGGTCTGTGAAACCCCTGGAAGGAGAAACCACTAAATATAAAACCTTTGTCTAGTCATGAATTCCTACAAAGTAGTAATGGGAAGTTTGGGAAGGGAATGGAAGGATGAAGCAAAGATTTGTGTGCTTCATATATGAGAGGTCACCAGACTACTGATGTTAAGCGTAATGGTCTGTCAGTAATCCATTTTGCAAATGAAGAACATTCTATACAGTTATACGGCATTCTGTAGTTTACAAGGAGCATTACTAATAGTATATGCTGGTTAAGAGCTCAGCTCTAGAGTTAGTATGGAGAGTTCCATTCCCAGTTCTGCTACATACTACTATGAAATTTTAGGCACTTACTTCAGTTTTCCTCATCTGTAAAAGGATTGCTTCAACTATAGGGTTGGTGTGAAGATTAAATGAGATCATATATGTAAAGCACTTAGCACACCATCCAGGACCATGGTAAAAACTTGATACATTTTAGCTATTGTTTATTTTCTAATTTGATCTCACAAGATTCATAAGAAAGAGGCACGGCAGGTATTATTCCTGTTTTACAGATCAGAAAATAGTTTCATAGACATTACATATTTGGCCAAAGTTCAAATGATTAGACAAATGGTAGAGCCAGAATTTCTATAGTATTACCTATCTCACACTAGGATAGCAGGAAAGATTATGCCCTCAGAGGATTTTTTTAAAATATAAAAACAAAATTTAAAAACAGATGAGGCTGGGTGCAGTGCCTCACACCTATAATCCCAGCAATTTGGGAGGCTGAGGCAGGAGGATCACTTGAGGTCAGGAGTTCGAGACCAGCTTGGCCAACATGGCGAAAACCCATATCTACTAAAAATACGAAACTAGTCTGGTGTGGTGGCAGGCACCTGTAGTCCCTGCTCCTTGGGAGGCTGAGGCAGGAGAATCACTTGAATCTGGGAAGCGGAGGTTGCAGTGAGCTAAGATTATGCCACTGCACTCCAGCCTAGGTGACAGAGTGAGACTCTTGTCTCCAAATAAACAGATGAGGCAGGCAGCATTTTAATGTACTTTGATTTACACTGAAAAACCCCCAAAACCAATTTCTTTTTTTTTTTTGAGGTGGAGTCTCACTCTGTTGCCCAGGCTGGAGTGCAGTGATACAATCACAACTCACTCCTGCAGCCTCAACTTCCCAGGCTCAAATGATCTTCCCACCTGAGCTTCCCAAGTAGCTGGGATTATAGGCATGTGCCACCGCGCCTGGCTAATTTTTGTATTTTTAGTAGAGATGGGGTTTCACCATGTTGGTCAGGCTGGTCTTGAACTCCTGACCTCAGGCCATCCACCCACCTCGGCCTCCCAAAGTGCTGGGATTACAGGCATGAGCCACTGCTCCCGGCCACCAATTTCATATTTATAGAAAATTTTGAATTCAGTATAAATAAGCAATAATGAGCAACAATCGCTTCACTGGTTTTTTAAAACAATTGAGGTCCTAAGTCAAGGATCTGAGTGATCTTTGCCCAAAACACTCTGATTCCTTCAGGATAGAGATGAAGTTTCTCCTATTCCTTATCGGTGCTTAATTAAAGAAGTATGAAATTGAGTATTTTCACTTAGCCTAACAAGAGCCACAAGCCCAATGATTCTGAGACATCTATTCAAGCTGCGAATAACAAATATAAAATGAAAAATAAAAAAGCTCAAGTTTGAAAAACATTGGAAATGGTTTTGTTTTTTTTTTTTTTTGGCCTTTCAAGGCCAAATAAGATAATCATAGCATTGTAATAAGCCATCCTTGTGACATTTCACTTGAAAGCAGGGGGATAAAAACTCTGGAGGAAAAAAATACATTAAGTGATCATTAAAGCATCCATTTAGAGATTTGGGATTAATAAAAAGGGATGAACAGAATTAAATAGAAAAAAATTTTATTTCTCATATTCTAATTTCTTCTTGCCATGAAGAAGGCAAGGCAAATTCTGAAATGGCCTGAGGTAAACTGGTCTCTGTATCACTCAAGAATGTTTCATTGTTGACATACTTTATATAAGTAGAGATTTAAATTAGATAAGGATCATTTCTTCAAGAAAATTAGATTCCAGAGGGATGATACATTTACAAAATCATTATAATACAATTGTATTTTGCACAAAAACTGACAAGCACAAATAGAGAGGATACTGATGGGTAGAGATAGGAAGGAGGCATTCTCAGTAAAGGGCAGCATGAGTGGAAACAGGTTAAAAAGGCCAGGGAGATAGAAGGAATACGATGCTTCAGTTTCTTTGGCCAGAATATATGAAAATGGAGTAATGATAAAGGACTTAAGAGACTGGTGAAAGATATGAAATGTCATACTGATTTTACGCTTGAACCTGGGAGGCAGAGGTTGCAGTGAGCCGAGATCACGCCATTGCACTCCAGCCTGGATGACAGAGTGAGACTCTGTCTCAATAAAATAAAGAAATAAATGTCATACTAATTTTGAATGTCACTCTTAGTCAAAGAGAAGACTAAACATTTCAGAGTAGCTTTCGTCACAAATAGAGGTGGTGTTCTTTCATGACAGCCGAATTTCTCAAACAAGCGTGACAGCAGAAACCCCTGAGACTGTGTCAGAATCCCAAAGGAGAGCAGATAGATAATGAAAAGGAAAAGAAGCCAGAAAACGTAAACTAAAGAACCAGAAGGCAAGAGAGGAGGATGTCAAGAAGGTCGGCAGAGTGCGGTGGCTCACACCTATGATCCCAGCACTTTGGGAGGCCAAGGCAGGAGGACTGCTTAAGTCCAGGAGTTCGAGACCAGTCTAGGCAACATAGTGAGATCCTATCTATACAAAAAAACAAAATTAGCTGGGCATGGTGGCATATGCCTGTAGTCCCAGCTGCTTAGGAAGCTCAGGTGGGAGGATCGTTTGAGCCTGGGAAGTTAAGGCTGCGGTGAGTTGTGATTGTATCACTGCACTCCAGCCTGGGCAACAGAGTGAGATCCCATCTCAAAAAAAAAAAAAAAAAAAAGGAGTCAGTCAAATTTTGAGAAAAATAATGGCTAAGAAGAGACCATTGAACTTGCTAAGCATAAAGGTACAGGAAATCTTCCAGGAACCAGTTTTAGCAGAGCACTATGATTTCAAGGGAGGGGAGAGAATGGAGGTCTGGAAGCCTAAGAGATTGTTAGGTAATGTGAAAATTGCTGATTAAAAAGAAACTGAACTGAAGATTTTTGCACACTTAGAAGTTGAAGGACAGAATCTGAAGAAGAGAGAAAAAGTGGTGGAGATGAAAGGCAAATTTTGGAAAGTAAGGAAACTGAAACAAGGAGTTTAACCACTCCTTCAACATCCTCAACAGAAAAATAAGGATCTTAGTTAATCCTCACCTGGTAGGTAGTGTTACATTAAGTTTCACCTAAAGCTGTCTCGTTACATTTTTAAAGTTTGGCCTAAAGGTTTCTCTGTACATAGTGAATGGTAATCTCCGGACGTGTAAACAAGCTGTAACCTATTCTTGTACCAATTGCTGAGTTTCAGCCAATAAAATGCAGCCAACTGTTGAAACCATGTTCAAATAAGGCAAGTATCAAGCTGTAAGCAATCCAGCTGTTTCTGTACTTCAGTTTCATTTTCTGTACATCACTTTCCTTTTTCTGTACATAAGTCTTCAACCATGTGGTAGTGCCAGAGTCTCTTTGAACCTATTCTGGTTCTAAGGGCTGCCTGATTTGTGAATCACTGTTTCCTCAATTAAACTCTGTTAAATTTAATTTGTCTAGTTTTTCTTTTAACAGATGGTGTCAGAAGTGGGATCCGAAGTAGAACCTCTAGCAATCCCCAGAAGCACTGAGTGACGAAGCATGGTACCAGTCAGACTCTCTGTGTCCATTCCTCTCTTGCAGCAACTGGGGATTGTGGGTAAGCTCTCAGATTCTGAAGCTCCATGGATTTGTGTTTTGAGTTATCTGAATTTGTTTGAGCAAATTTTAAAATCTGAAATGGGTTCAGAAGTCATGACAGAAACTGGACCAGGTCCAGAATCAGACTGGATCTGATAATTAACTGACTTGGATTCAGTTAGAGGCCTTGGATGTTTAACTGAGTCAGGAAGAAACTGGCAGTTAATGGCAAATAAGAAGGTGTGAACTTTGGCTTTTGGAAATTCACAGAGATTTTTGTGCTCTATGTCTATGCCCTTTGTTTCTCTTTTTTTTTTGTTTTTTTTTTTGTTTTTTTTTTTGAGACGGAGTCTCACTGTTGTTGCCTGGGCTGAAGTGCAATGGAGCGATCAAACCTCTGCTTCCCAGGTTCCAGCAATTCTCCTGACTCTGCCTCCCGAGTAGCTGAGATTACAGGTGTCCACCACCAGGCCCGGCTAATTTTTGTATTTTTAGTAGAGATGGGGTTTCACCATGTTGGCCAGGCTGGTCTCGAACTCCTGACCTCAGGTAATCCACCCGCCTCGGCCTCCCAAAGTGCTGGGATTACAGTCGTGAGCCACTGCGCCCAGCCTATGCCCTTTGTTTCTTTTTCTTGTGTGTTTAGGCATGGAAAAATCATTGGATGATCAATGGGATCTGACAGCCAAAGCCAAGATTCAAGGGAAAATGGGATCCTTAATTTCTGAAGAACTGAGTATTCTACCTTACAGCTATGCCTAGCTATACACTCATAAATGTTAGGACCCTAAAGCAGCAAACACTTACTGAAATGGTGAAATCTCACTTTATGTAATTTAAAATTATAGTAGAACATTCAAAATGAATAATACTGCACTTTAAGAAGTCTATTTACAAATGAGGGCTCTAGGTTCATGCCTATAATCCTAGTACTTTGGGTGGCCGAAGCAGGAGGATCACTTGAGTCCAGGAGTTTGAAACTAGCCTGGGCAACATAGTGAGATTTTGTCTCTACAAAAAAAGAAAAAAAGTTAGCAGAGCATAGTGGCAAGTCCCTGTGGTCCCAGCCACTTGGGAGGCTGACATAGGAGGATCACTTAAGCCTGAGAGGCTGAGGCGCAGTGAGCCATGGTCACGCCACTGCACTCCAGCCTGGGCAAAAGAGTGAGGCCCTATGTCAAAAAAAAAAAAAAAAAAAAAGGCCCCCAACTTAGTTTCATCCAAGGATGCGGATGCCTATTAATGTGCAGAAGCTTCTAATAAGATTTCAATATTTTTATTCCCTCTTTTAAAAGATTTTCTATAAAAGGCAAATAAAAAGCTTCAGTAACAGCAAAATATTTTTGTTCACCTTTTGAGTAAACTGCACAAAAAAAAAGAGAGAGGAAAGAAGGAGAGATAGATTCTGTATCATATTGTCTTTTTCAGGTCTGTTGACTAGAAAATTGAGTCTCCTCTCTATCAAATAATAAAGGTTTTGCTTTTAAAAAACCTTTTAATGATCACCTTGGCTAAATGAATGACTTATTTCACAGTGACCTGTGATCCTATTTGGGCCAAGTGTTTTCAATCTTTGACATATTGGACAAGCTTCCCCAAATCAAATTTCAAATTCAAAATTAAGTCTTTTTTTGACCTCAAATTAACTTTGGGATGTTACAGAGGTCCCCTACAACAGTCAAAAGAGATAATAAACAGGCTTATTTTATACGTAAAATTACATGAGAAACAGTGTCAAATAAGAAGTGATGTTTAAACTCCATCGAGTTATATTTTTATAAATATTAATATATATTCCAAAATTGTATAAGATTATGAAAATTCTCATGTATCTCAGTATATGTTATCAGACATAATTATGGTTATTACGTTAAACTATTGTAGGCCACAGAAATAACCAAATTTCCTTCTCAATTGTGTCTTTATGACCATTTAAAGTCATTTCCACAGTTAATTACTTAATTCTAAAGCAGTTTCTAATATTAGGTTGGTGCAAAAGTAATTGCGGTTTCTGCTGTTCAAAGTAATGGCGGCTGGGCGCAGTGGTTCACGCCTGTAATCCTAGCATTTTGGGAGGCTGAGGTGGGCAGATCACAAGGTCAGGAGTTCGAGACCAGCCTGGCCAACATGATGAAACCCCATCTCAACTAAAAATACAAAAAATTAGCCAGGCATGGTGGCACACACCTGTAATACCAGCTACTCGAGAGGCTGAGGCAGGAGAACTGCTTGACCCTGGGAGGCAGAGGTTGTAATGAGCCGAGATTGTGCCACTGCATTCCAGCCTGGGTGACAGAACGAGACTCCGTCTCTAAATAAATAAATAAATAAATAAAGTAATGGCAGGCTGGGTGCAAGTGGCTCACCCCTGTAATCCCAGCACTTTGGGAGGCCAAGGTTGGTAGACCACTTGAGGTCAGGAGTTCGAGACTAGTCTGGCCAACAAGGTGAAACCCATCTCTACTAAAAATACAAAAAAATTAGCAAGGCATGGTGGCATGCGCCTGTAGTCCCAGCTACTCGGGAATCTGAGGCAGGAGAATAGTTTCAACCAGGAAGGAGGAGGTTGCAGTGAGCCGAGATAGCACCACTGCACTCCAGCTTGGATGACAGAGCGAGATTCCGTCTCAATAAATAAATAAATAAATAAATAAATGTATGGCAGTTATTAAAAATAACTTCACAAGCAAATAAAATCCTATTTTGTCTTCAAGGAGGTTAATGGAAAAGATGAAATGGACCTTGGTAAGCACTCCTGAAGATAGGTTTCTGGTAACTTTAGGATCATATCGTTTGGACTGAGTAAGAATTACCAGAACCATATTGAAGAGACAGAGTGATATATAAAACTGCTAACTCAAGCAGCACAAGAATTAAATGAATACCAAGAAAATACTTGGCCAGATTTTCATGCTAACTCAGTCAGTACTGAAACTATTAAGATACATAATTTGAATGAACTCCATGGTCCAGGTCAAACTACCTATGATAACCCATCTAATAAACAGTGCTGTGCACCTCCATTGGAGAAAGAAAATTGCTATGTAAGAGGATACAATTCCAGTGTTAAGCATGGACTCATGGAGAGAGACTGGACAGCCGGCTGCCTGCTCCTTCCTGAGTCCTTAAAAATTCCATTACTAGAAGCTGTATTCCATGATTCATCAAGGAAGAGATAAAATGTATATACTGGCCGGGCATGGTGGCTCACACCTGTAATCCCAGCACTTTGGGAGGCCAAGGTGGGCTGATCACCTGAGGTCAGGAGTTTTAGACCACCTGGGCCAACACGGTGAAAGCCTGTCTCTACTTAAAAAATACAAAAAATTAGCTGGGTGTGGTGGCAGGTACTTGCAATCCCAGCTACTTGGGAGGCTGAGGCACAAGAATTGCTTGAACCCGGGAGGTGGAAGTTGCAGTGAGCCGAGATCGCACCACTGCACTCTAGCCTGGGTGACAGAGTGAGACTATGTCTCAAAACAAACAAACAAACAAACAAACACCTTACATATATATTGGTGTTGTGACTGTTCTAAATTGCTAAAATGGTTTATGACCAATGTATAGTTTGTCAAACCCATAATCTTGAGAAGACAACCAAAACTTCAGGTACCTTTCTGCTACATCTGAACACTTTACAGAGGGATTTCATTCAATTGTGATTTTCAGTGCATATTTTCTGGTTGTACAGGAGCTTTCTCATACAAGTGGGCTGATGCTATAACAGCAGCTAAAAGGTTATTAGGAAATGTGTTTCTCTCATAGAACATTGCTGAAGAAATCTCCAGTGATAGAGATACTTGCCTCACTGGACTGGCTGTAAAACAGTTAAATAAGGTATTACAGATATAAGAGCATTAGGCAAAACTAACTGAATAATCTGGATTGCCTTGGTCAAAGATGTTTCAGATTGATGACAAACAGATCCACTTCCATGGGAAAACAAAAGTTGAACCCTTATGAAATAGTCACTGGAAGGCTTATGCTCCTAATAACAGAACCTTCTGTATCTTATGCTCCTAAACCTTAACGTGACTAAATGCTGCAAGGCTGTAATGTATTATGCCAAAGTGTATTTTCACCAGGTAAAGAAAGCTTTTCATGGACCACTGACTCAGGACAAGCAAACCCTTCATGATATAGAATTCAGAGGCTGGATCTTTTGGAAACACATCAGAGAAAGACTCCCCTTGTCACCCACACTGCAGCGAAACTTCAGGACCCTGAAGCTTGGGTTTGTAATCTCACAACTTAGAAAGGCCCACCCAGACTCTTGGAACCACACACCCATCAGAGGGAGAACTTAAGGTAAAGCTAATGAGGTAAGTTTCTCCCGAGAAGCAGATGGCCTCCTAGATGTGGACAGATTTCCCAAGATTGTGGATCAAGACTTCTCTGCTATCATGAGGCTTTTGGCTCTCAATTTTTTCCAAGTTCATGCCTGTTATGAACAACTAAACTGAAAAAGGGGTCTCTTGTGTACACTCACAAGGTATACTTTTATTTGTGAAGGATAAAAAAAACCTCATATTGGCCAGGTGTGGTGGCTCATGCCTGTAATCCCAGCACTTTGGGAGGCCAAGGCGGGTGAATCACGAGGTCAGGAGATCGAGACCATCCTGGCCAACATGGTGAAACCCCATCTCTACTAAAATACAAAAAATTAGCCAGGCATGGTGGCACATGCCTGTAGTCCCAGCTACTCAAGAGGCTGAGGCAGGGGAATTGCTTGAACCCGGGAGATGGAGGTTGCAGTGAGCCAAGATCACAGCCTGGTGACAGAGCAAGACTCCGTCTCAAAACAAAAACCAAAAAACAAAAAAAAACAAAAACCCTCACACACAGAGAAGTTTACGCCTTGATAGAGGGAAGATGAAGGGCCAATGTGGGTGAGAAATTTTAATGGTACCTTTTTTGCTTCATAATCAGTCAGAAACAGAGCACTGGTCAACTCCTCTTAACCTACATCATAATTTAAAGAGAAAATTGTCGGCCAGGCATGGTGGCTCACAACTGTAATCTCAGCAGTTTGGGAGGCCGAGGTGGGCAGATCACGAGGTCAAGAGATGGAGACCATCCTGGCTAACGTGGTGAAACCCCGCTCTACTAAGAATACAAAAAATTAGTTGGGCGTGGTGGTACGTGCCTGTTCTACTTGGGAGGCTGAGGCAGGACAATTGTTTGATCCCGGGAGGCAGAGGCTGCAGTGAGCCGAGATCATGCCACTGCACTCCAGCCTCAAAAAAAAAAAGAGAACATTGTCAATACAGGTTAAAGAGAATAGTGCCAGGAGGCCTTCACTCTTCTGGATGGGCATTATTTGTTAGTTTATTTTTCTATGGTGTGTTTTTTCCTTTTTGGAGACAGGGTCTGGCTCTGCTGCCCAGGCTGGGATGCAGTGGCGTGATCTCGGCTCACTGCAACCTCTGCCTCCTGGGCTCAAGCAATCCTCCCACTTCAGCCTCCTGAGTAGCTGGGACCACAGGCGTGCACCACTGTGCTCGGATTATTTTTGAATTTTCAGTAGAGACAGGGTTTTGCCATGTTGCCTAGGCTGGTCTTGAACTCCTGAGCTCAAGCAATCTGCCCACCTCAGCCTCCCAAAGTGATTGCAGATTACAGGTGTGAGCCACTGCGCCTGGCCTATGGTTTGGAGTTAATGTAATGAGGCAATGATTAGAAATTTATCTCTCTAAATTTTCTAGCCTATTAGAAATTTATAGGCTCTTTAGCAGATTCTACTGCAAAGACTATGGTTATACAAGAGACTTTAAATTATCTTGCTAAAGTTGTGCTAGATAATAGAATTGCTCTAGATTACTTACTGGCTAAACAGAAGTATCTGTGCAGCTGCTGCTACTTCTTATTGAACATGGAGGAATACATTGGATATTAACAGATTCAGTCGTAGGGGATTAACAAACAGGGTGCTTGGTTGAAACAAGTAGACTCTTATTCTAGCTTATTCTTCGATCTATTTGATTTTAGGTGGCTTGGTTCATGGGGACCTTGGCTAAGGAGCATACTCCAAACTCTTAGGGTTATTCTCCTGAGAGTCATAATAGTAGTCTCCCTGGGATACTATATTCTCTCAAAAGTTTTAAGTGTTTGCATATGGCCATCTGTAGGATGTCAAATGGTCTCTCTTGAATTGGAACAGAAACTCAAAGAAATGTATGAGCATGAGGAACACCATACTTATAAATGACGTACTGAGACCAGAAACCCAAAATCTTGGTAACAGAGTGGTGCTAAGGTCCTAAGTTTTGGTCACACTCTTACCTAAGTGAGGACCTAACCAAAAGGGAGGAATTTTTAAACAAAATTGTGGGAGGCCATTGTTTTGGACTAAGCTCATGCATGAGGCCCCAACAGACCATACCAAACCAAAATGGAGTCACTCATGCTAAGCGTGAGACAATTACACTGAAACATTAAAGAAAGAGATAGATCCTAAAATAGACCAGGTTTTGTTTTTCTCCTGAAAACAGGAAATTTCAGCACAAGGAGGTCCCCTCTACTCTTACCCTTAGGAAAAAGTAACCTGAAGTCCTTGTTCCCATTTTACAAAACCCATTGTTCTGCTATTTCCCAGTGGGATTTGAGACCAAATAAGTAAGTTTATGATGGTGACTGACATCAATGCCAATCCATTAAAAAAAAAAATTGGGGGGATAGATCAAAGGGGATAACTGTTAAATTAAGTTTTGCCTAAAGCTACCTCCTTACATCTTTTAAGTTCAGTCTAGAGGTTTCTCTGAACATCGTAAACTGTAACCTAGGCCAGGCGCAGTGGCTCACGCCTGTAATCCCAGCACTTTGGGAAGCTGAGGCAGGCAGATCACCTCAGGTCAGGAGTTTGAGACCAGCCTGGCCAACAGAGTGAAACCCCATCTCTACTAAAAATACAAAAATTAGCCGGGCATAGTAGTGCAGGCCTGTAGTCCCAGATACTCTAGAGGCTGAGGCAGGAGAACCGCTTGAACCTGAGAGGCGGAGGTTGCAGTGAGCCGAGATCACGCCACTGCACTCCAGCCTGGGTGACAGAGCAAGACTCTGTCTCAAAACAAAAACAAAAAACTGTAACCTAACTGGATGGGTAAATAGTGGATAAGCTACTTGTGTACCAAACACTGAGTTTTAGCCAATCAATTACAGCTAACTGTTCAAATCATCTTCAAATAAGGCAAATGCCAAGCTGTAACCAATCCATCTGTTTCTGTACTTCATTTCCATATTCTGTATGCCACTTTCCTTTTTCTGTCCATAAATCTTCTTCAACCATGCGGCTGCTGGAAGTCTCTCTGAACCTGTTCTTGTTCCAGGAGCTGCCTGATTTGCAAATCATTCTTTGCTCAATTATAAACTCTGTTAAATTTAATTTGTCTGAAGTTTTTATTTTAACAGAAGATATGATTAGCTCTATTTTACAAAGGTGAACATTGAAGAATAATGAGATTAAATAAATTATCCATGGTAATAAATCCAGGTAGTGGCAAATCTGGGAATTATACCTAAACTGTCATCGAAAGACAATGATGCTTGCTGCTACTATCCCACAAAAAGTAGTTGTGATATTGTGAAATATGCATTTGTTGGCCATTCCCATTTCCTAGCAGACAACTCCTAAAATCCTTAGAAACTCCTAAGTGTTATCTTTTTTATATGATACTGATTGCCTAACGGCTGGTAGCCTATAGGTAGCTTCAGGATGGGGTCTGGTCACCAGAAAGGCAAGGCAGGATTAGAGGGCTGGGACTTTCAGCCCCACATCCCCAACCTCCAAGGAGGCGAAAGGGGCCGAAGGTTAAGTTGATAACTAATGGCTAACAGTTTAATCAATGAGGCCTATGTAATGAAGCATCCATAAAAATCCAAAAGGATGGGGTTTGGAGAGCTTCTGGCCAGCTGAACACACAAAGGTTCCTGGAGGGTGGTGTACCCAGGGATGGCATGTAAACTCCACACTCCGTCCCCATACCTCACCCTATGGATATCTTTACTGCATCCTTTGGAATATCTTTTATAATAAAACAGTAAACATAGTAAGTGTTTCCCTAGTTCTGTGAGCTGCTCTATCAGACGAATCTATCTTGAAGAGGGGGTCATGGGAACCCATGACCAGAGGCCTGGACTTGCTACTGGCATCTGAAGCAGAGTGCAGCCTTGTGGGAGTGAACCCTGAATCTGTGGAATCTGATGCTATTTCCAGGAAGATAGTGTAATAACTGAATTGGAGGACACCCAGCTGGTGTCCACTGCAGAACTGATTGTTTGCTTGGTGTGTGGGGAAACCCTCCCCACATTTAGTCACAAGAGTGTTCTGTGTTGATTGCTCTGGTGTGAGAGCAGAGAAAAAACATGGTTTGAGCTTGTGTTTTTTCCATTCACAGTAGTCTATAAGGATGTCTAATAGAATGAATCAAGGAATTTACTATGACTAACAAATTTTTTCACCGAACTATTGAGAAGTTTTTTTTTTTTTTTTTTTGGAGACAGAGTCTCACTCTGTTGCCCAGGCTGGAGTGCAGTGGCACAATCTCGGCTCACTACAAGCTCCGCCTCCTGGGTTCATGCCATTCTCTTGCTTCAGCCTCCCGAGTAACTGAGACTACAGGCGCCCACCACCACGCCTGGCTAATTTTTTGTATTTTTAGTACAGACGGGGTTTCACCATGTTAGCCAGGATGGTCTCGATCTCCTGACCTTGTGATCCACCCGCCCTGGCCTCCCAAAGTGCTGGGATTACAGGTGTGAGCCACTGTGCCTGGTCAAGAAGAAACATTTTTAAAGGTTCAGTGACTAGGCCGGGCACAGTGGCTCATGCCTGTAATCCCAGCACCTTGGGGGGCCAAGGCGGGCAGATCACCTGAGGTCAGGAGTTTGAGACCAGCCTGGCCAACATGGTGAAACCCCATCTCTACTAAAAATACAAAATTAGCTGGGCGTGGTGGCACACACCTGTAATCCCAGCTACTTGGGAGGCTGAGGCAGGAGAATTGCTTGAGCCTGGGAGGTGGAGGTTGCAGTGAGCTGGGATCACGCCACTACACTTCAGCCTGGGTGACAGAGTGAGACTCTGTCTCAAAAAAAAAAAAATGGTTCAGTGATTACATATACTTCATATTAAGGCAACATCTGTTAGAACATTAGATGAGTAATTTAAAGTCTAAACACAAAAAAGTCCCAAAGCCAAGGTAATGACATGTCTTACTTCAATATTTCTTCTCTGCACTGCCTCTGTGTGGCAAAACAAGCGATAGCCCACATTTTGATTTCAACTCCTGTGTGGAATTGTTTCCCTCGCATGTCCCATACTCCATGGCTCGGTGTTGCTACTGTCCGATTCTACACGAGGAGAAAAAAATAACATGGTGAAAAAGAACAAAAATTTTCAATAAACAGAAAGTAAACATTTCAAATCGCTGAATTGAAATATTTCTGATATGCCTTTCTCTTCATACTTACAGACAATATGTGTATGATTAAAACATTAACAAGAGACTTTACCCGTCCTCCATACTGGAGCATAGGTGCTGGAAGTACGCGTCCAGTTACATGAGCCATTTCATCCCGAACTTTAAATTGAAACTCCTGAACAAATGGATCTGTTTCATAATTTGCACTTCTTACCTAAAAATAGAAAAAGTTTGTAGTTACTCTCAAAATTCCCCCAAATCCCCTACTTTAATGCATTAGAACCCTCTTTTTTTTCTTCACTGTGTCCATAATATATTTTCCAACAGGTCTAATCAATGGTGCTCTAACTACAGAACAGCGAATCTTAACCTGGGGACCATGGGTCATGAATGGACTGCAGAAATTCTGTGACCTCCTGGTAATTTATACAAAATTTGTATGTATGCATTAGGTTGAATAATACATTTTGGCCTGGCATGGTAGTTCATGCCTGTGATCTCAGCATTTTGGGAGGCCAAGCTGGAGGATTGCTCAAGCCCAGAAGCTTGAAACTAGCCTGGGCAACATAGTGAGACCCTGTCTCTACAAAAAAATTAAAAAATTAGGCTGGGCGTGGTGGCTCACATCTGTAATTCCAGCACTTTGGGAGGCTGAGGTGGGAGAACTGCTTGAGCTCAGGAGCTCAAGACCAACCTGAGCAACAAAGCAAGACCTCATCTCTACAAAAAATTAAAAAGAATTAGCCAGGTGTGGTGCTGTGTGCCTGTGGTCCCAGCTATTTGGGAGGCTGAGGTGAGAGAATCGCTTGAGCCTGGGAGCTCAAGGCTGCAGTGGGCTGTGATTGCACCACTGTACTCCAGCCTGGGGGTCAGAGCAAGACCCTGTCTCAAAAGAAAAAAAAAATCCATGAAAATGATAATAAAACTTTTTTTTTTTTAAAGAGATGGAGTCTTGCTATGTTATTCAGGCTGGCCTTGAACTCCTGGGCTCAAGCCATCTTCCTCTCTCAGCCTCCTAGATAGCTGGGAACATAGGCATGCACCACTATGTACTACCCAGCTGAAAATGTTAATTTTGTATGATTGAACCTAATATGCTTTTGGATGGAGAAAGAAATATCTCACCTAAAAAGAGGTTAAGAACCTCTGACTATGGGAGATCTGGATACATTCTATTAAAATTTATTTTGTGTAGAGTTTGATAGGAAATATTAAAAATCTTAAAGCTTTTAAAAATTATTTGATTTATAATTTATATAAAATTTACTTGACTATTTTCAGTGCCATATTATAAAATTTATTTAATGGAATACACTTAAAGACAGATAAGAAAGCCAGTATGAGTCACAGGTTATAATTTTTATATATTCCCATACATATAATCAAAGAACTTCATGTAATTCAGTGTTGAATCTCACTGAAATTCATGCTTAAAGCATGCTGCTATATAGAATCTCTCCACAATAAGCAGGAAAAGTCATTTTCTTTTCTTTTTCCTTTTCTTTTCTTTTTTTTTTTTTTGAGACAGGGTCTCGCTCTGTCATCCAGTGGTGCAATCACAGCTCACTGCAACTTCAATCTCCTGGGGCCCAAGCGATCCTCCCACCCCAGCCTCCTGAGTAGCTGGGACTATAGGTGCATGCCACATACCTGGCTAATTAACATTTTTTTTGTAGAGATGGGGTCTCACTATGTTGCCTAGGCTGGTCTTGAACTCCTGGGCTCAACTGATAGTCCTGCCTCGGCCTCCCAAAGTGATGGGGTTACAGGTGTAAGCCCCATTTTCTAAATTAGGCACCAATGGGGCATCTCTTTCAATCTTATTTGCCATGCATTTCTGTACTTCAGTGTATCCTGTAATAAGGTTACAGCGAATAATGACGACTATACTATAACAACTAATATACTATGACTTGCTGCATGATGTACTTGGTGCTAAGTGCTTAATGATACATTTTCACAAGTATTTTATAGCTACAAAAACAGTTCTTTTATAATCTGTATTTTACAGAGGATACAACTAAAGCTCAGTAAAGTAAAATGATTGCCAAAAACCGCACAGCTAAGTAAGTGATGTAGACAGAATGTGAAACCATGTATATTCTGATTCTAGAGTGTCTACTCTTAATCACTGCATTATCTTTCCAGATACTATAAATATAATAATAGTAACAGTAACAGTAAGTAAGTGGAGAAGCCAGACTTCCAACCCAGGGTTGTTAGACTCCAAAGTCTGTTTTATTTTTTTTAAACTACCATATGATACTTTCTGAACAGTTAAGCTGTAATAAATGAATTAGAACAGTGAGTTATTGAGACTTTTATAGACAAAGTAAGAGGTCTTAGTCTCTGATTTTGAGAGTTTTTAAAATCTTATAGTAGAATCAGAGAAAAATCCAAGATGAAAACCAGCATATATTTTCCTAATTAAATATCATGTAATAACTTTCTTTGACTCTTTACAGAAGAGTCAATAAGGAAAAAAAAAAGTATTTTTTCTGCAGTTGGCTTACCAAATAAAAGAGCCAGTTTTTGCCAAAGGTGAAATTACTAAGGTTAAAAAATAAATTAAAAGAGCCAGTTTTGCATCCCTATTTTCAATAATCTTTAAAATTGCTTTTGGAAGTATTATTAAGTTGTTTTGGGAAATATTCATATTTCCAGATTTTTTTCTCTTTGCTTGGGCAGTTAAAATGGTATTCGAGAACAGAGCCAGATAAGATTCAGATGCCCTTTAATCTTGAGTTTTGCCTTACTCTATGAGTTTTATAAAGCGGTATTGGTAACGCCTTCCTTCCCCTCATTTAGAACAATGAGACAGCACAGAGACCTTACGTGGTTAAAGCTATCTTCTATTTCCTTTCTTTCTTTTCTTTCTCTCTCTTTTTCTCTTTCTTTCCCTCCCTCCCTCCCTCTCTCTCTCTCTTTTTTTTTTTTTTGACAGAGTTTCGCTCTTGTTGCCCAGGCTGGAGTGCAATGGCACAATCCCGACTCACCGCAACCTGCGCCTCCCGGGTTCAAGCGATTCTCCTGCCTCAGCCTCCTGAGTAGCTGGGATTATAGGCATGCGCCACTATGCCTGGCTAATTTTGTATTTTTAGTAGACACGGAGTTTCTCTATGTTGGTAGGCTGGTCTTGAACTCCCAACCTCAGGTGATCCGCCCCCCTCGGCCTCCGAAAGTGCTGGGATTACAGGCATGAGCCACCGCACCCGACCTTCTTTTTCTTTTTTTTTTTTTTTGAGACAGAGTCTCACTCTGTTGTCCAGGCTGGAGTGCAGTGGTGTGATCGGCTCACTGCAGCCTCTGCCTCCCAGGTTCAAGTTATTCTCATGCCTCAGCCACCTGACTAGCTGGGATTACAGACACATGCCACCATGCCCCACTGATTTTTGCGTTTTTAGTAGAGATGGCATTTTGCCATGTTTCCCAGGCTGGTCCCAAATTCCTGGCCTCAAGTGATCCACCCGCCTTGGCCTCCCAAACTGCTGGGAATACAGATGTGAGCCACTGAGCCCAGCCATTTCTTTATTCAGACTGTACAGCTGCCACTGTGATACTGGGGACTAAGCAATCTTAGACTGA
This sequence comes from Homo sapiens, assembly GCF_000001405.40. Classification (NCBI taxonomy): domain Eukaryota; kingdom Metazoa; phylum Chordata; class Mammalia; order Primates; family Hominidae; genus Homo; species Homo sapiens. The sequence goes on along the minus strand of NC_000001.11, from coordinate 36,010,258 downwards.
GTGTTAAGAATTTTAGTATTGGCCGGGTGCGGTGGCTCACGCCTGTAATCCTAGCACTTTGGGAGGCCGAGGCGGGCGGATCACAAAGTCAGGAGATGGAGACCATCCTGGCTAACATGGTAAAATCCTGTCTCTACTAAAAATACAAAAAAATTAGCCAGGCGTGGTGGCATGCGCCTGTAGTCCCAGCTGCTGGGGAGGCTGAAGCAGGAGAATGGTGTGAACCTGGGAGGCAGAGCTTGCAGTGAGCCAAGATCGTGCCACTGCACTCCAGCCTGGGTGACAAAGCAAGACTCCGTCTCAAAAAAAAAAAAAAAAAAAAAAAAGAATTTTAGTATTGCTAGTCATAATTCTTTGACTTTTCCTCCTATTTCCCACCTCTTTTAGGTGGAGGTTCCAGTTTACTAAATGGAAACATTTCTTCTGAGAGGATCTGTTCCCTGGATCTACTTAAAAAGCTCAGGGTTAAATGAGAAGGACCTAACCCTTCTCATATAGCCCACCAAGGCTTGTATCAAGAACATTAGATTACTTCCATGATTGCTTTTAATTCTGACAGTCCATGAAATGGTCATAAGGTATGGGTTGATAAGGACATGGTTCTCTAGTATTACAGTTCACCCTAATATGTTTTAAATTCTCATTTCTAAGGTTAAGTACTAACCAATCTGCTAATTTCCTCTTGTCTATCTGGTGCAGATCTTGCTGTTGCCTTGATCATAGTGGAAGTCTGATTGTCTGTTAGCTTCTTGATACATCGTTGCCCTGCCACAATATTACAGACCTACAAATGGAAAAAAGTTTTGTACTACATGTATATATCTTTTTTTTTTAGCTCTTACTTAGTGCCAATTACATGTAAATAAAAATTTAAAATCAACTTCATTAAACCACTTATTTTCAATATGTTAAGTAAAAAAGTAGTAAACAAGACAGCTCTACAGTAATTAAGTATAATTAAGTAAAATGTACACCAGATGAAGACTGAAAGAAGTATAGTATACCAAAATGTTAACAGTGGTTACATTAGAGTGGTAGGATTATGGATGAACTTGTTTCGTGTTATTTCATTACAGAAAATTTAGAATAAATTAAAACTTAAAAACAGTTCATATTCCAAAATAAATGTTCTGTATGAGGTAAGTTATCGGCCATAAAAGACCCCAAAAGAATCATGAACAACAGGGTATTAATTAGCAGTGTGAAGGCATTACTTCTAGTGGCAGGTAGGTGTGTTTCTGTTCCTGCCCGACTTGCAGACAGGGAAGGTGCGGGTACTTCAGCTGAAGAGTATACTTTTCTCTGAAATACTGCGCTACTGTTCTCTCCACAGTTTGGCCGTTTTCTAACTGTAAAGGAAAGCTGAGGAAAAAAAAGTACACATGAACAATTCTTGCCCATTATGAGCCAGAAAAACTCCCAACCCCACTAACTAGAGCAAGCTGCCTCACACCATCGCTGCTCTGACAAACTTTTCTTACGTTTGATGACTGGCAGGCCTCCTTGTTACATTACAAACACGGTATTTCCGTCTCATTGTTCCACAATGAGTCACTTCAACCTTCAAACCTGTTCCCAACAAGAAAAATGGAGGTTACAGAACTGTCACATGTAAAATATTTATACTTATAAAGCCTGTTCATTACCATAAAAACTCAATTCTGAACAGACAAAAAATTCTGTGATACAGGCAAGATGATATAAACACCAGATTTTACATATAACATTGCTAATAATGGTCACAGTCATGACAGACCTAATGGCAAAATTTTTCCTTACCCCATCAAGCTCTACACATTAAAAAATAAAATCATAAAATTTGCAAAGCCCATAGATCAAGGGCCAAAATCTTCCATTAATAAAAAATCCTGTTTATAATAAATTCAGGTATTTATGCTGGGAGAGGGAAGGAGGAATGAAAGAGGAGATCCAATAATTCTCAAGGTATTCCATAATTTCAAATTATGTGATATTTACCTAGCCCAGTCATCACATACTGCTTGAAGATCAGAATTTTGTAAAGCTCAAGAAAGAAGTCCTTTAAAGATTTATAAAGCAGGAGAAAAAAATTCCAGGCATTTTTAACAGAAGCAAAGTGACACTTTTATAGAGGTATAATATAGTGACACAGCTCTTTTCCAATACTATTAAAAATCAAATGTAACCAAAATAATTCCTAAAGTAGGTGATCCCTACCCTCTTATGGAGTCAAGATCCCTTTGAGAATCTGATGTAAGCAATAAACTCTCAGCAAAATGCACATATACATAATTTAGCACATGATTTTAGGAGTTCTTGGATCCCTGCCGTCCATCTGTGGACTCTAGGGGTTCAAGGATCCCAGGCCTGCTCTAGAATGTGAAGAAATGGGCTTTAAGCTGTTGGCTGAAGTTCTTCGAGATGAATTTTCTGAAGCAGTGCTGTCAAAGAGAATTTTCTTGAGGTGATGGAATGTTCTACATTTATGCTAATATGGTAATCACTAATAACATGTTACTAAGCATAAGAAATGTAGCTGGTGTACCTAAGAAACTGAAAATTTAATTTTATTTAGGTTTTTTTTTTTTAGTTTTTTGCTCTTGTTGCCCAGGTCAGAGTGCAATGATGCAATCTTGGCTCACTGCAACCTCTGTCTCCAGGGTTAATGTGATTCTCCTGCCTCAGCCTCCCAAGTAGCTGGGATTACAGTACCCGCCACTATGCCCAGTTAATTTTTATATTTTTAGTAGAGATGGGGTTTCGCCATGTTGGCCAGGCTGGTCTTGAACTCCAGACCTCAGGTGAACCACCCACCTTGGCCTCCCAAAGTGTTGAGATTACAGGCGTGAGCCACCACGCCCGGCCTTTATTTTAATTAATTTAAATTTAAGTAGCTACATGTGGTTAGTGCAGTCTTAGCCTAGAGAAGAGTTAACAGGTACACAGAGGTCACAGATAAGCAACTCCTTTCTAAAGTTTGGCCTAGACTCCAAGGGATAAAGTCCAAAATGGGGTAGATGGAGAACAACTTTTAGTTCCCTGATAATACTTATGGTTATTACTCTTTGTCATATTTCTCTTTCATATTTGTGATTCCTATACTGCAGTGGTTCTTAGCCAGAGGGCAATCTGTCCCCCAGGGGACATTTGGCAATGTCTGGAGACAAACTGATAGGCATGACTAGAGATGCTACTGCTTTCTATTGAGTAGAGGCCAGGGATAGTATGAAATATCCTGTAATGCAGAGAACAGCCCTACCCCTATCCCAACAAAGAATTATCCAGCCCAAAATGTCAATGCTGCTAAGGTTGAGAATGCCTGCTATGGTAAAATTTATTTTCTTACCTAACTGCTACCTGCAATTAGGTAAGAAAATTAGTACCAAACACAAAGCTCAATCATATAAATGATATTTTCTTCTGATAGATCAGAACAAATTAAGATGTTAAATGGACACGGTATCCATCCCTGTACCAGATTGGTATGGGTTTGTTTTTCTTTGGAAGTGCTCCTCCTTGAATCAGTGAGTAGTAATTTTTCATTACAACTACCTTTATAAGACAAAAATGTCAGATCAACTAGAGAATTACTATGTCTTTATATTATAAAGGAGACTAGAAAATAAAATACTATCGAAGGAGGATCTTAAAAGAAGGAAATACTAATAATATGAAGAAACAAGACGTAAAAATATTATGTTCAGGGGAGAACACAATAGAAAAGTCTAAAACAAATTTCTGTTATTTGCACCACTTAGCAATTTATTTTCAACTCTTCCCCTTGAATTAAAAAAATATTAATAAGGTTCTCCAAGCCTATAAAGCTTTTACTAAAAATAAGTTGGCACATATATAGATATATATATATGGTACTTATACATTTTCCCAGTATTTCTGCTGTTTAACTATCACGAGTTACTGGATAAAGAAACCACTCCAAAGTTATTATTAAATATTTAGGTACAAGTTCAACTGGAAAAAGATGAATATACTAAGAAAATCTATTCTTTATTGCACACTTTGTGTCATTATTTAACAGCTAGCATCAAATTCTTCATACCAGCTAAAAAACCCATAGATACAGGAGAGAACACAAAACTCTTATTCTCTTGGGTTACTGTAGTAGGAATACATGATGTACTTTAAAGAGCCTTCTTTAAAAAAAAAAAAAGCCCTATTTTACTTGGAATGAAGAAAAAAATAATCAGTTTGTCAATTGGATCCCACCCAGATTTTTCCACCCCCAAACTAGGATCATAAATACCTAAGAATTAGACCAAAATCTAGGTGCTAGCAAAAAGTTGAAATTTTTAAAAAGTGGACTAGATAATTCTCTGCCCAGGTCCCTCCCCAAACCCTCCATCCAACCAAAAAAACACTTTTGGCTTTAATAAATATTTAACCTATAAACTTGGCTTTACCTTCACTATAACATCAACTTTATTATGCTTTCTAGTCATTTTTTCAGTCATTTCTTTGGGCCCCTGAGCAGTTGAAGTTAAGATCGAGTCCATGCTCTTCGGGCAGCAGTTGAATCCTTGTTCTGTACATCTTGTATTTTCTGTGATAGAGTGGTGATATGAGTTGATTGCATAGTTACCGCAAAATAATGTAAGTGACTTCATGATATCAGAGGTGGTAACTAAGCAGCAACTCCACTGGAAACCATGGCATTTAGATGATCACATATTAATGGTAGGTAATGCACTAACCTCCTGACAATGCTAGCTGTGCAGTTAATACAGATCATGAAAGGACAATGGTATGGTTGCAAAACAGTTACATAAACAGTTTCTTACTTTGGCATTTAAATAACTTGAGATAAATGGATGCTTATTTTCAAAGCAGGGTGGATCTTCCTTTTAATATTTTATTACAATGACTATCTCTCTCTTGGTTACTGAATGGCGAAGAATGAATTATTACTGGAGCAAGCAGAATGTATTAAACTACTCTAATTGATTTGGGGGAACTGAAAGATGTTCAGTGAACAAACTTAAATGCTTCATTCAAACCACAAGCTGAAAATTATCTGCAATAAATAGGTAAAATCTTAAAAACAACATAATTATTTCTGGCTATTTAAGATCTAACAATATAAATAGAACTTATCCTATTCATTCTGATTAGGGAGTATCAGACTAAATACATATAAAATACAGATTTCAGAACACTATTAAAATTATTTTTATTTTTATTTTTGGGCAGCCACATAGAGATGAATTTATCTGAGTTAAATGTACATATGATGCAACAGCACTGTACAAATTTTAGTTACTAAGTATAATAGATAAGATCAACAGTCAACTCTATAACTTATATTAAATAACTATAATTCTAGAACAACACATGAAACAGGCTAGCCCCACATTTATACGTTTTTAAAGGACTAAAATAAATAACTATCATTTCAGAAAAATAAGGAAGTCATTATATTAGAATATGTTCTAGTTCTATAATTCTAGTTATAAAATATAACAAATATTTTTGGAGTGAGCTTCCTACTTTTAACAGTATTACTAAAGCATTTTCCCATGAGACATTCTTATCCCTTCAGCTAGTAAGGGAAAGTATTAACAAAAAATTAGCTGGTAGTGATACTAACTCCATTACTTGGCATTTCTTTCAAATACCACCTAAGATGTTATAGTAATGAATTTAATGTAATATTTTATTTTATAATTGATGTATAGTTTTACTGGTTATGTTACATAGATTTTAATTATATAAGAAAACATTTTAATAAAAGGTTGTTATATCCATGCATTTTATAGTTAAGTTGTGCTAAATGCTAATTAATTCACCTTTTATCTCTTTGGTGAATTTTACCCGATGAGAATCAGTCAGAGGTCTTGGTTGCTCATCAATATTATGAATATCAAGAACTTCACACATGAACTGAATTACAGGTTGTGCTTTGTAGAAGGCAGTGGCAGAAACTAAGAAGAAAAACACAAACAATACAAATTAATGTTTCCCTAAAAAATTCAGAAACTTCATCTTAGGCTCCAGGATAACTATCTATAGGGTTAAAATGATCCTTTATGCACATTTATGTACATACAAATTTCCAAAATTAAGCAGTTTTAATTTGACCTCTGAGGCACAAATACAAAATGGCCAAATACTACAGTTTTTATAATCTATCTCTTTCATCGTAAGTAACTGATTCATTCCATTCTCTATAGAGAAGTGTTCTGGGTGAGACAAGGCTTGAAAGAGACAAAGAAGGCTGGAGCCCCGTGGCAGATGAGATGGTTAGGTATTATTTCTTTTTTTCTTTTTTTAATAGAAACAAGGTCTCACTATATTGCTCAGGCTGGTTTCCAACTCCTGAGCTCAAGCAATCCTCCCGCCTCAGCCTCCCAAAGTGGTAGGATTATAGGTGTTAGCCACCATGCCTGGCCAGTATTATTTCTTAAACAAGGCTTTCTATGCCACCCTAGACTATCTATTCTAAAGAGAGTTTTCCCTGTCTTGTAATGATTTGAAAAAACAGTGGTATTAGTCATTGGTGCTAAATCTAAGCTACAAATATACATATATATATATATATATATATATATATATTTTTTTTTTTTTTTTGAGACAGACTTTCACTCTTGTTTCCCAGTCTAGAGTGCAATGGCACAATCTTGGCTCACTGTAATCTCCGCCTCCCGGGTTCAAGCGATTCTCCTGCCTCAGCCTCTCAAGTAGCTGGGACTACAGGCATGCACCACCACGTCCGACCAATATAGCACTTCTAGTAGAGACGGGGTTTCTCCGTGTTGGTCAGGCTGGTCTTGAACTCCTGACCTCAGGTGATCCGCCTGCCTCAGCCTCCCAAAGTGCTGGGATTACAGGCATGAGCCACTGTGCTCAGTCTACAGATAGTAATATTTAGGGTTATCTGTCCAATATTATTGAGCAGTGGGTGGTTTTTTAACAGTCAACCACTATGATTTCTTAACCATGGGTTTTGGAACTAGAAGAGTTTCACCAATGGTTAGCAGATCACCATCACTCATTTCTCAGACACATACTTATTAATGGCTATTATGTGTTATATAGGCACTGGGGATACAACAAAAAGTAAAACCATAAGACAGTAAGTTGCATGTTATCATGTCATTTTTCTACTCCAAAAAAAAAAAAATGCCCACTGTCTGTTCAGCTAAGTGTAAACTTTATTTATTTATTTATCTATTTATCTATTTATTTATTTTTTAGACGGAGTCTCACTCTGTCGTCCAGGCTGGAGTGCAATGGCGCGATCTCGGCTCACTGCAACCTCCCCCTCCCAGGTTCAAGCAATTCTCCTGCCTCAGCCTCCTGAGTAGCTGGGACTACAGGTGCCCACCACCACACCCGGCTAATTTTTGTATTTTTAGTAGAGACAAGGTTTTACCACGTTGGCCAGGCTGGATGGCTCATGCCTGTAATCCCAGCACTTTGGGAGGCCGAGGCGGGAGGATCACGAGGTCAGGAGCGTAAACTTTTTATGTGGGGATCTTTCTCTTGCTTTCCTTGGTTTAGCATTAAATGTCCTCCATAAAATGTTCCTTACCTCTGGGAGGATATTTTCAAAGCTTTAACAGTAGTTATCTCTGGATAAATGTGGGTGGTGAGGCTACTGTGGGTATTTTATTTTCTTCAAAATATTTTTGGCCGGGCACGGTGGCTCACACCTGTAATCCCAGCACTTTGGGAGGCCGAGGCGGGTGGACTGCCTGAGCTCAGGAGTTCAAAACCAGCCTGGGCAACATGGTGAAACCCCATCTCTACTGAAAATACAAAAAAATTAGCCAGGCGTGGTGGCATGTGCCTGTAATCCCAGCTACTCAGGAGGCTGAGGCATGAGAATCGCTTGAACCTGGGAGGCCGAGGTTGCAGTGAGCCGAGATCACGCCACTGCACTCCACCCTGGGTGACAGAGTGAGATTCTGTCTCAAAAAAAAAAAAAAAAAAAAAAATTATCTTGGCTGGGTACAGTGGCTCACAAGTGTAATCCCAGCAGTTTGGGAGCCCAAGGTGCATTGATCACTTGAAATTAGTTCAAGATCAGCCTGGCCAACATGGTGAAACCCCATCTCTACTAAAAAATACAAAAATTAGCTGTGTGTGGTGGCGCATGCCTGTAATCCCAGCTACTCAGAAGGCTAAGGCCAGAGAATCGCCTGAACCCATGAGGCGAAGGTTGCAGTGAGCTGAGATTGCGCCACTACACTCCAGCCTGGGTGACAGAGCAAGACATTTCGTCTCAAAAAAAAATTTTTTTTAACATATTTTTTACTACGAGAAAACATTTTTATCTTTATAACTTCATTTTTTGGTACTGAGTGCATATTGTTTTTTACTTCTTTATTACACAAATAATACATGAATAAAGTTTCATCATAAAAACTCAAACAATACAGAGATATACAAAGTAAAGACCCTCTCCAGTCTGAACCTCCTCGCTCCAAATAGCTCTAATAAGTAACCATTGTTAGTACTTAGGTATGTATACATCCTCTCCTTTTAATATGCACTTAGATTTGTCAGAAAGGTGATTAAAAAAACAAAAATACTAATTTACAAAGATAAAAATGTAGGAATAACTTTTTAGATGAAATCAGATAACTGTTCTATGACTCATTTTATCATGATTTTAAAAATTAACAATACATCTTAGAGATCTTTTCATGTCAGTACACCCTTTAATTGCTGCACACTATGTTACAGTGTGGGTGCATGATAATTAAGTAAATAGGTACTCCCTTCCCCTCTTAATAAAAAAGAACTCAAATGGTAAAACATTAGAAACACTATACTGTGCCTTGTATGTACTAATATGAAACTATATCATTCCTTCTCATAGCTGCAAGATATCCCACTGTATGAATGTACTTCATGTCCTCTGAGGGAGAGTTATGGGTTGTTTTTTACTATTACAAACAATATTCCAATGAATGTTCCTGTGCACGTGTGTGTGTTTGTGTACGTATGTGTATGTATTTATTTTTTTGGTATACATCCATGAGTACTTATTTTTTATTTTTATTTATTTATTCATTTATTTTTGAGACAGAGTCTCCCTCTGTCACCCAGGCTGGAGTGTGGTGGTGTGATCTCGGCTCACTGCAACCTCTGCCTCCCAGGTTCAGACAATTCTCGTGCCTCAGCCTTCCAAGAGCTGGAATTACAGGCACGTGCCACCACACCCGGCTAATTTTTTTATTTTTAGTGGAGACGGGGTTTCACCGTGTTGGCCAGGCTGGTCTCAAACTCCTGGCCTCAACTGATCCACCCGCCTCGGCCTCCCAAAGTGCTGGGATTACAGGCGTGAGCCACCACGCCTGGCCCATGAGTATTTCTGTGGAAAAGATAAGAGAAATCAATATTCACTTCTAAACTTCCATCCAAATAAACTTTAGAAATATTTCCAGTTTCTAACTAATTAAAAAAAAAAGAGAGACTGTTAAGATTGTAACAGTATTCTGGGTATCTTACTCAAATCCATAATAGTTTTAAATATATATATATATTATATTCTTCTACTGAAAAATGTTGGAATATTATTGTGCACAAAAAGGAAGGCTGACAGGATACATATCAAATTTAAGTTATATGTTTATAATGTTTAAGTTCTTAAGCACATATTGATCTGGGTTAATTTTTAAAAAGTAAATGAAAGATAAATAGAAAGTGAATAATATGCTTATTTTGCCTTTCTTTTAATCCTACAGGTAAAATTTATTCACTGGATTGCTATAACACCAGCCTTCACAACTAATATTTCAGATACCACAAAGTTGTAATTACTTGTAACTACTAAACAAACATGCTAGAGTTATTTCTCTTGTTTAATCCTCTTCTACTATTTTTCCCTGTTTATTCCACTACACTCTGAATCATTTTACTATTGACCATCTTCTCTACAGGAAGGTGGGCATTTGAGGTAAAAATTAAATTTAGTAATAAAAAACTCAGAAAGAATGGGTTGAAATCAGCAAATATAGTTTTGAATTAGGAATATGTTTCAATGATCAAATGTTTGCTTTTCTGTCCCTTGGATGAATTCTTAATATTTAATAAACCTACATATATATGTAGTTTATTCCTTCCTTCCCTTTCACAAATTAGCTATTACTGAAAAATGTTTACATTTAACATTTTAAAAATCTATCAATAAAATATACTACATTAACATGTTACAGGAAATAAGCATATAATCATTTCCATAGATGGCAGTCCCCAAAAAGCAAGCATTTGATAAAATTCAGCACTGAAGCAAATACTCTTATTGTACCAGGACGAGAAGGGAACTTCCCTAATCTGGTAAAAGTTATTTACCAAAACTCTATGGTATTACAACCTGGCAGATACATAAAAAAGAAAAAAAAAACTCCATGGTAAATTCAACTTAATTTTATAGGAAGTTCTAGCTAGCATAGCAAAGCAAATTAGGAGAATAAAAAGTTAAAAGGTTGGAAAGAGAGAAACAAAATTATTACTCTTCACAACATTAATTGTGTGCATAGAAAACCCAATAAAAATCTATGGACAAATTACAGAATTAATAATTCAGCAATGTTACTAGATTTAAGGTCTACATATAAAAATAAATTATATTCTTATACACTAGCAACCTACTTAAAATGTAATTTAAACATATACCACTTATGATCACAACAAAAAACATAAGGCATTTGAGATGAAATCTAAACAAAAGGTGTATAAGACCTATGGAAGTAATAAGTATCTCTTTTATTGAAAGATACTATAGAAGATCAAATAAACAGAGTTATAATACACCCTATTCATGTAAATTATCCCCAGATTAATCTTCAATCGCAATTTCAGTCAAAATATCAACAGGATGTAATCCTCTCTCCCCCTGGAACTTAAGATACTATAATTAACATGAAAGCACAATGAAACAAGAATAGCCACAACAAGTCTTTATTTTTTTTTAGATGGAGTCTTGCTCTGTTGGCCAGGCTGCTGGAGTGCAGTGGCGTAATCTCGGCTAACTGCAACCTCTGTCTCCTGGGTTCAAACTATTCTCCTGCCTCAGCCTCCCGAGTAGCTGGGATTACACGCTCAGCTAATTTTTTTGTATTTTTAGTAGAGACGGAGTTCACCATGTTGGCCAGGCTGGTCTCAAACTCCTGACCTCAGGTGATCCACCTGCTTTGGCCTCCCAAAGTGCTGGGATTACAGGCATGAGCCACCGTGCCCAGCCAACAATTCTTAAGAATAAGGTCTGCTCTAGCATTCATCAAGATTTGTTATAATCCTATTCAAATAAAGAGACTGTGGGGCTAGACACACAGAACAGGCTTGAAAGCCTACCTCATACTATATACATAAACAAATTCCTATTCAGAGAACTAAATATGAAAAGGAAAACTAACATTTATTGAAAAATGTAGAATATCTTTATGGTCTTAAAGGTAAGGAAGAATTTCTTCAGCACAATACAAAAACTATAAACCATGAAAACTATAAGAAAAAAGACACCATAAATAAAGAAATAAAGCTAAAGATTGATAGAGGATATACACAATATGTTTAACAAATGCTTAGTATCTAGAATATGTATAGAGTTCCTACAAATCAAAATAAAACAATAAAAAGTGGCAAAGGACATGAGCAAACGTTTCATAGAAGACAAAGAGAAATATATACTAAAACAATATCAACCTATCATTTTATACCAATCAAGATTAGAAAAAACTTTAAGGGTAACAAGCTGAAAATAAGCCAATGGAAGAATGAAAGCTCTCAGACTGTAGGAATATAAACTGATAAAGTCACTTAGGAAAGGAAGTGGAATATATAATAAATTGGAAGCTGTATATAATTTTCAACCCAGCACTTCTGTTATAGTGGAATATATACTCTAGAGAAATTCCCTGTCTCCAAAAGGAGACATGAATAAGAATGCTCATATCCTTATTGTAGCATTATTTGTAAGAGTAAAAAGAATGGAAACAACCTAAATATGTGTCAACATATTTGGATATTTTGTATTATAAACTGGATTGATAAATTGTACTATACTCATATAATTAAAATTAATGAGCAGCCACTAGAATTCAGATAAATAAAACAGAAAGGAGGGGAGTTTAGGGGAAAATGTATCTAGATAACTATAACTAGGGAAAAGAAATTTACCAAAATAGACTAATGTTCAAAATATCAGTGGGATAGTATTTCAATTCATAAACATAGTATATCTCTGAATGTATTAAGGTCATTTAAATTCCACTAAGGTTTTATAATATACTCTAAAACTCATATATCTTTTATTAGATTTATTTATAATTGACAAACAAATTTCTGTTTCTTACTTTGGGAGGCCAAGGCGGGTGGATCACCTGAGGTCAGGAGTTCGAGACCAGCCTGGCCAACATGGTGAAACCCTGTCTCTACTAAAAACACAAAAATTAGCTGGGCGTGGTGGCAGGCGCGTATAATCCTGGATACTCGGGAGGCTGAGGCAGGAGAATTACTTGAACACAGGAGGAGGAGGTTGCATTGAGCCGAGATCACGCCACTGCACTCCAGCCTGGGCAACAGATGGAGACTACGTCTCAAATAAACCCCAGAGAATACAGATGCTCCTTGACTTAAAACGGGATTACATCCTAATAAACACATCATAATTTGAAAATATCGTTAAGGCGAAAATGCTTTTAATACATCTAAACTACTCAACACAATAGGTAGCTTGGCCTACCTTAAATGTGCTCAGAACACTTATATGAGCCTACGGTTGGACAAAATCATCTGGCAACACAGTACACTGTACCCTTGTGATCACATGGCTGACTAGGAGCTGTGGTTTGCTGCTGCTGCACAACATTTTGAGAGAATATTGTACTATAAATACAATTTCTACTGAAGACATACTACTTTTGCACCATCATAAAGTTGAAAAATCGGAAGTCAAACCATTCTAAGTTGAGGACTGGGTTTAACTTTAAAATAAACTGCCAAACTATTTTTCTTTCTTTCTTTCTTTTTTTGCTGAGATGGAGTCTCACTTTGTCACCCAGGCTGGAGTGCAGTGGCATGATCTCAGTTCACTCCAACCTCCACCTCCCAGGTTCCAGCGATTCTCCCACCTCAGCCTCCCAAGTAGCTGGGATTACAGGCACATGTCACCACACCCGTCTAATTTTTTCTATTTTTAGTAGAGATAGGTTTTCACCATGTTGGCCAAGCTAGTCTTGAACTCCTGACCTCAAGCGATCTGCCTGTCTAGGCACCCCAAAGTGCTGAGATCACAGGCGAGAGCCACTGCGTCTGGCCGCCAAACTATTTTTCAAAGTACTTGTACCATTTTACACTCCTAAATTTCTAGTTGCTCCAAATCTTTGTCAACATTTGTTATTTTCAGTCTTTTAAATTTAGTCAATCTAGTACGTATGGGTGGTATCTCACTGTGGTTCTTTTTGAATTTCCTGAACGGCCAACGATGTTCTGCATCTTCTCAAGGGCTCACTGGCCATTCACATATAATTTTTTTTTTTTTTTTGAGATGGAGTTTTGCTCGTCGCCCAGGCTGGAGTGCAACGGTGCAATCTTGGCTCACTGCAACCTCTGCTGCCTGGGTTCAAGCAATTCTCCTGCCTCAGCTTCCTGAGTAGCTGGGACTATAGGTGACCACCACCACACCTGCCTAATTTTTGTACTTTTAGTAGAGATGGGGTTTCGCCATGTTGGTTGGGCTGGTCTCGAACTCCTGACATCAGGTGATCTGCCCGCCTCGGCCTCCCAAAGTGCTGGGATTACAGGTGTGAGCCACTGTGCCCGACCACACATATTCTTTTGTGAAGTATGTGATTTTTACTACTACTTTTTTTCTATTTCTTACTGAGTTATGTACAATTTTCATATATTCTGGACCTAAGCGTTGTTCTGTTACGTTTTGCAAATGTGTTTTCTCAGCGGTAGCTTGTGTTTTCATTTTTTTTTTTTTTTAAGAGTCAGAGTCTTGCTCTGTTGCCCTGGCAGAAGTACAGTGGTGATAATAATTACTGCAACCTCTAACTCCTGGGCTCAAGTAATCTTCTCACCTCATCCTCCTAAGAAGCTGGGAATAGAGGCATGCACCACCACGCTCAGCTAATTAAAAAAATTTTTTTACTATGTTGCCCAGGCTGGTCTCAAACACCTGGCCTCAAGCGATTCTCTTGCCTAGGCCTCCCAAAGTGTTGGGATTATAGGTGTGAGCCAGTGCGCCTGGCTGCCTTGTCATTTTCTTAATGGTGTTCTCAAAAGGAGAAGCTTTTAATTGCAATGGTTTTCAATTTATTAACAAATCCTAGCCGGGTGCAGTGGCTTATGCCTGTAATCCCAGCACTTTGGGAGGCCTAGGTGGGTGCATCACTTGAGGTCAGGGAGTTCGAGACCAGCCTGGCCAACATGGTAAAACCTCGTCTCTACTAAAACTACAAAAATTACCCAGGCGTGGTGGCATGCACCTGTGGTCCCAGCTACTCAGGAGGCTGAGGTGGGGGAATCACTTGGACTCGGGAGGCAGAGGTTGCAGTGAGCCAAGTTCAAGCCACTGCACTCCAGTCCGGGTGATAGGGAGATCCTGTCTCGAAAGAAGAAAAAAATCTTTGCCTCGTCCAAGATCATGAATATTTTCCCCATTTTGTCTTGGAAATTTACCAGTTTTAATGTTTTATCCTGGGATAAACTCTGAATTAAATTTTCTGTGTGCTGTTAAGTAGAGGATAATTTTTTTAATACAAATACCCAGTTGTTACATCATTTACTGAGAAGACTAACCTTTTTGGCATTCTATTATGTTGGGCCCTTTGCCAAAAATCAACCAGCTACATTAGTGGGTCTATTCTGGTAGCTATTCTGTAACCTGACAATCTTTACCCCAGTATCACTGTTTTGATTTCAGTAGTTTTATAGCACGTCTTGAACACAGGTAGTATAAATCCACCAACTTCGTTCTTCTTTAAAAGATTTTTTGGCTCTTCAAAATAGAAATGTTAAGTTCTTTGTACCAGCATATAAATCTTAGAATCAGCTTGACAATTTTATATAATATATATATATATATATATATATATATTTTTTTTTTTAGACAGTGTCTTGCTCTGTTGCCCAGGCTGGAGTGCAGTGGTGATACCTCGGCTCACTGCAACCTCTGCTTCCCGGGTTCAAGCACTTCTCCTGCCTCAGCCTCCCGAGTAGCCGGGACCACAGGCACACGCCACCATGCCCGGCTAATTTTTTTTGTATTTTAGTAGAGATAGGGTTTCACCGTGTTGCCCAGGCTGGTCGCAAACTCCTGAGCTCAGGCAATCCACCCACCTTGGCCTCCCAAAGTAAGCCTGATGGGATTTCTATTGTATTGAGTTTATAGATCAATTTGGGGAGAATGAAATTCTTAACAATTTGAGACTTCTGGTCCAAGAACACCTCTTTACCTTCCTTGTCTTTCTTAGTAATGCTTTGTAGCTTTCAGCGTGGGGGCCATGCACATCTTTATATTTATTCCTAAAAATTATGTTTTATGTTATGAATGGCACTTAAATTTTTTTTCATTTCAATTGTTGAATGCTGGTATTATTTGTTTATGCAGTTAGCATCCTGTGACCTCACTAAATTCATGTACTAATTCTAATAATTTTAATGGGGTTTGTTTTGGTAGATTCTTTAATGTAGAGTATTATGTCTTCTACAAACAGAGTTTTATTTCTTCCTTTACAAATTATGCCTTTTATTTCCTTTTCTTGCTTTGCCACTGCCTGGGACCTCCAGTATGATTACCAAATAATGAGAGCAAGCATCCTTGCCTTGTTCTTGAATTTAGGGCAAAAGTGTACAATCTTTTCACCACAGAAGTATGATGATGCCTGTATGCTTTTCTAAGTGTTTTTAATTAGCTGAAGAAATTTCCTTTTATTGCTAGTTTGTTGTAAATTTTTATCATGAGAATGTTTAAAATGTGTCAATTTTCCTGTTGAGAGGATTATATTGTCTTTGTCAGGGGTTAGTACCAGGTTTACCAGCCTCAAAAAATGAACTGGGGCCGGGCATGGTGGCTTATGGCTATAATCCCAGTGTTTTGGGAGGCCCAGATGGGAGAATTGCTTGAGCCCAGGAGTTCAAGACCAGCCTGAGCAGCATAGCTCGGGAGGTTGAGGCTGCAGTGAGCCATGATCACACTACTGCATTCCAGCCTGGGTGACAGAGTAAGAACCTGACTCAAAAAAAAAAAAAAAAAAAAAAAAAATCTGGGCGCAGTGGCTCACGCATGTAATCCCAGCACTTTGGGAGGTTGAGGTGGGCAGATCATAAGGTCAGGAGTTTGAGACACGCCTGGCCAACATGGTGAAACCCTGTCTCTACTAAAAACAAAAATTAGCCGGGCATGGTGGTGCATGCCTGTAGACCCAGCTACTTGGGAGGCTGAGGCAGGACAATGGCTTGAACCTGAGAGGTGGAGGTTGCAGTGAGCAGAGATCTCACCATTGCACTCCAGCCTGGGCGACAGAGCAAGACTCTGTCTCCAAAAAAAAAAAAAAAAAAAAAAAAAAGCAGGGGGTGGTGGTTGGGGAAGCCTTTTCTATTTTCTGAAAGAATTTGTGAAAGATTGATGTTATTTTTCCTTACATTATAGAAAAAACTCACTAGTGAAATCATTTGGGACTGGAGTTTTGTGAGGAGGAATTGTGAATTCAATTTCTTTGATATAGGGCTATTCAGGCTTCTTTTTCGAGTCAATTTTGGTAAAGGTGTGGCTTGTCAAGGAATTTGTTTCACCTATCAAATTAATTGGCATAAAGTTGTTCATACCATTCCCTTATTAATCTTTCAATTCTGAAGAATTTTTAGTGATACCCTCACTTCATTCCTGATACTGGTAATCTGCTTTTTCCTAATTTCCTGATTAGTCTTGCTAGGAGTTTATTAATCCTACTTATTTTTTTTAAATAACCAACAGTTGGCTTCATTGATATTCTGTACAGTTTTTTAATTAAATTTTGCTCTAATCTTTATTATTTCTTACTTTCTGCTTACTTTGGATTTAATATGCTCTTCTATTTCTAGCTTAAGTCAGAAACTGTGGTAGCCAGCCTTTGAGATGGTCCCCAATGAGTCTTGACATATGGGATTCACAGCTTTGTACAGTCCCTTCCCATACTGAACATTAAGTAATCTGAGTAACCAATAGGGTATTATAAAAATAAAAGAATGTAACTTTCAATGCTAGGTCTTAATGTTATTATATCCTCTGCCTTGCTCTCTCATGAATTCCTGCTCTGGAGGAAGCCAGCCACAATGTTGTGAGGATACTTACCCAGCCTTATAGAGAGGTCCACATGGCAAGGAACTGAGGCCTCCAGAACTAAGTTGTTACCAATTAAGTGAGTCCTACTGGAAGTGAATCCCCCCAGGCCCTGTAAGGACTTGAGATGAATGCAGCCTCATGAACTAGAACCATCGAAGTCACTCCTAACTCATAGAAAATGTGTGAGATAGTTTATTGTTTTGAGTCACTACGTTTTGGAATAATTTGATATGCAGTGGTAGATAACTAACACAGACATAAAATAAGACTTAACCATCCAAACATTTATTAAGTATATGCTATGTCACAGATTCCTTTATGGGTTGAAATTTAGAGATAAACCAGACAAAGCCCCTGCCCTTTAATAACAGATTCTGGGTTAAGATGGCAGATTAACAATGAGCATCTATTATCATTCTTCATTTCATTCCTTTCTCAAACTCCACTGTAACTATGAATTTAAAAAAAAATTTAAGGTACAAACCTAGAAGGAGAACAGAACAGGGGATATATCAACATTCTGAAAGATGAAAAGCAAGTGAGCAAGTTGGTGATAAAAGGATGGGAGTGATGCAGAAAAATAAAGAGAAAAGCAGTCTGAGAAGCAGGTAGA
This sequence comes from Homo sapiens, assembly GCF_000001405.40. Taxonomy (NCBI): domain Eukaryota; kingdom Metazoa; phylum Chordata; class Mammalia; order Primates; family Hominidae; genus Homo; species Homo sapiens. The sequence continues at coordinate 35,992,370 of NC_000001.11, read as the reverse complement.
GTCCTATATCCTCTGTCTAGCTCACATTGATGAACAGCTGCCTCTTGTTCATCCTTGCACAGATCTGCAGGCATACTAACTGGAAGAGATACAACAGAGGCTCCCTGGAAGAAGGATGCCAGACACAGTTGAGAGCACAAGACTGTACCAAAAACAAGAGATTAAATGACTTTAACATATTAAATGCTGAATACAGAAGTTCCCCCAGCTAGAACTCCCAACTAGGCTTCCAGAATGCAGGCAACCACACTGCTATCCTTTAGGCAGGAGTTTAGAAGACTCACCTTTGGACAACCTGACCAGCCAAGAGAAGAGACCTAAGGATCCTAACATTGTAGATTCCCCAACCTAAGCCCTCTGAAATCACCCTATGATGAGGCTCAGAGTCAACAAACCCTATCCATGCCTTCAGAGCATTCAGTGTTTTTAGATTAACACTGAATAGACAGTAATCAAGAATACTAGATATTGGATGAACGCCTCCAAAATGGAAGACAGAGATCAAAACAAACAAAAAGGAATTTGAGGGAAGCATAAGCATGTACAGGAAGAACTCCAAAATAAATTATGCTCAGAGAGCTAAGAGAGGATACTGCATCTGTGAAACAAGAATAGCATGCTATGAAAGATAACACTTAGGAAATAAAACGTGTGAATTTTATGGTATGTAAATTAAACGTCAATACAGCTATTTTAAAAATGGAGTGATGCTTTCGAATTTCTGAAGAAAAATTATTTCCACCACAGAAAGAGCTAAACTATCATTTTAAGTTTGTTGATAAATACATTTTCTAATATATACATATATTATATATTTTATATATATATATATATAAAATTTGCTCCCCAGGTACCCTATTCTCATGAAGATTCTGAAAATTTTTTAAAAAGAAATAAGATTATAGAACAAAGACAAAAGGAATTCCCAGGGCAACAGTGAAGTGTGATCTCAAGAAGACAGCTGCGCACCAAACACAAAGGGCATAACTCAACCAGACTGAAACAGTGAGAATCAAGAGACAGATCTCATGAAGACTGTCACTGAGATTCCTGCAGCCATTACTGTTTTTGTTTTTGGAGATGGAGTCTCACTCTGTCGCCCAAGCTGGGTGCAGTGGCGCGATCTTGGCTCACTGCAACCTCTGCCTCCTGGGTTCTCCTGTCTCAGCCTCCCGAGTAGCTGGGACTACAGATGCACACCACCATGCCCGGCTAATTTTTTGTATTTTAGTAGAGACAGGGTTTCACTGTGTTGGCCAGGCTGGTCTTGAACTCCTGAGCTCAGGCAATCCGCCCACCTCGGCCTCCCATAAGTGGTAGAATTACAGGCGTGAGCCACCGTGCCCAGCCTTATACTGTTTTTCTAATGTGAAGATAGCCCGCCTGGGTAAGCCTGATCCAGATATCTTTAGTTGGTCTTGTTTGAACTCATGTTGCTAAAAGTTCTTGCCCAGATGCCTGAATCAGCTGATAACTCTCATTCCACCCGAAAGAAAAGTTCTGCTTTGATCTACCTCTGAAAGGACTAATTTGAATATTATAAAATCAAATTATTTCTCAATCTTAGCAATCTTATACCTGAACTCAAGACAAATACATGAAGTAAGCAACACTAATACTGTGATTAATAAATTATTTACTAGAATTTTTTATTTACTAGAAATTTTTATTTACTAGAAATGTTTTCCTTGCAAAAGCAGCAGTGTGAACTTCTAACTACTTTGCAGAAATAAAATTATTAAATTCTACAACCATTTACATATTCTGCCTACTTTTTACTAAAAGCAAAATGGGATAGTGAATGTTTTACGGACAGCTACATTTTACTGAAAAGTAACAGTAAACAAAAATAAAATTTTTTGTTTTTGAGATGGAGTCTCTGTCGCCCAGACTGGAATGCAGTGGTGCAATCTTGGCTCACTGCAAGCTCCGCCTCCCGGGTTCACGCCATTCTCCTGCCTCAGCCTCCCGAGTAGCTGGGACTACAGGTGCCTGCCACCACGCCCAGCTAATTTTTTGTATTTTTAGTAGAGACGGGGTTTCACTGTGTTAGCCAGGATGGTCTTGATCTCCTGACCTCGTGATCCACCCCCCTCGGCCTCCCAAAGTGCTGGGATTACAGGCGTGAGCCACCGTGCCTGGCCACAAAAATAAATTTAACTAATGTGTCTAAGATCTGAGATTTGCCTGCCAGGGATCTTGCTTCTTAAGGGATGCAGTACAGAGCTATGTTAAAGGTATAAGCACTGGAGTCAGAAGAGTTGAACTTCTCCCGCTTTAAATATAAACTATGTGACTTTCTGTCTCTAAACTTCAGTTGATGATACTACCAACTTATACAACTGTGGTGGAATTTACATGCAACACTGTAGTATTAATAATTAATATAAAATGCTTAGCATTCTATCTGGTACATAATAAGAGGTAAATAACATCTTAAGGGAGATATAACTAACAAACATCAGATTCACTATGATGGTCTTTTTATTTTTTTTTTGAGACAGGGTCTTGTTCTGTCACCCAGGCTGGAGTATAGTGGTGAGATCATGGCTCACTGGAACCTCCACCTCCCGGCTCAAGTGATTCTCCCACCTCAACCTCCTGAGTGGCCGGGATTGCAAGCTCATGCTATCACGCCTGGCTAATTTTTATATTTTTTGTAGAGACAGGGTTTCACCATCTTGCCCAGGCTGGTCTCAAACTCCTGGACTCAAGCAATACACCCACCTCAACCTCCCAAAAATGCTGGGATTACAGGTGTAAGCTACCATGCCCAGCCACTATGATGGTCTTAAAATCTGTGAATTACAATAATAAAATGCAAGTTGCAAATGGGCTGGCCTCAAAACAAGCTAAAGAAATATTCTTCATTTCATCAAATCTAAGATGCCATTGATGGTAAGCTGCACCAGTATTTTATGTATTCTTTAAAAAGAAACCTGCCAACTGAACTGTGACAAACCATCAATTGTAAGATATCTCCCAATTTCAGAGATGTTGAAATGTAAACAAAAAATTTTGAGTCTTAGATTGGTAAAATACAGCAAGTTTAATTACACAGTTGAAAGTTAGGCTATTAAATGCCAATAGAACAATCATTCTCAAGACCAATCACACAATTAGAGAGAATTGCTCCCTTTCTTAGAGTACTCTTCCATGCTTATTTCCATCACCAATTTCGCCTAGCTCCCATCTGTCATTTCCTGAGGGAAACATCCCTCAACCAGTGAGACTACAATGGATCCCTCCCTTTTATGCTTCCATTGCACTTGGTATTTTCCTTTACAGTACTTATTATAGTGCTCAATTACCAGTCTTCTCCAGCTGATTTCAAGTTCAATAAAGGCTGTTTAGTTCAGTGCATATACCACGTACAAGGCTTGCAAAATCAAAATCACGCAAAAGCAAAAAGGAAATGTAAGCAAGTAAGATGGTCAGTGCAATATTTCTCATTATTTTTCATAGCATTTTATTGGCAATTAATAAACCCTTGTTGCAGCCTTTATGGAAAACAGTATGGAGGTTCCTCAAAAAATTAAAAATAGAACTACTACATGATCTAGCAATCCCACTTCAGGGACTACATGCAAAGTAAATAAAATCACTATCTCAAGGAGACCCCTGCACTCCCATGTTCACTGCAGCATTATTCACAACAGCCAAGATATGGAAACAACCTAAGCGACCATCGACAGACAAATGGATAAAAAGAATGTGGTATATACATAAAATGGAATATTATTTAGCCTTTAAAAGAAGGAAGTCTTGTCATTTGTGACAACATGGATGAACCTGGAGGATATTATGTTAAATAAAATAAGCAAGACACAGAAAGACAAATACTGTATGATCTCACATGTGGAATCTAAGAAAGCTCAACTCACAGAAACAGAGGTTAGAATGGTAGTTACCCAGGGCTGAGGGCTGAGGCAAATGGTGAGATGTTGGTCAAAGCATAGAAACTTTCAGTTATAAGATGAGTAAGTTCTGGAGACCTAATGTACTGCATGGTGACTATAATTATTATTGTATACTTGAAATACGCTGAGAGTAAATTTCATGTTCTTATGTCTCTCACATACCTATGAGGTGATTGTTATATTCATTACCTTGATTGTGGTAATCATTTCACAATGCATATGTATTATCAAAAATCACACTGTATACCTCAAATACATGTAACTTTTACTTGTTAATCATACCTGAATACATTAGCTGGGGAGAAAATAAACCAACTTCAAATGTTAGGCTTTATTTCCATTTCATTAAGTTACCATAGGTCTTTTTCTTTTTTTTCTTCTTTGAGACAGAGTCTTGCTCTGTCACCCAGGCTGGAGTACAGTGGCAAGATCTCGGCTCACTGCAACCTCCGCCTCCCGGGTTCAAGCGATTCTCCTGCCTTAGCCTCCTGAGTAGCTGGGATTACAGGTGTGCGCCACCATGCCCAGCTGATTTTTGTATTTTTAGTAGAGACGGGGTTTCACCATGTTGGTCAGGCTGGTCTCGAACTCCTGACCTCGTGATCTGCCCACCTAGGCCTTCCAAAGTGCTGGGATTACAGGTGTGAGCTACCACGCCTGGCCCATAGGTCTTTTTTTTTTTTTAATCAATCTTATTTTTTTGCCTCCCAATGGCACGTTATACTTTGCTCACATAAACATACTCTCACATTTTTCTTAAATTTTTTTGGTCTATCTCTTCTCCCAACCCAGGCACCTTATTCCATTTCTCTTTTTTCTTCCTAAAAGGATCCAAAATCTTGAAATTGGTGTGTATTTGTCCCATCTGTTTTATAATTTTACTTTATTTGTATGTACCTAGTACATACTTTTGTTCTAAGTTTATATAAATAATAACATATCCTTTTGCTTTTTTTTTGAAACAGAGTCTTACTCTGTTGCCCAGGCTGGAGTGCAGTGGCGTGATCTCGGCTCACTGCAACCTCCGTCTCCTGGGTTCAAGAAATTCTCCTGCCTCAGCCTCCCTAGTAGCTGGGATTACAGGCACACGCCACCATGCCAGGCTAATTTTTTTTTTTTTTCTGAGACAGAATCTTGTTCTGTCGCCCAGGCTGGAGCGCAGTGGCATGATCTCGGCTCGCTGCAACCTCTGCCTCCTGGGTTCAACTGATTCTCCTGCCTCAGCCTCCCGAGTAGCTGGGACTACAGGTGCGTGCCACCACGTCTGGCTGATTTTTATATTTTTAGTAGAGATGGGGTTTCACCATGATGGCCAAGCTAGTCTTGAACTCCTGACCTCAAGTGATCCACCTGCCTTGGCCTCCCGAAGTGCTAGGGTTACAGGCATGAGCCACCGTGCCTAGCCCCTTTTGCTGTTTACTCACCCCCAACATTTTCTTTCCTTTTTTTTTTTTTGAGACGGAGTCTTACTCTGTCGCCCAGGCTGGAATACAGTGGTGCAATCTCAGCTCACTGCAACTTCTGCCTTCTGGGTTCAAGTGATTCTCCTGCCTCAGCCTCCTAAGTAGCTGGGATTACAGATGTGCACCATCACGCCTGGTTAATTTCTGTATGTTTAGTAGAGACAGGGTTAAGCCATGTTGGCCAGGCTGGTCTCGAACTCCTGACCTCAAGTGATCCACCCACCTTGGCCTCCCAAAGTGCTGGGATTACAGGTCTGAGCCACTAGGCCCAGCCCATTTTTTTTTTCTTTTTTCTTTTCTGAGGCAGAGTCTCAGTCTGTTGCCTAGACTGGAGTACAGAGGTGTGATCTCAGCTCACTGCAACCTCCACCTCCTGGGTTCAAGTGATTCTCATGCCTCAACCCCCAAGTAGCTGGGATTATAGACGTGCACTACCACACCTGGCTAATGTTTGTATTTTACGTAGAGATGGGGTTTTACCATGTGGACCAGGCTGGTCTTGAACTCCTGGCCTCATATGATCCGAAGGCCTCTGCCTCCCAAAGTGCTGGGATTATAGGCATGAGCCATGATGTCTGGGTACAACATTATTTTAATAATTCACATTGATACATATAGATCTGGTTCATTTATTTAACTGTTATGTAGTACACCACAATATTATGTAACTATTTACGTGCTGTTTATTCATTCTGCTACTGACAGGAATTTAGGCTGTTTCCAATTTTCTGCTATTACATATAATGTTTCAAGCACACATGCAAGATATCTCTTTATGGGTTTTAAGTTATGCAATTTCATCTTTACTTCATCTCTTCTAGTTGAGAATTGCTCTCCGGGGTAGTTGTACCAAATGGTACTACTACAAACAATGTGTGAGAGTTCCTTTTACTTCATCCTCACCAACATTTGGTATTTCATAAGATTTTTCTTTTCACCTTGCACTTTTTGCAAATCATAAGGCTTTTTAATTTTACAAATCTGATGCGTAGAAAATGGTAACACTGATTTCACTTGCAAGTTCTTGATTATTAATGAATGAGAATCTTTTCATGTGTTTACTGGCTATATGCATTTCCTATTTTGAGAACTACCTATTTTTCAATTTATCTGTTCTTATATTTTGTAAAGTTCTCAGTTATATGAGTTACAAATTTTCTAATGTTTTTAACTTTATTGTTTCTTTTGCGATACACAAGTTTTAAATTTTGGTCAAGTTTATCAGTATTTTCCTTTGCAGTTTATACTTTGTACTTTGTTTGGTGTTAGGAACATTCTCTCATTTTTATCCTAAAAGAATTTTGAAGATTTGCTTTTCATATTTGGGATATAATTCACCTAGAAATAAATTTTGTGTCTAATGTAAGATGGATCTAATTTTTTTAAAGTTAAACTGTGTAAACACAATTTATTAAATATTCTACTCTTTCCCTACTGATCTGAAACACTACATCAGATATTTACAGTTTCCATAAACACATATGTGGCTCGTTTCTAGACTCTGCTTCATTAATCTGCCTGTTCCTGCACCTGAAGCCATGTGGTATAACTGTTACAGTTTTATAGGAAGTAGGGCAATTTCTGCTTTATTTTTCTTTAAAATTCTATTGGTTTTTCTTAGTCACTTATTCTTCCATATAAATCTTAATATCGACTTATCAAGTGTTATACTATACCCTATTGGAATTTTATTTTATTTGTTTTTTGAGACAGGTTCTAATTCTGTTGCCCAGGCTGGAGTACAGTGGTGAGATCACAGTTCACTGCAGCCTCGACTTCTGGGCTCAAGCGATTCTCCCAACTGAGCCTCTTGAGTAGCTGGGACTACAGTCACACACCTCTACGCCTGGCTAATTTTTTTGTCTTTTTTTAGCAATAGGGTTTCACCATGTTGGTCAGAACTCCCAGGCTCAAGCAATCCTCCCACCTTGGCCTCCCAATGTGCTGGAAATACTGGCATACCCACCGTACCTGGCCCCCTATTGGAATTTTAATTAAAACTATATTTATAGATTAATAAGGACAATGTGTTTCATTAAATTTTCTTAGATCTTTCAATAAAGTTTTATAATATCTTAGAGACCTCAGAAATCGTTTATTCCTGAGTACCTCATTTTCAATCCAAACTCTTGATCTCATTATACTTGTTAAGCTCAGCTAAGATATCACATACTACTACAAATATTTCTCTAATTTTTCAGGCTCATTTGGATGCTCCTCCTCCTATGCTCTTGGATTTATTTATTCATTCTTTGTTTAATATGACCAAAAGTTGTGCTGGGCATAGAGGGTACACTGGTGAATAAAATGACAATCCCTTCATGGAGCTTTCGTTCTAACAGGAGAGACAGAACAATAAACACCCATAATTCAAGGTGATACATGCTATTATAGGGGAATTACACTGTGCTATGGGAATACAGAAGAGAAATACCTAACTCAGACTTGGGGGATGGCTGGATTGGGGGAGAAGGGTGTCAAACACTGCTTCTCAAGGAAGTAACATGTAGACTGAAACCTGTAAGAAGAACAGAAGTTAGCAAACACAATAGTGACTAAAAATCATAGCACTGATATCCTTGTCTCTTGATTTTATTGAAAAAGCTCTCATTGTTTAACTGTGAAATCATCTACTTTTTGTTTCTTTTTTTAGAGATAGGGGTCTCACTCTGTTGCCCAGGCTGGAGTACAGTGGCTCAATTACAGCTCACTGCAGCCTGCAACTCCTGGGGCTTAGGCTATCCTCCTGCCTTAGCCTCCCAAGTAGCTGGGACTACAGGCGTGAGCCCCTGTGCCCAGCTCATTTATTTTTTGGATATGTTTCCCCTCTTGGCTTTTTTGACATCATATTTGGTGTCTCATATTGCCTTGTATAATCATTACTTGCTCACTAGTTCTTTTTTTCTTAAATGCTAGTATTCCTCGACGGCTTTATCCTCCTCTTTCCTGTTTCAATCTAAATACTATTCCTAAAGAGTTTTTCCACTTCTATAGTTTCAAATATGGATTTACATACTGAAGAGTCCCAACACTCTTACTTTCAGCTCCCACCATTATAGATTTTCATACCTAAATTTCTAAATATACACTAGATATGTCTATCTATATGTTCCATAGAATCCTCAAGCTTTGGACATGTTAACATTGATACATGGTGTATACTGCCAACTAACCAGCAATAGCAGATCTACCTCCATATTCAGTTGACAGTACCACCATTCATACCTGGCAGAAAACTCAGAGTCAGTACTCTGAATGTACATTGGAGAGTATGACCTTCTTGGGAGCCAGTTTACATTATGGCAGTCACTGTACCTGAAAGTTGTTTCGAGGGCTGAATAATCACAGAAAATTTCAGACCAGGTGTGGAGGGTTGTTTTTCTTTTTATTTATTTATTTTTGAGATGGGGCCTTGCTTTGTCACTGCTGGAATGCAGTGGCACAATCATGGCTCACCACAGCCTTGATATCCTGGGCTCAAGCCACCCTCCCATCTCAGCCTCTCTAGCAGCTGGGACTACAAGTACGCACCACACCTAGCTAATTTTTTTCTTTTTCTTTTTTTTTTTTTTTTTTTTGGTAGAGATCAGGTCTCACTATGTTGTTCAGCCTGATCGCAAACTCCTAATCTCAAGTGATCCTCCCACTTTGGCCTCCCAAAGTGCTGGGATTACAAGTGTAAGCCATCATGGCAGGTGTTGTTTTTAATGTGTTAACTTGCTAGGCTACCAGCTGCCATTTGTTTAATCAAACACTAATCTAGGTGTTGCTATGAAGGTATTTTGTAGATGTAATTAAAATCCATAATCTGTTGACTTTAAGTAATGGAGATTATCCTGAATAATGTGGATGGGCCTGATTCAATTAGGTGAAAGGTCTTAAAAGTAGGGCTGAAGCTTCCCTGAGAGCAAGAAATTCCACTTATAGATAACTGCTTCAGCCCATGCCTGAATTTCCCTGCCCTTCCTGACAGCCTGCCCCCAAAATTTCAGACTTGCCTAGCTAGCCCCTACAATTGCATAAACTCTCTCTCTATACTTCGTACTGGTTCTGCTTCTCTAGGTTCTGAACCTTGACTGATATGCCAGGCTTGTAGTTTATTTGCAAAAACAATTCTTTCAAAAATCTAGTAAAGCTCTGGTCTATTTTTTTCCAATCCGTTCCATGTACCAGTACTACACCCAAAGTTTTTTTTTTCTGGACATGGTTCTTAAACCTATTTTTTCAGCTTAATCCTTCCTCTCCATCCCACATTAGACCATCACCATCTCTTACCTGAACTAGTGATTGAAAAGCCTCCTAACTGGCTTCTCAGATTAGTTTTTTCTCCTCTATCTATTCTCCACACTGCTGCCAGAGGTCTCTTTCTGGAAAACAAATATGATCATGTCACTATCCTTCTTAAAAACCTTTGAAGTATCCCTATCTAAAGGATAGAGAGAAGTTTTCCTATTTCATTGATTTGTTTTTATCTTTTATTTCTTTCTATTCTCTTTGCATTTAATTTTCTGTGATTTTTCTAACTTGTTGAGAATGAATGCTTATGTCACTGATGCTTTTTTCTTTTAAAATCGGCATTTCAAGTTTTAAATTCTCTCTAAGCATTGCTTTAGCTGATCATACCAGTTCTGATATGTATTGTATTCATTGTCCTTCAGTTCAAAATTTTCTCTGTGATTTCTTTAAACAAGGGGTTATTTAGAAATCATTTCTTTATTTTTTAATAGAGATGGGGTCTCACTATGTTGCCCAGGCTGGTCTCAAACTCCAAGGCTCAAGTGATCCTCCCACCTTGGCCTCCCAAAGTGCTAGGATTACAGGTGTGAGCTACCACACCCAGCCTAGAAATTATTTCTTAATAATTTTCAAAGCTGGACTTCAAGTTCTAGTAGGAACATAACAGCAATTTAGTTCCAAATTTTCCCATCTTTCTCCTAGAACCTGTACAGAGCAACAAAAACAATGTTAAAAACAAAAAATACCATATATCTTTAGTGAAACTAGGGGATAATAAAAACCTAAAAATGCCAACTTCTAAGTAAATATGACCCAAAGTACTTGAGACTAAAAGAAGCCACATCTGAGCATGAGAGAATGACAAGAAGTATAAAGGAATCTGGTGGGGGAATAGCACATATTTACTCCCAGAAAGAAAAGAATCTATACCAAGCGGGAACTACAATGTTTAGAACTGAGATTAAATGGGGGATTCTCAGAAGGAGGTAAGGAAAGGAGGTGTAGAAAGTGGCAGAACAATAAGTGGAGGGTGGTTTGGAAGTGACAGATCTCAGAAAGGACCACCCTTTTACAAGTGAGGCATGCTCTTTTGTAATTTCTTCTTTTGAAGTAGTTTCGAACTTACAGAAAAGTTATAAGAATAGTACAAAAAACTCCTGTATACCTGTCACAAATTCTTTAATTGTTAACATTTGAGGCAGGCAATTTAAAGGGTAGGAGGTGCATCCCTTGGTAGCAGAACTAGTCAGGACCTGGGGAACTCATGGCTGGTAGTTCATATTACTTAAACCCCTTAAGTTACTGAGAGGCATAGGAGATGTGGCTGCATTTTGAAGAAAGAGTCCACCAGAACAATGGAGGAGAGAGGCCTTGAGCACAGAAACCTGGAAAACTATCTTGCTCCGAAGGTGTTCCTAATGTTCCTAACACCCTTAAGTCCCTTCTAACAGATGGTTTGGGAAACTCATCTCATGCCAATATAAGCAACAAAAAAGTGGTAAGTATACATACAATAATACCATAGAAAAAAATGTAAAAAGGCACCGCGACATTTCTGACAAAGAAAACTCAACAGACAATATCATCACAAAGCAGAGGAAAATTAAAACCCTACTTTTTACTCACACTGAAAAATTCCTAATGCAGTTATGAAGAAAAAGTTCAGAGGAGAAATTTAGAAACTCAAGGAGCAACTAACCAGTCAACAGGAGTTGTAGTGAAACAAGCATGGCAGAACTCAGAAAAGAAATGGGAGAAAAAGAATTTTAAGAATTAAAAAGATGAAGACTAAAATGCAATGAGCACATGGTAAAAATATACAACACCAAAGGCACAGTAAGAAGCATGTAGGATAGAAATTTTTTAAAAGTAAATAAAATGATGGATATAAAACTGACCCAAAATGGTCAACTAAGAAAACATCTAGTAATTTTACTGATGTCACTTAATAAAATAATTTCTAAATTATTTGGTATTTGGAAGAAATACTTTCAGCAATCACACACAAAAAAGCACACTCCTTCTAAGAAAAATAAAATCAAGCTGGCATCATACTTCTCTATTGAACAGTCAATGCCAGAAGACAGTGGAAAAATACCTACAAGGTACTCAAGGAAAAAGTGTGAGCCAACAATTCCACATCTAGCCAAACAGTCCTTCAGGAATAAGGCTACAGATAACTCAGGCCTTATTCATATGAGCATTTCTTGAAGAAACAACTTGAGGACAAACTGAAACCAACAAATGACCAGAAAAATTTCAGCAAAAGGACTGGCAGTGAGCAACAATACATTTAATTGCAGATTTAAGATTGAAAACAAATGGAATGAAACTGTTACATGGTCTAAGAATGTAGGAATTCAAATCAATGAATATATACAAATGGATGTTAAGAGTAGAATATATGAAAAGTAGAATAAGCTCAATGACTGCACCTCATGTGCAACAGGTAGGAGTCAAAGTTGAAAGTCAATCAGTAAAAACTTAAGCAACATGACAGAATAAAATTATAAAGAGCAATAAAATAATACTATATTGGCTAAAACTAGTAGAAAGAAGGGAAGAGAATAAAGCTAATGTAATTGTTACTCAATTAAGGGAAACAAAAGACTGCTTTAAAACAGAGGAAGATAGGTATCATATGAAGGTATAAGTATAAAGATAACCACTGGGGGGAAAAATCTTCCTAAGATGAGGACTACCATTTAAAAAGCACAGAAAACACAACACTCAAAGTTTCAAAATATATACAAATGTAAAAAATGGCATAAAATAATTTTACAAAACCATGACCAATGGTTGTGACTTGACAGAAAGATATGTCCTTCCTATCTATATCTGGCTTAATTCATCCACCAAACAGAAAAAAAGCTTTAAACTGACCCACAAAGCAAACCATTCTATGCTGTCATCAAGATATACCTGAAAAAAAAAGTTAAAGGATAGGATAAAGTTCACAAAAGCATGAAGTGCAATCTTTTTATTAGATAATGTAGAATTTTGGTCAAAAAGTACAAAAAGAAAGTCACTTATATAAAGGTTATAATTCATAACGAAAACAGATATGAATATATATGCTCCTAATACAGTAGCAACATTCAGAAAATGGAAATTACAGGAGATAAAAGAAGAAACAGAAAGATATTAATAATAGGAAATTTATTTATCCTAGTCTGAGAGAACAAAAAACAAAACTAAGGAAATAAATGACATAAGCAACATAATCAAACTGGTAGCTCTGATGGATATTTCACTCTAAACTAATATATGAATATATCTTATTTTCATATAGCCATAGAACTATCACAAAAATTGACCGTATATTGGGCTACAAAAAATACCTCTAGAAACTCTAAAAGGAAAAATACAAACCACATTTTTTTTTTTCTGAGAAGGAGTCTCATTCTGTCCCAAGGCTGGGGTGCAGCGGCGCGATCTCGGCTCACTGCAAGCTCCGCCTCCTGGGTTCACGCCATTCTCCTGCCTCAGCCTCCCAAGTAGCTGGGACTACAGATGCCCGCCACCACGCCCGGCTAATTTTTTGTATTTTTAGTAGAGATGGGGTTTCACCGTGTTAGCCAGGATGGTCTCAATCTCCTGACCTCGTGATCCGCCCGCCTCGGCCTCCCAAAGTGCTGGGATTACAGGCATGAGCCACCGCGCCCAGCCACAAACAACATTTTTTAACAACACAATGAAACTAGAAATTCACAACAAATCCAGAAAACAAAAAGATCTTCAATCTGAAAATTTGAAAAGTCTCTCAAACAATATTTCAAGCACAGAGGAAATACAAATGAAATTTGTGGAGTTTCTAGAAAATAATATTATGTATTTCTAGTTTCTAGAATATAATAAAAATACTACATATTAGAAGCTTTGTAATACGGCTAAAACAGTGATCACCAGAAAAATAATTGTTTTAAATATTTCCACCAACAAAATGAAAGTACATGTTACTAATCTAGCTAAAATAGATAGAAAAATAACTTTTAAGAATAATTCCCATTGTCAGCAAGGCCTTACTTTCCTCAACATCAGTATTGTGTCCTAATAACAGACCAGAAAACTGAGCCTCCAGAATCCCCAGGAAGCTGCTCTATCCTCAAAGAATAGTAAGACTGTTGTAACTTGCTCTGTCTGTAAACACACTTCAGGAAGGAAGAGGAAGTTGGCAGATATATTTTCAAATGATCTTCAACACAATTCTTGAGAGTTTTCTAGTGAGTTTAACGTTAATAAAAAAAAAAATTGTTTTCAGGCCAGATGCGGTGGCTCACGCCTGTAATCCCAGCACTTGGGAAGGCGGAGGGAGGCGGATCACCTGAGGTCAGGAGTTCGAGACCAGCCTGACCAACATGGTGAAACCCCATCTCTACTAAAAATACAAAAAAATTAGCTGGGTGTCGTGGCATGCACCTGTAATCCCAGCTACTTGGGAGGCTGAGGCAGGACAATCGCTTGAACCAGGGAGGCGGAGGTTGCAGTGAGTCGAGATCGAGCCACTACACTCCAGCCTGGGTGACAAGAGCAAAACTCAAAAAAAATTGTGTCAAGAAATTTGGGTACCTTACATCTCTAGAAAGAGTTCATCAAGATTTTATTTCATTGATTCAAGTATTTAAGTTTAAGTACTAAATATACACCTGAGCTAGAATAATAGAAAATATTCTTTATTATAGGTTTCAGTAATTCATTAATTGGGAAGACTATGTTACCAAAAAAGAAGTCAGGGCATAGGAAAAAAGGTTAAGGATTAAACTACTTAATTAAACAATCAGCATTCATTAACTATACTTTGTTCTTAATCAGAAAGCACTCAATAAATACATTTTGTTTTCTAAAATAAATATTTATGATGCCATACCGTCTTTTTTTTAGTTTTTTGATAAGAAGTAATAGATGCTTATTGTTGAAAGCTTGAAAAAGATGGAGAAAAATAAATACCACTGAATTTCACTACCTGAAAAAAAAGTAAAAAGAACAAAGCATACATATGCAAAATAACAGACTGGGAAAACCACAAAAATACACAGAATTTCAAAAACTAATAGAAACTAGCTGGGCACGGTGGCACATGCCTGTAATCCCAGCACTTTGGGAGGCCAAGGCAGGCAGATCTCTTGAGACCAGGAGTTTGAGACCAGCCTGGGCAACATGGTGAAATCTTGTCTCTACAAAAAATACAAAAATTAGCCAGGTGTGGTAACATGTGTCTGTAGTCCCAGCTGCTCAGGAGGCTGTAGTGGGAAGATCGCTTGACCCTGGGAGGTGGAGGTTGCAGTGAGCCAAGATTACACCACTGCACTCCAGCCTGGGTGACAGAGCAAGACCCTGTCTCAAAAAAAAAAAAAAAAAAATCATAATAACGATAGAAACTACTTTGTAAAACTCTGTATAATTAAATTACATATGAATAAAATAATTTTCCAGTAAAATGTGAGCTACCAAAAGTGAACCTAAACAGCCTGAACAGACTTTTTTTTTTAATTAAAAAAAAATTTTTATGGGTACATACTAGATGTATATATCTATGGGTTACACGAGCTTTTGATACAAGCATATAATGCATAATAATCAGATCAGGGTAAATGGGGTATCCATTACCTCAAGCATTTATCCTTTCTTTATGTTACCAACAATCCAATTATATTTTTAGTTATTTTTAATTGTACGATAAATTATTAGACTGATTTTCACAAAATAAATGAGGGAAGTTTTAAAACAGCTACCTAGCAAACCAAACCAAACCAAACAAAAAACGGCAGGTCACAAGGTTTTATAGGGGAATTCTACGAAATCATACAAGAGCTGATAATATCAATACTATTTTAAAACTGTTATACATTTTAGAAAATGGAAAACTTCTGAATTTTTTAGGAAATAATACCAAAACTTGACAAAGATTGTACAAAAAAGGAAGGCTGCAGATTAATATGACTTCTGCATGTTAATTTATAAAAGGAAAGTATTAGCAAACAGAATCCAGCATCAATTAAAAGAATCTAGGAGTCCTGGTTTGGTTCAATGTTTGTTAAAAATAAGAGAAATATCACATCATCAGCTCCATAGATGCTGAAAAGGCATCTGACAAAATTTAACACATACTCTTGATAAACGTACTTAATAAGAAACAGATATTCCTTAATATGACAATGTATACATACAATGCTTAATGCTTCTAGAGCAAGAAAGAAAAAGGACGCACATTAATCACTACTATTTAATCCTACCCTGTCTAATTAGTCTATATAATCTGATAAAAAAAATTAGAGGTATAAAAATCCAAAGGAAGAGGTAAACTTATCACTAGTTGCAGGTGATGATTATAACCTAGAAACCCCAATAAAATCGCTTGAAAAAATACCACAAACAATAATGGAATTCAATAACACAGAAAGAGAGAAAGTATACAGAAATCAAAAGCCTGAATATATATAAGCAATTACCAGTTAGTATCTATAAACCCATTTAATAGCAACAAAAAGGAGAAAATATCCTGGAATAACAAGAAATGGCCTGGGTGCAGTGGCTCACGCCTGTAATCCCAGCACTCTGGGAGGCTGAGGTGGGTGGACCACCTGAAATCAGGAGTTCGAGACCAGCCTGACCAACATGGTGAAACCCCATCTCTACTAAAAATACAAAATTAGCTGGGTGTGGTGGTGCATGCCTGTAATCACAGTTGCTTGGGAGGCTGAGGCATGAGAATTGCTTGAACCTGGGAGGCGGAGGTTGCTGTGAGCCGAGATCACTCCATTGTACTCCAGAGCGAAACTCTGTCTCAAAAAAAAGAAAGAAAAAAGAAAAGAAAGAAAGAAAAAAAAAAAGAAATGTGCAAAATTTATGTGAAGCTTTAAGATCTCTTGAAAATGAAAGTAATCTTAAACAAATAGAAAGACATAGTATATTCTTTGACAGAAAAGACAACACCTTAAATATGCCAATTTGTCCTAACTTAATTTATAAATCTAATAGGATCTCAATAAAAATAACAATCTGTCCTCTCCCACTCACTGGATCTAAACAAGGAATTTCTAAAGCTTATACATAAGAATGGTCTGGAAAACCCTGAAAAGAGAAAAATGGGACTAGTCCTATCAGATATTAAAAGTCATAAAAGAAATGACTGACCAATACATATGTATGTGTGCACACACCAACATACAAACAAACTTCTGCATGGCAAAAACAAAAACAACAACAAAAAAAACATCACAATACCAAAGGTCAAAAGACAAATAGCAACCTAGGTAAAATATCTGCAACTCATGACAGATGAACAGCTAACTTCCTTAATTTAGAAAGCATTCTCAGTAAATAAGAAGACGAAAAATCCAATAGAAAAAAAAGGGCAAAAGATATAAACTAACAGTTCATTAAAAAAGAAACACAAGTGGCCCTTATATTTGTGAAAAGGTAGTCAAATACAAATTAAGAAGACACAAGAAAACTGTTTCTTGCAAATCTGATTGAAGAAAATCTAAGAGTTTGATGATTCTAGTGGCAAAGATATAAGGAAACTGGTACTCTCATTCATTGATGCAAAATATTTACTATCTCTATGGAGTGCAATCTGGCAACAATGATACAAATTACAAATATTAATACATTTGCCCTTAACTCATCAGTCTAACCGCCAGGAATGTATCTTACAGACTTATCTTAATATACATAAAATGATGTAAAATAGAAAAGTTAAAAATAACCCTAGTATACATCTAAAGAAAACTGGTTAAATATATCCCCTCCTCAATCATATATTACACAATGGTAGGTGCAGCTGAAAAAATGAGGAAACTATACCCTAATCTGGAAGGATCCAGGGATCCTTGGAGGAATGTCTAATTTCAGGTACTGGGCAGGAAATATAAGATGAGCAAGGAATATCCTGCTGTGCCCGAAAGCAAGAAAGCTTTCAAACATTTACTAATTTTCAATAGGACACTGAGCTTTTCCACAGAAAAATTCCACCTAATGCAAAAAGAATAACAGAAAAATTACCAGTTCGTAATCCCTAGTGAAATAAATAATTTGGGCCACAACGATCAGTGAACAGAACATTAGCAATTCAAAGGTTAATTAAGAAATTTACAATGGAGAGATCTCTGAATCTACTGATTAATCTCTGAACCTAGAGACTGATTTTTGAATCACTAAAATTGGGACCACTAGATACTGTGTTTCCTAATATGACACGACATAAAGCACTTAAGCATTTTGAACCAGAATGGAATGAAACTTCTAAGCTAACTTTCATTTTCAGAAAAAACAGGGGATAGAGGAACAAGGTAATAACACAAGAAAACAAAAAGACAAAATCAGATTTGAACATATTCTACAGAACAAGTGACCCAGTTTTTGTAAAATGTCAATGGCATAAAGAAATAAGAAAACAGGAAAGGAAATGGGACTACTAGATGGCAAAAGGCACAATAATCAAATGTGATGTGTGGATCTTGTTTGGATTCTGATTAGAACCAGCTAACAAGAAAAAGGCATATTTCAGACAATCAGGGAAATCTGATTGTGGACAGGTATTAGAGGGTAAAAATAAATGCTTGTTTATAATTTTCCTACATATGATAATGCCATTGCTGCTATAAGAAAATATCCATAGTTTTAGAGGTACACATTGAAGTAATAGGGATAAAATAACATGCTGTCTGGAATTAGATTTAAAAACACTACTGTAGAGGAAGAAATGTACTCGGATTACGCAAAGGTAGAAAAATTCTGACAATCTGAGTAATGGCTACCTATGTGGTAGTTCATAATACTACTCTCTCTGTTTTTACATAAGCTTGAAAATATTTTGTAAGAAAACACCTAAAAACAAGAATGCAATTAGCATCACATTAAGACCAGCAGTGGGTATAACATCTGGGGGTCACCATGCCCAACAGAATTATCTTTCTTAAAATATATATTTCATAATAAAATGTTGGCTTAGAGTTAAAAGGGCAAAAGTGAGTTATAATAGAAGATTGCTCAGATAATCATCAGGGCTTTTAAATCTGTCTTCATGTGCTTGCTTCATGTTTAGCAGCATTCCAAGGTAAATTCTACAGGCTTTCTAAATGAAATGTAATAAAAATATAAAGGTTTCTCCAGTAGATCATAATACATGTCCAAATATTACTTCGAGACACCAGTATGTATAATTATATATAAAATTTATGTACACACATCATACAGAAATCCACCACCCAATACAGAATATGGCTTTAGTTCCCTTACCATCGATATTAAGCATCATTTTCCACATGGCAGGCCGAACAGACTGATGGAATCCAAACCACACTTCCCTGCCCCCTCCCAGAGGGTGGTCATATCCTTCTGGAGCGGAGAAAAATGAACGCCCCACAGGTGTGTATCTACAAAAATTAAAATGGCATGTTCAATCCTTTCCTTCTCATGCAAGTATTTAAATCTGCAGAAAAGGGGAGACTAGAGCACAATTAACATAATGATGCTTATCATTATGAATATATGAAACTAAACATGTTCCAAATTTGAGAAAGCAAAAAGTATCCACTCTAAATGGAAAAAAATCTACTTAAATTTTCCTTTCTCAAAATTGTTGGTTGAAATAAGAATAAATTTTATTTAAAATAATTTCTTAAAAATAGGTTTTAAAAAGTTAACAGTTCCGACCTTAAAAATGTTAACAAGTAAATAATTATTGAACAAAAAGGTATTTATATAAATGTGTTTGCAAGACATACTATTTTTCTTTAAAAAAAAACATACTGAGTCAGGTGTGGGGGCTCACACCTGTAATCCGAGCACTTTGGGAGGCTAAGGTGAGAGGATTACTTGAGTCCAGGAGTTTGAAACCAGCCTGGGCAACATAGGGAGATTCCATCTCTACAAAAAAAAAAAAAAAAAAAAATTTTTTTTTAATTAGTCAGGCATGATGGTGCATACCTGTGGTCCCAGCTACTCAGAAGGCTGAGGTAGGAGGATTGCTTAGGCCTGGGAGGTTGAGGCTGCAGTGAACCATGATTGTGCCACTGCACTACAGCCTGGGTGACAGAGTGAGACCATGTCTCAAAAAAAACCCAACCAAACAATAAAAAATACACGGGTACACATGCGCTCACACACAGGAGCATACCCTACACATGTGAGGTCCTAGGGTTATTGAAAAAAAGCAATTCAACACAATTTGATATTGTTGTATAAACAGTGAAATTACTTTTAAAACAAGATAACTAAATAAATACATCTGAAAATAGATCTGTTAAGACTTTTAGATCCTAAGAGAAAGGGTGAGATATTTTTCTATAAAATTATTCATGAGACTAGCTAAGCTAATGACGTATAGTTACTTGCAAAAGCCAGATAATTTTCTGTAACGTACTCCTGTCAATGAATTTGTATGGATGCTATTCTTGTTCAACATTTCAGTTGAACAATCAAAATATATGACAAATAAAGGTTTAACCAAGGGAAGCCTGCACAATTCATTCTTGGGAGTTTAAAATCTAAAGAGAAAAAAAGCAGAAGCACCCACTTCATGGAGGGCAGATGTCGTAGCACCACATCAACGGCATGGACAGGGTTAGTGCTGATTGGCTTGTCTAATTCCAGTGGCTCAGGCAAGGTCCGTCCTGTCAGTACTTCATGCAGTAGGTGCCAACTCACCCGAGAGACAAATTTGATTGACACCTTGAAAGGTCGATCTTTTCCACCTTCCCCAGGTAAAGTAACGTCTAAATCTACCTGTTGATGGGAAAAGAGTCAACTGGTAAATGTTGAAAAAGATAAATACAATTATTTTAGATTTAACTTATAAAAATATCTAAGAGAAAACATGGCAAAAATAAAGTCAATAGACTAAAATATACCATTTTTTTTTGTAGATAAAATTTAAATAACATAGTTACTCGTGCCAGCATTATGTGTCATTGCAAAATACTGGAAACTACCCTAAATGCTCCAACATCTATGCGGCTATGAAAAAAGAATGAGGAAAATCTCTTGAAACTGCCATGGAATAAATTTCCAAGCTATACTATTAAGTGACAAAAGCAAAGTACAAAAGATTACAAATATTATGACATCTTTTGTGTAAGAAAGGAGGAAAATATTCACATATCTGCTTACTTCTGCAAAAAGAAACACAGGAAGCATGAACCAGAAACAAAGAAACTAGTTACTTTCAAAGGATGGGAGGGAATGGACTGGAAAAAATAAGGACAGAACAATTCTGAGTATATGTTTTGGTATACTTTTGAAATTTGGAAGCATATTAAAGTTCTACATATTAAAAAAAAGAAAAAAAAAAGGCCAGGCGCAGTGGCTCATGCATGTAATCCCAGCACTTTGGGGGGCTGAGGCAGGCTGATCACTTGAGGTCAGGAGTTCAAGACCAGCTTGGCCAACATGGTGAAACCCTGTCTCTACTAAAAATACAAAATTAGCTGGGTGTGGTGGTGCATGCCTGTAATCCCAGCTACTCGGGAGGCTGAGGCACGAGAATCATTTGAACTCAGGAGGCAGAGGGTGCAGTGAGCCAAGATCACACCACTGTGCTCCAGCGTGGGCAACAGAGTGAGGCTCAAAAAAAAAATAAATAAATAAAATAAATATATATTATATATTTATAAATTTATAATTTATAATATAAATTTATATATTATTTATAATTTATAATATAAATTTATATATTATTTATAATTTATATATTTATAATAAAAAATATATATATATATATTTAGGCTGGGTATGGTGGCTTACTCCTGTAATCCCAGCACTTTGGGACGCTGAGGCAGGAGGACTGCTTGAGCCAGGGAATTTTAAACCAACCCAGGCAACAGAGCAAGACCTAGTCTCTACAAAAAATTAAATTAGCCAGGTGTGGTGGTGCACACCTGTGGTCCTAGCTGCTTGAGAGGCTGAGGCAGTAGGATCGTTTGAGCCTGAGAGGTTGAGGCTGCAGTGAGCTGTGAGTGTGCCAATGAACTCCAGCCTGGGTTACAGAGCAAGACCCTGTCTAAATAAATAAATAAATAAACAAAGGGAGGGAGGGAAAAAATTAAAACAGAATATCATAAACAGAATCAAATGAACCCAAATAAATTTCAAATAAATAACATAACCACATTGAAAAAAAAGAAAAAGGAAGCTCTAATTCAAGTAACTCTTGAACACAGTATGTATACTGACAATAGTCTTAATTCTAGGGGTAGAGAAAGGGTGGATTTAGAAGAATTGCATACAAAATAAAGCCTTGAATCATTAGTAGGTTTGTTTTCTCACAAACTATTTTATATGTACTGTAGGACTGAGCAAATGAGAAGGAGTGGTGATGTTTTGAGGAGCCAGGAATCTAACTAAAGAAGAAAGATACAAATATGAAATGGAGTGAGGAAAGGAAGAATCCCATGAGGCACGGACTAGAATTGGAAGAATCGGGTGTGAACTCACGATTTCCTATATATATGTGTTAGATTTACCATACAAAGTGTAATATGTTTTTATTGTCCGTTTTATTTATTTATCTACTTATTTATAAATTTCCTACCTCTATCCATTGAAAGGGCTTAGAAGCACATATACCCCAGCAGCTGTGAACATACCAGTACCCAGATTTTCATTTCAAAATTGCATTTGCCAACTAAAAGAAACCAGAGATCCTCAGAGAAATGGTTAGTTGCAGGACTGCAGCAGAGAAAACATAAAATAAACCAGGAACATCCTGTGCCAGAAAGTAATGAAGTAGAGTCATGCACCACATAATGATTTTTGGTCCACAATGGACCCCATATACACGGTGGTCCCATTAGATTATAATGAAGCTGCCTTATACAGGCGTACCATTTAAACAATCTTTTACAATGTATTTTTACTGTACCTTTTCTATAGTTAGATACGTTTAGATACACAAATATTTACCATTGTCTTACAAGTGCCTACAGTATTCGGTATAGTAACATCCTATATAGGTTTATAGCAATAATAAACCATATTATATGGTGTATGTGTGTAGTAAGCTATACCATTCAGGTTTGCGTAAGTATACACTGTGATGATAGCACAATGACAAAATTGCCCAAGGACACATTTCGCAGAGCATATCCCCATTGTTTTAGGTGATGCAGGATTGTATTCCCCAAAAAGTGTCATTTCAAAAGGACACAGGAGTCAGCTTAAAAGAGTTCCCACTGGCCAAATCTGGGACAATCTGGGCAGTGAAATCAATAAATAGAGTAAAAGAAAATATACTCCCTTACAGCAGATTAATGAACATACGGAGAATGAATGACAGAATTAGAAAATCACCACTTCTACATAGTAATAATCCTTTCAAGCAAGAATAATCAATTGCCAAGCAAGAATAATCAAAATCCAATGAGCAACAGGATCCTTAAAAGTATCTCCCATTTCAAAATTAAAAACTTCTGTGTATCAACGGACACAACATAGTGAAAAGACAACCTGTGAAATGTAAGAAAATGTTTGCAAATTATATATCTGATAAGAAGTTAATGTCCAGAATATATATAGTTAATATCCAGAATACAGAAGTTAATATCCAGAATATATATAAAGAACTCCTACAATGGTATTGATCAGTTTAGCTAAAAAAAATAAAAAATCTAAAAATAAAGAACTCCTACAACTCACTGCCCAAAACCCAAAACAAACAACCCAGTTCAAAAAATGGGCAAACAACTTGACCACAGATTTCTCCAAAGAAGATATACAAATGGCCAATAAGCCTACAAAGTTATACTCAACATCACTAATTGTTGGGGGACATGCAAATCAAAACCACAATGAGATATCATCTCACGCCCATTAGGATGGTTACTATTAGAAAACGAACAAAAAAAAAAACAAAACAGAAAACAAGTGTTGGCATGGAAGTGAGAGTTTGGAACTCTTGTTCACTGTTGGTGGGAATGTAAAATGATGGAGCCATTCTGGAAAACAATACAGCAGATTCTCAGAAAATTAATAATTATCACATGACCTGGCAAATTTACTTCTGGGTATATATCCAAAGAACCGAAAGCAGAGTTCAATACTTTTACATCTATGTTCATAGCAGGATTATTTGCAATAGCCAAAAGGTGTCCATTGATGCATGAAGGGATTAACAAAATGTGTTACATACATACAATGGAATATTATTCAGCCTTGAAAAGGAGATTCTAACACATGAAACAATGTGGATAAATTGTGAAATAAGCCAGTCATAAAAAGACAAACAATCTATGATTTCACTTACATGAGGTACCTAGAATAGTCAAATTCAGAGACAGAAAGTACTATGGTGGTTGCCAGGGCTGAGGGGAGGGAGCAATGGATACTGTTTAATGGATATGGAGTTTCAGTTTTGAAAGATAAAGACAATTCTGGGGATGGAAGGTGGTAATAATTATATAACAATGTAAATGTGCTTAATACCACTGAAATATACCTTAAAAATGGTTAAGACGGTAAATTTTATGTTACATATGTTTTATCACAATTACAAAAAGAATCTCCCTACAAGATGCTTATTAACTACAAGGAGGAAAAGAATACCCCAATAGGAGAAAACTGGCAGACACCAATTTAATCAACTGACCAAAGTTAACATCACCAATAATCACCAATAATGGAACAAATACATACTGCGTGCTTCCTGATATGATGCACTGATAAGGAAAGAATGGTTATATAATATTCCTGCCAATAATGCATAACCAGAATGTAATCAAGGGGAAGTATCAGACAAACCCAGACTGAAGGACATTCTACAAAATAATTTACCGATAATCTTCAACTACGTTACTGTCATGAAGGATAAAAAAAGGCTGGGGAAAGAACGACATGGTATCTATATCATGATCCTGGACTGGATTCTGTAACAGAGGAGAAAAATAATACTAAAGGGCATCATTGGAAAAACTGGTAAAACTGGAATTTGTATTGTTGATTAAATAAAAGTATCATATCAATGTTAAATTTAATGAACTTGATAACTGTACAAGGGTTTTTATCATTGTTCTTAGGAATATACATTAAAGTATTAAATACTGGCAGAGTGCAGTGGTACTCCCAAAATCCCAGAACTTTGGGAGGTTGAGCTGGGTGGATTACTTGAGGTCAGAAGTTTGAGACCAGTCTGGCCAACATGGCGAAACCCCATCTCTACTACAAACACAAAAAAATTAGCCAAGAGTGGTAGCACGTGCCTGTAATCCCAGCTACTCAGGACGCTGAGGTACAAGAATCACTTGAATCTGGGAGGCAGAGGTTGCAGTGAGCCGAGATCACACTACTGCACTCCAACCTAGGTGACAAAGCGAGACCCTGTCTCAAAATAAAATAAAATAAAATAAAATAAAATAAATATTAATGGGGCATGGTATGTGCAACCTACTTGTGAATGGTTCAGGAAAAAATAAGTATGTATGTACAAGAGAGAAAGAAAAAAAATAAAACAAAGGTGGAAATGTTCAGAACCTCAGTGAAGCTACATAAAGGGTGTATGAGAGTTCTCTGCATGATTCCTGCAACTTTTCTTTAAGTTTGAAATTATTTCAAAACAAAAAGTTAAAAACAATCAGTGATAAATATTCACATATATATGGACTGTAATAAAAATGGTAATAAATGCGTGTAAAAGGAGACACTTCAAAAATATACCTTTCCAATACAGGAATGCATATCTTACCCCTGTAGTTGCCACAGGAAGTGGATTGGCGGTGTAAAGACTTCTTTTTCCATCATAAACTGGTCTACGGTCTCCAAATATAGTTACTTTAAAATGCTGAACCATTGAGTCAACCACCTCCCTAAAGAAGGGAAACAATATATTCACATAATCCTCTGTAAGATGAAATATAAAAATATTAACAGAAGTAATTTCTGCCACTGTATAAAGCTGTCAAAATTCTAAAAAATATTCATATATGATAAAGATTTTGCTTTTAGAATCTTGGCTTAAGACACCAAAAAGATTGATTATTGCCAAAAGATGACATACATTTCACTAGACAGAGAAGAATGAAGCGAGCATATTACTTAATCATTCCAGGATACATCTGACCTGCAAAATATTCTTAGAAAGTGATTCAAAATCTCTTTTACCATCTCTAAGCACTCCCTAACATATTAACTTCTTTCTCCAAGAGTAATCTTTCCTCTGTACCAAGAAGACACCTAGTACATATCTCTATTAGGACACTTTGTCTATTATAATGATTATATATTTTCAATTCTTCTAACTGTGAGCCTCCTGAGAGCAGCAAACATACCTGTGTTCCTTTCTCCTCCCATCCTTACAGTACCTAGCTAGTAAGGATATTATAAAACCTCCATTTTTACCCAGCAAACATCTGAGCCAATGTAACTGACACAGAAAGATATTCAATACTTATATATTCAAAACTTACAGACTATATAGGAAATACCAAATTTTCACAAATCAATACGTATTTTTTGTACACACATTTGTAAAAGCAGAGAAACTGAAAGGATATATTCCAAATGGTGGTTACCTCTAGAGAGGGAAGTGACAGGATTACAGGGTCACTTTTATTTTGTTTATAAAATCTAAATATATTACAATGAGAATGTACTCACATAGTATTGATATAATCTAAAACTAATTTAAAAGATTCAAGGCCAGGCACAGTGGCTTACGCCTGTAATCCCAGCACTTTGGGAGGCCAAGGCAGGTGGATCACCTGAGGTCGGGAGTTTGAGACCACCCTGACCAACATGGAGAAACCCTGTCTCTACTAAAAATTCAAAATTAGCCGGGTACAGTGGCGCATGCCTGTAGTCTCAGCTACTTGGGAGGCTGAGGCAGGAGAATTGCTTGAACCCAGAAGGCAGAGGTTGTGGTGAGCCGAGATCACGCCATTGAACTCCAGCCTGGGCAACAAGAGCAAAACTCTGTCTCAAAAAAAAAAAAAAAAAAAAAAGAGAGATTCAAGTCTACCTCAGTTAAGTGGGGGCAAGAACCCAGCATTTTCTGGAACAATAAAAACATCAAGCTGACTGGATACCCAGAGCGATTTTCTACATGGCACAAAGTTTCTATTTTTTCCCTCCCTTTTCAATTTTGTTTTACTGAAACTACTGAAAACAGTATCAAGCCTCTTCTAGAGTAAATTTTACAACAAAAATTTGATTCACCTATTCATTTTTTAGTTCAAAGCAAATTTCAATGATTCTCTGCCATTTTAAGTTTTCCTTTGTGGCCACTATTACTAAATCTGGTTTCTTTCTTTTTCTTTTTTTTTTTTTTTTTTTGAGACAGCGTCTTGCTCTGTCACGCAGGATGGAGTGCAGTGGTGCGATCTCGGCTCACTGCTACCTCCGCCTCCCAGGTTCCAGCAATTCTCCTGCCTCAGCCTCCCAAGTAGCTGAGATTACAGGCATGCACCATCACGTCCAGCTAAGTTTTGTATTTTTAGTAGAGACAGGGTTTCACCATGTTGGCCAGGCTGGTCTCGAACTCCTGACCTGGTGATCCGCCCGCCTCGGCCTCCTAAAGTGCTGGGATTAGAGGCATGAGCCACTGCGCCCAGCCAAAATCTGGTTTCTTAGGTGAAATTTTACAGATCTAATTTGTTGGGATGTTTTAACCATTTTGTCATTTTTTTTTTTAACTCAACAGTAAACTGGTATAATTTCAACCTTACGAATTCTGGGAAACCCAATCAAATCACTCTAAGGATCAAAATGGAGGAGACTGAAATACCAGGGCCAAAACATCTTAGGAATAAAAAATATCCTGCTTTAACTTAAACAGAGTTACAAGAAAAAAAAAACCCATTAACAAGTGGGCAAATGACATGAACAGACACTTCAAAAGAAGACATACATGCAGCCAACAAGCATATGAAAAAATGCTCAATATTATTGATCATTAGAGAAATACGAATCAAAACCACAATGAGATACCATCTCATGCCAGTCAGAATGGCTACTATTAAAAAGTCAAAAAATAACAGACGTTGGCAAGGTTGTGGAGAAAATGGAATGTTTATACACTGTTGGTGAGAGTGTAAATTAGTTCAACCATTGTGGAAAGCAGTGTGGCAATTCCTCAAAGACGTAAAAAGAGAACTACCATTTAACCCAGCAATCCCATTACTAGGTATATATCCAAAGAAATATAAATTGTTCTATCATAAAGACACATGCATGTGTATGTTCACTGCAGCACTATTCACAATAGCAAAGACATGGAATCAACCTAAATGCCCATCAATGGTACACTGGATAAAGAAAATGTGGTACATATACACCATGGAATACTATGCAGTCATAAAAAAGAACAAGATCATGTACTCTGCAGAACATGTATGGAGCTAGAGGCCGTTATCCTTAGCAAACTAACACAGGAATAGAAACCCAAATACTGCATGCTCTCACTTAATAAGTGGGAGCTAAATGATGAGAACATATGGACCCATAGAGGAGAACTATAGACACTGGGGTCTACCAGAGGGTAGAGGGTAGGAGGAGGGAGAGTATCAGGAAAAATAACTAATGGGTACTAGGCTTAATACCTGGGTGACAATAAACCCATGACACAAATTTACCTATATAACAAACCTGTACATATACCTCTGAACTTAAATACATATATATGTTCATATATAAATGTATACTTATATATCAAAGCAGGATATATACATACACATATACAATTTTTGCTACAATTTTGGCAAAATATATATATATATCCTGCTTTGATGCCTAACACATAGTATATCCTCAATAAATGCTCTAACAGTGAATAACTACCTCAGTGAAATGCTGGAACTTCCAATGGAATATATCTAGAGCTGAATTCAACACATCTTGTCAGAGTTACATGTGGTTATCTTCTGTTTGCTACTCCTCTTTAATTAATAGTATCTCCATCTTCCCAGTTACCCAGATTCAAAACTTGGCTCATCTCTTCACCCAACTGGTTGTTGACACCACGTCTTTGCAGTATTTCTTATACTAGTCCTTTACTTTCCATTCCCGATTACCACAATCCTAAAGAAAAGCCTCATGTCCTTGTACCTGGATTATTTTAAGTTTTTCTTTTTTATGTTCATAGTTTTTTTTTTACTCCAACCCAATTTACATTCACTGTTAAATAATTTCCCAAGCCCCATTTTTATTCCTTGGGTACAAAAAATTTAATCATACTCCTCAGTTCATGGTGTGTTATCATCATCTGTATAATATCCCTCTTCTAACTGATTTTCTTTCCATCTCCATTTCCTAACCCCATTCCCCTTCCCAAGAAGTTATTCTTCTAATTTGTTTGATGAACATTCTTCTATTTCTATGTATACCTACTTTTACCCTCTGCATTAGATGTTTTAAAACCTATTCACGTTGCTGTGGTATATTTATTATGGTATATTTATTTTTATTATTTTTAAAAGATTTATCTGTAAAAAATTGGTTGTATACAATTTCAGTGACTTGGTTCATTGTTTCTGATTGATGCAAAGTACTCCACATGTTGTCTATCCACTCCCCCAGCATTGCAGATTCACAGTATCTTTAATTGCAACACCCAAAAACAATGTTGAAATGAATTATCTCCTTACATGTCCCCTTATGAACCCATGTGAGAATTAATCTCTGCTTACAGACACAGAAACAGACTGTTAGGTCAAAATGAATCTTATCAAGTAAATGATGTACTGCCAAATTGTTCTCAAGAATGACTACACTAACCTGCACTCCTTGAGGCTCCTATTTCCCTGCGTCCAGCCAATATGTGGCATTATCCAGTTCTGCTTTCTAATTTTTGTTAGCCTAATCGGTATAAACTAAAAGCATGTTTTAATTTAGATTTCTCTTATTACTAATGAATTTGAGAACATCATCAAATTAAATTTCACCTTATGACTTCAAGCTTTTGAGGTATTAAGAAATACTTTCCTAATACAAAGTCAAAAAGATAAATTATGTTTTATTAACTTTACAGTTTTGTCTACATTTTTTGGTTCTTCTTTATAAACAGCAAGGACCCAATTTTATTTATCTCCATCTAGTGAGCAGGTTTCTTCATGCCACCTACTAAACGGCTTATACTTAACTAATCAATTTGTAATGGCATTTTTATCTCATTCACTTCCCATATATAAATCAATCTGAGTTCTCTATACTGTCCCAGTGTTCTGTTTGTCTGTTCTTGTGCCAGTACAAGATGTTTTCTTTCTTTCTCTTTTTTTTTTTTTTTGAGAGGGAGTCTCGCTCTGTCACCCAGGCTGGAGTGCAGTGGCGTGATCTCGGCTCACTGCAAGCTCCCCCTCCTGGGTTCACACTATTCTCCTGCCTCAGCCTCCCGAGTAGCTGGGACTACAGGCACCCGCCACCATGCCTGGCTAATTTTTTGTATTTTTAGTAGAGATGGGGTTTCACCGTGTTAGCCAGGATGGTCTCGATCTCCTGACCTCGTGATCCACCCGCCTTGGCCTCCCAAAGTGCTGGGATTACAGGTGTGAGCCACGGCGCCTGGCCAGTAACGTATGTTTTCACTAGAGTGTTTATTATGGGGCAGGGTAAGTTTCCCTACTTTTTCTAAGTATACTTGAACACTGGAATAATTTTCCACCTTAGAAAACTATCAATACCATATGGAAAGGAAACATATCTAGTGCCCTACATATAGTAAGTAATTAATAAATATCTGTTGGTTAAGAAACCTCTAACAACACATACTTGGAAGACATGACTAGCATGTTAAAAACATAAATTACTATGTTAAAAGCTACTAACAACTACAACAATGAACAAAATAAAGAAGAAACATAATAAGGGTAACTGTAATACCTAAACACTTAACGTCCAAACACTTCAACTGTAATAAGAACAAATTAGAGAATCTCAACTTACCCACTGCTGCTGTGGAAAAGGGTACAAGCCCCAAATGAGCTAACAGTATGATGTAGCTTCCTCAAAAGTAAAAAACTGAGGTTGCATATATTTAAGT
Organism: Homo sapiens; assembly: GCF_000001405.40. Lineage (NCBI taxonomy): Eukaryota > Metazoa > Chordata > Mammalia > Primates > Hominidae > Homo > Homo sapiens. Next base: position 35,961,789 of record NC_000001.11, on the reverse strand, counting down.
ACTCAGATAATCCACTTAATAAGGCAGGTAACTATCCCACCATATATTAAAACAGATCATTTTACATCTTGGAGTACTCTGTTCAATTTGTGAAAAATTTAAGACCCTAAAAATTCAAATATAATGAGAAGGAGGCAATCCTGATAGGAAATCATGTAATATGAGTAAAAATAAATCAAACCAAGTCTGGTTTGGAATAGGAAAGTCTTAGTCTGGAATAGGAAAAACTCAAAGAAAATTACAGAATAAGTTTTTGGCTATTTTGATAGATTGTCATGTGAAAAACTGAGTAGAAAGAACTAGGAAAAATAGTTGGAACATTAGACATTTTGGAACGAAATTTTCAGGATTTTCTAACCACCAGAGTTATTCAAAAGTAAATTACACTACCTTATAAAGTACCTGAGTTCATCTTTGCTAGAACTGTTCAAAGAGCAGCTATATGACCAACTGTCAGGGAAGATATAAATTTAAGATTAAAATGAAATATCCGCGATACCCTCTTATAGTAAAATTTAATTTAAAAAATACCAAACAATGGCCAGGCGCAGTGGCTCACACGTGTAATCCCACCACTTTGGGGGGCCGAGGCAGGCGGATCAAGAGGTCAGGAGATTGAGACCATCCTGGCTAACACGGTGAAACCCTGTCTCAACTAAAAATACAAAAAAAAAAAAAATTAGCAGGGCTTGGTGGCGGGTGCCCGTAGTCCCAGCTACTCGGGAGCCTGAGGCAGGAGAATGGTGTGAACCCGGGAGGTGGAGCTTGCAGTGAGCCAAGATCGCACCACTGCACTCCACCCTGGGCATCAGAGCGAGACTCCATCTCAAAAAAAAATAAAAATAAAAAAAAAAAAAGAAAAGAAACATTGTAAATTTTATCATGGTAAATCGTATCATGGCATTAGATATTACTTTTATGAATAATTACACTTACATTTGACAATTTAGTTCAGAGCCTTAAGGAAATAGCACTGGAATTCTATAGTATACGGGTCAATTTTTCCACTTGACAGTTTTTTAAGTTCATAACTGACAAAACCTATGCTACAAAGAGAGTCATCTTTCATGAGGGCCAAGAGTTATATTATTTTTTAACCTCTCACTAATATGACACAATTAATTCATATATTTAGAATTTTTTTTAAAGAGATGGGGTCTCACTATGTTGCCCATGCTGGTCTCCAACTCCTGGGTTCAAGCAATCCTCCTGTCTCAGCCTCCCAGAGTGTTGAGATTACATGTGTGAGCCACTGTGCCTGGCCAAATTCATATATTTAGAATTTTAGCGAAAAAAAAAAATTTTTTTTTGAGACCAGGTCTTGCTCTGTTGCCCAGACTTGAGTGCAGTGATGTGATCACAGTTCACTGTAACCTAAAACTCCTGAGTTCAAGTGATCCTCCTGCCTTAGCCTTCTGAGTAACTGGGAATATGGGCATCCAGCAGATTTTAGTATGCAAGCTAACAAAATGGCAAATCTAGGGACAGTAAATTCTCATTTCTTATCTCAAAGGATATTAGGGAAAAGGGTAGTTTATTAGAATCTTTAATAGGTAGGCATGTGGAGCTAGAGAAAAAACACTCTTTAGAACAGTAATTTATCTAGTTTCCTAAGCCATCTAGTCAGCTATAGTAGCAAAGGTGCTATTATATTACGATGAAACTTGGAATTGGGAAACTACCAACCTGAGAAACCTTTAAAATATATGATAATATAAGTACCGAAATAAGAAGGCATGAGTTTTTAGTCCCATTCTGTCACTAAGTTGTTAAGAAAGTTATTTAACTTCTCTGACTTGAGTTTCTTTATCAATAAAAATGAGATAACAGTCTCAGGAACCAAATGGAATATTAGTGAAAATAATTTGAAGATTAAAAAAACAAATATGTATAATAATATTTTTATATTAAAATTTAAGCATAATTATCTCACAAATATATTTTAAGAATTATACTGAAGTCTTCCAAATAACAAATGAATACACTACAATGTTTTAGCATCAAATATAGTAAATTAACACAAATAATGAATAATTCTGGTAATTAACATAAACTGATAACTGAGTTTCCTCTATATTTTATGACACTAGTCTTTTATTACAACAATAGGGTTAGGAGTGGAATCTTTTGTTCAAATACAGTACTTTTAGCAAAATATTTAAGTGTATATTGTTAAACAAGTTCTTAGCTTACCGTAAGTAGTAAAACTAGACTAATAAAAATACATAAAATATTTTAACTTCTAAAACAGTGCTTGGGAAAGTAATTTGGGAAATAAAATCTGAGTAAACACAGATAAGAATGTCTAACCAATCTTTAGTGGCTTCCTTTCACTAATAACCTTAGTCTGAGAAGAAAAGAATTCTTGCAGAATTATACTGTGATGCATTTTTTAGAACGTCACGTGAGAATTTAAGAATCCTTAAGAATAATTGGTAATAACTTCAAAAATGAAATCTACCTGAATACATTAGATCTTCTAAAGGGGTACAGCCTATCCTACCACCCTTACTTCAATCACTACTTCCTACATTCTGATACCAACTCTTTTGACTCCATCATGCTCTGGTGCACAGATTATAAAGTAAAATTTAATAATAATTTCATTAAGTCCCATTTTACCACCTGACTTATACAGCAGAAAAATGGGAAGAGAGAAACTTTAATGTAAAAAAGAGGAGAGCAAATTATTTTCCTGTGAGTTGTAATTACTATAAGCTTATAGAGATCCACCTCCATCTCACTTTATTAGGTACCTCTTAATTCTCTGCTCCCAAAAGACAGAATGAAAAATATTATTCTAGTCTACAGAAGACAACATGAAAGAATATTTTCCCCAAAAGTCTACTGACATTATCCATGGCTACAATAAATGAATGTGTCACTACAGTATAGACAGAAAGAAGATTGCTAAAGTATAACAAAATGTCAAAATCATCCAGAGGTTTATAAAACACAACTAAAACAGCTGGCAGTCTCTCTTTGTATCCTTCCAATCTCTAACTTATCTTTATTACTCTGTGGTTACTAGCAGAGAAGGTAGCCAATAAATACTTGTGCAACAAGATAAAGTTTAAGGTATGCAAAACAGAGAAGAGAGGGATTATATTTTAGATCTTTTTTCTTTTTTTTTTTTTGAGACAAGGTCTGGCTCTGATGCCCAGGCTGGAGCGCAGTGGTGCAATCTCAGCTCACAGCAACCTCTGCCTCAAGCCATTCTCCTGTCTCAACCTCCCGAGTAGCTGGGACTACAGGAGTGTGCCACCATGCCCAGCTAATTTTTGTATTTCTTGTAGAGACAGAGTTTCATCATGTTGCCCAGGCTGGTCTTGAACTCCTGAGATCAAGTGATCTGTCCACCTCAGCCTCCCAAAGTGCTGGGTAGAACAAAAATTTTTCTTTTTTTTTTATTATGGAGTCTTATTCTGTCGCCTAGACTGGAGTGCAGTGGTGTGATCTCGGCTCACTGCAACCTCCACCTCCTGGGTTCAAGTGATTCTTCAGACTCAGCCTCCTGGGTAGCTGGGATTACAAACGCGCACCACCATGCCTGGCTAATTTTTTTATTTTTAGTAGAAACGGGATTTCACCATGTTGGCCAGGCTGATCTCGAACTCCAGACCTTGTGATCCGCCCGCCTTGGCCTCCCAAAGTGCTGGGATTACAGGCGTGAGCCACCACGCCTGGCCAGGACAAATTTTTAATACTTTTTTCTTTTTTTAAAGATACAGATCTTGCTCTGTCACCCAGAGGATGGAGTGCAGTGGTGCAATCATGGCTCACTGCAGCCTCCAACTCCTGAAGTGAGCAATCCTCTCACCTCAGCCTCCTGAGTAGCTAGGACTATAGGTGTACACCATTATACCTGGCTAATCTTTAAATTTTTCATACAGAAGGGGTCTCCCTATGTTGCCCAGGCTGGCCTTGAAATTCTGGCCTCCAGCACTCCTCCTGCCTTGGCCTCCCAAAGTGCTGGAATTACAGGCCTCACATGTGCCACTGCACTTGGCCAAAATTTTAATAATTTGTAATATAAAATCGATACTGAGCATTTTTGTTTTTTTGAGATGGAATCACACTCTGTTGCCCAGGCTGGAGTGCAGTGGCACAATCTCTGCTCACTGCAACCTTCACCTCCCAGGTTCAAGCAATTCTCATGCCTCAGCCTCCCGAGTAGCTGGGATTACAAGCACGTGCCACCACGCCCAGCTAATTTTTGCATTTTTAGTAGAGACGGGGTTTCACCATGTTGGCCAGGCTGGTCTCAAACTCCTGACCTCAAGTGATCTGCCTGCGTCAGCCTCGCAAAGTGCTGGGATTACAGGCATGAGCCACTGAGCTCAGCTCATACAGAGCATTTCACTATACACTATGTTTGTAGTCATTTCATATGTGAATTATTTTTATCAGGCCACTGACTTCTTTTTTTTGTTTTTGAGACAGTCTCGCTCTGTCGCCCAGGCTGGAGTGCAGTGGTATGATCTCAGCTCACTGCAACCTTCACCTCCTGGGTATAAGCAATTCTCGTACCTCAGCCTCCCAAGTAATCCAAGCTGGGATTACAGGCATGTACCACGATGCCCAGCTAATTTTTGTATTTTTAGTAGAGATGGGGTTTCACCATGTTGGCCAGGCTGGTCTCAGACTCCTGGGTTCAAGTGATCTGCCCACCTTGGCCTCCCAAAGGGCTGAGATTACAGGCGTGAGCCACTGCACCAGGCTGGGCCACCAACTTCTTAACAACCATGTGTAATGGCGCATTTTCAGTCTCTATACGCCTGGCTTTGTTTAGCATTTGCCACTGTAATCAAACTTTGTTCCTTGAAAATCATGATCCTTAAGGCCAGGTGCAGTGGCTCATGCCTGTAATCCTAGCAACTTTGGGAGGCCGAGGTGGGCGGACTGCCTGAGCTCAGGAGTTTGAGACCAGCGTGGGCATCACAGTGAAACCCTATCTCTACTAAAAATACAAAAAAATTAGCCAGGCATGGTGGCATGCACCTGTAGTCCCAGCTACTCAGGAGGCTGAGACAGAATTGCTTGACCCTGGAAGGCGGAGGTTGCAGTCAGCCAAGATCACGTGATCATGTCACTGAATTCCAACCTGGGCGACAGAGCGAGACTCCCTCTCCAAAAGAAAAAAAAAAAAAAACAAAAAAAGAAAATCATGATCCTTACCTTGCCTTCTCTGAAATAGCTTCTACTTTGTCCTGGTTCTCCTATCTTTCCAATCCCTGTGTGTTTTCACTGGTAAACCTGAAATAATAGTATCTCAGAGATCTAGTCTCAGTTCTTTTATTTTTACATACTTCCCCAGTTTTTAACTATCACCTACATGCTGACGAATCACAATCTCCATTTTGACTTATCTCCTGACACTTAGCTAGACACTTATTTCCAATAACCTATTGAACTTCTGCCATTTTGATGTTTCTTATGCAATTCAACCTCCAAATATTCAAAATAGTATACAAAAACCTGGTCCCTTCAGAATCTATATTTCTGTTAAAACCATTACTAATGCACCAGCTAGGAACTATGAAGCCATTCTTATCTCTATCCTTTCCTTACATACCTAAATTGTTCATTCTTTTTCTAAATCTTCCATCTATGCCCTCCATCATCATTATTGCCACTGTGTCTTTGAACATATTACCTATAATCCAGAAAAATATGTACCAGAGGTGCCAAGGGGTATGCTGCAGTATGAGGAAAAATTAGACATATTTATATTTAATTTTCAGTGAACAATTAGGAATTAAGATTTACTAATATTCATGAGTATGGATTGATACTGGTGCCTTCAGTTATTCCACATTAGATGGTCAGGTGCAACACACGGTACACCAGGAATCCTAGGAGAGTAATGGGAGTTCTGCAACACATAAGAGTTAAGGTCTGACACAGTGGCTCACGCCTGTAATTCCAACACTTTGGGAAGTTGAGGTGGGCAGATCGCTTGAGACAAGGAGTTCAAGGCCAGCCTGGGCAACATGGCGAAATCCCATTTCTATAAAAAATACAAAAATTAGCCGGGCATGGTGGTATGTGCCTGTAGTCCCAGCTACTATGAAGGCTGAGGTGGGAGGATTGCTCGGGCCCAGGAGGGTGAGGCTGCAGTGAGCCATGTTCACGCCACTGCACTCCAGCCTGGGTGACAGAGTGAGACTCCTGTCTCAATTAAAAAAAAAAAAAAAAAGTTAACAGTGTACCTCTCGTTCATTCATTTTCAGCACACTGCAACTTTCTGTAGTTCAAGTGTGTGACACATATTCAGTCAGGGTTTTTTGTACCATTAATCTGAAAAGTTTAAGTTATTTAAATGTATTTTTAAATAGTTCATTTCAAAATTATCTTTCTCATCTTTTTCTACAGTTACATATTAAAACAGTAGTACACGCCAACAAATTATAGTTTTTGAAATGTGTGTGCATTTATATCTATATGTATTTTTTGGTCAAACAAATTTTAATTAATGGGGACGTGTGATCAATGGTTTGAAGACCGCTAACCTAGACTACTACAACAGCCTTCCAAATGTTCTCCAGGACTCAAGTCTTTCTCATCTCTCATTCACCACACTGTCATCAAGTATGGTCCTAAATACCGATATTCTTCATTTGTTTAAAAGGTTCTATTGGCTCTCTACTATTTCTGAATTCACAAGCCTTAGCACGGATTTCAGATTCTTCATAACCTACTCCCTAGCTAACTCTTCAGACTCATCTCTAGCTACTCTATTTATACTGGCCTGTTTCTGTTATACCAACATGTCATACCTTTGCTCATGCTGTCTATGTGGATTATTCTTTCTCCCTGTCCACTGGACAACTTCATGTTGTAGCATATATCAGCACAGGCAGGTGCTGCATAACTTTTCAGTCAATTACAGACCACATATATGATGGTGGTCCCATAAGATGATATATTTTTACTGTACCTTTTATGATACAATTATTTTGCTCAAATACCATGTGATACACCACATCCTCCTCCTTACCCAAAGGCAGGAATCATTACTCTTTCATCACAGTACATAATGTGCATATCACAGAATTTGTCACTCCATATGGAATTTAAAACTTTAAAGAGATCATGTTTTATCTATTGTATTATTGCTAGAACCTAGCACAGTGCCTGACACAAAACAGGAGTAAACAGTTAATGAAAACATAGAGAAGATTCAAAAATGATCTTTAAGTTTCCGTATATCCTGTAAATCTAGTACCAATAGCATAGTACTTTGGTATAAACATGTGGTAAGTTCAGATAAATGGTTTAAATAGATTTAAGTTAACCTAACAAACTGGAGCAGGTTAAAGTAAACAAATCAAGGTACATTCATATAATAGAACACTATACAGCTATTGTAATTTATATCTACACAAATAGATGTTGGTAATAATACCTTATGTACTAGTCCCTTGTGTGTAAATATTTGTTAATTTATGAAAGTATCTTCAAGTTTCAAATATATTATAGGAATATTAGTCAAAAGGCTAATTTCTACTTAGTATTGTATTTAGATGCCACTCTAAAAGAATTTTGAGATGTGAAATAATTACCATCTGTTAACTTTCCTATCTTCCAAGTGACTAAAAGGAAAATAAAACTTATTTATTAGCTGACATATTTTGTATAATAGTTTCCCCAAGATCACTAAACACTCAAAACTATACCATTTGGTTTTTACTGGTAGTGTTTTCTGAAGTATGTTGTCTAAATCATTTTAATATAGAACCCTTCTATAGATATGACAACAAAATCACAAGCGACAAAAGAAAAAATAAGTTAGACATCATCAAAATTTTAAAAGTTTGTGCTTCAAAGGACACCATCAAGACAATGAAGATGCAACATGTATAAACAGAGAAAAATTTTGCAACCATATATCTAATAAGGGACTTTTATCTAGAACATATAATGAACTCCTATGACTCAATAACAAAAAGACAAATGACCCAATTTAAAAATGGGCAGGCAGGCACAGTGGCTCATGCCTGTAACCCCAGCACTTTGGAAGGGTGAGGCGGGTGAATCACCTGAGGTCAGAGGTTCGAGACCAGCCTGGCCAATATAGTGAAACCCCATCTCTACTAAAAACTACAAAAATTAGCCAGGCATGGTGGTATGCTACTTGGGAGGCTGAGGCAGGAGAATCGCTTGAACCTGGGAGGTGGAAGTTGCAGTGAGCTAAGATCGTGCCACTGCACTCCAGCCTGGGCAATAGAGTAAGACTCTGTCTCAAAAAAAAAAAAAAAATTAGCAAAGGACCTAAATAGACATTTCTCCAAATAAAATATACAAATGACCAATAAATACATGAAAAATGTTCAACATCCGTCATCAGGAAAATGCAAGTCAAAACGACAATGAGATACAACTTCACATCCACTAGGATGAAAATAATTTTTAAAAAGACAAATAATAACATATTGGTGAGAATATGGGAAAACATCTTCATACACTGCTAGTGGGAATGTAAAATGGTGCAGACACTGCCTTCTTTTTTTTTTTCTTTTTAGTAGAAATGATGTCTTGCTACATTGCTCAGGCTGGTCTTGAATTCCTGGACTCAAGTGATCCTTTCACCTCAGCATCCCAAAGTGTTGGGATTACAGGCATGAGCCACCATGTCTGGCTGGTGCAGCCACTTTGGAAAAGAGTCTGGCAGTTTCTCAAAAGGTTAAATATAGAGTTATCATATGATATCACTCTTAGGTATATATCCAACATAAATGAAAATGTATGTCCACACAAAATCCTGTACATGAATGTTTATAGCAGCATTATTTGTAGTAGTCAAAAATGGCAACAACCCAAATGTCCATCAAATGATGGATAAACAAAATGTATTATATCCATACAATGGAATATTATTCAGCAATAAAAAGGAATAAAGTACAGTTATGCATCACTTAACGATGGGGATATGTTCCAGGAAATGCATTATCATTTTGTTGTGTGAACATCATAGAATGTGCTTACACATACCTAGATAGTAGAGCCTACTACACATCTAAGCCATATACACATCTAAGCTATATGGTATGGCTTATTACTCCTGGGCTACAAACCTGTACATCACATTACTATACTGAATACTGTAGGCAACTGTAATACAGTGGTATTTGTGTATCTAAACATAAAAAGGTACAGTAAAAATACGGTATTATAATCTTATGGGACCACCATCATACATGTGGTCTGTAATTCACTGAAAAGTTATGCAGTGCCTGAATATACTGATACATGCTACAACATGAATGAACCTTGAAATCATTATGCAAAAAGAAGCCAGTCACAAAAGGCCACATGGTATATGATTCCATTTATAAGAAATATCCGGCCGGATGCAGTGGCTCACCCCTGTAATCCTAGCATTTTGGGAGGCCGAGGTAGGCAGATCATTTGAAGTCAGGAGTTTGAGACCAGCTGGGCCAACATGGTGAAATCCCACCTCTACTAAAAATACAAAAATTAGCCAGGCATGGTGGCAGGCGCCTGTAGTCCCAGCTACTTGGGAGGCTGAGGAGAACTGCTTGAACTCAGGAGGCAGAGGTTGCAGTGAGCCGCGATCGCGCCACTGCACTCTAGCCTAGGTGACAGAGCGAGACTCTGTCAAAAAAAAAAAAAAAAAAGAAAGAAAGAAAGAAAGAAAGAAAGAAAGAAAGAAAGACCGACCCAGAACCGACAATCTACAGAGAAAGAAAGTAGATTAGTGGTTGGCAAGGACTGTGGGGAGGGACTAATGGGCAGTGACTGCTAATGAGTATGGGGTTTCTTTTTGAGAGGATGAAATGTTCTAAAATTACATTGAAGTGACGGCTGTACATCCTCTCTGGCAATATACTAAAAACCACTGAGGTGTACATTTTAAAATGGGTGACTTATGGCATGTAAATTATATATCCATCAAGTTATTCAAAATGAAATATGCCCCCTCTTGGCATACTATCCAACTATAACACCATAAAAATGACATTCCTAACAGCAGAAAAGAAGTTTCTTTAAACACATTGCTGCTCTGAGATTTCCACTTAAAAAGCCAAAATTGGATCAATATAGATTTACTTTTTTCTTTCTAAAATTCAATCATCTGTCTGGGTGCAGTGGCTCAAACCTATAATCCCAGCACTTTGAAAGGCCAAGGTGGGTGGATGTCTTGAGCCCATGAGTTTGAGACCAGCCTGGGCAACATAGCTAAACTCTGTCTCTACAAAAAGTAGAAAAATTAGCCAGGCATGCTCCTGGTCTCAGCTACTCAGGATGCTGAGGTGGGAGGATTGCTTGAGCCCAGGGAGGTCAAGGCTGCAGTGAACTGTGATCGTACCACTGCACTCCAGCCTGGGTGACAGAGCGAGATCCTGTTTCAAAATAAATAAATAAAATAAAAATCATCAGCATTAAACATTATATCAATATGAAATATGCAGAAATATTTGGCATGTTATTAATCATCATAGAATATTAACAGTAACAGTAGTAAAAATGATGTTTCATTTGTAAAAGAAAACTGAGCCAAAAAAATGCAACCACAGCTGGGTGTGGTGGCTCACGCCTGTGATCCCAGCACTTCGGGAAGCCGAGGTGGGTGGATCACCTGAGGTCAGGAGTTCGAGACCAGCCTGATCAACATGGCGAAACCCCGACTCCACTAAAAATACAAACGCTAGCTGGGCATGGGTGCCTGTAATCCCAACTACTCGGGAGGCTGAGGCAGGAGAATTGCTTGAACCCAGGAGGCGGAGGTTGCAGTGAGCTGAGAATGTGCCATTGCACTCCAGCCTGGGCAACAGAGTAAGACTCTGTCTAAAAAATAAATAAATAAAATAAAAATGCAACCACAATCTACTACTATTTTAAGATTCCTTCAAATTTTTATTCATGTTTTAAAATAGATATTGCAGTTATAATCATGTTGTATACATAATTTTTAACATGTATCTATTCCATTATTTAATGGTTTTGAATAAATACATATACTATCTATTCAAGGTGTATTTAGAGGTTGGACAAACTAGCATAAAATCTCAAGTTACAGAATGTATACTCTAGGTCATAATGTTTCTAAAAAATATTTGTTTTTTAGTCATTGAGACCATTCACCTATTAGAAACTAGTAACATTTGAAATATACTTAACATACATACTCTTTTAACAAAAGCTAACATTCAATCAAAATCATTTAATAGGGGGAAAAGAAGGAAGGAAAGAATCTCCTTCCCCAACTTGGCCCCCCAACACAAAACGGGGTGAGGAAAGGACAAAAAAAGCAATGGACAGAAAATCTAAAGAATAAATTTGTAGAAAGGTTGACCCACAAAATGATTCACTAGCATTTCCTGGATATTGTGTCTAAGAAGACTCCAACTAAAGTGGCAATTGTTTGGCTATAATACATCTTTCTACTATTATGATTAATGCCTTAGTGCCAAATATTTGTTCATGTGGCATATGGACAAGAAAAATTTCATGCACGATAATTTAAGTATTAAAACATTTAAGTCACTTAGAGGAGAATCACTATGACTTTATAGAAGGCAACAATATAATTTTTTTTTTTTTTTGAGACGGAGTCTTACTCTGTTGCCAGGCTAGAGTGCAGTGGCACGACGTCGGCTCACTGCAACCTCTGCCTTCTGGGTTCAAGCAATTCTCCTGCCTCAGTCTCCCGAGTAGCTGGGATTACAGGCGCCCGCCATCACATGCAGCTAATTTTTGTACTTTTAGTAGAGACGGGGTTTCACCATGTTGGCCAGGATGGTCTCGATCTCCTGACCTCGTGATCCACTCGCCTCAGCCTCCCAAAGTGCTGGGATTACAGGCGTGAGCTACCATGCCTGGCCAATATAAATCTTTAATAAGAAACGAAATAAGGCTGGCCATGGTGGCTCATGCCTGTAATCCCAGCACTTTGGGAGGATCACTTGAGCTCAGGAGTTCAAAACCAGCCTGGGCAACATAGGGAGAACTCGTCTCCTGCAAATAAAAATTTTAAAAAATGATCTTGGTGTGGTGGTGCCTGTAGTCCCAGCTACTCAGGAGGCTTAAGTGGAAGGATCACTTGAGTCCAGGAGGTTGAGAACACAGTGTGCTATGATTGTGCCACTGCATTCCAGAGCCTGGGAGACAGATTGAGACCCTGACTTTTAAAAAAGGAAATAAAACAATTTGTTTTGTTTTAATATTTTGAATAAGTTAAATTAGACATAACTGAACCACTGCATTTTGTCCCTTAACTGTTTTGCTAATATTGAAAAGGAATTGTTAAGTTCTATCTAGTTCCTTCTAACGCCTAGAATTCCAGTTGTTGAAGCACAGGAACTGAGCCACCACATCAATTTCAGAAGACCACCAAGTTTCAACTGACTAGTCATGCAGTAATACTGTAAAAACTGAAGACAAAAGCAAGTCAGCTGAAGAAAACGGAATAAGTTTTGCAGATGTTGACATTAAATCAAAGCAATATTATTAACAAAGTATAAAGCTGATTTATATGATTTTTAGAATCCCAAACAAGTCCTACAGTTCCTATAAAAACTTGGGCCGGGTGCGGTAGCTCACGCCTGTAATCCCAGCACTTTGGGAGGCCGGGGCAGGCAGATCACCTGAGGTTGGGAATTCGAGACCAGACTGACCAACATGGAGAAACCTCATCTCTACTAATAATACAAAATTAGCTGGGCATGATGGCACATGCCTGTAATTCCAGCTACTCGGGAGGCTGAGGCAGGAGAATTGCTTGAACCCAGGAGATGGAGGCTGCAATGAGCCGAGATCGTGCCATTGCATACCAGCCTGGGCAACAAGAGCAAAACTCCATCTCAAAAAAATAAATAAATAAAATAATAATAAAATAAATAAAAACTCAAAAACATGATAAAAATGACTAAAATTTTACATCACAAAAATTTAAAAACTTTCCACTTGGAAACATTTAAATTACAAATCTAAATTATTGGTACTGTCAAAAAAATGTAAGATAAAGCAACCTAAAGATGTAATGTAATTAAGGATGTCAAAAGAATCGTAAGTTAAAACCAGAATGCACCACACCAATTTATGACACATATTTTTCTCACAAACTTAATACATTGAGCATATACACATGAAATTCTATGCTACACAACTTTATATACACATATATAATTACACATATATAATACACAAATTTTCCTTTACCCACACCCTACCAAAAAATAAAACAAAAATGTTAGGCAGGAGAAAGAATAAATCTAATAAACAATTCTGTTCCGGCCGGGCACAGTGGCTCACGCCTGTAATCCCAGCACTTTGGGAGGCCGGCGGTGGGGTGGGGGCGGGGGGGGACCACAAGGTCAGGAGTTCAAGACCAGCCTGGGCCAACATGGAGAAACCCAGTCTCTACTAAAAATACAAAAAATTAGCTGGTCATGGTGGCAGGTGCCTATAATCCCAACTACTCGGGAGGCTGAGGCAGGAGAATTGCTTGAACCTAGGAGGCAGAGGTTGCAGTGAGCGGAAATCGCGCCATTGCACTCCAGCCTGGGCAACAGGGAGAGACTCTGTTGCAAAAAAAAAAAAAAAAAAATTCTGTTCCTTTTACTTAATATTTTTGCCACCATATCATTTCCTTGTAACTCATCTGGCATACTAAAAAAACTTGAATTGACATCCCTCAAGCCCCAGATCTTTACTTAGATTAACTAATGCCTTTTTATTTTTATTTATTTATTTTTTAGATATGTGGTCTCACTATGTTGCCCCGGCTGGAGTGCAGTGGCTGTTCACAGGCACAATCACAACACACTGCAGCCTTAACTCCTGGGCTTAAGTAATCCTCCTGCCTCAGCCTTCAGAGTAGCTGGGACTACAGGCCCATGGCTCAGCTAATAAATGCCTTTTTAAAGTGTAAATATCTACCAGAAGGGTCAGGATTATCCTTCACTCAAATCTATACATTAATGAACCAGTTTTGAGAAACAAGAAAAAGGGAATCTCTATGAGAGTACAGCATGAGTCAGTTAAGTCCCCATAAGTGGATGACGGCTCACAGAAAGACATAAAAGAGAGTGAAGGAAGACCAAAACCAAGACTAGCCTAAGATCCTAGGAGATAAGAGTACGGCACTGAAAAACCCATGTTCAGGAAAACAGCCCTCTAGAACATCCAGTTTTCTTTCCTGTCCCCCACCATCACACTCATGCCATTTTATAAACATTTCATTCACTTTACTGAGTATTATGTGCCAATCACTGAGCTGACATGGGGTGACAAAGATGATAAAAAACACTACTTTTCATGAAGGGGTTATACTGGAGAAAGGGAGAAAAATAACCACAATGCACTAAAAACACCACAATGGAAGTGTACATCAAGTACTACGAGGTCACAGAAGAGTAGGGCACTACTCTTTTGACTTGTGTTGTTCACTTTAGGAACATTTGGGTGTCAATCTGAAGTTTAGGAAAGAGGTAGAGGCTACAGCAAGATTAGGAGTCATCTATTCAACAGATAGTATCTTAAAGCAGTATCTGATAACATGTTAAAAAAAAAACCACCTATAGGAATGTTGTAATTAACATGTAATGCAAAGAACCTTCCCCTTAAGCCTGGTTCAGACTCAATACACCTGGTTCTTCTCAACCGTTATGCTTTTGTTACTGCTATCCTTCCTTCAAAAATAAATAAATAAATAAATAAATAAAATTATATGTATGTTATTTTTACTACAGCTAACCAAAATTTTACCAATTGTTTTAGATTAACTTCTTCCTTTACAAAATACTTCCTAATGACTACCAAGTCAGGATTCTGGAGTTCTGGTTTCACCTTTCCTACTTGAAACATGTGTTCTTGACTAAATCCCTTAACCTTTCTGGATTTCAGCTATAAATAAAAAAGGTATTGGATTAGTTAACTTCTTAAGAGGTTCCTTTCAACTGTAACACTCTACGAGTCTTCCTGACCTCACAAAGAACTCTGCATTACATGTTAATTACAACATTCTTAGAGGTGTTGTTGTTTTTAACGTGTTATCACAAAGTCTTTTAGTGCTCATTCACTTTCAGGTATAACAGAAATACTAACAATTAGGATGACAAGTCCAAGAAAAAGACCTTCATACTTCTTACATGTCTTATTTCCTCTACCAAATTACAAATTTCTTGAGAGAAACAACATTCTTTTTCTTAAATGTCTTAAATGAAGACTCTTAATAACATTTAATGAATAAGAAGAGGCTGGGATCATAGAAACCAAAATGCTAAACTGAATATCACATTTTTTTAAAATGTGTTGTCTTTGTTTTTAAAAACAAAATCCAAATAGACATAGTATATATCCAATCATAAATTCCTCTTATATTTCCTGTATTACCGAAACCACATCCAAGAATATAAATGGCATTTGGGGGAGGCGAGAGGAAGCTTACTGAAAGCAGGCTGATAAATCTTTATATACCATCTGTACTTATTCCTATATAATGGTAAGAAACAGTTGGGAATTGGGAAAGGAGAAAAGAAAGCATGAAACCAGTATTTCTACCCCCAACTGCTATCATCACCACCGTCATCTTAAAGGGAACATTATGAAAGTGGTACATAAGAGAGGTGAGGAGAAAAAAGCAAGCATGGACATATTACCTAACAGCAAGGAAAATGATGTGCTCATGATGTGCAGCCTGATTTCAGGAGCATGTAAAAATAACTTGAACCTTTTCTATTATCACAGGGAAAATGTGAGCTCGTGTTATAACAAAATAATTTCAAAGATTTTTTCCCCACTATCACACCCCTGAAGTACAATCAGTTTTAAAACAAATTACCAGATGTTTTTGGTCAAACTGTTACACATTGTAATTGTTATTCAGATATACAAAATAAACATGGATAATTACTAAGGAAAAAAATAGCAAAAGATCTTTGCAGTTTCATGATTCTTACCTGTTCACTCTCCTAGGACACTTGTCTGGTTTAATATCTACCTCATAGAGGTAGACATCAATCTTTGGGATTTCAACTTGAAAACAGTTAGCCAGCAGTTTAATGGGTTTGCCCATGGTGCCATAGCCAGGTCTTCTGGGCACCATGAGTAGGGGCTGGGCCCCAGCGGGTCCTGCCAGGGGAAAGGGAAAAAAAAAGAGTCACAGTTACAAGCTGTATTCCAAAGCCTTGTCAACCAGAGTATATTAGAATTATAAGTACAGCTGATAATGGCTAAAACCTAGTTCTGCAAGATGACATCATTTCTAACACTTCAACTTCTGTCACCCCAGATTTCCTCTCTTCATTAAAAATAAACACAGAAAACCGTATGCCTCTGGAAAACTGTTCTGGAAAGGGCAGAGAGAAGGAAGAACAATCACACAAACCAAGCTGACCATGAGCAAGCACAAGTCAGACCTAAAGAGTGTGAGACCAATAGCAAAGTAAAGTTAAAGAAAGTAGAAGAAAGGGCAGGGCATGGTGGCTCATGCCTGGAATCCTAGTGCTTTAGGAGGCCAAGGTAGGAGGATCACTTGAGCTATGATAGTAACACGACGCTCCAGACTCAGTGCCAGAGAGAGAACTTGTCTCTATTTAAAAAAAAAAAAGAAAAGAAAAGAAAAGAGTAAAATAAGAAGCAATATGTAATAAAAAAGAATCAAGAAAGTACAGAATCAATTATTTGATTATTTGACAAGGTAAGTATCTCAGGCCAAGCATGGCAGCTCACACCTGTAATCCCAGCACTTTGGGACTCTGGGAGGCCAAAGCAGGTGGATCGCCTGAGCTCAGGAGTTTGAGACCACCATGGGCAACAAGGCAAAACCCCATCTCTACCAAAAATACAAAAAATTAGCTGAGTGTGGTGGTGCACACCTGTGGTCCCAGCTACACAGGAGGCTGAGGTGGGAGAATGGCTTGAGCCTGTGAGGCAGAGTTTGCAATGCGCCAAGATTATGCACTCCAGTCTGGGTGACAGAGTGAGACCCCGTAACAAAAAAACAAAAAAAGATAAGTGGGCTGGGTGCAGTGCCTCACGTCTGCAATCCCAGGACTTTGGGAGGCCAAAGCGGGCAGATCACCTGAGGTTGGGAGTTCAAGACCAGCCTGGCCAACATGGTGAAACCCTGTCTCTATTTAAAAAAATACAAAAATTAGCCAGGCATGGTGGTGCAGGCCTGTAGTTCCAGCTACTTAGCAGGCTGAGGCACCACTGCACTTCAGCCTGGGCAACAGAGTGAGGCTCTGTCTTACCAAAAAAAAAAAAAAAAAAAAAAGTAAATAAAATTGATAAAATCTAGGCAACACTGATTTCTTTTAAAAAGGAGGAAAAGGGCTTAACTAATAACAGAAGTGAAAAAAAGTCACTACAGCTACTGAAGACATTACATTGTGTCAATAAATTTGACAGTTTGATGAAACAGACAAATTCCTAGAGAAATAAAACTTACTGATACACTAAAGTACTATATAGCCAGGCACAGCATCTTGTGCCTGTAATCCCAGACACTCAGGAGGCTTAGGAGCTTAGGAGTTTGAGACTAGCCTGGGCAAAATGGCAAGACCCTGTCTTAAAAAAAAAAAAGTATTATTCATCAAATTTGAAAAGTCCTCTGTTGGTGGAACTATAAAATGGTACACTCACTTTGAAAAACAGTATGATGGTTCCTCAAAAAATGAAAAACAGAATTGCCATGTGATCTAGCAATTCTACTTCTGGGTATACACTCAAAAGAAGTGAAAGCAGAAAGAACTGATTGAAGAGTTATTTGTACACCCTAAGTACCCACTGATAGATGAATGAATAAACAAAATGTGGTATATACATACAATGAAATATTATTCAGCCTTAAAAAAGAAATTCTGACACACACTAAAACATGATTAACTTTGAAGATATTATGTTAAGTGAAATAAGACAGGCCGGGCATGGTGGCTCACACCTGTAATCCCAGCACTTTGGGAGGCCGAGGTGGGCAGACTGCTTGGGCTCAGGAGTTTAAGACCAGCCTGGGCAACATGGTAAAACCCCGTTTGTATCTACCAAAAACACAAAAAATTAGCCAGGTGTGCACCTGTAGTCCCAGCTACTCAGAAGACTGAGGTGGTAGAATCGCTTGAGCCCCGGAGGTGGAGGTTACAGTGAGCCGAGATCATGCCACTGCACTCCAGCCTGGGTGATAGCGCGAGACCCTTTTACTTAAAAAAAAAAAAAAAAAAGGGCTGGGGGTGGTGGCTCACACCTGTAATCCTAGCACTTTGGGAGGCCAAGGCAGGTGGATCACCTGAGGTTGGGAGTTCAAGACCAGCCTGGCCAACATGGTGAAACCCTGTCTCTACTAAAATTCAAAAATTAGCCAGGCATGATGGCAGGCACCTGTAATCCCAGATACCTGGGAGGCTGGGATGACAGAACTGCTTGAACCTGGGAGACAGTAGCTGCAGTGAGCCGAGATTGTGCCACTGCACTCCAGCCTGGGCAGCTAAGTGAGATTCTGTCCCAAAAAAAAAAAAAAAAAAGATGGGCATGGCACGCCTGTAATCCCAACACTCTGGGAAGCCAAGGCGGGAGGATCATTTGAGGTCAGGAGTTCGAGAATAGCCTGGCCAACATGGTGAAACATCATCTCCACCAAAAAAATACAAAAAAATTACCTGGGTGTGGTTGTGTGCACCTGTAGCCACCAGCTACTTGGGAGGCTGAGGCAGGAGAATCACTTGAACCTGGGAGGTGGAGGCTGCAGTGAGCTGAGATCATGCCACTGCACTCCCGCCTGGGTGACAGAGCGAGACTCCGTCTCAAAAAAAAAAACAAAACCAGTCACAGAATGACAAACACTATATAATTTATATGATTCCACTTACATGAGGTACCTAGAGTAGTCAATTTCATAAGAAACAGGAAGTAGACGTGTGGTCACCGGGAGTTGAGATATGAGCAAATGCAGATTTGTTAAATGGATATAGTTTCAGTTATAGAAAATGAAAAGAGTTGTGCAGATTGGCTGCACAACACTGTGAATGTACCGAACACTACTGACTATACACAAAAATGGTTAAGATGGTAAATTTAATGGTTGTATATTTTACATTTTTTAATCAAAAAAATTTAAAGAAAACCTGTGATGTCCAGCACTAAATTTTTGAAGCTCAAAATACAGCTTTGTTAATCAAAATTCAAACAATAAATTAATAAACTATTATCTGAATAAACTAAAAATTACATTAAAAAAATCTTAAAAGTCCTCCAAATAAATTAAATCCACAATTTAAAATACTTCCACATACATACAAAAAGATTCCAGATCCAGATGGCTTCACTAGAGAATTATACCAAACATTTAAGGAAAAAAATAACACCGATGTTATACAAACACTTCCAGAGAACAGAAAAGAAGTAAACACACCCCAATACAATTTATGATGCCAGAAAAATTCTGGTACTAAAACCTGACAAAAACACTATAAAAAAGGAAAATCATAAGCTAATCTAATTCACGAATATACATGCAAAAATCCTAACAAAATGTTAAATTAAATCCAACAATATATCAAAAGAATGAGTTTGTATCAGGAATAAAAAATTGGGCTAACAATAACTTTTATTCAGTGTAGATGAAAAGAGACTAAAATGCTGCCTGAATCATTTGTTTTTAAATTCCGCTTTGTGTTTTTTTAAAAATCTCTTCAGAGGGCATAATCTTTCCTATCCTAGCCTGAGATAAGTAATACTGTACAAATTCCGTACTAGCCCTTAGTACTGGCTCTGCCAATTATCTAATCATTTGACTGTCACCAAATACTGTCCCTGAATTTGTTTCCTGATCTAAAAAATGAAAATAATACTTGATCTGCCTCTTTCTTATGAAACTTGTCAAGATCAACTTAGAAAATCCACAAATTCTAAAATTTATCAAGTTCTGACTATGTCTCAGGCAATGTGCTAAGTGCTTTTATTTTACACCATGCAGGGCTAAGTTTTTGTATTTCTGGTAGAGACAGGGTTTCACCATGTTGCCCAGGCTCGTCCTGAACTCCTGAGAACAACTGATCTGCCCACCTTGGCCTCCCAAAATACTGGGATTACAGGTGTGAGCCACCAAGCCTGGCCTGCTAGGTGCTTTTACATGCATTATCTCATTTAATCTTCATACCAACCCTATAAAGGAAGGAATCATTTTACAGATGAGGAAAACTGAAATAATTTGCCTAAAATTTTTATAGCTAGTAAGTAGGAGAATTGGGATGGTAACCTGCCATGCTGGACTCTCTGTTCTGTTCCATTAGTTGTTTCTTTCACCAATACCACATTATCTTGATTACAGTAGCTTTATTGTGAGTCTTGAAGTTAGTTAGATAGTGTCAGCCCTCTGAGTTCTGAGTGAAAAAGTGTTATGATCTGACTTAAATTTTTTTTTAAGTATCACTCCAGCTGCTGTATGAAAAATTATACATAAGGGTACAAGCAGGGAGACCAGTCAGCAGACTATGTGGCTGTCTAGGTGAAAGATAATGTTGGCTAGAACTACAGTAGTACAGTTAGGGGAGTGATGTGGATGTGGAAAACATTTAGAAGGTAGGCCTGACAGGAATTGTTAAATGGACTAGATGTGGGGTATGAGGAGAAACATTCTCAAGGTTTTTTGGTCTGTACAACTGAAAGAACAGAAGTGTCATTTACTGAGATAGGAAAGACTCAGTGATAGTAGCAAGTTTGGAGGGGAAATCAAGAGGATTTTAAGGATATGCTAAATTTGAGGTGTCTACAAGTAGATGAATAGTAAGCAGTTAGATGAGTGTGGAGTTCAGAGGAGAGGTCCAGGCTGGAGGTGTAAATGTGGGTGTCCTCAGCATAGAAGTGTTATTTAAAACCACTGGATTAGAGATCAGACAGACTGTGGCATGGATACAGAATACTAACCCCAAGGATACTCCCAATATTTAGAAATTAGGGAAATGAAAACAGCAAAGGAACTGGAAAAGTAACAGCCAACAAGGTTGGAGGAGGACCTGGAGAGAGTGGTACCCTGAAAACCAAATGGAGAAAAACAGTGTTTCAAGAAGAAAATGTCATTAGATGTGGATGAAATAAAATGAAGATCTGGGAACTATTGGGTTTAGCTAAGTCTTTGCTGACCTTGATAAAAACAATTCCAGTCAAGTGCTAGGGACAAAAACCCAACTGTAGTAAGTTCAAAAAGAATGGCCTGAATTTGATCAAGCCCTTGGATCCACTAGCAGTTTACAGGAAATTCAAAGGATTATGTTAAATTAAATTGTAAAGATGGAACCAGCAAAATCCAGATCGTGAAAAATTCTAAAAGGACAAACAGCCCATAAATTGCAGAGGAGAAAAACAAGGAGAGAAAACTTACCGATTAAGACACTTAAAAGACATATCGATCAATCACAATGTGTAGAACTTATTTGGATTTTGAATCAAAAATTTTTTTTAGGCTGGGCGTGGTGGCTCATGCCTGTAATCCCAGCACTCTGGGAGGCTGACGCGGGCGGATCACCTGAGGTCAGGAGTTCAAGACCAGCCTGGCCAACATGGTGAAACCCCGTCTCTACTAAAAATACAAAAATTAGCCGGGCGTCATGGCGCATGCCTGTAATCCCAGCTACTCAGGAGGCTGAGGCAGGAGAATCGCTTGAACCTGGGAGGTGAAGGTTGCAGTCAGCCAAGATCATGCCACTGAACTCCAGCCTGGGCAACAGAGTGAGACTGTATCTCAAAAAAAAAAAAATTTTTTTTTAAGGCAAACAGTTTAAAAAATAATATGTGAGACAAGTAAAAATTTGAACAATGATTAGAAATTTTTATAAGTGATTATTATTTTGCTGTGATAATGGTACTATATCATGAGTCCATAACTTTTATAGTTACTACTAAATATGAATAAAATCATATTATACCTAGAATATGCTTCAAAAATATAAAAGAGGGAAAAGTAGAAGAGAAGCGATTGGACGTGGGTTGATGACTGCGTTTGGGTGGTGGGTACAATAGAGTTTATTATACAGTTCTGCCTATATGTATACATCCTAAATTCTCTATAGTAAAATATCATAAAAAAGAGAGAAATGGCCATTTCCTTTGCATGTGTCATCTCTTCTTACTATCCCATTGTACAGATAAGAAAATTAAGGTTAAGGAAGATTAAATGCACTGCCCAAAGTAGCAGTTAACTTTTTCTGATAGACTATTTTAGGGAAGTTTTAGGTTCACAGCAAAATTGAACAGAAGGTAGAGATTTCCCATATGTCCCAGGCCTCCTGCCCTGACATACACACAGACACCCTACTATCAACATCCTCTACAAGAGGAGAACATTTGCACTCAAACCTATACCGACACATCATTAATAAATTTCAGTTAATTTAAGAGCCAGAATCTGTCTCTAAAACCCATGTTTTTTACACTATATCATACTGTCAATTTTTTTCTCCATGGTCATTACTTTACCTGGTGCTTTTTAAATAATTTGGCACAAAGCAAAATTCTGTTGCATGAATAAGCAATGAACAGAATTCTATAGATACTAATCAAGTTTAGTATCCAGAAAATATTCTGGATATTTTCATAATATCCAGAATATTATGAAATATTTACATTACATAATAATGTAAATTAGCAGATGAAACAATTCTGTCAATACAATGAATTATACTTCCAATGAAGCATATTTTAGTTATTTAACAAATACATACTGCCCACTAGAGTTGGAAATATAACTACACAGAAATACAAAGCACTATCTGGACTTTCTCCCTATATCAAACTTTTCTTTCAGCAGTTATTGTATGTACTGGATAATAACTAACCAAACTAAATTTCAAACATAAAACCATACATTTCCAAAGCATACATGTGTCCATGTTGTTCACTCATCTAGTAATCCAATGTGTACCAGTTGGAAAGTCTAAAGCTAAACAATAGCCTACAGCAAATGTGACTGATGAAAAAAAACAAGCAGTGAATAAATCAAAATCAACTATAACATATACTATAGCCAATTACTAACTTATAGATTTTCACTGGAAACATTTTCTTTAATATTCATGGAATACTGTTTCAATAATTCTACTTCTAACAATTTATCCAAAAGCAAGCACTGGACCAGTATACAAACACATATGTACTAGAATACTTACAAAGTTTTAGTCATAATAACAAAAAACTGGAAAAAATCTAAACCACTATCAATGAGACTGATCAATATACAGATAAAATTAAATGCTATGTACTCAGTATAAATTATTATACTATTATATAGATGTAAGTAATGATATGGGAAAGATACTTACGACACATTACTAAGTGGAAAAAGAAGGTTAGAAACAATTCGTATGATAAATATATGGACAGACGGATGGATGTCTGGGAAGATATACAAGAAAGAGTTAACAATGGTTTCATCTGGAGGATAGGATCATACTTTCATCTTCTATTTGAGACATTCTTATATCGTTTGTTTTTTAAAGTAATAAACATGTAGTTATTATTTTATAATTGGAAAAAGAATGCATTTTTGGGCCGGGCACAGTGGCTCATACCTGTAATCCCAGCACTTCAGTAGGCCAAGAAGGGTGGATCACCTGAGGTCAGGTCTGGTTCAAGACCAGCCTGACTAACATGGTGAAACCCCATCTCCACTAAAAATACAAAAATTAGCTGGACGTGGTGGCGGGCACCTGTAATCCCAGCTACTAGGGAGACTGAGGCAGGATAATTGCTTGAGCCCAGGAGGCGGAGGTTGCAGTGAGCCGAGATCATGCCATTGCACTCCAGCCTGGGCGACAGAGCAAGACTCCGTCTCAAAAAAAAAAAAAAAAAAGAATACATTTTTGTTTTGGAAAAAGAAATATATTGTGTTGATCTCAAAATCTGACTTAATGAAATGTCTCTGATTTTATACATGTTAAGTCTGCAAAGCTACGTAGTAAACAGCATGGAACTTCAGGAACCTCCTACCTGCTAATTCCACTTTTTCATTCAATGAATCTGTCCAAACATACCGCACTTATTATTAGGCTCATTACAATTAAATAATCACTTATAGAACATCCAGCCAGTTGAGGGTTAAGCTTATCAGGTGGCAGTATGGGAAACAATTTATTTCTTTTTTTGAGCAGAATCTCGCACTGTGGTCCAGGCTGGAGGGCAGTGGCACGATCTTGGCTCACTGCAACCTCCGCCTCCCAGGTTCAAGCAATTCTCTTGTCTCAGCTTCCCAAGTGGCTGAATTACAGGTGTACGCCACCATGCCCAGCTAATTTTTGTATTTTTAATAGAGATGGGGTTTCACCATGTTGGTTAGGCTGGTCTTGAACTCCTAACCTCATGATCTGCCTGCTTCAGCCTCCTAAAGTGCTGGGATTACAGGTGGGAGCCACCACATCCGGCTGGGAAACAATTTTTTTTTTTTTTTGAGTTGCCCAGGCTGGAGTGCAATGCCGTGACCTCAACTCACTGCAATGTCCACCTCCCATGTTCAAAGGATTCTCCTGCCTCAGCCTCCCGAGTAGCGGGTATTACAGGCACCCGCCACTATGCCCGGCTAATTTTTTGTATTTTTAGTAGAGACGAGGTTTCACCATTTTGGTCAGGCTAGTCTCGAACTCCTGACCTCAGCTGATCCACCTGCCTCGGCCTCCCAAAGCACTGAGATTACAGGAGTGAGAAACAATTTTTAAAAGGCATTTCCTCCCTTGAAAATAAAAGGGGACATTTCCCTTGTTATTAGTAAGAGCCCATTTTGCAATCTATTCTTTCATCATTTTTAAAGTTCACAGAAATACTATGTCTCTCTCATATTGTTAGAAGATTCAGAAATCAGTTAAAATACCAAGTATTAGTAATGACTCAAAAGTAGTATTATGTAAGCTTACAATTGAGAACACATTCTTGTAAAATTTCTTCTACAAATGAAAAACCTAAAAATATGGGTGGGCATGGTGGCTCACTCCTGCAATCCCAGCATTTTGGGAGGCTGAGGCAGGAGGATCATTTGAGCCTAGGAATTCAAGACCAGCCTGTGCAACATAGTAAGATCCCGTCTCTACAAAAAATATTTTTTTAATCTAAAAATGTCTCACATCAATAGACTGTAGATACCACGTTCTGATTTCCCAAGAACTTGACAATTTGGAAATGATGTATAAAATAACTGGCTGATGTAAAACAAGGAATTCTAGGGCAGGTGCAGTGGCTCATGCCTGTAATCCCAGCACTCTGGGAGGCCGAGGTGAGTGGACTACCTGAGGTCAGGAGTTCAAGACCAGCCTGGCCAACATGGTGAAATCCCATCTCTACTAAAAATACTGAGCCAAGATCACACCATTGCACTCTAGCCTGGGCGACGAGAGCAAAACTCTGTCTCAAACAAACAAACAAACAAAAAACAAGGAATTCTTCATTTCCTTAAACTGACATTTCAGACTAATGCACACTTTTTTTTATTATAACCAAACCACAAAATGCCCACATTTTAATGTATAAGAGAAAGCATCAGTTGTGTGACAAGGTTTTGCTGAATCTCAATAGTTGGTTTTTTTTTTTTAAGCAGTGGCTAGCCAAAGAAAGTCATTAATATTAACACAGATAATGGCAGAAAACCACAGAAACTCCAAATACAGAAAGGCTGTTCATGTATCCTAACAGCATAACCATTATGGCTGAAAAACCACACAATATTCTTTCTCACATCTGTTTTGTTAATGAGCCAAGAATGAGGGTCTATTCAGTATCCAAGACAACTGAATTAGAAGGTAGGAATGTCTGGTAAATGCTGTTCATCTCAACAGTCTGAGACTAAACAGGTCTGGAAAGGATACTGATCTTAAATAAATTATCTTTTTAGTTTTACCTTCCTGAAAACAGAATTATCACTTTGGTCTTTTTTCCCCTACCCATTAGCAACAACAAAAACTTATAAATTACTTTTTAAGATTCTAGTTTTAAGTACTATAAGATAATATGTTTTGTTAGATTAATAATATTTTAATTCACCTTTCAGGTAGATCCTCAAGTATTTTAAGAATATAGAAACCGATGTGAAACTAGATGGCTATATTATAAAGCAAAATGGTATTCAACTAGAATCCATCAGCTTAGACAATTTGGCAAGAAATCTACTCTGAGCCAGGGTTTTTCCATATACAACAGAGAATTCTTCCAGGAAATGTCCCCTTTACAGGGCCCCAGGCCTCTTTGCATACTGTCAGGCCAGGCAGTAACTAAAAAACGCAATGTTCCCATTGGAAGATATAAACTAATACAAATTAATTCTAAATTACCAACTTATTACATACAATTCTCCAAAAAAGCAAAATGAAGTAGCATGTAGATATCTTTTCATTCATTCTAATGGCTTTCCTAAATAACTTAATTCCTTAAGTTTTAAAAAACTAAACAGATTAGTTTAGAATTTGGTTTAAAAATGTAAAGAACGGTTATATGAGGCTGATAGAATCATGGGTAATTTTGTAAATGTCTTCATGTTAACTGAATTATATTTGAAGGTTATCTATATGTCTTTTCCCTTAAGTCTTTTTTTAGAAGGAAAAATTTATTTTATGTCTCAATTTTTGTTTTCCCTCGGAGTCCCTTCATTGAAAGAGAAATTCTAAACCAAATATCAAAACAATCTTGCACATTTTTATAAGTCCCACTGCCAGTCAAGTGCAATAAATATATTTTTTTTAAGTCATAATGGTCACTCCAGGGCAGCATAAGCCAAAATTTAAGTGACAACCCAGTAGAAAAACCTTTATCACTTTCAAAATTCATGCCCACAGACAGAGCAGTAATTTGATTTTTTTTCTTCAAGGCAAAGAACTACAAGTGAGAAAATTTATATAACGACAAAAACATTTCTCAAAGTTATTAAAGAAGATTGTTTTCTGGGAGGCCGAGGCAGGCAGATCACCTGAGGTCAGGAGTTCAAGACCAGCCTGGCCAACATGGTGAAACCCCGTCTCTACTAAAAATACAAAAAATTAGCCAGGCATGGTGGTGCGCGCCTGTAATCCCATCTACTCGGGAGGCTGAGACAAGAGAATCACTTGAACCCAGGAGGCAGAGGCTGCAGTGAGCCAATATCATGCCACTGCACTCCAGCCTAGGCGACAGAGCAAGCAAGACTCCATCTCAAAAAAAATAAATAAATAAAAAGAAGATTGTTTTAAATACTAAATTGGGACCCTGATGGCATTACATATTTTAGTAGGTATTTTTGACCCATAATTTTTATCTACATCATTCAAATCCCAATCTTGATTTAGTTCTAGCTTCCCATATATGCAACTTTTATTCCTTTGGAACTTGGTTCCAAATAACTTTTCTAAAACTTTTATTATTAAATAAACACAGAACTCTAAAACAACTATTTTCAGACATGAATTTAAAAGTGTAAATAAGAAAGAAACAGTCTATTCACTTTTGCAAGACTGTATAAAACTTCCACCAAACATCAAACAATTTGCATGTCATTAATTTAAGGTAAAAGTAAATGTTTTTCTTCCATTATAAAGTGTAGTTCCTCTGTCCTAAACGGTAGTCTAACATTACCTGAAAACATAGACTAGAATAGTATGGACCTAAAAAATGAGTACTCAGGAGAAGTAACATCATCAAGCATTTCTGCAGCTCCCTATTCCCACTTTATTTAGAACTGAAACATAACCTATACTCTTAGTTCAGCAGTAATTAGACCATAAAAAACGGTGTTTCATCAGATGTTCCCCAACTAAAGAGTCACAGACACAGATGTTAAACTGTTGATTAATTTTTAACTAATTTCACCTTTTTTTTTGTTAAATCAAAGTTCTGATGGTACTAAATCAGTAGATTGCACAAGATATCCTTAAAAAGCATTTAAAATATTTCATATGAAAGAACAAATACTAACTTATATGGTATTTGTGTTCGAGGTTCCCTAATGTAAACAAATTTAACAGTTTTCTGTGTATCCACCGAGCAACTAGAATTTAAAATATCCTATCACAAGATGATTCCTGAGAATCTCCACAAAAAAGAAAAACTTATGGCAGAATTGGAAAGCCAAGATTCAATACTGAGTCAATAGACTTTTTGAGAACATTTATACTAAAATTTTAAAATCAAAATACGTGTCAAATGATGATTTTTTTTTTTTTTTTTTTTTTTTTTTTTTTTGAGACAGGGTCTTGCTCCGTCACCCAGGCTGGAGTTAGTGGCGCGATCATAGCTCACTGCAATCTCTGCCTTCTGGGCTCAATCCATTCTCCTGCCTCAGCCTCCCAAGTAGCTAGGACTGGAGACATGTGCCACAATTCTCGGCTAAGTTTTCTGTTTTTTGTAGAGGCAGGTCTCACTATGTTACCTAGGCTGGTCTCCAACTGCTGGGCTCAAGCGATCATCCTTCCTCAGCCTCCCAAAGTGCTGAGATTACAGGCATGAACCACCACACCCAGCCTAAATTATGGATTTAAAATTTAGTTGCACAGCTATGCTTTCAACTTAAAGCTAAGCATACCAATTATATACAAGTCTCAGGAATAATGAAAATTTTGTTTCTGATGACAATCTTGAGCCAAAGTATAGCTTATCTTCATTATTAGGCTACATTCAATCATGTATAAACTGTACTGAAGAAAAAACTTTACTTTTCAAGAGACCCAGGCATATAGTTGATAATCTAACTACACACTTCCCCAAATGTGAAGACAGCTAAATGGGTATCCATTTCAGCAATGGGACACCCAAAAAAGAAGAGGTAAAATGTATTTTCTGAGCTGTACTTGGCTTAGTTGTACCAGTTGACTAGGTGGTTTGATGTAACAAATGTTTTCTAAGACATTTCCCATATATATGGGCACAATATCATATGAAAAACCCTAAGGAGAAAAAGAAAAAACTTTAAAAACTTTTTTGAAATATCTTTAAAAGTTTTGGGATGATTAATAAAGGGTCTGACCTTCATGACTTGTTTTCCAGACTTGACAACAGGACAGTTATGTACAAAGATCACCTATGGTCCCAAATAATCACATCTCCTGTACAGTAAAACAGTAGTATGGTAATTTTTTTAAAAGGGCAGGACAGTTTCAGAAATACACAAATCAAAACTGAATAAGAGTCGAAATCTTTTCACAATCCAGACAGACCTTTTAAGACGATATGGGGGAAAGCGAAACAATGGAGCAGGAAAAAGAGATATGGTCTAAATTGATTAGAGAAACTTCCATGTAACAAAATTTGTAAAAAAAAAAAAAAAAAATTTGTAACTCTCTCCCCATCTCATCTCCCCAGTTTGAGTGCTTTTTTGCAACCATTTGACACGTAATCTATTCAACAAAGTTCTTAGCTATCGTTATGTCACTGGTTTCTTTTACGTAAGTTTTTCTTATATCAAATTGGCAAAAAGAGATATGGAATTCAGGAACTTGTAACACCATTAGTAACAAGACAGCCCCGCAAATATTTTGAAAATTAATTTACGAACTTGTGATCGTCTGAAGCATACTTTCAAATTTAATAAGCCAAGCATGATCATTTGTTAGGCAAACCGTTATGCAACACCTTTCTGTCCCTGAATTAATTACTTTAGAACCATAAACAATACTTTTCCTTTTTTAAGGACAAGTACTATCCATGTTGCAATTTTCTCTTAAGACTGCAAAACTGCTGCTCTTGCCCCCAGAGATAAAGCAGTTTTCTTAAATTCCAAATTTCCAGGAATATGACAACTACTTCTCTAAGGAATAGAGAATGAAAAAAAATATACTGTCAGCAATTTTAAGAACCACCTCCTCGTATAAGCAGGGATCCAGGCTGCTATGACATTTCCAAGCTCCTCAGAAACTATCTACCATGCTGCCACAAACAACAGAAAAGAACTCGAGGGTAGGAGCAATGCCATGTTGAATTTAACGTTGCACCAACACCTCCTTCGAACTTAATCTGAAGTTATCCGTTATCTCAGCCTATCTTCACAACTATCCTAAGAGGTAGGTAAGGGAGCTGGCTGGCTGCCCAGCCTCTACGGAACACACAACCTGGCTAAAGGACACGCACTCCAACTAGACAATGGCAAACCATTCTAAAGTCTAGAAGAAGGGTACTCCAGCAAAGAGTAATGCCGCCTAGATAACCCCAAACTTAAATCCTCCAAGCGTTTCCCCGCCTCGCAGTTTCGCCGACTCAGGGGCCCCCGGGGAACTGGGGCTGGGCTGCGGGGAGGTCGCGGAGGAGCAGGGCGAGGGGCGGGAGACCGAGCGATGCCCGCCCGACGCTCACCTCGCGCACCTGGGCCGGGCGGGAGGAGCAGGGATGCTCAGAGGACAGTAGCTGGGTGACATCCCCTACCTGGCCCAGCTACTCTGACTCACCTGCGGAGCCGATTTCCATTCATGGAGCTGGGGGGAGTGCTTCGAGGGAGAACGGAGCCCGCCACTGGCGGCAAGGAGGCGGCCCGGGGGGCGACGCGGCGCGACGCGACGGGCACTCTCACTCGGCCCCGAGGCGGGGGCGGCGACGGCTTCCCCTGAGCAACCGCACTCCGAAAGCTCTGGGCCGGAAGAGTCGCGGACGGAAAACGGCACAGGACTAGGCGAGAGGAAGGGGAGATGTGAGGCGCGGACAGAGGGGAGTCCCGTCCGGAAGTTGCATCGCCCGCGGCCGCCGACGCTCCCACCGCTCCTCCACGACTGCGGGCCGCCGCCGCCGACCTGCCCGGGGCCGCCCCGGAAGCTCGCCGGCGTCAGTTCCGCTGCCTGGCTTGCCCGGCGTCCTCGCCTCGCCTCTGGGCCCCGAGCCGTGCCGGAGCGACGTCGGGGCAGGAGCGGCCGGCGCGGAGGACGCCGGGGAGGTGTCCGGGAGCCGGGCCACATGCGGCGGGCTCGGCCGTACCCCGCCGGGCCGTGCCGGCCGGAGACAACGCGGAGGGGCAGGACTACTCGCGCCGCACGAGTGGGGGCGGTGCCTGTCTGCGACGACGTCGCGGCTGGCGGCGGGGCTTACCTGAGGAGTAGCCTACCTGGAGCCGGCGGGTGAAGGACCCCGAACTGCCGCGGAGGCCCCGAGCCGAGCCCGCTGGGGTAGGGCCACCCTCCTTCCTGAGCCCCCGCCACGCCCAGTCCGATCCACCCCACGCGCCGCCTCCTCACAGGCGGTCAAGTGACCACCGCAATTGACCTAAGTCCTAGGCTGCTTTAACGACCATTTTTAGGAAAAAAAAAATGTATTATAGTTTGGAAAAGATGACTAACAAACAGGACACTACACAAACATCAGATCGAGTAATTTCCATGTTTAAAACTCTTTAATAGCGCCTCGTCACACTTGAAAACCCAAACTCCTTTCCAGGGTGAAAACGCACGGCGTAAATGGGCCCCGCCTGTGCTACAGCTATACTGGTTGGCTTCCAATTCTCCCAACGGGCCAACCGCTGCTTTTTTCTGACTTGGAGCTTCTCTGCTTTTGGTTCCCTTGGCCAGGAACCCTCTCTCTCTTCTCCACCCTCCCCTTACGCCCTACCCCACAGCTTTTTTTTGCGTCTCAACGAAAGACATCTGAGACGCCTTTTCCGGACCACCCATCTATGGTGGGGCACCTGTTAGTCTACTACAGTATTGCCTTGGTAGCCCTTTGCCCAGTCTGTTATTTATTTACTACTTGTGTGCCCCCCACCTCACTTGAATGTCAGGCAAATATTAGGTCCTTAATAAATATTTGTTGCCTTAATGAAACATACTATTTTATTCAGGCTGAGGAATCATTCATAATTTCTCCCCATGTCCCTATGCTTCAGTAATACGGTTTTTTTTAATCAAAATAATTTTTTAAAGAGGAAAAGGAGAAAGAATATCCTATCTTCAGTTCCCCTCACTGTGGGACTTTGGATCAGTCACTTGATCTCTCTGGGCTTCAATTTTCTTATCTGAAAAATTGAGAGAACAGCATGTACCTTACACAGTTTGTAAGGTTAGGTAATATACATAAAGCACAGAGAAAATCCTCCCCAAATGTTAGTGAATAACACAAGTATTTACTATTTACCATTTTAAAGTACTTACCATATAATATTAAACAATAAATGTATGGGACTCAAAACCACATCTGACTCCAATTCTTACTTTCTTCTTCTTTCACATCCCTACCCCCATGGCTGAAAATACCCTCCCCAATTTTAAAATATCAAATTAAATGTCACCAGATGAAACACTGCATCTTAAAAGTCATTTTTAATCCTCGACTGTACACAATCCAAATCTTGGTAGCAGCATCTGACAGGGTAAATACCAACTCTTGTGCAAGGGTCTTTTATATCCTCAACCCCTCTGATTCTGGAACCGGTTCCCTAAACAAAGGCAGACTTCTTCAGCTTCTTCCAGAATAGACATTAGACATGGTGACAGTGATAAACCTTTGGGGTGGGCTAGTCTTTTTCAACATTGATGGAGCAGAATTTACACCCTCTGATTCAATCCATCTCAGTAAATGTCAATGATGCCTTCCTATCTACTTCTGCTATCCAGGAACCCACCTCTTTAGAGTCAATGCATGTGAAAGGCTCATGATTTGTAATATCAAGAAGTAGGAAGACAAAGAGGTTTGAAGGATTCTGCCAAAGGCAAAGCTGTATGAGGCTCTCTCCTGACTACATGTACACCCTATATTTGGATAACTCATTCCCAACTGAGTCTGCTCTTAAGGGTACAGAGCAGGGTCATTGGGTATTATCTTAACTGTCATTGCCCCAGTACCTAGAACAGTGCCAGTACCTGGCACATAGCAGCATTCAGTATATTTGTTGGATTGATGGACAGATAGGTGAATAAATAAATGAGCTTCAAGAATGGGGCTCAGCAAACAAGCTAAAACTCTGCCCTCATACCTGGTGACACTGGTTGTTCTGAGAAGAAAGAAATACAGAAATAGTACAAAATCTCAGGTGCAGAGAAATCAGTGCGCTCTGAAAGTTGAACCTCCTCAGGAGCCATCAAATACCCAGTGCAAAATTTCCTAAAATATGATACAAAAGTATAAACTAGAACAGAAAAAAGCAACAAACGGAGCTTTAATAAATTCACAAAATTTTAAACTTTTGCTCTTCAAAATGAAAAGGCAAGCCACAGACTGGGAAAAATAGATGTAAAAGATATATCCAACAAAGGACTTGTGTTTAAAATGAATAAAGAACTCTTACAACTCAATAAAACTCAATTTTGAAACAGGTAAAAGAGGCTGGGCCCAGTGGCTTGTGGCTTATGCCTGTAATTCCAGCACTTTGGGAGGCCGAGGCGGGAGGATAGCTTGAAGCTAAGAGAGGCCAGCCTGGGCAATACTAATGAGACCGAACTGCTACAAAAAAAATTTTTTTTTTAATTAGCTGGGCATGGTGGTGTGCGCCTGTAAGCCCAGCTACTCAGGAGGCTGAGGTGGGAGGATTGCTTGAGCCCAGGAGGCAGAAACTGCAGTGAGCCGCGATCATGAGACTGCACTCCAGCCTGGGTGACAGAGTGAGACACTGTCTCAAAAACAACAAATACAATGGGTAAAAGATGCAAACAACAAAGATATGGGGATAGTAAGTGAGCACATGAAAAGATGATCAATATCACTGGTCACTAATGAGCTACCAAATACTCAGTGCATGCAGGAAAGACAGAGTGGCCAGCTGCCGCTTTAAGTGTCATGTCCCTGCCCAGTAAGTCAGGCTCAGGGACACACAGTTCACACTTCCCTCCCTGCTGCCGCTATTATTCTACTCTGCTTAGGACTTTCTACTCCTAGGCTTCTTGTGTTAGACAAGAAACATCACTGGATGAGGAGAGCAACTGAGTACAATCCTCTCACATGGGCCAAGATTAGAGTCAACTGGGCACCTGAGTTCAAATCTCTTCTCCTAGACCATCAGTTTCTACAAGGTAGAAAGTAAGTTACTTTATACTCTAGCAAGATACAATATAAAACATGGGCTTTAGGGACAGACACAGCTAACACTGAAGGCCCTCTCTTACTTGCTGTGAGCCTGGGAAAGTCACTCTGATTCATGTTTCTCATCTGTAAAAGTTGAAGTACCTTTGAGACCAGATGCTGCTTATCCAACAGCCCTTATCTCCTTTCTTGCTAGTAGACATGACTGAACTTTCTAGTCTACACGACTCAAAGGATAATTCATTAATCTAAGCCACTCCTGATGGATGATCTTACTTGCTTTGCCAATGACAGGAGTGAGATGACCCATTTCTAGCAAAGCCATGAGGCCGTATCTGTTGGAGCTTCCAGGGGAAGACTTCCTTGCTTTAGAAGGACACAGAAAAATCTGTCTCTCTTTTGCCAGACACGGTTCTGTCAGCATTTCCTTCCCAGAATTACAGTAGCCATATTGGGACCATGAGGCGAACTGGCGTGAGGATAAACATGGAGGATGGCAGAGCAAAAAAATTTCAAGAAACTGAGTCTTTGGTGTTATCACTGAGCCACTGAATTAACCAACCTTGGAGTAACATTAAATTAGGATTTCTTGTCATATGAAATGATAGTTTTCTTATTTAAGAAAAATTTAATCAGAATTTTGTAATATGCAATTGAAGATAACTGATAAACTATTTCGCATGTAAAGATGCTGTAAGATGCAATTATATAAGATACTGTAGAAAACACCTAGCTAAGTACTTCAAAGTACCCAAACAAACCCTTCCTCCTTTTGCAGCTCACTCTCATTAATAGCCCACAGGCCTTTTCCAAAAACCTGGCTAAAAGTTCCCACTGTCTCTTTTAAGAGGAAAGTTCCCTCCCTTTGGAAAATGGGGACAAAGGACCAAAGGCTCCCTAGAAAGGTCCCTCAATATTATTATACTTTGTCCAAAAAAAAAAAAAAAAAAACCCCAAACAAAAAACCATTGCCAAGAGGATGGTGGTGAAGATGCTACAGTCCAGAACAACAGGACACAGTATGTTCCTGCAGGGTAAGCCACAAAGGCCTAAAAAACCTTGGTATGATATACTGGAGAAGGCAGTTGTGCGTAAGTGGAAAACTAAATGCATCTAATTCCCCAGCAAATCCACTTTTCCAGCTCTTCCTTCTTGACACAGCTGCTTTGAAGGAGTACTTCTGTCATGCTGTGTGCCTTCTAAGCCGGCCTAGGCATTTCTCAGCCTATCATCAGAGGAATAAATGTCTGCAAAGCTAGAACAAAAATGGTGAGCTAATTTTCCAATTCGACATTACTTCCCATTCAGGCAGTAGACAGCAGCTTAAGGATGGCCCAGACTCAGAAATTCCAACTAGGCTTTTCCTTGCACTAACTCTTTCGTTTAGCCACCAAATCCTAATTGCCATGAGATTCTGGGGTCTGCTACACCAAGAGATACCAAACAAATACCCAGCCTGACTACCCCAAGGCAACTGCTAGTCCAGAATGTGCTCCAGCATATTTTGCCAATTGACAGAGCAGAAGGAAGGATGCTCAACCAGTAATGAAAAGGAATGCCCAGAGGTGCCAGGACAAGCCTTCACTGAAAACCTTGAGCTCCAGGACCAAACAATGCAGGCTCCCAGTCTTTTTAACTTGAGTAGCAACCACAGGCAAATCCTGAAGGCTTTTCAATATCAATCTTTTCTAAAACTAAAGTTTATAGCAAAATTTGCCATAATCATCCTCCTCCTATTCCCCCTGCTAAGTTCTTTATTTCTGCCTCACTCGGAGTCATAAATTTATGTCTTATTTCAACTGGTCAAAATCTGCTCCATGTCCAATCTGCTCTTCAAGTTCAACCAACCTCCCTAACCCTTGCTGCTGAAAAGAAGCATGGGGCTGGCTGGCTCTTTCCCAAGGGAGTCTGCCAGATGATAGCCACAGGCCAATTTACAACACTTGGCCTCCAGAGGAATGCTAGGTCCACGTATGTACACACTGGCTGCCACTGACGATTTCTCACTGGGGTATCCGCCAGGATCCTTCTCTGAGCCTTCTTACCCCCATGCATAGAAATAACAATGCTCTAGCAGTACCAGGAAGAATGCCAGAATTTACATGCTTGACAATTATACCACCAGCTTAAAGTACAAAACCATAGAACCTCCAACTTGGGGTGAGTGGGAAAAGACAATGATAATGTAGTTAAGTATCTGCTTACCTGAAGATTCAGGAATTCTGAGTTCATCCTGTGTACTCCTATCACTTCTTGATCCACTGCCCACCCAGCCCATACTCATAAACCACAGACTACTAGCCTATTTCAATTATATTTGCACATACTGATCTGTTGGTATATGCCATGACCCTGAGATGACAAAAATGAAGAGAATATAGCTTCTGCTCCTAGGAGTTCATAGGCTCTAAAGAAGACAAATTATGGAAATAAATATAGTATGCTACTATTATCTAGTATGCTGGAACATGGTTTATAATATTGGCTAGGAACAAAATTAGGTTTTGTTTATTCTTTTACAATTATCTCCTAATTGGTGGTAGTTGTGGTGAACTTGAAAGTCCTAGTTTTAGCCATTTTAGAATTGGTTTTTCCAATGCTCATTTTCAAGAAATACTGGAGAATAACGTAAGTAAGTCATAGAGTTACAAGATCCCCAAAAGATGGGGAGTAGAAAGGTAAAACACACAGAAAAAAAAAGAACTCCCTCTCTGCAGCAGTTCATGTTGTTAATCACTCCCTTCATGAACCTTCTTCTACTCTGATTTCTTCTCCTACCTCACCAAACTGGCTAAACAAAGAAACAAAAAACCCACAAACTGTCTACCAGTGATCTGTCACCTTAAGATCTGCTTCCTCCCCCGAACCTTTAAATTGAGTTTCTTAGGGGGCTGTATACTAGTTTCTCTTCTCTTTTTCTAAGCTATCTCATTCATGCCTATGGCTTTAACTACCATCTATAAGACTCCTGTATCTATAAATGCAGTTTTACAGTCTTACCTGAGCACCAACCTGTGTTTACTGGACACCTTACCCTTACTGCCCCACAAACACCTCAAAACTCAGTCTATACAACATTCTGTTTCTTCAAAAACTCCCCACCTTCCTTCTACAGTCTCCCCGTCACCCCCATCTTGACTGGCAGAATGTCCCAACACACTCCTATGGTCAAGGAGAAACCTGGGAGCTAACCTCTACTCCTGTCTTCTCCTCCCACCAGCCATCGAGTCCTATTAATTCTACCTCGTCTCTCAAATCTGTCCCTTCCTCCCTATATTCGTTGTTGTAGCCTTATTCCACTCCCTCATTATCTTCCTCCTATGCCAGGGGACTATTTGGCTAATCATATCCCCCACCAAACTTAATTCCCTTAATGAGACGGACACTATTTTCCTCATTTTGAATTGTGCCTCCCCTCCCCACAATACTGCTGGCACAGTGCTTTGCATGTTTGTTGAATGAAGAATAAATGAAGGCTCTGTGAAGTATTCCTGCATAACAATCTACAGTATTATTCTCACCTAAAATCTATTAGAGATGTAATCAGTCCCAAAAGTTTGTTTTGCTGGTAGGAAAAAAAAAGAGAAAGACCGCACTTTAGAAATAGAAGCCACTGTTGTCTTTATAAAACACAGAATTGTGCTGCTGCTGCTGCTGCTGCTGATGTTGCTTGCTTCAGAAGGAACTGTACATTACAGCTGCTGGGATAATTTCACAATGGACTGGACAAGGTACAGCTCAAAGCAGGACACAAACACAAATCTCAAAGGGAAACAAATGCAAACAAGTACACAGCTGTGGGGATCCAGAGACATTTCCCCATCCATGCTGGACTTGAGAGGGATAAAAAGTTTAGAAACTAAAGTGAAAACCAGAGTAGTCACACATGCCCACCACATGGCTGCTAAGTGCAACATCACATACCAATTAGGCTGGACTGTGTGCACAGGAAAGTAATTTCATTTTTCCTTATTGCTACTACACCAAGGGACTCAGTGCATTCAACAAATGTCTTTACTTGCACAATTCTTGGAGGGTTTCCTATTTTCCTCTGTAAAGAAGAAAATCTCCCTTTCCCACCTCATTCTGTTTTGTTTTTAGCTCATTCCTTCCCCTCCCTTTCTTGGATGCCCAAACAGCAGCCAGAGGCTCTAAGTCAGTATGAGTAGAGTAAGGGAGAGCACCAACCCAGCCTCTCTCCCTGCCCAGGGAGAAGGCAAGTCCTATTAAGTCGGAGGAAAGCGAAAACCAGAAAATACCTCCTTCCCAATCTGCTTAGAAGGCCAAA
Source organism: Homo sapiens (assembly GCF_000001405.40). Classification (NCBI taxonomy): domain Eukaryota; kingdom Metazoa; phylum Chordata; class Mammalia; order Primates; family Hominidae; genus Homo; species Homo sapiens. The sequence goes on along the minus strand of NC_000001.11, from coordinate 35,923,607 downwards.
TAGTAAAAAGTGCCCTGCATATCCCTGCCATGATCAGATTTTAAGAAGGAAGGTATTCCAGCTACCATCCTGGATTGGCCTAGGCCCCATATATAAATAAAAATAACGTCCCCCAATGTAGTTTCCAAAACTGCCTTTTGGCTAGTTTGAGATGATTTTTCTACCCTGATGGGGAAGAAACGTCCAACCTTGTTAGTTACACATGATTCCAGGTCCAAAACTGTCCCACCAGCCTTACAGATATCCTATGGGCCAGCTAATAGTCAGTGCACCCTTGGCTGCCCATCTTGAGTGCTGGCCTTATTCACAAACAGAAAAAAAAAGTATCCAAAAACACTGCTGCTTAGCTAAATAGGAGGCCACAGAGAAGCTATCTAGCAGGTGGGCATTAGGAGCTTTTTAGGGAAGTTTCAAATTTCTAGGTACCTTCTTCGGCTTTATGTTAAGCCTAAGTTCCCAGCAACAGTAGCCCCAGGCTTATCCCTGGAGGCCAGTGTAGCACCTCGATCCCTAATGGATCAGGTTGGACTGGATAAACAATCAAAGAACAGTGCTCTCCTTTCCCACCTTTTATTCAAATTCTCTCCATTCTCTTCTCATCACTCTTTTTCCTTTATGTCCATCCCCTAACACTCAAACCCAGGATACCCAAATAGCTCAACCCTAAGACAATCTCAGAAAAGCCAGGCCCCAGGTAAAGAGAAAAAGAACCAGATTTAGAAAAAGCAATGAGAGAAACCAGCTCCAAGGAGTGGACAGGTGTGGAAAATGCCAGAAACCCTCCTGACTTCACACAAGTTGGGCAGGTCAGTTGCTCTTCTCTAGTATAAGCTTGAGGGCAGTCCAGCCCAGGTGGACATCTCTGGGCTTGGGGAACAGGTTCTTGGTCTTCTGCAGTCAAGGAGCTAAGCCTGACCCTGCCAGCTAACAGTGGGATCATTGCAGCCATGCAGAGATTTCATCATCACATAGGCAGACAGGCAGGCAGGCAGGCAGGCAGGCAGGCAGGCCGGCCAGCAAGCAAGCAGAGTGAATAGAAGAAAAGGGAAAGGAAGCCAGGCAAAGAGAGAAGAGGAAAAGGAAGGCAAAACAGTGGTACAAAGGGAACAAGAGACCCAACTAAGAGGATGAGGCTGGGGGTCCCCCAAGCACTTCCTTGAAGCTTGGGTAAGAAGCACCACTTAAACCAAATCCACATGAGCCAAAGCTTGCTGCCAACACCACTTCTCCATCTGCATGCACCACCTTTCAAACAGGAATAATCTCAAGGTCGGGGTATTTTTCAAGTCTCAAAAATTATCTTTTTACAAAAAAATCAGAGTAAGAACTCATTTCTTGTCATTGCCCAAAGCTGATTCTCTTGCTTTTTATTTCTTGAATGGCATAAGCCACGTCAAAGGGCTAAAAATGCATTTCAAGCCCCAGCTGAAAACCAACTGGAGAGAGTGAGGCAAAGAGAGAAAAGGAGAGAACACAAACTTGTTGCTGGGAGTAGAGGCTGCCACCTGCTCCCTATGGACATTTGCAAATGCTGGTGAATGACTGGACCCTCCAGGAATAGTGCCCTGATCCTAGCCCCAAAATGTATCCAAGTGGAGAACATGCAGAGCCCACTGTCCCAGGAGAACTCCCCTCCCCAAAGGGTGACAGAACACGAAGTAGACTGTATATGAAGGCAATGGACAGGGCAGATGGAGTGTTAGCATCACTCTCTTTAGGCACTTGTGTAAGGAATGTAGGCTCTCCAGTGAGCTGCCTCCTCCCAGAGCCCTCCATTCTGTTCTTCAGCTGGGCTTGTGCCTATAGGGCACCCCATGCTGTAGCCAGCAGGAAAAAAGTAAAGGAGGAGTTACTCAACAGTCCTGATGCTTTCTCCATAATGAATGTTTGTGCTACGTTTTGTGAGTTGCTGAACAATGTAGCCAACCAGAACAGAACCTGGGATAGATTGTTTTGCATAGCAAATCCGGGTCATACAAGGGCAGCTAAGGGGAGGAAATGGTAGTTCTAACTCTACAGGCCAGGATTTAGACCCTTCTTCCTCCAGCTGGCCTCCAAGCCTGGGCTAGGTCTAAAGTAATCATGGCTTCATCACCAGATCAGGATAGATCCAAGCCCAGGCTCCTCAAAGAGGAAATTCCACACTGAAGTTGCAACTCCCCATCCCAAGCAGTGGGGCAGGAAAAAAATGAACAGTCAAGGAAAAAGGGCAGGGGGGATGCTTGCTTCAAGGCCAACAGAGACCAAGCTAGAACCACCACCTTCTCCAGTCCTGCAAGACAGCCAAACCCCATGTCTCAAGACAAAAAAAAAAAAAAAAAAAAGTCCATGCCACCCACCCACATGCCCTAGTGGGAAACCAGGAAAAATTCATTTTTGTAAACAGAAGCAATAGGGAGCAGCAAAATTCCCCAGCCTGTCCACAGGACACACTGCAATCTAGGATGAGCCAAAGGGTCAGAGGACAGTCCAGGGGAAGGAAAAAGATGCACTTGCAAGAAAGAGTGCAGGACAGTGCAGAGGAGGGAGGCTATAGCAAGAAAAAGGTATTATCTGCACAGAGGAAGGATGGAGCCTGGACCCCATCTTGGGGCGATAACCACCCCCTCCCTACCTAGCCAGGTCAGAGAACAAATCAGGTACACAGTTCATTCTGATGGCTCAATGTTTCTGGGATATAAACTCATCAGGCATGGGAAGGATTTCCAAATTTTGGCAATACACTCAAGTTATGGTATAAAAATAACATTTTGTTTTCTCTCTTTTTTCTCATTTTAGACCTAAGAGTTTTTTGTTATAAGACACCCCAGTTAAGAAATATTGAAACATAAGAGACTTGACCATCAAGGGAGAAAAGAAGCCAAGAGTGAAAAATGCTATGAAAGTAACTCCAGACCTGGGCGGGGCGGGAGGTAGGAGGAATAAGGAGAAAAGGAGGCATAAGTGGAAAGGCCAGGGGCCTGTCATCTCAGCAGCTCCGAGACTTGTCATGTTTGAAAGTGCAAATGTCAATGGATTTTAACCATCTTGAGGTTGTGATCTTTTAAAAAGCTCAATGAATGAGGAAGTCAATTCCTTCAAATGCAAAATAGCTGGCTTTCTGGCTGGAGGTTTGTTGGGTCTGGGGTATTTCTTCCCCATCTACCTCCTCTCCCACCCCCACCCCATTCCCCAAAGAAAGGTACAAAAGGTTGCAGTTCTGCAGCATTACCGTTACAGGGAAGGCACTGGTTACCCACCAGCGGGCGGAAGGAAGACAGGGTCGTGTCACTTCAAAGCTAAGTGCCATAGTGCCTTAAGTATTACTAGGGGCTGGATGTCTGTCAGGGAGGAGAAGTAAGGTGGGGCAGAAAATGTGGACAGAGAGGAATAAGGGTAAGGTGGGGGGTGGCAGCTGGGGGAGGAGCAACCAAAACCATTAAAAAATCTTCCTACAAACTGGATTCTGAACCCATTAAAACATCTAGTATCCTAAAATATTGATCTGGGTCTGGTTTCATTTTTCTTCTTAAACAAATCTAGTCCTTTTCTGATTAAGGCTCCTAAAAAATCCTTCCCTCCTCCCACCCACTTTCTCAAGCCCCTCACTTTCCCATCTAAAGTATCAAACCCAAACCTAACCAGCTTTTGTCTGCAGGGCTACAGAGTTGACCTTACCAAGCTGTCAAGCATGAGTCTTTAGCACTGTGAGTCACATGAGACACCTGTGTGTATGGTGGGCACCAGTGCTGCCCCTTTTGGTCCAGTGGGGTCAGGGCCAGATGTGACAAGATGGGGTGAGGGGTGGGGGACATGAGGTTGATATCAGAGATTTCTGGCTGGTGGTCTGTCTTGCTGGCCCTGTTCCCCACTCTTACACCACCTCTATAGAAGGAAACAAGGCATCCTACACTCCTCCCTACCCCACCTCCCTCCTCCTTGCTTCCTCTGGATTTGGGTGGCACAGCTCCTGGGGCTTGGAAAGCTTTCTTCTATCCAGTGAGGTAACAGCGTTCTGCCTTCAAGCGAAGTACATGGTGCGCAGAGTATCCTGGTGAACCTGCACGGCTTTGGCCAGGGCCTGGGGGTCCCGCCCATTGCTCTGCCCCGATATGTGGCTCCCCTCTCCACTGAAAAGGAAAAAATGAAAGAAGTCCTTCCTGGTGAACTGAGAGCTGCTGCTAATTCCCTCGCCCAGCCCTGGGATGCCAATTCCCATACCAACTTAAGAGAGAAACCCAACCCAGGATTGGGCAGACGAGCCCAATGACACCAAATTGGACAGCACTCATTTCCTTCTACCCAAGGAAAGTTAAGAAGATCTGGCACAATAGGCTGAAGCAAAAAGGAGGCCAACCTGATCCCAGGCCTCACCTGTCATGCTCCTTGTCCACCAGGTGGTATCGTGCCCGGAAAGCCACCAGGCGGGCATAGTAGGCAGGTGCTGGGATAGAGACAGAGCGTGTGCATCGTACGTAAGTGTGGCACAGCTGGTACGTCAGGATCTGGAGCTCATCTGCTGTGAAACGGTTGTCATCCCAAAGAACATAGTAATGGGATGGTCGGCTGGTGCCCTGGGAAGATAGGAAGGTGAGGGGTCCCAGGCTGGGCAGAGAAGATGGCTGATAATAGGGGAACAGGATCACTGTTAAGAATATGGCTGGGTAGATAATTCACCCATGAACAGGCAGATGCAAAACTACCAATGTCATAAAGCACTCTTCTTATAAGCAACCTGCAAGTGTACTCAGGGCTTATTACGACAGCAGTCCTGGCCGGGCACAGTGGCTCATGCCTGTAATCCCAGCACTTTGGGAGGCCAAGGTGGGTGGATCACTTGAGGTCAGGAGTTCAAGAACAGCAGGGCCAAAATGGTGAAACCCTGTCTCTACTAAAAATACAAAAATTAGCTGGGCATGGTGGCGCATGCTTGTAATCCCAGCTACTTGGGAGGCTGAGGCGGGAAGGCAGGAAGACTGCTTAAACCCAGAAGGTGGAGGTTGCAGTTAGCTGAAATTGTGCCACTGCACTCCAGCCTGGGGGACAGAGTGAGACTCCGCCTCAAAACAAAACAAAACAGAACAAACAGAAAAGAGAGCAATCCTAATTTGGATGTCATTCAGTGATGACTGATACATTCTAGAGGCAATATGAATGAACAACTCATCTTTGACCCATTGGAACCACAAGATAAAGCCCAGCTACCTGGATGCCTGCGTGGCTGCACAGATAGAAGTCAAACTCAAATGGGTGGGTGATGTTGGTGTCCACTGTGGTCCCAGCTGGGATGTTACCACTCTTCCCAATCTGTATAGAGACAAACACAACCAAGATCCCAAGACCTGCCTGGCCCTAACCAGGACCCTGGCTCAATTCTACTCTGATTTCACCAAAATCCCAAGAACAAAGCCAAAGTTGCTATTCCCTGAGGGTACTGAATCTTAAAATAATATGCTTCTAAAGTCACACAGACCTGTGTTCAAGTCCTATTAGCTGTGTGATCTTAGCAAGTCGTTTAACCTTTCTGAGGTTAAATTGGAGATAATAATAATACGTACCTCACAGGGTTGCTGTGAGGAAGACGCCTTGTACAGTATCTGGCACATAGGAGGAGTTCAATAAATGGTAGTTCCCTTCCCCTTCTCTAGGAGCTGGTCTATATATGGGGTCTAGGCCAGGGAGCTAGGAGGAGGGAAAGGAAGTATAAGGGAAGGACGGGAGGAGGTGGACACTAGTGAAGGCGGTGGCAGAGGAAGGACCACAAGAGCTAGGAGGAGGGAAGGGGCCAGGGAGGATAGATAGGACAAGGACTAAATCCCCAGCCTTTATCTCAAGGGCTTCTTCTCTATTAAGATAAGGGAGACAGAAGGAGGGGATGGGAGGCCTCAGTCCCTCACTCACTCGCTCATTCTTGTCAGCACAGAAAAGGCGGGTGTGATGGCGTTTCTGCACCACAATATAAGTGATCCCAGGCTGGTAGTCCTTTTCCAGTTTGATGCAGGCATCACGAATGGCCAGTAGCTCATAGTGGAGTATCTAGGCACAAAAAAATGGGGAGGGAAACAAAGAAATACACAGTTCCTCTTGAGTTCACATACCCTTCTGAACTAAGGAGTTGCCACTTGTAATATAACTTTTGGCTCAGTCTCCCTTTATATGCTGATGCTCAACAATTAGAGATGACAGGCCCTTCTTGTCAAAAGCAGCCTTATGCTCAGTTCACTTAATATGCTCCTATAAAACCTTGGCCAGGAGGCTTGGCATCAGAAGACAACACTCATCTGGTTCCTGTGTATAAAGAGACCTAATACCAAGACACAGAACCAAGGTTCACAGAGAAATCACTAAAATCACAATGCCCAAAGTTAGTTTCACACAGGATCAGGTGACTAATGAGAGTTCTCCTTTGGGCTCCAAGAGCAGACAGGTTGTGGACCACCAGAGAAGAGCAGACATATAGTTCCATAATGGGTGCAGAGAGAGTAGGTGAATTCAGTCCTGCAAAGCAGCAGGATTATAAGAAAACAGGCTAGCTAAGGGAAAAGCTAGAAGTAAATAATCATAGGCAATAGTTGCCTGTGGCCGTGGATGTCAGATACAGAGGGTCAAAACTGTATGGTAGAGAAGGATAGACTTTGGAATCAATTAGATTTAAATCCAAGCTTTATCTAGTTGTATTACATCAGGCAAGTTATTCAACTCCACTAAGTCTCATTTTCTCCACGTCTGTTAATGTTACTAAGACCTGCTTCACAAAGCTATTAAGAAGACTACGATAGACAATTAAGTAAAAGCATAGAAAACCTAGTAGGGCTTAATAACTACTGATTGCTTTGCTAAGCAGTTTGAATTTTAACTCAAAGCTATGTGAAGCCACTAGACATTTCTGAACAGATATGTGATATGATAAATGTGTCTGTTATTTTAGAAAATACTGGATGACTTAGAAATTGGGCATAATGGCCGGGCACGGTGGCTCACGCCTGTATTTCCAGCACTTTGGGAGGCCAAGGCGGGTGGATCATTTGAGGTCAGGAGTTTGAGACCAGCCTGGCCGACATAGTGAAACCCCATCTCTACTAAAAATACAAAAATAAGCTGGGTGTGGTGACTCATACCTATAGCCCCAGCTACTTGGGAGGCTGAGGAAAGAGAATCGCTTGAGCCCGGGAGGCAGAAGCTGCAGTGAGCTAAGATCACACCACTGCGCTCCACCCTGGGCAAGAGCGAGACTCTGTTCCCCCCAAAAAAAAGAAAAAAAGAAACTGGGCATAACAGTTAAGAGCATAAACTATGGAATCAGACCAATGTGTCTGAATCCCGGTTCCACTCCTAATTATCTTTGATGACATTAAAGATCATGTAACATTTCCAAGCCTGTTTTCTCATCTGTTAAATGGAAATACACTATTATTCCAAAGGACTATTGTAAAGCATTAAATAGAACATATGTTTCCACTCAGATTTAGGGAAAAAAAAAAGAAAGTGAAGTGCTTAGGACAGTTCATGGCACATAGGAAGTTCATTGGAACAGTAGTTATAATACTATTAAATGGTAGTCAAGGATACCAGTTCAGGATAGAAGTTAAAAAAAAAAAATGAAGGCTGGCAGTGAGAATGAATAGGAGGAATATTATGAAGGAGGGTCAACAGCATTAGTCCTCAAATGTAGTCTCCAGACTATCAGCATCGCCTAAGAACTTGTCAGTATTGTAAATTCTTGGCCCTCATCCAAGACTCACTGAATCAGAAACTCTAAGGGTAGAGCCCTTAAAACTGTTTTAACAAGCCCTCCAGGCGATCTTAATGTAAGCTAGCATTTGAGAATCACTGGTCTAAACAATCAGTCTCCAACATGAACCAACTACTTAAATAGGCAGTGAGGGTCTTCTATTATGAGAAGAAAAATCTACAGATGCTTGTACACTCCATCCCTCAGTTGCGATCCTTGCCCCCAAGTCTACTCCATTTAGCAAAGCTCACTAAGAAGTGACACACCTCTCAGTGCCAATAGCTTAGAAAAGGTAGTAGCACCTAGCTTTCCAGCCATGATGTGAAGGTTTTCTCCACCTACTGTGGGCCCTACCTGGGGTAGCTGGCCTTCAGGCACCCCATCTCGGTAGAAGATGATGCGGGTAGGCTTGAAACGGGTGGACTTGTAGAATTGGATGAGGAGCTCACGCACCATGTAGGACAAGTCTTCAATGATCTCTTGCCGTGGTCGCTGTACCCGCACAGTAGCACAGTATCGGCTGGGGTGGGCATCCATACTGCCTACCACCTGACAGTCAGAGAGAAAGGATTAGCTCCTAGAACCTTCACCTTCACTGTCAGGCTATGGGTTTGTGGAAAGGCTTCTTAGCAAGAAAACTACAACTGAATGACTAGGGCTTGAGACTCAGTGAGCCCTGGTTTCAATCTCTATTCTATCACACAAGCAGAAGTTACTCAATCTCTCTGATCTTTTTTCCTCTTCTCAGATGGTGATAAGAACACCTGCTTGCAGCGCTACTGGGGTCCATATTAAGCACCTTACACAGGACGTAGCCCACAGTAGGTACTTGATAAACTGATTTCTCTCCCCTTTGCAGAGGAGCATGTGAAGGTTTAGCACTACTAAATCAAACAATGGCCTCATCCAGTCCCAAGTTTATCCTTTTTCCCATTCAAATGCTAATCTACCCAGGAATCATGACCATAGTAACAGTGTTCTTGTGGTTGATGGAAGAAATGCCATTTACAAAGGAGACAGCAGCCAAAGCCTAGGAGGGATGGCCACAAGGAAAACAGGGATAAGCATATTATAGGGTTTCCCTGCACTTACTGAGGTTAAGACCAGTGTGCTTACAGAAATGTGAGGGTTTAGGAAATATAAGTGGGAAAGAAGGTCTAATCCCTAGCAATTTGGAAGCCCCTAAGAGACAAAGAGCAGAAAAGTCAGGAGAGAGATAAGAGAAACATCTAATCTATTATACAGATCGGGGTGAGGATGGGCAGAGCAAAGGATAGTCCTCGCAACTAAGTAACTCCCTTTAAAGGGATTTCAGAGAAGATATAGTCCCTCCCCTACATCCCAAAAGCAGGCATGGGGAAAGAAAGACATTCAAATGCAGAGCAAGAGTGATGCAGAATGAGTCAAGTCTCTGGCTACACTCTCATTACTCTCCCTGAAAAAAGACACCATACAGAGCTACCTTTATGAGATATCAAGGGAATGGGAATTGGGAATAGCGAGCTAAATGGACATCTTATGAAGGCTCAAGAGCCAGAGCTGAGGGAAGGAAATCATGGGCAGTTTTGAGGACTCAGAGCGAAGAGGAGAACCTTATGAGGCAGCTACAGAATATCACTCACTGCTGTGATAGAAGGTTTTTTCCCATCCCCTGCTGGGGGGTGTGTAACATCTGCTCCCAGGAATATCACTGGCTGTTGAAAAACGGCAGAGCTGAGCAAGGAAGAGAAAACAAAATGGTGAGGCGCTGGGTCTTCTCTAGCTGGCACCATCCAGTACCCACTCTGCTCTTCTCCCCCTTATGTCTGATTCAGTCTGCCTGGCCAGGGTCCTATCTCTTCATCAATTCCCAGCATGGTACCTTGACAAGGGCAAGTGGACAACAGAGTTCATACCGCTGGTGTGGGACTAGGATGTTGTTAATGCCACCAAGTTTGACATTGATCTTGAGGCAGAGGTTGGACAGAGTCTGAGGTGAGGTCTTGACCACGTTCTTCACCTGCACACACTGCGTAGCCATTCCCAAGAGTGTATCTCCGACACGTTTCACCTCAGCTAAGGGCAGGGAGAGAAATGATTAGTGCATTCAACAAATATTTACTGAATGCCTACTAGATGCCAGGCAGTGTATGAGGTGCTAGGGAACACAATAATGACAGGAAACACATAAGGTCCTTACTCTCAAAGTGCTTACTAAATAGGGACTAATTTTAAAAATCGTGAAAATTACAACGCTGATAAATGACACAACAGAAAACTTCATGGAACAATAACAGCATAAAATGGGAAATAAAAACCTAGTCAGGAAAGGATTCTTGAGTAGGTAATGATTGAAATGAAATCTGATGACAGCAAAGGACTTAGAGGAGAGGGGGAGTTTGAGAGAGAGCATTCCAGGCAGAGGGAACAACATGCAAAAATGCACCCTGCTAGAAGACAGCAAGATGTGTTTGAGAAACAGAAAGGCCATAGCAGCTAAAAAGAAGAGCAAGGGGAGCATGTTGTAAGGAAAGAATGTGGTCATTAGACTGACCTACCAGAGGAGATAAGGGTAGCCTAGATTAACAAGACCGGTGAACGCCAGGCGCGGTGGCTCACGCCTGTAATCCCAGCACTTTGGGAGGCCGAGGCGGGTGGATCATGAGGTCAGGAGATTGAGATCATCCTGGTTAACATGGTGAAACCCCATCTCTACTAAAAATACAAAAAATTAGCCAGGCATGGTGGCGGGCGCCTGTAGTCCCAGCTACTTGGGAGGCTGAGGCAGGAGAATGGCGTGAACCCGGGAGGTGGAGCTTGTAGTGAGCCGAGATTGTGCCACTGCACTCCAGCCTGGGCGACAGAGTGAGACTCCATATCCAGAAGAAAAAAAAAAAAAGATGGGTGAGTTGTTGAGACGGAGAAAAACAAATGGATTCCACAGATATTTAAGGGACTCAAGTTATAGACTACATGTGTGAGTAAGGGAAAAGAAAATTTTTATGGATAACTTTTAAGTTTCCAGCTTCTGTAATAAAAATAGGCCAGCCGGGCACGGTGGCTTACGCCTGTAATCCCAGCACTTTGGGAGGCTCAGGTGGGTGGATCACGAGGTCAGGAGTTCAAGAACAGCCTGGCCAACATGGTGAAACCCCGTATCTACTAAAAATACAAAAATTAGCTGGGTGTGGTGGCATGTGCCTGTAATCCCAGCTACTTGGGAGGCTGAGGCAGGAGAATCACTTGAACCTGGGAGGCAGAGGTTACAGTGAGACGAGATCACACCCACTGCACTACAGCCTGGGTGACAGAGCAAGACTCCGTCTCAGAAAAATAAATAAAAAAATAAAATAAAATAAAAATAGGCCATAAATTATTTGTGAGACATTTTGAGTCTGAAGTAGTTTTTTGGTCATCTCAGTGAGGATATCAACTAAGCAAATGGGCCTCATGGTTCGATGCTCAAAAGAGTAGTCTGAAATGGAGATGCAAATTTGTGTGATAATTAGGTACAGGTAGTAGTTGAAGGCATGCTTTTTTTTTTTTTTTTTTTTTTTCTGAGACAGAGTCTCGCTCTGTCTCCCAGGCTGGAGTGCAGTGGCACGATCTCGGCTCACTGCAAGCTCCGCCTCCCGGGTTCACACCATTCTCCTGCCTCAGCCTCCTGAGTAGCTGGGACTACAGGTGCCCGCCACCATGTCCGGTTAATTTTTTGTATGTTTTTAGTAGAGATGGGGTTTCACCATGTTAGCCAGGATGGTCTCGATCTCCTGACCTCATGATCCGCCTGCCTCGGCCTCCCAAAGTGCTGGGATTACACGCGTGAGCCACCGCGCCCGGCCGAAGGCATGATCTTGAGATCACTAAGGAAGATAACATAGTAAAAAGAGAAGACAACCTAGATCTGAATCTTGAGGAACTCCCAGTATTGGCAGAACAAGAAGATGAGTCAGCAAAGGACAAAAAAATCCAGAAAGCTAGAAGGAAGACTAAGATAGTGTTGTATCACGAGTGCCAAGGGAAGAAAGAGAGTGTTTCAAGAAGGAGCAAGTGGTCAACAAAGTGAAATGTGTCTAAGAGATGAGGTAAAATCAGGACCAGAAATGTCCTCTGGAGTTAGTGATATTAAGATTAAAAAAAAATTAGTGTATAGAGGCAAAAATTGTTGTGGTGATTTAAGGTACCAGGAAGAAAATGTAGGACTGACCAAGAATTTGGTATGCTTTCAATGGAAGAGATTTGAGCATGTTTAAAAAGATCATATCTACTTCCAAGAGAGATGGAATAGCGGCAAGCCAGTTCTACAGACAACACTCAGAAAAGCCAGATAAAATATAAAAATCATCTTTTTAAAGGCAGCAGAGAATGCTAAGAAAACAAGAACTAGAGGGGGTAAAATTCCAGAGAGGGAGAAAAAAAAAAATCTCAGAGGTGAGCTATCTTCTGCAGTTGCTTTTACCCTGGGTACATTTGTTGAATCTAGGTGTGGGTAGGAAGCTAAGAGTCTAAGCTCTGCACCACTGCCATGGAAAAGAAAAGCAACAGTTTTTGCTCTGTTTAGAGATAAATTAATTCTAAATATGAATGATTTTTTAAAATCATTCAAAAAAACACTTCAAATAGTATCTTCATGACCCTGGGATTCTTTTTCATTTTTCTTTTTCTTGAGACGGATACCAAGTTTGATAAGGATATGAACTATCTAGCACTCTTATACACTGCTGGTGAAAGGATAAATTGGTATACTTAAAATCCACTCCTAGATATACTCCCAAGAAAAATGGTTATACATGTTCAAAGGACACAAAGAAGAGTGTTCACTGAAGCATTATTATTATTTTTTTTTTCTTTTGAGACAGAGTCTTCCTCTGTTGCCCAGGCTGGAGTGCAGTGGCACGATCTTGGCTCACTGCAACCTCCATCTCCTGGGTTCAAGCAATTCTCCGGCCTCAGCCTCCCGAGTAGCTGGGATTACAGGCGCCCGCCACCACACCTGGCTAATTTTTTGTATTTTTAGTAGAGACTGGGTTTCACCATGTTGGCCAGGCTGGTATCAAACTCCTCAACTCAGGTGATCCACTTGCCTTGGCCTCCCAAAGTGCTAGGTTTACAGGCACGAGTCACTGCACCCAGCCTGAAGCATTATTTTCAACAGTCAAAAACTGGAAACAATCCAAATATGTGTATTAACAGAATGGATAGATGGAAATGGTGTTATATTCATATGATGGAAAAACTATAACAAACCACAACTTTATGTTGCATGAAAGAAGTCAGAAACAAAAAAAGTATATACTATATGATTCTATTTATATAAAGTTTAAATATAGGCAAAACTAACTTATGGTATTAGAAGCCAGAATAGTGGTTACCACTGGTAGGAGGTTGTAGTGACTGGGGCTGTGGTAAGGTTCTGCTGCTGAACTGGGTGCTGGTTACGCTGTGACACTTTATGAAATATCACTGAGCTAAACATGTAAGATTTCTATATATACAATTTAATAAAAAGTTTACATTAAAAAAACAATAATATCAGTTTAGTGGAGAGGAAGCAATTAAATATACTAAAGACAAGATAGGTATAGTACCTGATCAGAACAGGGCAAATGTGACACTGTCCTTCTACGCTCTCAGGGCAACCAAAAGCCAATGGGACCTTGCTTTGACCATCACTAGGAGGATGCCATTTTACCCAGCCTCCCAGGAGGGATGGTGAAGGGTCTTTAGAAGAATCTGACTGGTACTCTTTTCTGCTGGCTTAGTTCCTAGGCAAATGACTCCATTGCCTAGGAACTAAGCCAGCAGAAAAGAGTACCAGTCAGATTGTCCAGGTGGTATAATCAAGGAACCGCATGTAAATGAAAGAAACTCGAAGTCCCAATAAAATATTTGAGGCTAGAGAGAAGTGTAACATAATTGAGCCCAGGAAAGGGAAAATTCTGAGTAAGTACTGCCTTTCCGAAGCATGCTGTACCATTCCCAAGCCAAAACATTGGATTTTCCCTTTAATGGAGGGAAATCAGAAACATGAATACTTATTCAAGGAAGTTCTCCTAAAAAGCATCCTTATCCATACAAGGGTCCAAGAAAGACAAGGACTGAAGATCAAACAACTTCTCTCCATAAGTTAATTACTGAGTATTGTATCAGTGAAAGGCATTACCTTAGGTGTGTATATAGAGAGGAAAGATTTCAGAGCAGAATCAGATCCACTCCACAACAAAGTATCAAGTAAGGTAGTAACTGATCAGTGGCCTGATAAACTAGAGGAATCCAGAAAAAGACAAGTTCACTCTCCAGGTGAAATGTCAAGAATAAAAAATAAGTAGTATTTAAACTGGGTATTAAAGGATGGAGAGAATTTTAAGTGCAAGGTGGGGGACAAGAAGAAGAGGATGCAGATACTCCGGGCAAAGGCAAATGATGTGTACAACACCAGAGACTGAAAACCACAGACAAGAAATGAGCACTCAGAGTGTCAGCTACATGCCAGGCACTGTGCTAGATTCTGCTTTTTATATAATTAATTCATGATGCTTAGAAAGGTTAGATATGTGTCCAAGCCAGTTGACTGGTATAGCCAGGATTAAATTCAAATTCAGCTCTCTTCAACAATTCCAGAACCAGCAATCATTCCAGTATGAGTGGCAAGTGAACAGTGCAAGATAAAGCTGAAAACATTAAACTAAAATCAGGTCCATGAAAACCCTTCATGCAGTGAATAATAGGAATCAATGAAGGTTTTTTTGATATTAGAGTCACAAGAAGTCTTTCTTGGAACCCATTCAAGAAAGTCTTAAGGCAGGGCACAGTGGCTCATGCCTGTAATCCCAGCACTTTGGGAGGCCGAGGCGGGCAGATCACTTGAGGTCAGGAGTTTGAGACCAGCCTGGCCAACATGGCGAAACTCCATCTGTACTAAAAATATAAAAATTAGCGAGGCATGGTAGTGCGCACCGTAATCCCAGCTACTTTCAAGGCTGAGGCACGAGAATCACTTGAACCTGGGAGGTGGAGGTTGCGGTGAGCTGAGATCACGCCACTGCACTCCAGCCTGGGCAACAGAGCAAGACTCCGTCTCAAAAAAAAAAAAAAAAAAAAGGAAGGTTAGAACTCAGTTGAGAAGTGTGGATCAAGAGCAGGGCATATTATCTTGAGAAAAATTTGAAGAAGAACAATGAAGGTGAAGCGAAAAGACAAGACTGTCTCCGAAGTTTGAATGAAGGTACTTAGAAGCAACTGTGATGTCAAATACAGAAGTAGTAAAGACAAAGGTTTGTAGAGAGGACAAACTACTGAAGAGATGGTCCAACAAAACACTTTCTAAGAGCAGAGACTATATCTGTTTTATTCATCAATATATCCAGATGTTGGACAGTGTTCCATACATAATAGGTGATCAATAAACTCTTGAAGAGAGGGAGAGAGGCCAAAGGGACAGACCAAAGCTGCAGAGGGTTCAAGGATTGAATCAAGATTTTAATCACATATAATAGCAATAGGTGATGATTGAAGCAACTGAAATGAATGGGAATTTTAATAAAATGTAAAGGCAGAATGAGAAGGCAGACAATAGGAACCTGTAGAATACCAAGGATTCCTGGTAATGACAAAAATAATAAGGAGAGATAGAAGAAAATATCCAGAAGTCAAGAGGACAACTGAGAAAAGTCATTGGCAATCCTGTGCAGAGGAGATTTAGGAGAAAGGTAGACAGAAGGCAAGGTGGCTGAAAGAGGCTAAAGAATAAGTGGCTGGTGAGGTATAGGGCATAGAGAATATAGAGAACTCATTCAAAAAGTTTTTTTTGTTTTGTTTTGAGACAAGGTCTCACTATGTTACCCAAGCTGGGTAACTGCAGCCTCAACCTCTTGGGCTCAAGAAATCCTTTAGCCTCAGACTCCCAAGTAGCTGGGACCACAGGTGCACAAGATGACTGGGTAACTTTATTTTTTTGTAGAGATGAGGTCTTGCTTTGTTGCCCAGACTAGCCTCGAATTTCTGGGCACAAGCGATCCTCCCACCTTGGCATTCCAAAGTGCTGGGATTACAGGTGTGAACCACTGTACCAGGCCTCAGAAGGTTTAATGAAGGAAATAGGAAGACAAAAGCTAAAAGAGATGGTAAGATTGTGGTAATGTGCATTAGGATGGGGGATCTGAATATATTTGAGGGTTGAAAGGTATAAAGTCCCAAAGGTAGCAGGATGGGTTGGGAATAAGAGCACAGAGGAGTTAGTTGAACAAGGTAAGAAAAACTCTTATTGCTTTGAAGCAGGAGAGATGGAGACGGAAAATGGCATAAAAGAAAAGTGCTGTGACAGAAATTTATATAATCATTCTTATTCTAAAAAATGAGAGGAAAAGAGGAGAGATAGCAAGCCTCTCAAAAAGTCCAAGTAATTACCAGGCAACACGATACTAACAGGACCACCTATTCTGCTTGGTTGTGCTGCACGATGTTCAGATAAACAATGCACTCCTGAGGACAGGAACGCACTCCTAAGGACAGGAATCTAGACCAACCCGTCTCTGTACCTGGCCCAGCATAGCCTGGCATGAGGACCAGCACACAAAGGACCCCAGTAAATGTTGCTGGGAAGGAGTGTGTGCAGGTAATTAGGATCTGGGATAACTCAATGGCTCAGGCATGCTATTTCTCCTATAAGAGGAGCACTGACATTAAGTAACAGCTCTGGTCAAAGCCAAGAATCCAGACTGAGTCCTTCCCAGGAGACCCCAGGGAACTACGCTGAGAAGAGTCCTATCACCATTATCACTGTCCCAAGAGAACTGTACCATACACCGGCGTCTTCCCTGGCAGGATGACAATAATGAGCTGCAGCCCTGAGTAGGTGTTCTTGAGATGCCGGAACATAGGCTCCACGCTGTCTGCCCCCTGTGCATATTTGCAGAAACAAGGTTGACCCTGGATAGGCATCCCCGCATCCTTGGAAATCTTCCGCAGCTGGTCTGTGAAGTTCCTGTACACACGCATGGTCACAAAGGAGGCAGTGAGTCTCACTTGAATTCTTCTGACAAAAATCCATCCATCTTAGGTGCTTAGCACTATAAGAGGCACTGAGAGATTGGTTTTTTTTTTTTTTTTTCCTTGAGACAGGGTGCTCTGTCAACCAGGATGGAGTACAATGGCACAATCTGGGCTCACTCAAGCCTCGAGCTGCTAGGCTAAAACAATCATCCCATCTCAGCCTCCTGAGTAGGTAGGACTAGAGGAATGCCACCATGCCTGGCTAATTTTTTTTCTTTTTGGTAGAGATGGGATCTCACTATGTTGCCCAAGCTGGTCTCAAGTTCCTGGACTCAAGTGATCCTCCCACCTCAGCCTCCCAAAGTGCTGGAATTACAGGCATGAGCCACCGCACCCAGCTAACACTGAGATTCTAACATGAATGATACACAATAATAGCTAATGTAAAAAATATGTTTATAGTTGAGTAAGGTAAGAGAGTACTTGCTAAGTGTTCGATGGTACAAGCAAGGAGACGAGGAAGCCCAGAAAAGGGACCCATGGGAATTCTCAGGGTTCCCACCTTGCCCCGCTCAAGCAGCTGATTCCTGTGCTTCATTACATGTCCAAAGAAATAGGCAGATGCCCACGTGTAAGGCCTTTCTGCTCAAAGCAAATGAGGTTCCAACAGTGATGGGAGCACAAGAGATGCTCAGTAAAAATGAGTTCCCTCCTTCCCAACTGGTTCTTTGAAACCTAAGAGCCAATTATTAAGCTTCCTTTGGCTTTAGGGCTTTACCCTGGAAAGGAAGACAAAGTTGCAAGAGAGGACACACATGCAGTAGAGTAAAAAAATCAAGCTACATAAAGATACTCAAAAACTGAAATAAGCAGCAGGAAATTTAATTTGTGATAATCTTCCATTTAAATTTAAAAACAATGTACAAGAAGAGAATGGAAGCAGCTGTTTAGGAGATGTTATTATTATATAGCATACAAAAAGCAATGTGATAGTTTTATGAGAAAGTATTTTTTCACATATTTAGTAAAAACACACAAGAAAAGAAACAGTCTGATACTATTATGCAAAATTTAAAATCATTTATATATAGGTATATAAATTGAGTAGCCTGGTTACAATAATTCATAACAGTGGCCTCATCAGAAGGGAGGAATAGGGCTGGTGCAGTGGCTCACACCTGTAATCTCAGCACTTTGGGAGGCCAGGGTGGGCGGATCACTTGAGGCCAGGACTTCGAGACCAGCCTGGCCAACCTGATGAAACCCTGTCTCTACTAAAAATACAAAAAAAACCTAGCCGGGCATGGTGGTGAGTGCCTGTAATCCCAGCTACTCAGGAGGCTGAGGCAGGAGAATCACATGAAACAGGAGGCAGAGGCTGCAGTGAGCCGAGATTGCGCCACTGCACTCCAGCCTGGGCAAGAGCGAGGCTGTCAAAAAAAGAAGGGAGGAATGGGACTAGGGTGGAGGACATGAAGGAGCAT
The DNA here is from genome assembly GCF_000001405.40 of Homo sapiens. Classification (NCBI taxonomy): domain Eukaryota; kingdom Metazoa; phylum Chordata; class Mammalia; order Primates; family Hominidae; genus Homo; species Homo sapiens. The sequence goes on along the minus strand of NC_000001.11, from coordinate 35,905,442 downwards.
CAAATTTATCTGTAATATTTACATTTAAAAAAGGATAAAGTAAATATGACAAAAATGGATACATGTTATTCTCTACATTTATTATCTTAAAAAAATTTTTCAAAATGAATGTTAGAATAAAAAAACACGACCTAACCACTGTTTCATGTAAATAACAGCTAGGGCTTTGACCATTAATAGTATGTTTTCCATTTCTCTGCCCTGTATACAACTGCAATGTAGCTATTAAAAAGCCAGTATGTTACCAGATTTCATGAATAGTGGGTCTCAACTTCAAGGAAAGACGTTATTTCCAATCTTCTCTCTACTACCAGACTACACTTGGAATACTGTGTCCAATGCTGGGGGCCACAAAGTATTGTGAGATGTTTAAGATGAGGAAGGTCCTAAAATCCCATCTTAAAGGTGATATAGCTAAAGTAATAGGGCCTCTTTAGCCAGAAAAAAATTGAGGGTTGCGTCTAGAACTCTCTCATCCATCATCCCCCAACTACTAGTTTGTCAAACCCCATAGCACCTTCATGTTTTCCCCCACTTTCTCAGTGGAAAGGATGCCCTTTCTCAGTGCCCTGGATCCCATCACCTCATCCACACTTAGGGACTTTGCTCTATTTATTTTCCAGTTTCTCTGAGTTATATCTTCAATCTCTGCTTACTATGTACATTCTCCCTGGACAATCTCAGCCACTGCTATAGATGACTTGGAAATATTTACCTTTAGCCCAGTCAGAACCACAGATTTAACTGGCTACTACTGACCCAGATGCATAAGCCACATTCTTACCCCTTACAACTAGGTGTCACTGATAAACTCTTCCAAGTTTGAGTTTCTGGGTTTACTGGTGCCCATACCCCAAATGGCCAAAACAATAGATCATCCCAAAAGAAATGGACAAGGGAAGGACATGGGAGAAAGACAAGAGCACATAGAGAATAGAACTACAATGAAGTGACTATGGCACAAAGGCAAAAAGCTGGGAGCCTTTCCAATGTTGCCAAGCAGCCTGGCTTAAATGGGGGCTAAAGAACTCAGAAAAAGGCCAGGCACGATGGCTCACGCCTGTGATCCCAGTACTTTGGAAGGCCGAGGCGGGTGGATCATGAGGTCAGGAGATCGAGACCATCCTGGTTAACATGGTGAAACCCCATCTCTACTAAAAATACAAAAAATTGGCCAGGCGTGGTGGCGGGTGCCTGTGGTCCCAGCTGCTTGGGAGGCTGAGGCAGGAGACTGGCGTGAACCCGGAAGGCGGAGCTTGCAGTGAGCCGAGATGGCGCCACTGCACCTGGACGACAGAGAGAGACTCCGCCTCAAAAAAAAAAAAAAAAAAAAAGAGCTCAGGAAAGGAGACAAGAACCCATTTGCAAGAACTACAATTATGATGGTGTTTGTGTATCTGTGAGGGGTAAGGGAAGAAGAGCAAGGGCAGGTCCCATAGTCTCCAGATCCATCAGGAGCTGTTAGAACTTTTTTTTTTTTTGAGATGGAGTCTCGCTTTGTTACCACGTTGGAGGGCAGTGGCACAACCTTAGCTCACTGCAACCTCTGCCTCCCGGGTTCAAGCGATTCTCCTGCCTTAGCCTCCTGAGCAGCTGGGACTACAGGCACGCGCCACCACGCCCGGCTAATTTTTGTATTTTTAGTAGAGACGGAGTTTCACCATATTGGCCAGGCTGGTCTCAAACTACTGACCTTGTGATCCGCCCGCCTCAGCCTCCCAAAGTGCTGGGTTTACAGGCAGGAGCCACCATGCCCAGCCTAGAACTTATAGGATCTATATTGCCCAGAAAACTCCTGGGCTCAAGTGATCCTCCTGCCTCAGCCTCCTGAGTAGCCAGGACTACAGGCACGCACCACTGCACCCCAGCTAAGAACGAATTCTCATGATGACTCCAAGGTCAGCTGAATTCGTCATGGCATACTTCCCCACTACCCTTGTCTAGCCAAAATGGTCGGCTCCATCAACTCCTCCTCATCCCTAGAGTGCATTGACCCCACTCCAGATTCAGAGAATATGAAAAGCAACCACTTCGAAAGATGGCAGTAACCAACTAACTGTATGTTGTATCTATGAAACAACTAACTGAGTTTTGTGGCATTTTAAACCTATCTCAATAAAACTTAAAAAAAAAAAAAGGCCGGGCACAGTGGCTCATGCCTATAATCCCAGCACTTTGGGAGACCGAAGCAGGAGGATCACGAGGTCAGGAAATCGAGATCATCCTGGCTAACACACTGAAACCCCATCTCTACTAAAAATACAAAAAATTAGCTGGGCGTGGTGGCGGGCGCCTGTGGTCCCAGCTACTCGGGAGGCTGAGGCAGGAGAATGGCGTGAAACCCGGGAGGTGGAGCTTGCAGTGAGCCAAGATCGTGCCACTGCACTCCAGCATGGGTGACAGAGCAAGACTCTGTCTTAAAAAAAAAAAAAAAAAAAAAAAAGACTCCAGGTGAGGGGTTGTTGACTTCTTAAGCCATTACTGCCTGGTTTCTTTAAACCATTTGGCTATAACACTTTCCTCATTGGTGCCATCTACTCCCAGCTACGGTGGCACAGAGGCCCTGACAACCAGCTAAACAAGCTGCTCTATTTTGTTTCCAATTAGGAACACAAGTCTTGAAGCTCAGATCTGATTTGCTTCCAACTCTGACACTTTCCTGATGATGTGCAAACTTTGGACAAGTTACTTAACCTCTTTTGAGCCTCAGTCTCCTGAAAATGGACATATCACCACCTACTCACTGTAAAGATGAAATAAGAGAATATAAATTAGGTACTTAAGTATAATTTTGGCGTAAACATTACAGTCATCACTACTACTATTTATTACCAATGATAATAATTATAACAATAATTCAGGCCTCTCTCAGGAGATTCATGCCCTAAAATCATCATCTTTGACATAGATATGGCTCCTTATTAACTTCCCCTGATCACAGATGGATAGAAAAAGAATTGGTAGAAGTTTGAGCCAGAAAGCACAATGCAGGCAGAGTCAAGACAGAACACATTACTGATCAATATCAGCCCCTGTGGACTACAGGAAGGCAGGCAGCTCCAGGGTCCTTCCCACCCTTCCACCCCTACAGCGAACCCTCCTTACTTGAGCACCTCTTCTCGACACTGTTTTTGGGGTGCGAAGCAGGCGATGGCCCAGACTTTGATCTCAATCCCATTGTAGAACTGTTTCCCCCGCATGTCCCAGACACCCTGATTGGGTGTGGCAATGGCCCGGTTCTGGGGATAGGTAGAGGGGGCGCCTAGGTGAGCCTCAGTAGAGTCAGGTGGGTAGGGGAGCAAAAGCCCCTGGCTATACAACCCAACCACCCCCATATGCCCCGAGATGTTGTCTGGCCCTGACCCTGCTCACCCGGCCGCCGTACTGCAAGATGGGCGCCGGCAGCACTCGCCCTGTCACCTCCGTCATGTCATCCTTCACTTTGATCCCAAATTCCTGGATGTAGGGATCTAAGTTGTAGCTGGCATTCTTCATCTGCAGGACAAAAGAGAGCAATCTCAGGAGAACAGGAGCTTGGCAATACTGCTCACCCTCTGGGTATCAAGGAGAGAACCCTAAGGAGAAGCTGGGGTTGGTACGGAATAGTCCTAAAAAGAGAGAGAAAGTGGAAGATGAGGGAAGTGAGGGAATAACACAGCAAAGTAATACAGGAGAGAAAAAGAGACAGAAAGCAAAGTAGCTATACGGTCAAGAAGCAAAAGCAGCCTTATACAGTCCTAGGCAACAAATCTAGACTTGGGTTCTCCTGAAGGAAGGTCCTGCTGGGGCATTAAAACATTTATGCTACCAATGGCCCCAATGACTGAGCAAATGAGTAGGCCCACTGACCAGGCGACTGATCTCCTCCTGTCTGTCTGGAGCGGATCTAGCTGTGGCCTTTATCATGGTCGAGGTCTGGTTGTCGGTCAGCTTTTTAATACAGCGCTGCCCAGCCACAATGTTACAGACCTGAGGAAACAAGAAGGACAGGTAGCTCTGGCTTGAGTACAGTCCACCCTGTACCCAGAGCCCCACAATAAGGAAAGATACCTTGGCTGTCAGCCATGGGGAAGGGAACTGCAAAATCCGTTGTGCATACATGTATTCTCCTCCTGAGTATCATTTGATAGGTAAATTAGAAAATATTCGTGTGCATTGTAAAAGGCGATTCAGGCCGGGCATGGTGGCTCATGCCTGCAATCCCAGCACCTTAGGAGGCCAAGGCGGCCAGATCACTTGAGGTCAGGAGTTCAAGACCAGCCTGGCCAACCCAGTCTCTACTAAAAATACAAAAATTAGCCAGGCATGGTGGCGTGCGCCTGTAATCCCAGCTACTCAGGAGGCTGAGGAACAAGAATCGCTTGAACCGGGAGGCGGAGGTTGCAGTGAGCCCAGATCACGCCACTGAACGCCAGCCTGGGTGACAGAGTGAGACCCTGTCTCAAAAAAAAAAAAAAAAGGGCAATTCAACCGCTTGTGATCCAGAGCCAGATCTGGGCTCAGGTCTCATATTTTATTTATTTATTTATTTTTTTGAGATAGAGTCTCGCTCTGTTACCCAGGCTGGAGTGCAGTGGCACAATCTCGGCTCAGAGACATCTGCCTCCCGGGTTTAAGCAATTCTCCTGCCTTAGCCTCCCAAGTAGCTGGGATTACAGGCACCCGCCACCATGCCTCGCTAATTTTTGTACTTATGTATTTATTTGTTTATTTTTGAGAGGGAGTTTTGCTCTTCTTGCCCAGGCTGAAGTGCAATGGCACGATCTCGGCTTACTGCAACCTTCACCTCCCAGGTTCAAGCGATTCTCCTGCCTCAGCGTTCCAAGTAGCTGGGATTACAGTCATGTGCTACCATGCCCGGCTAATTTTGTATTTTTAATAGAGATGGGGTTTTGCCATGTTGGCCAGGCTGGTCTTGAACTCCTGACCTCAGGTGATCCACCCACCTCCGCCTCCCAAAGTGCTGGGATTACAGGAGTGAGCCACCATGCCTGACCTTCATATTTTAAGGAAGGATAATAGTAACAATCTAAGAGTTGCCTCAAGATTAAATAAAGCACTTAAAGGACTGAGTATAGTTCTGGAACACAGTAAACAATAAATTGTAGCACAGATTATTATTTACCAAAGGACCATATATAGAGCTCTTCTGAATACTGAACAACTCAATATACACAAATTAGATTTCTAAGGCAGCTGTCCAATGGTGACAGGTTGCTCCATCCTGCAACCCACCAGGACTAGGGTTGGTTCTAAACTCCTGAGCCCCCAGCCTACAGCTATCACTGTCTCTGTTGGCTGACAGTGTCCTCTGCTGGTGTGAGAAACATCCTGCCATTTACTTCATCTGTTCTGGGCCCAACAGAAAACAACAGAGATCATAAAAAGCTGTCTAGTGACATACAAGACTTCCACTCCCCAATATACTATATTCAGGATGCTGTGAACAGAAAGGCTTCTAGAATTGAGAGAGCCAGTAGGTCTGGAAATACTTCTGTTTGAAGTCCAGCTTTGCCATTTCTAGGTGATGTTACCTTAAACAGGACTCTTAACCACTCTGAGAATCTTCTTCTTTAATCTCAAACATGAGAAAAAAAAATACACTAGCTGTCTCATGAGTTTGTTGTAAGGATTTAGATGAGATGAAATGAGGAACTTGCTCCCATAGGGCCAACATTCTTTACATACTAGTTCTCGTCCTAATTCCCAGAGTTCATGGTAAACAATGGGAAGGAAAACCAGCCCAAGGTCACCTGCCTTCAAACTCCATATTCCAGAGAATAAACAAAATAGTCAATTCACGTAATGAAAATCCAAAATTATTGAAATTTGTGAGATTGCTCTCTTAAAGGTGCCTTAAAGTTGTAGCATTCTCTACAGGTGGTTAAAGATACAGAATTAACACTAGCAAAAGACTAAATCAGGGATGTGGTGAAATTAGAATACTTGTACAACGCCAGTGGGAATATAAAATGGTATGGCAATTTCTCAAAAAATTAACCACAGAATTACCATATAAACCAGCAATTCTGCTTCTGGGTATGTACTCAAAAAAAATGAAAACAGGAACTTCAACAAATATTTTTACATCTCTGTTCACAGCAGCATTATTCACAATAACCAAAAGGAAGAAGCAACCCAAGTATCCATGGATAGATGAATGAATAAACAAAACATGATATATACATACAACGGACTATTATTCAGCCTTAAAAAAGAAGGGAATCCTAACATGCTACAACACGGATGAACCTTGAAGACATTGTGTTAAGTGAAATATGCCAGTCAAAAGAGGACAAATACTATGATTCCACTTATTTGAGGTACTTACAGTGGTCAAATTCATAAAGACAGAAAGTAGAATGGTGGTTGCTAGGGGTTAAAAGGAGGGAGTTGCCATTTAATGGGTATAGAGTTTCAGTGTGGAATGATGAAAAAGTTCTGGAGATTGGTCATGGTGATGGTTGTACAACTGCATGAATGTATTTAATGCCACAGAACTGTATACTTAAAAATGGTTAAAATGGTAAATTTTACATTATGTATATTTTACCACAATTTGAAAAAGACGGAAGAAGGAATGAACTGTGATTTGAACATGAATAAATGATTTTGTGGACACTCAATGACCTACATAACTATTCAAGGAAGACACAGAGGTGGACTGGAGGCACTACTTCTAGTTTCTAATTGAATCTTCACAACTAGAAACTAGAACAATAATCCACATTGTTCTTCTACTTAAAATTTTCCAATGGATTCATATTATAATTAGAATAAAATCCTACCTGGCCAGAAATTACAACTGTCATTCTTTGCTGATGGGATTGTAAAATATCATAGCTACTTTGGGAAACAATCAGGCAGCTCATCACGATGTTAAACATTGGCCAGGTGCAATGGCTCACGCCTGTAATCCCAGCAATTTGGGAGGCTGAGGCGGGCGGATCATGAGTCAGGAGATCGAGACCATTCTGGCTAACACCGTGAAACCCCATCTCTACTAAAAATACAAAAAATTAGCCAGGCGTGGTGGTCGGCGCCTGCATTCCCAGCTACTCCGGAGGCTGAGGCAGGAGAATGGCGTGAACCCAGGAGGCGGAGCTTGCAGTGAGCCGAGATCGTGCCACTGCACTCCAGCCTGGGTAACAGAGCGATACTCCGTCTCAAAAAAAAAAAAAAGATGTTAAACATTGTTATATATTATATCACTCTTAGGTGTATACTCCAGAGAAATAAAAACTTATGTTCACACAAAAATGTGTACATCAATGTTCACAGCAGCATTATTCATGATACCCAAAAAGTAGAAACAATCCAAATGTCCATTAACTGATAAATGAATTAACAAAATATGACATATCCATCTGATGGAACGAGGATAAACCTTGAAAACATTATGCTAAATGACAGAAGCCAGTCAAAAAAGGCCACATATTGTATTATTTCACATATATGATATGTCCAAAATAGGTATACCCAGAGACTGAAAGTAAATTAGTGGTTACTACAGGCTGTTGGGGAGAGAACGAATGGTGCATAACTGCTAATGAATACAGGCTTTCTTTCAGGAGTGATATGTTCTGGAATCAGATAGTGGTGATGGCTGTTGTACAATTCTGTGAATATACTAAAACTACCTAATCATTTTAAAATGGTGAATTTTATGGTATGTGAATTATATCTCGATAAAGCTGTTTTTTTATTTTTTTTTGAGACAGGGTCTCCCTCTGTTGCCCAGGCTAGAATCCAGCGGCACAATCACAGCTCACTGGGTTCAAGCAATGCTTCCACCTCAGCCTCCCAAGTAGCTGGGACCACACCACACCTGCAGTCAAGCAATCCTCCTGCCTTGACCTCCCAAAGTGCTGGGATTACAGGTATGAGCCACACAGCCAACCTGGATAAAGCTTTTCCAAAAAACAGTAATAAAATGCCACGTGGTTTCAACAGGCTATATTATTTGACCCTCTGCAGAATCATATCCTACTGCTTTTCCCCTCACACAATACATTCTAGCCACCATAGCCTTCTGTCTATCCCTCAAAAAGATCCAAATTCTCTTCTGCTTTAGAACCTTTGTACTTCCTCCTGCCTGGAAGGCTCTTCTCTCAGGTTGTTACAAGGTTGATTCTATGTCATAATTTGGGACTTAGCTCAAATGTCTCCTAAAAGAGGACCTCCCTAACAACTAAAATAGCTCTCTACCCTCTTCCTCCCTTACTTCTATCCCCTTAACCTATTTTATTATTCTTATAGCACTTATCACCATCTGAAACTACTTTACGTGTTTATCAACTTATTGTCTATCTCCCCCTTCTAGAATGTAAGCTCCATAACAGCTGGGACCTTGTCTGTCTTGTTAATCTCCATGTTCCTAGCACCTGAGAGTATATGACACATAGTAGGAGCTCGATAAATATATGTTAAATAAGCAACAACAGAAATCAAGGTCTAAGTCATAACATAAATTATACCCCTTGGAAACTGCTGTTTAAATAGAAATAATGTTAATTTGCTAACAAATCTCTGCTTACAGTAAATATCACCTACTATCTACTTAGCTAAGATTGTCCCTAAAGACCTCTGTTTATACCTCAGAGAACATGTTGCCTTCATGTGCATCAGTAGCTATTAACCAAGTCAGAGTTCTTGGTTTTGGGGATCTCTTCTCCCTTCAGCCTAACTCCCTCAGGTTAGTTCTGAAATCCTAGAAGCTCACCAGAAGACTAGAGCTTTGGTCTGGGCTATCTGACTTCTGCTGTTGGATAAAAGTAAGAGGGTAGGCCAGGCGTGGCAGCTCATGCCCGTAATCCAGCACTTTGGGAGGCCGAGGCAGGCAGATCACTTGAGGCCAGGAGATCAGTGTGGCCAACATGGCAAAACCCCATCTCTACTAAAAATACAAAAAAAACTTATCTGGGCACGGTGGCGCACACCTGTAATCCTAGCTACTGGAGGCTGAGGCATGAGAATTGCTTGAACCTGGGAGGCTGAGGAGGTTACAGTGAGCCGAGATGGTGCCACTGCACTCCAGCGAGACTCTGTCTCAAAAAAACAAAAAAGAAAAAGAGGGTAGTCTAGTACAGTGCTTCTCCAACGTTAATGTACATTCCCTTTGGATCTTGTTAAAGGACAGATTCTGGCTGGGCACGGTGGCTCACACCTGTAATCCCAGCACTTTGGGAGGCCAAGGTGGGCAGATCACCTGAGGTCAGGAGTTCGAGACCAGCCTGACCAACATGGAGAAACCCCGTCTCTACTAAAAATACAAAATTAGCTGGGTGTGGTGGCGCATGCCTGTAATTCCAACTACTCAGGAGGCTGAGGCAGGAGAATCACTTGAACCCGGGAGGCAGAGGTTGCAGTGAGCCAACATCATGCCATTGCACTCCAGCCTGGGCAACAAGAACGAAACTCCATCTCAAAAAAAAAAAAGATTCTGATTCAGTCGGTATGGGTGGAATCTGAAATCTGCATTTTAAGCAAGCTCTCAGGTAATGCCTATCCTATTGGTACACATGACCACACTTTTTGAGTAGCATTGGACGAGACAATGAAGCAGTAGGCAGTAGTTTCTCATTCAATATTTTGGCTAGTATATACCAAACAAAATATAGCCCAGTGATTCTGTATTTGTATTCTATAACTTAGTGTTAGTTACTATTCCTCCTCTAGTTGCAGAATTCCAAAGGTCTACTGACTTATAAAAGTATGACAATCTTGGGGCTAAAACTTTTTCAAAAGGAACACATTAATCCTTGGAGAAACATGATTTACATTATAGGTAGTATTTATCACCAGTTTGTGAAGAATAAGGTAGACTTATATCTTCAGGTCACTTAGGATCCCAGCTCTAAACAACAGGGGAAGAGAAATTAAGAGAACATGAGTGTGGGTATCTAAAATCTCTGTCCTCTACGAACTAATTACTTATTAAACAGTAAATTCAGCTTGTCTCTGCCTGGCAGCCCTGAAAGAACATGAGAGTAGGATGGGGGATAAGGAAACAACTTAGCAGGTAAGAATGAGGCCTCTATTTCACAGGAGAACTACCTCATACCTTCTCAGAATGTCAGTTTTCCAAACTTCAAAATGAAAGAACAGACATCTGATGATCAGCATGCAGGTATATACAATGCCTATTCCCCAGCCATTACTTGGCAATCTCACCTCTAGGGGAAGGTAGGTATGCTTTTGTTCCTGGCCAACTTGTAGGCAGGGCAGATGGGGATACTTGAGCTGAAGGTTATATTTCTGCTTGAAATACTGTGCCACTGTGCACTCCACAGTCTGTCCACTCTCCAGCTGTAAGGGGAATCTGTTCAGAAGAAGGGAAGGAAGGGGGTGTCATAACCCAGCATTCAGTCCCACTTCTCTAGACCCACAACCATGGAAGCCTCAGATTTTTTCCTTTTTCATTTGGCCCCAATATGATGTGCAGGAAGGAAGTCCCAGACTTTGCTTCATCCTATCCAACTTCTTTGAGCATTGCCACTCATGGGAAAACAGGACATACAGGGCTCCAAGAGAGAAGCCAAAGGTTTGAAAGGCAAGTTCCACAAAAGTCAGAAGTCAGGACACTATCTGACTCATTTATTTCCAATGTTGAGCATAAAGCCTGACACAGAGTAGACACTCATAATAATCAGTATAGCCTAAGGTCAAGAATGGGAATGGAATCAATGACAGCTTCCCCAAGGAGCCCAGGAGCCTCGCTTTCTTTTTTCAAGAGAAAGAATAATTTGAGAGAGATTCTAACATTTGCCTAACCCTAACAGGAATCAGAGAACACACTTGTTCTCAAGTAAGGAACCAAAGAGGCGAGGAGATCAAGAAGGTAAAAATGGTAGGGAGAGTATCAACAGATCAGAGAAGGTTGAGAAAGGATGCCAAATTCCCACAGCTTATCTTCAAAAACAGGGCCAGTCCCCAAGGCTCATTCTCAAGGCCAGTGGGGGAGGGAGGGAGGGAAAGATAGTTTTAAATCTCAGCCCTTCTCCACCAACAAAGTATGACTCAGCACCCCTGCCAACTTACGTCTGATGGCTAGCAGGGCGACGGGTAACATTACACACGCGGTACTTCCTCTTCATCTGTCCACAGTGGGTGACTTCCACCTTCAGGCCTGAGATACACACACTGCTTGTCAGGGCTAAAATAGGTTGCTCATGTGCCCAGGCTTGGTCTCTCCCCTGAGCATACCCCAAGGGGATTTCCTCTTAGGGCTAAAGTGGCGCTGTTTCCCTTCCCCTCCTGTTGGGTCCTCACCCTTGATCTCCTTGGTGAAGCGAACGCGCTGAGAGTCCGTGAGGGGCTTGGGCTGCTCATCTATGTTCCTGATGTCCAGCACCTCACACATGAACTCAATCACTGGCTGTGCCTTATAAAAGGCAGTGGCTGAGACTGTGGGGACAGGGTAAAGATAGCTCAGCTCAGGTTCTGTCTTCCACAATACATGGAGGCACAGCAATTTATACCCTCTTCCTTAAAGGGCATTGGGATGGGGGAAGGGGGTGCCAGGGCTGTAGGAATTAGACTAGGAGTGTGGTTGCAGAGCTGGGAGGGATGAGGCTGGGAGTGTGGTCACTGGACTTGGGGTGCCCCTGGCTCCATAGCTCTCCCCACTCACCATCAATGTTGAGCATCATCTTCCACATGGCAGGGCGCACAGACTGGTGAAAGCCGAACCAGACCTCGCGCCCACCCCCCAGCGGGTGGTAGTAGCCCTCAGGCGGTGAGAAGAAGGAGCGGCCCACAGGGGTGTACCTGGCAGGGACAGGCAGAGAACTGGTCCCTCGGGCACAGGCCCCCACCCTGTGAGGCATCCTGGGCACGGAGGAGCCCTGGCCTGAAAGGCAGGACACCGGGGCTTTAATGCCAGCTCTGATGCTTTACTAGTTGTATGACTGACCTTGTACAAGTTTCTACCTTCTCTCTGCCCTGCAGGGACAGATGGGATGAGGCCCAAAGATATCTAAGAAGTTCAGGGCCAGGGCTTTAAACCATCTAAATATAAATACACATTTGCCTGGCAAGTGGTAGGGCTTCAAATAATTTTTTTTTTTAATGGCACTCTGTGGGACCTTAATATGTGCTCCCCCTCCTCCCCTGACAGCAGTTCTGCCAACACTAGTAGCCCAGATACTAACTACACCCAATACCTCATGGATGCCAGGTGCCTCATGGCCACATCCAGGGCTTGCACAGACTCCAAGGGAACAGGGATCTGGCCGCTGACCAGGGCCTCATGCAGCATTCGCCAGCTCACAATGGCTAGCCACTTGATGGAGACCTTAAAGATTCGATCCTTCCCTTCCCCAGGGATTGTCACCTCAAAGTCGACCTTCAGGAGGGTGAAAGAAAGGGATGAAGGATTGCCATTGCTCTGCGAGAATGACCCCCAACTCCATGGATTTGCTGAGAACATGTTTTTCAAGTTGATAGGGGCTCATAATGAAAATCCAGAGTAAGTCTAGCCCCTTAGGTTCTAGCCACCTTGGCTCAGTGCTTCTGTTCCTCTCAACTACCTCTCAGCCTAGCAGGAAGCCCTTAGGTCTATTTTAAGTCTAATCTCAATCTGTTTAGGACACGGACAGGCACATGATAGACTAAATAAACATCAGCACCTACCCACCCCTCACCCTAAAACATACTTTCTCAGCACAAAAGATGAAAAGGATCTCTGGATCTCCAAAGAGGCTTACATGAGCTTGGTTCTACCCCAGACCCCTGACACAGGCCTAGCCTGACTCCCAACCTTACCCGTTCGTTGCCAATGGGCAGTGCTGTGACAGTGTAAATGTTCTTCTTTCCATCATACACAGGCTTGCGATCACCAAAGATCTGAGGCTTGAAATGCTGGACCATGTATTCCACCACTTCCCTGTGGGGGATAGGAGTGGCCTGTGGAAGCTGAGAGACTACCACCACTTCAAGTTTTGGAAGTAATTCAAAGTCCAGGCAATGTCCCATCTATTATACTCACTCCTAACATCTACTCTATGACAGTGCTTCTCAAACTTTAATATTCCTATGAATCACCTGGAGATTTTATTAAAATGTAGCTTCTGATTCAGCAGGTCTAGAGCGAAGCCTGAAATTCTGCATTTCTAGCATGCTCCTAAGTGACACTGCTGGTCCTCAGATCACCAAGGCTGTAATGGACCTGAAAGAGTGGTGTGAGTGCCTTCTGAGAAGAGGGGGAGGCTAAAGGGAGAAAAGCTTGACTCCAGGGTCTATCAACAATCAGGAATAGGGCTAAGTATGGTGGCTCACACCTGTAATCCCAGTACTTGGGCAGCCAAGGCAGGAGGATCACTTGGGCCTAGGAGCTCAAGGCTAGACTAGGCAACAGAGTGAGACCGTATCTTCTACAAAAAAATAAAATGTTTGTAATTAGCTGGGTATGGTGGCATGTGCCTATAATCCCAGTTGTTTGGGAGGCTGAGGCAGGAGGATCACCTGAGGCTGGGAGTTTGGGGTTACAGTGAGCTATAATCACACCACTGCACTCCGGCCTGGGGGACACAGCGAGACCCTGTCTCAAAAAAAAAACAAAAAACAAAAAAAAAGGATGGCCAGGTGCAGTGGATCATGCCTATAATCCCAGCACTTTGGGAGGCCAAGGCGGGCAATTTGCTTGAGCTCCCAAGGTTGAGACCAGCCTGGGCAACATGGAGAAACTCCATCTCTACAAAAAATACAAAAATTAGTCAGGCAAGGTGGTGTGTGCCTACAGTCCCAGCTACTCAGGAGGCTGAAGCGGGAGGATCACTTGAGCCTGAGAGGCAGAGGTTGCAGTGAGCCGAGATCATGCCACTGCACTCCAGCCTGGACGATAAAGTGAGACTCCGTCTCAAAAAAAAAATAAAAAATAAAAAATAAATTAAAACAAAACAAAACAAAAAAATCAGGAACAGAATCTAGGCTGCTCCAATCTAATCCCAGATCTCTAATCCCAGATCTGATAAGCAAAAAAGGTAGAAGAGATGTGAACTGGAATAAGAATAAACTGTGGAAGAAAAATCTCATCTCTTCCATCTCTCTGAAGCACTTAGTCTCACCACCCTATTTTTTCTCCATTACCATCTCTTACTTCCTGACCTCTGAAACTTAGACCCCAGGGTGTCCATTATTCCTTCAAAATTCCAGTTTATCTGACCAACTGACCTTCACACTTTCTAGATCAAAGTTCTTGACTACTACTGGATAACTCAAAATGGTACATTAGAAGCACTGTGATCATATGGTTTCAATCCCAATTAGGCTTCAGTGCTGCCTAGCAATCTTTTTCATGTCCCTGATTACTTCTATCCCTCCTACACTATGTAGACTATGTAGAACTTTCTCCACTAGCCTCTAACTCCAGACCCCGTACTTGTCTCCTACCAGGAAGCAGCTCTAATATTGAAAAAGGCAGAGGATAGTACGCAAGGCCACCCTCGAGTTTCCAGACATATACACAAACATATTTATATGTGTGTGCATCAATTTTTCTCCTTTCTTCTTATACTCAAAATGCCCCTTCCATACATTATTTTTAAACATACGAAAATATATTCAACTTCACTTATTAGAAAAATATAATTTAAAATTAGACCAAGATCAGAATGCCAAAGATCAAAAAAATCTGAAATATTAGATTGGTGCAGGTATAGGAAGACACACTCTGATGCCTTATTGATGGGAGTATAAGTTGATACAACTTACCTTTAAAAACAAGTTGCAATATCTGAAAACTCTGAAATGTATTAGGCCAACAGTCCCACTCCTAGCAATTTATCCTACAAATATACTCATATGAGTGCAAAAATGAATCTATATATAATAATATTCAACAGTTTCATTTTAGTAGCAGAATTTAGACTCAAATGTTCCTCAATAGATTTATTACATAAGTTATATTACAGCCACTCAACCTATGCAAAAGAATGAGGCAGATCCATATGTGCCGGTATGTAATATCTTCAAAAATATATTGTTAAGTGGAAAAATGCAAAGTATAGAACAATGTATAAAGAACCCTATGTTTTGGGTGTTTAAAAATGTTATATGTGCATATATGCCTGTATATATGTAGAAAAGTATCTGGAAGCATATTCAAGAATGGTAACAATTGGCCGGGCATGATGGGTCATGCCTGTAATCCCAGCACTTTGGAAGGCTGAGGCGGGCAGACTGCTTGAGGTCAGGAGTTTGAGACCAGCCTGGCCAACATAGTGAAACCCTGTCTCTACTAAAAATACAAAAATTAGCCAGGCGTGGTGGTGGGTGCCTGTAATCCCAGCTACTAGGGAGGCTGAGGCAGAAGAATCGCTTGAACCCGGGAGGCAGAGGTTGCAGTGAGCCGAGATCACGCCACTGCACTCTAGCCTGGATGACAGAGTGAAACTCCGTCTCAAAAAAAGAAGAGAATGGTAACAATTGGTCAGGCACGGTGGCTCACGCCTGTAATCCCAGTACTTTGGGAGGCCTAGGTAGGCAGATCATCTGAGGTTAGGAGTTTGAGACCAGCCTGGTCAACATGGTGAAACCCTGTCTCTACTAAAAATACCAAAAAATTATCTGGGTATGGTGGGGAGCACCTATAGTCCCAGCTACTCAGGAGGCTGAGGCAGGAGAATCGTTTGCCTGTCATCCCAGCTACTCGGGAGGCAGAGGCACGAGAATTGCCTGAACCTAGGAGGCAGAGGGTGCAGTGATCTGAGATGGCGCCACTGCACTCCAGCTTGGGCGACAGAGGGAGAAAGAAAAATCTAATTTTTCTTTCTCAAAAAGAAAAAAAGGTAACAATTAATGGTACTGGGGGACTAGAGACCAGGATAGTAAGGAGACATTTTTCACTATTATTCTTTTTGTAATATTTGAATTTTTTAATATTATACATATAGTTTTCAAATAATAAAATTAATTAAAGAAATATCACAGAGGCCGGGCACGGTGGCTCACGCCTGTAATCCCAGCACTTTGCGAGGCCAAAGTGGGCAGGTCACCTGGGGTCAGGAGTTAGAGACCAGCCTGGCCAACATGGTGAAACTCCGTCTCTACTAAAAATACAAAAAAATTAGCCAGGCATGGTGGCAGATGCCTGTAATCCCAGTTAGGAGGCTGAGCCAGGAGAATAGCTTAAAGCTGGGAGACAGAGGTTGCAGTGAGTTGAGATCGCGCCATTGCACTCCAGCCTGGGCAAGAGCAAAACTCCCTCTCAAAAACAAAACAAGAGAAAAACTCCCTCTCAAAAAAAAAAAAAAAAAAAAGGAAATATCACTTCCTCTAAATAAGGCTAATCCCTCCAACTGTGCATCCTACAACGTCCTTCTGCCTCATCAAGGACATCCCATTCATTTCTCCCCTCTGTCCTTCTGCCTCATCAAGGACATCCCATTCATTTCTCCCCTCTGTCCTTCTGCCTCATCAAGGACATCCCATTCATTTCTCCCCTCTGTCCCATACCTTTAACCTCTCCCTCTTTACTAGCTCCTTCTCCTTAATCTGTAAACATACCCATATCTCATTCTTTAAAACTCTTTATTCATTCAACTAATATTGAAATGTAGTAGGTACTGTACTTATTTCTTAACTCAATGTAGTTAGATTAACTAGCTCAACTACTTTCTGCTGAAATTGCTCTGGCAAAAGCCACTAATAATCTTCCAATAGCGAAGTCCAATTGGACTATTTTTCAGCATTTACCCGACGTGGCATCTCCCGTTCAAAAACTTCCTTAGATTTGGTGATACTACCCTCTACTGGTTTTTCTTTTACCTTTCTGGCCCCTCTTTCAAGGTTGGTGTCTTTCAGATTTGGTGGCTTAGGTGTGCATCACTTACCGGTTGACTCTACGGGGACACTTATCCGGCTTGATGTCCACCTCGTAGTGGTACACGTCGATCTTAGGGATGTCCACCTCAAAGTAATTGGCCAGGAGCTTGATTGGTTTCCCCACAGTGCCAATGCCAGGCCGGCGAGGTGCCTGGAACACCTGCTGCAGGGGGGGCAGGTAAGCGCCCGCAGCTACAAGACAAAGAGGCTGGTGAGGGTAAAGTCTGGCAATCTCCTAACTACTCTTATCAGAGGAGGAACAAGGCCTCCCAGAACAGGAACACGAGAGTATAGAGAATGCCTCTTTCCTGCTACCCAACCCAGCCAAGGGCTTCCAGGGGACATCTCAAGCTCATCTGTGTTTTTTCTCTTTTTTCTTTTTTAATCTCTCTCCAGTTAGGAAAATTATCCTTATTGTCTATTTTTAATTCATTAAGTTAATATATAATAAGTTCCTATTGCATGTTAAGCAGAGAGACTAAATCTGGCTCCTAGTAACAAAACCCTTTCTTTCTTCTAGTAGAGTAAGACACTTGCCTCCACCAGGTATCTAGCAGACCAAGAATTTCTATTCTCTGCCAGCCAGATGCTCACTCCATTCGCCACCATGCTGAATACAAAATGGCATAACCTTGATGTTCCTTTATAGGTGGGCAGGAATAAGATCCAGACAAGGCCAGGCTGGAGAGGGCAGGGTCAGTGTTTGAGGCAGAATTAAGGCAACTGAATGGCGAGAGTTGGAGACAGGGAAAAGGAGAAAAGGCTCAAAGGACAGAGTTTGGAGACTAAGGAAAAGAGAAAGGGGGTTGGAGAAGAGGACAGAGCTGGAGGTCACAAAAGAAAAAGGCCAGGAGAAAGAGAAGGCTGGAGTCAAGGGGTGGGGCAAAAGAGGTTAGGGTTGGAAGCTCAGGCAGGAAGAAACAAAGCAGCAACTGGGGAGACAATGATAAAAAAAAAAGCTTGAATAAAGAAAGAACTAACGGGTTTGGGAAGAAGAGGTGGCAATTAGAATGCTGGAGAAGAGACACTGGCTCTGGGAAGAACACAAGATTCTCTCCATGCCCCACAGATCCTTCCACACAGAAGGTCCAGACAGCAGCAGAAGAGATCAATTTCAAGACAGAGGAGGCCCTTGGGAAAGGGATAGGGTAAGGCCAGATCCAGCTACTTTACCCTCTTTTGCCAGTCTGGCTGCTGTCTCCAGTCTTATTTTCTAGCTTGGGGGGAAGAGAGAAAAAAAGGGAATAATATGCTGCTATTGTTCTTGGCAGTAGAGAACTAGCCCAGGTGGGAGAAGAGAGGGATAAACCAGCCCAGAACCTCCCATTATCAGACTTCTGCTTTCACAGTCAGACAAGCTGGGGGGATGGGGCATACCCTCAGCTGGGGGTCAGGAAGAGGTCAGAACCATTCATGGGAGGGGCAGCTTCCCAGAGCTAAGCTGCTCTGTTTCCCTCTAACCACCTGTCCAAGCCCAGTCCCACTCTGCAGACAGGGAAATGAAGGCCCAGCCTGGATGGAAAAGGTCTTCAGAACTCAGCTACATGGGGAAGGGAAAACCTATCTACTAGCACCTGGCTGCCTACCTCAGAAAGTGCTGGACAGAAATTGCACACAAGCTCACGGACAGACAGACACACATCCCCATCACACACATCCAAACACACACTTAGACCTTGGCAATTTACACTTACACACATATCCTTCACTGCCCTAGACTGAGTTCTTCAAAGGCAGGGACTATATCTGCCTTGGTCACTGTTTAATTTCCAGTGTCTGACACACACACAGGAAGTATTCAACATACTGATATGAAATGAATGAACAAACATATCCATAGACACACCACAAAAACACACAAGCACACACAGCACACAGACACACGAACACCTGCAATTGCCCAGAAACAATTATAAACACTACACAAGACAAATATGCACGTTTGTGGGTGTAGCCAGTAAGAGACATCCTTTCCCTCCCCAAGTTCTTATATTTCATTCACCTTCTTCCCCTCCCAGACTGAATAATCATTTGGGGCCTTCGGAGAAAGATAACTCCTAGAGCTGGGGGGCTAGTTAGAAATGATGGGGGATGGGACAGACACTCTAGCCTCAAAGCCTTCTCTTCCCCAGAAACCCGACTACATACCACACATAGCCTTAGAGCACCTTCCTCTCCAAAGAGGCTTTGGGAAAACAGGGGAGCCCACACCCCCACTTCATCTCCAAACTAGGAAAGACAGCAGGAAGCAGGAACCTCTCTCCCATTACATCCCCCTGAAAGCCTAACAACAGCACTGTCTCCTCCCCGCCCCCCTTACCCCAGCTTTTAGTCTGAGAAAGGGAGACACTTCCCTACAGACCCAGACAGGGACAGACGGCCACTTTGTGATGCAGATGAGGGCCCCAGCACAGAGGACAAAGCTTGGGCCTAGGGGGAAAGGGGCGGGACCCTTCTCTTCAGACAAAAGCAAGGAGGGAGGGGCCCTGAAAAGGACACTCCCCCTCCCCCATCCCCAAGGAGCCCAGAGAAGGAAAAGTAACAGAGCTGAAAACCCTGGCTCAGGATTCCTTTCTTGCAGTTCTGAGGCCCACACACCTCCCAAGGAGCCAGACTGCCTATTCAAAAGACACAAATTCAAGGTTAGGTTAGGTTAGGTTAGCTGGTGGGCAAGCAAAGACTAACAAGCCAATCTCTCCAAAAAGGATCTGTTCCATGTGAGTATACACTTTATTAAATATCCACATACGTGCTTAACCATTTATGTTCACACTTGAATGTGATTTGATTTAATTAATAAACATGTATTCTGTGCCAGGGCCTATACACTAGGCACTTGCTAGTTCTACAAATAAACCAGACACTGCTTCTACCCTCAGGGAGCACCCAGTCCACTGTATGTGCTTGGAACACACCTGAGCACAGAAGGCAGACCTGGGCATAAGCCCAGTGAGGCTAGCAACAATGCTTTAGTTTTTGGGGGGTTTTTTGTTGTTGTTTTTTACACAACGCTTTAGTTTTGTGTATTATGTCCTCAGGCCACCTTGGGACACCACTCTAACTTCTTATAAGAGAACAGTCCGGGCCTAGGAAGGAGGCAGTTATGGGGTCCCTCAATTTGCAGCTTCCAGACTGAATCTCAATTATACCCTTTACTGAGGCAAAGCCTGTCCTATTCGGCTTTTCCCAAGGCTTTGGCTGACTCCAAACAGCAGGTTCTAGCTCCTTTCCTATAAGCTTATTTTTTGTAACAAATTTTTAAAAAGTCAATTTTTCATCACTCCAGAGCCTATTAGGAATTCATCAGGATAAAAATCATTAGTCTAGAATGGGTACCAGCAACCAGCAATCCATGTGGACCTCAATGACCTACCCCACTACTCTAGTTCATGGGTTGTTGGAAATAGTCCCCAGCCTTGAAAAACAGAAGTTCCTGGGATGGAGAGAGGGTCCTGACAGAGAGGAAGTACTCAAGTCAGTTGCTCCCTGTGCTTATCCTTACGACTACACAGTCTATACAAGGCTGGTTGTTAAGAGGGAAAACAGTCACTAAGTACTTAGAGATCACTAAATGGATAACTTGAGTGAGGTCGTAGGAGCTATTTCCTTGGGAGGGTGGGAGGGAGTTAGGTCTGCTACAAAAAAAACAAAATAATTCCACTAGGAAAGTAATGAAGTTCATGGCCTAAATGGAAATTTGATTCCCATCCCCAGACCAAATGTAAGGAAGTGGTGAGAGATGACCTGAAGGATTCCCAGGTCCAGGCTCCTCGTCCCATCACAGGGTAAGACACTTAAGACACAAGAGGTATCACCACCCCACAGCCCATCCTAAGGACTCCAGTTTTCTTGAGGCAATCCTGCCTCAGTTTATCCTCTGTTCCTATGTCTTTTCCTCCTCATTGCCTGCAAATAAGAAGTTAAGGCTATCACCTAGGCCTCACCAGGATGAAGGCTATAAACTCCCCCATCCTCCAACGTGTTTGTAGGGTTTAGATCTTGGCTCTAAAGACAGCCCTGACAGTTTCTGGGGAGTGGGGAGAGGAAAACGGAAAGATATCCAGTGGAAGATAGGAGCCATGAAAATATTAAGAAATATTAGAATAAATGTTATAAATGTAGAGTGTAACCTTAACAGACAATTCAATGGAAAATCTTTGGATTAAAAGCCCCCATCACTACTCAGTATTGGAGCAGAAACTTGCAAACCAAGCAGACAACTCCTTCCAGGTAGCCCCTGCCCTGTCCTTGATTCCTCCGTAACCAATACCTTTCCTAAGGCCTATCTTCAGGAGGACCCACCCCCAGAACCCATCGCTTCGGTCCCAGTCTTTCCTGTGGCAGAAAAATGCACTTTGGCAGCTTCCCTCAACCCATTCTTAGCAAACTGTGACTGAGGGCCAAGTGTAAGAGCCCCTAAAATGGGGGAGGGGACCATAACCATTTGCACACTGCCAGCATAACCTAAGAGAGAATGCACCCCATCAGCGCGCTCCTTTTTCCAAGCCAAACGGGGCGGGGCGGGGGGGTGTGGAGAGGTGGGGGTATTCGGACAGCCACGCCCCCACCACGTCGGGCAGCCCCTTCCAGCTGCCACCTCCGCGCATGCTCTGGAGCCTCCGCTCCGACTCCCCAGACCCACGGGGGGTAATCCCGGGACTGGGTCCCCACCCACCGCCCCCTGACCCTCGCCCTCGCGTCAGGCCCAGTGGGGCGGAGCTCACAGTCCAGCTCTGGCGCCTTCTCCCAAGAGACATTAGCCTATTCCAGCCCAGCGGAGCCCCCGCCCCCGGCATGCGGTAGCTCCAGGCCCATCTGTGTCGCCCCCTCCTCTCCTGGACACCTGGAGCCCGTCCCCTGCCACCTGCCGGGCCTCTCCGTAGGCCTCCACGGATGTCTGGGAGTCCTTCCGTGCGTGCAGGCCCTTCTCCCAGATTACTTCCAACCCGCAGGACTGTATACAGCCTCCTTGGACAAACAGCCCCCATCTCAGGGCTCTCTTCACATGGTTCTCCCCCGGAACTGCACACAGCCTCCTTCAAACTGGGCCCCCATCGTGGGAGAGCCCTTCTCCTCACTCAGGAGCGCTTCCATCACTTGGAAACCACGCTTTTCATGCGGGATCCCCCAGTCCTTGGAGCATGCACCGTTCCCCCTCCTGGGGACCCTTACCTGCTCCCGAGGGTCCCGCTTCCATCCCATATACCCGTGCGGAGGTCAGGCGGCCCGGAGACTGTGAAGTCCAGCGTGAGGGGCCTAGGTACCCCACACTCTCGCTGCTCGGGATCCCGGGCCGGGCTCGGCTCCCCTACCAAGCCCGGCCGCTCGCGCCGCCGCCCCCGCAGCCTCCGTTGCCGCCGCCGCGGAGCCTGCAGCAGCTCCCACTGCGAGCGCCCGGCCAGCTGCCAGTGCGCAGGCGCGACCGCCGGGCCCAGGGGGCGGACCGGAACGAGTCAAGCGGGGCGCTCCGACGGCAACAAAGGCCAATGGAGAGGGGCGGGGGCACCGGGGACCCAAGGCAGCGGCCCCTGGCGGTCACCCGTCGCCATGCAGCCCGGCGGGAGGGCGCCAGTAGAGGTGCCTTGGAACCGCGCAGTGGTATAAGTGGGGCAGGGCGAAGGGACATCCCGCCACAGCAGCCTTCAGCCCTGTGTCTTTTCCCCAAATAGGTCCCTCCAAACCTACACACAGCCCCCGCCTGTCGCACCGAGCTGCGCGCACACATTATGGGAACCCCACTTCATTCCCAGACCCCCTGGCACTCCAGCGCCCAGGGGCCCTGCCTCCCACCTCTCCTCCCAATCACCCTCATCCTTCAAGCCTTGGCTGCAAAGCGACTGCCTCCACGAAGTCTTTCTCCGTCCCTAGTCACTGAACTCACTGACGCCACCCCCTCTTCCACGCCATGTGCTGGACGCTGAGACCACAGATAAGTAGAGACGCGGCCTACCCTGGAAGATGTCACAGTTTGAACTTAAGTGCAGCTACAGAGCTCTATCCGCCGGACCTGGGAAGCACCTGCCTCCACTTTCTCATCTACAGTTCATGCCTGAACTGTCAATCAGCTTCTGCCCTCATCACGTCACTTAAATGACTTTTGGGGTTGACATCCAAAGGATACTTTTCAATTATTTCTCTGCAGCATCTGTCACTGTGCCTCTACTTCCCTTCTGAGCCTTCTACTTGGCTGCGGCATCTTCTGCAGTCTCCTATTGCCTAAGTCCTTTTCAGTCTTTCTAAAGGGCCCCTTTTGCTTTTGCCTCATTAACTGTTCACTGTGGTTCCAAACCCAGCTCTCTTCTCATTCCACTCTCCCCTTAAAGGTCTCATCCACTCTTACGGCCCAACTATCCTTCCAAATCTCTGTTTCCAACCATGTCTCATACTCACATTTCCAAGTGTTTGCTGGACAGCTCCACCTGGATATCCTACCAGCACTTCAAATTTAAGAAGTCCAAACCAAACACTTTATCTTTCACTCACAAACATACTTGCCCTGTGCTTCCTATCTCAGCGAACAGCACCTTCATGTCAGAAATGACAGTTCCTCTATCCCTTGTTCTTTCCATCTATTCAGCTGTTCACCACGTCTTGACATGTTTACCTTCTGAACTGCTCTCACATGATTCACTGCCATTCTGATGGTTTCTTATGCTGGTGCAGACCCTTATCATATCTTGCTAGACGTATCACAACCACTTCCTTGCTAGTCTCAAAGTTTCTGGGAACTCCCATTCTCCCTCCTATTCGGTCTGGTGCAGTGATAGGCGGGGTAAGAGACCCAGCTCAAACATCACTTTCCCATAAACTCACAAATTTTTGATGCCTGCTTTACACTAGATGCCATGCAGAGGCTGGGAACTTAAGGGATGGACCATAACCGGTCCTTACTCATGAGGAGATTAATTTCTGACACTTATACCATGCCTTGCTTCTAGAGGTTCTCAAACAGCAACCATCAGAATCACCTGGAAAGCTTGTTAAAACTTGGATTGGTGGCTGGGCGCAGTGGCTCACGCCTGTAATCCCAGCACTTTGGGAGGCCAAGGCGGGTGGATCACCTGAGGTCAGGAGTTCAAGACCAGCCTAGCCAACATAGTGAAGTCTCGTCTCTACTAAAAATACAAAAAATTAGCCAGGTGTTGTGGCAGACACCTGTAATCCCAGCTACTCAGGAGGCTAAGGCAGGAGAATAGCTTGAACCGGGGAGGGGGAGGTTGCAGTGAGCTGAGATCACGCCATTGTACTTCAGCCTGGGCAACAAGAGTGAAACTCCGTCTCAAAAAAAAACAAAAACCAAAAAACAAAACTTGGATTGGTAAGCCCTGCCTCTAGAGTTTTCGATTCAGTAGGTGTTGGGTGGGACCCAAAAATGTGCATTTCTAACAAGTTTCCAGATAAGGCTGATGATGCTGCCGATCTGGGGACTATGAGAATTACTGCTTTACATACGAAGTAGAGGTGAAGAACAAAGACTCTGGAGCCAGACTGTCTCGGTTTCAATATTGGCCCTGCATTTACTAGACATGTAATAGTAGGCACATTATTTAACTTCTCCGTGTCTCAATTTCCTCCTCTGTAAAATGGCAGTGGTAATAGTACCTACCTCATTCGGTTGTTGTGAAGATTAAATGAGTTAATACATAAAAACACTTCAGTGGCCGGGCACAGTGGTTCACGCCTGTAATCTCAGCACTTTGGGAGACCAAGGCAGGCAGATCACCTGAGGTCAGGAGTTCGAGACCAGCCTGGCCAACATGGTGAAACCCCATCTACACTAAAAATACAAAAATTAGCTGAGCATAATGGCACACGCCTGTAGTCCCAGCTCCTCGGGAGGCTGAGGCACAAGAATCGCTTGAACCTGGGAGGCAGAGGTTGCAGTGAGCTGAGATCATGCCACTGCACTCCAGCCTGGGTGACAAAGCAAGACTCCATCTCAAAAAACAAAAAACAAAACGAAACAAAAACACTTTAGAACAGTGCCTAAAAAGAATGCAAGCAAAATATCAGCTGCTATCATAATCATTACTTGCCTCTCACACTATATTCTTTTTTTGAGACAGGGTCTTACTCTGTTACCCAGGCTGTAGTGCAGCTGCACAATCTGGACTCTGCAGTCTCCACCTCTCAGGCGCAAGTAATTCTCCCACCTCAGTCTCCCGAGTTGCTGAGACTACAGGTGCATGCCACCATGCCTGACTTTTTATTTATTTATTTACTTACTTATTGTAGAGATGAGGGTCTCGCTATATTGCCCAGGCTGGTCTTGAACTCCTGAGCTCAAGCAATCCCCCTGCCTCAGCCTCCCAAAGACTCTTCTTATGGAATGCTGAGGTCCCAGCTCAGTTACACTAGGGCAAAGGTCCCAGCTCAGTTACACCAGGGCAAAGGTGAGCTACCACACCTGGCTCCACACTACCATCTAAGTTCCTTAAAAACAGGGACAATATCAGATACACTGCTGTCCTCCTTTAGTGCTTGGCACAAGCTGTGCCTAGAATGATCAGTAAATTTGGGTTTACCTGAATCAACAAGATGGCATCAAAAAGCACTCAGAAAAACTCTCAAAAAACTCTCAAAGGTCTCAGAAAGACCTCTGCCCTGATGTAACTGAGCTGGAACCTCAGCATTCCATAAGAAGAGTCTGACTCCCCTGTTCTAAATACTCAACCTCATACTTAACTTTGTGCAAAGGCAGTAGTCACTATTCTGACCCATCTCCAAAGCAGCTAGTGAAGTCAAGCCTGGCCCCAGCCTCTCAAAGTCCTTCTGTACAGTGCACCTATAATCAGGGACTTCACTCTCAGCTAGGCAAAGTGGCAGAGTAAAATGGAAATCCAGATAGCATTTTGCTTTTTTTTTTTTTTTTTTTTTTTTTTTTGAGACAGAACCTCACTCTGTCGCCCAGGCTGGAGTGCAGGGGCACAATCTTGGGTCACTGCAGCCTCTGCCTCCCAACTTCAAGCAATTCTCGTGCCTCTGCCTCCCGAGTAGCTGGGGTGACAGGCACATGCCACCACACCCAGCTAATTTTTGCGCCATGTTGGCCAGGCTGGTCTCAAACTCCTGACCTCAGGTGATCCGCCCACCTCGGCCTCCCAAAATGCTGGGATTACAGGAGTGAGCCACTGCGCCCAGCTGCATTTTACTTTTTTTTATTTTTTTTTGAGATGGAGTTTTGCTCTGGTTGCCCAGGCTGGAGTGCAATGGCACGATCTTGGCTCACAGTAACTTCCACCTCCCGGGTTCAAGCGATTCTCCTGCCTCAGCCTCCCAAGTAGCTGGGATTGCAGGCATGCACCACCACACCTGGCTAATTTTGTATTTTTAATATAGACAGGGTTTCTCCATGTTGGTCAGGCTGGTCCAAACTTCTGACCTCAGGTGATCCACCCGCCTCGGCCTCCCAAAGTGCTGGGATTACAGGCATAAGCCACCGTGCTCAGCCCCTGCATTTTACTTTTTTATGCTGATAAACTTCTTTCAGTAATCCCTGATATATGTTCCACCAAACCTATTGGCTCCTTCTGTTTCCATTTCATCCTTGCATCTCAGTCCATAGCTAACTCACACCTAAGGGCCTCTGCTGTGTGGGCCAGAGTCTTCTACTTAGATATCTTCTCTATACAAAGAATTTCCTGGAGCCAATATAATAAGAATGGCCTGAGAAAAGTTTGCATCCCAATCTACATTTTCCTCTTTTAATGTTAAAAAAAAAAACAACTGAGGAAAAAAAGAAATCAATGTAGTATAATTAACAGATTAAATAAGTAAAAGGATTCAAAAAAATAACCAAAAATCTGTAGCATTCACTGCTGGTACCAGTAATAACTAATTATGATAAAATATCCAATTCAAAATTCTTGGAAATAAACTTCATGAGATGTATGTGATTTGTATGAGAAAATCTATAAGAACCAATAAGAAGACATACAAAATAACCTGAGTTAAGAAGAGAAAGAGGCCGAGTTCCTGGACGGAAAATAATGTAATAATGTCTATTGGACATTTGCTACTCCAGCCTCCAAGTTCTGAGGATGAGCATCAGGTATCCCTACCCATCCCCATGTAGTGTGCCCCAGAAATTCAAAGATACAAGGATGTAATTGAGCCAGTCCATACCGCTAAGAAGAAACAAATACATATATCAGTGCTGTCCAACAGGAGTATCATATGAGCTAAATATGTAATTTTAGAATTTCTTTTAGCTATGTTATAAAAATTAAAAAGGAGCCGGGCGTGGTGGCTCACACCTGTAATCCCAGCACTGTGGGAGGCCGAGCCGGGAGGATCATGAGATCAGGAGATTGAGACTGTCCTGGCTAACAAGTTGAAACCCCATCTCTACTAAAAATACAAAAAAAATTAGCCAGGCATGGTGGTGGGTGCCTAAAGTCCCAGCTGCTCGGGAGGCTGAGGCAGGAGAATGGCGTGAATCCGGGAGGCAGAGATTGCAATAAGCCGAGACTGCACCACTGCACTCCAGCCTGGGTGACAGAGCAAGACTCCATCTCAAAAAATAAATAAATAAATAAATAAAAATAAAAAGGAAACAGGTGAAATTAATTTTAGTAATATATTTAACCCCCCAAATCAACATAGCAATATAAAAATTACTAATATTGGGCCGGGTGCAGTGGCTCACCCCTGTAATCCCAGCACTTTGGGAAGGCGAGGTGGGCAGATCATGAGGTCAGGAGTTCAGGACCAGCCTGGCCAATATGGTGAGACCCCATCTCTACTAAAAATACAAAAATTAGCTGGGCGTGGTGGCGCTCGCCTGCTACTCAGCTACTGGGGAGGCTGAGGCAGAAGAATCACTTGAACTCAGGGGGCAGAGGTTGCAGTGAGCCGAGATCATGCCACTGAACTCCAGCCTGGGTGACAAAGCAAGACTCCTTCTCAAAAAAAAAAATTACTAATATTTTATATTTTTATGTAAGTCTGAAATTCAGTGTGTATTTTACACATAACACATCTCAATTCAGACTAGCCACATTTCAAATGCTTAATACATGTGGTTAGTGGCCACTGTACTGGACAGTATAGATGATAATTTCAATGAAACTTTAAGTGTAATGACAGAGGCACATGGGCGACATGGGAACTAAGAGGAGGTATGTCTAATCTAGTCTGGGATAATCAGGGTAGGTTACATAGAAGAGATATCTACTTAAACAGGCCTGTGAGGATGAGCAGGAATTAGCCAGGCAAAGGAAAGATGGGAGAAAGGTGTACTAAGCAGCATTAACAGAAAGTATGAAGTGAGAAATAGCACATTACACCAGGAACTATCAGTAGTAATATTCTTGCATAAAAATGGAAGGAAGAAGCACTGAGAAAAGAAGCTAGAGAAGTATACCATCACGAAATCTGCCCATTCGCTCCCTAGCCCAAGCCAGGGGAAAGGCAGCAAAGGTGACAGGAGGAGCTGTCCCTGGTTCTGACACTCTATGCAGATTCACGGTTCAGTTTCACCCAGCCTGAAACCGAACTGACCCAGATCAAGCCTATTTTCCTGCATCTTCTCTAGCACACACGAAGGCCCCAAAACCCTAAACTTGGCCTGGCAGAACAGGAAAGCCTAGCAGCTTTGGACAGGCTGCCCTGGATGAGCACAGGCAATAGAGTAAGATCCCCTCTCTACAAAAAATAGAAAAATTAGCCAGGTGTGGAGGAGCATGCCTGCAGTCCCAACTACTCAGGAGGCTGAGGCAGGAGGATCACTTAAGCCCAGCCCAGGTGGTCGAAGCTGCAGTGAACCATGACTGCACCACTGCATTCCAGCCTGGGGGACACAGCCAAAGCCTGTCTCTTAAAAAACAAAATTCTCTATAGCATGCAATACTGTTTGATAGCATTTTACCCACAGTAGAACTTCCCTCAAAATTGGAGTCAATCCTCTCAAACACTGTCACTGCCATATCAACTAGGTTTATGCAATATTCTAAATATATTGTTGACATTTCAACAATGTTCACAGCACTTTCACCAGAGTCAATTTCACCTCAAGAAATCACTTTCTTTGTTCATCCATAAGAAGGATTTCCAGCCGGGCACAGTGGCTCACACCTGTAATCCCAGCACTTTGGGAGGCCGAGGTGGGCGGATCACGAAGTCTGGAGATCAAGACCATCCTGGCTAACACGGTAAAACCCAGTCTCTACTAAAAATACAAAAAATTAGCTGGGCATGGTGGCAGGCGCCTGTAGTCCCAGCTACTCGGGAAGCTGAGGCAGGAGAATGGTGTGAACCCAGTAGGCGGAGCTTGCAGTGAGCCGAGATCGCACCACTGTACTCCAGGCTGGGCAACAGAGTGAGACTCCGTCTCAAAAAAAAAAAAACAAAAAACAAACAAAAAAAAAGGATTTCCTCATCTGTTCAAGTTTTATCATGAGATTTGAGCAATTCAGTCACATATTCAGGCTCCACTTCTGATTCTAGTTCTCTTGCTGTTTCCACCACATCTGCAATTATCTCCTCCACTGATGTCTTGAACCCCTCAAAGTCATCCATGACAGTTGGAATCAATGTCTTCCAAACCCTTATTTTTGTTGATATTTGGACCTCCTCCCATGAATTATGAATGTTCTTAATGGCATCTAAAATGGTGAATCCTTTCCAGAAGGTTTTCAATTTACTTTGCCCAGATCCATTATGGGAATCATTGTATATGGAATGTATTTCTTAAATAATGACTTAAAAGTTGAAATTACTCCTTGATCCATAGGCTACAGAATGGATGTTGTGTAAGTAGGTATGAAAGCAACATTATTCTCCTTGTACAACTCCATCAGAGCTCTTGGGTGACCAGGTGCACTGTCAAGGAGCAGTAATATTTTGAAAGAACTCTTTTTTTCTGAGCAGTAGATCTAAAGAGTGGACTTAAAATATTTAGTGAACCAGCTGGGCACGGTGGCTCATGCCTGTAATCCCAGCACTTTGAGAGGCCAAGGCAGGCAGATCACTAGGTCAGGAGTTCAAGACCAGCCTGACCAACATAGTGAAACCCCATCTCTACTAAAAATACACAAATTAACCATGCATGATGGCATGCACCTTTAATCCCAGCTACTCAGGAGGCTGAGGCAGGAGAATCACTTGACCCCAGGAGGCGGAGGTTGCAGTGAGCCAAGATCGCACCACTGCACTCCAGCCTGGGCGACAAAGCGAGACTTTGTCTCAAAAAATAAATAAATAAATCAGTAAACCATGCTGTAAAAAAAAAAAAATGTGCTATCATCCAGGCTTTGTTGTTCCACTTATAGAGCACAGGCAGAGTAGACACAGCATAATTCTTAAAGGCTCTAGGCTTTTCATAATGGTAACGGAGGACTGGTTTCAATTTAAAGTCACCAGCTACATTAGACCCTAATAAAAGAGTTAGCCTGTGCTTTGAAGCTTTGAAGCCAGGCATTGATTTCTCTCTAGCTATGAAAGTTCTAGATGGCATCTTCTTCCAACAGAAGGCTGTTTCATCTACACTGAAACTCTGTTGTTCAGTGTAGCCACTCTCATCAATTATTTTAGTCAGATCTTCTGGCTAATTTGCTGCAGCTTCTACATAAGCACCTTCGACTTTTATGTTATGGAGATGGCTTCTTTCCTTAAACCTCATGAACCAATCTCTACTAGCTTCAAACTTTTCTTCTATAGCTACCTTACCTCTGTTGGCACTCACAGAATTGAAGAGAGTTAGGGCCTTGCTCTGGATTAGGCTTTGGCTTAAGGGAATGTTATGGCTCGTTTGATCTTCTTTCCAGATCACTAAAACTTTCTCCATATCAGATAAGGTTATTTTGCTTCTTACTATTCATGTGTTCACTGGATTAGCACTCTTAATTTCCTTAAGAACTTCTCCTTTGCATTGACAATTTGGTTAGTTGTGCAGTGCAACAGGCCTAACTTTTGGCCTTCTCAGCTTTCTATATGTCTTCCTCACTAAGTTTAATCATTTCTAGCTTCTGACTTAAAGCAAGAGATGTGCAACTCCTCCTTTCACTTGAACACTTACAGGCCATTGCAGGGTTATTAATTGGCCTACTTTCAGTATTGTTGTGTCTCAAGGAATAGGGAGGCCCAAGGAGAGGGAGAGAGATGGTGGAGTGGCCTGTCATGGAGCATTTAGAATACACATAAGGTTGGGCACGTTGGCTCATGCCCATAATCCCAGCACTTTGGGAGGCCAAGGCAGGAGGATCACTTGAGTCCAGGAGTTTGAGACCGGCCTGGGCACTATAGTGAGACTCCATCTCTACAACAACAACAAAAAACTTTTAAATGAGCCAGGCATGGTGGTGCATGCCTGTAGTCCCAGCTACTCAGGAAGCTGAGGTGGGAGGATCGATTGAGCCCAGGAGGTCAAGGCTGCAGTGAGCCATGATCATGCCTCTGCACTTCAGCAACCCCGGTGACAGAATGAGACCCTGTCTCTAAAACAATAACAAAGCCCATGACATTGGTAGATCAAATTTGCCATCTTATTTGGCCATGGTTCATGGTGCCCCAAAACAATTGCAATAGTAACATCACAGGTCACTGCTTACAGATTGCCATACAGATACAGTAATAATGAAAACATTTGAAATATCATGAGATTTACAAAAATGTGAGAAAGACACAATTTGAGCACATGCTGTTGGAAATTTGGCACCAACAGACTTGCTTGATGTACAGTTGGTAAAAACCTTCAATTTGTAAAAACAAAACAAAAAAAACACAGTATCTGCAAAGTGCAGTAAAGCAAAGCATGATAAAACAAGGTATGCGTATTTGATATAAGTGGTCAAGAAGTATGGAGGGATATTTGGAGAGCACTGAAGAAGCTGACAAGACTAGATTTGAAGCTTTCCTGCAATTAGATAAAAAAAGGATTGCAAAAACATCACTTTGATCTAGGAAAAGTACTCTTTCACGAGAGAAGAGGTGAAGCTGATCGGGAAAAGAGAGGCTTTTGAGAGAACTGTCAAGACAGACTGAAAAATCAGGAAGACTGATTGGTCATACCCCTAAGTTATATCACAGTGCTCTCAACAGACCAGAGGGAGCAACAAGAAACTGAAAGAGGAAATTTGCCTTTATTGTAAAAAGCTTATAGCTATGAAACCAAGAGTTGGTATGAAACAAAACAACTGAGGGACTATCACCACGATATAAGTTATCTCAACTCACCACCATCATCGAGATGAGTGAGATCTACTCTTGACCAATACAGCCCATTAAGAAGAGCTTCCAGGACATCCAGTGCTACCAGTGGTCTGAGGTGTTAGAGTAAGCAATCAGTTTTGACATATCCAGTGGCCTGCTGCTAAGACCTAAGCCCCCTAATGTCCATACAGCTTGGTTATAAAACTTTTTTATACCAAAAAAAAAGAGAGAGATTCTTTTTTTAATGGGACAGAACTAAAATACTGGTCAACAGCATGTAAGTTGGGAGATGGGGTGATCAGAGCTAAAGTGTTCTAGAGATCCTTGTACTGTTTAGGACAAGGATAAAGGTATTGATTAACTTTAAACTTTGCTAAGCATAGACAGTAATACTCCAATAAAAAAAAAAAACAAGTAACCAGGGATGGTGGCACAATCCTGTAATCTTAGCTACTTGGGAAGCTGAGGTGGGAGGATCACCAGAGCCCTGAGTTCAAGACCAGCCTGGGAAAAATAGCAAGGCCCCCATCACAAAAACAAACAAACAAACAAACAAACAAACAAAAAAACTGAAAAGAACAGAAATAGACCCAAGCATGGTGGCTCACACCTATAATCCTAGTGCTTTGGTGCTTTGGGAGACTGAAGTGGGAGAATCGCTTGAGGCCCAGAGTTCAAGACTAGCCTGGGCAACATACCAAGACTCTGTTTCCACAAAAAAATTAAAAAATTAGCTGGGCCCAGTGGTACATCACTGTAGTCCTAGCTTCTCGGGTGACTGAGGAAGGAGGATCACTTCAGCTCAGGAGTTGAGGTTACAGTGAGCTATGATCATGTTACTGCCCTCCAGCCTGGGCGACAGAGCCACACCCTGTCTCTAAAAGAAAAAAAAAGAATAGAAATAAAATTAAAAAGAATAGAAATAAAACTTTCAAACCATTAGCTAAAATGGCTTAGCTAGGATGATTAAAGAAATTGAGTCGGGCCAGGCGCGGTGGCTCACATCTGTAATCCCAGCACTTTGGGAGGCCAAGATGGGCAGATCACCTGAGGTCAGGAGTTCAAGACCAGCATGGCCAATGTGGTGAAACCTTGTCTCTACTAAAAATACAAAAATTAGCCGGGTGTGATGGCACATGCCTGTAATCCCGACTACTCAGGAGGCTGAGGCAGGAGAATCGCTGGAACTTGGGAGGCAGAGGCTGCAGTGAGCCGAGATCATGCCACTGCACTCCAGCCTGGGTGACAGAGCGAGACTCCGTCTCAAAAAAAAAAAAAAAAGAAATTGAGTCATTAGTTTAAAATCTTCCCACAAAAAATAAAATCAAATGGTACAGGTGAGTTCTGCCAAATGTTCAAGGAATAACAGAACACTTCAGTCTTTTTTTTTTTTTTTTCTGAGATGGAGTCTCGCTCTGTCGCCCAGGCTGGAGTGCAGTGGTGCAATCTTGGCTCACTGCAAGCTCTGCCTCCCGGGTTCATGCCATTCTCCTGCCTCAGCCTCCCAAGTACCTGGGACTACAGGCGCCCGCCACCACACCCGGCTAATTTTTTTGTATTTTTAGTAGAGATGGGGTTTCACTGTGTTAGCCAAGATAGTCTCGATCTCCTGACCTCGTGATCCACCCACCTCAGCCTCCCAAAGTGCTGGGATTACAGGCGTGAGCCACCGCACCCAGGCAACAATTATTTTTTTTTTAAGGCAAAAGTCATTTACAGCTCTTTCACAGAAGAAAAGGGCAAAAATCATTATTTATTTATAGAGATGGAGTCTTACTATGTTGCCCAGGCTGGTCTTGAACTCCTGGACTCAAGCAATTCTCCCACCTTGGCCTCCCAAAGTGCTGGGATTGCAAGCATGGGCCACCCCACACCCAGACTAAAAATCATGTTTTTAAAGTTTAATCTTTTTTTTTTCTTTTTTTTTGAGACGGAGTCTTGCTCTGTCACCAGGCTGGAGTGCAGTGGCTAGATCTCTGCTCACTGCAACTTCCGCCTCCTGGGTTCAAGTGATTCTCCTGCCTCAGCCTCCTGAGTAGCTGGGACTACAAGTGTGCGCCACCATACCCGGCTAATTTTTATATTTTTAGTAGAGATGGGGTTTCATGTTGACCAGACTGGTCTCGAACTCCTGATCTCGGGCGACCCACCCACCTCGGCCTCCCAAAGTGCTGGGATTACAAGCATGAGCCACCTCGCCCAGCCTAATCTCATTATTTATAAGGAAAATACAAAGACCACAATGAGACATCAATTTCACCCACTAAATCAGGCAAAAGTTAAGGAGGTAGAATAATGATCTGTTGGTGGGAGTGTAAACTGGTACAACCAACACTCTTTGGTAAAGTTGAAGACGTGCACACCCTGTAAAACAGCAATTCCACTACAGAAAATCTTCTGCATTGCCAAGAGGAGATAGGCACAAGAATGTTCTTAGCAGCACTGTTTGTAATAGCAAAATATTGAAAACTACACTAAATCCATCCATAATAGAACAGATACATGAATTGTGATATACATAAATCTCAGAAACATGATACTGAGTGACAACAAACAAGCTGCAGAAGAATGCTTATGGTATGACTCTTAGTTTGTAAAATTCAAAACTATGCAAAAGTAAACTATGTGGTTTAAGGATACAAATATACATATTAAACAATACAGAAAAAGCAAGGGTAAACTCAAATGTCAAGATGGTAGTTACATCCCAGAGGGGAAAGAATGGGAATGGATTATGAAGTAGCACACAGAATATCTCAAAAGATAAAGGTAAAAAACCAAAATAAGGGTAAAAATAATATTCATTTTCTCTCTCAGTAGGGAGGAGATAAAATGAATGGTGGATAATAGGTGTCTGTTCAAATACTCTCCTTTATAACATACATATGGCCAGGCGCGGTGGCTCACGCCTGTAATCCCAGCACTTTGGGAGGCGAGGCGTGCAGATCACGAGGTCAAGAGATCGAGACCATCCTGGCTAACACGGTGAAACCCCGTCTCTACTAAAAATACAAAAAATTAGCCGGGCGTGGTGGCGGGCGCCTATAGTCCCAGCTACTCGGGAGGCTGAGGCAAGAGAATGGCGTGAACCTGGGAGGCGGAGCTGGCAGTGGGTCGAGATGGCGCCACTGCACCCCAGCCTGGGCGACAGAGTGAGACTCCGTCTCAAAAAAAAAAACAAAAAACAACAACAAAAAATGTTATATTATTTTTCTTTTGACGACAAAAAGACCTAGATTTGAATCCAAGCTCTAACAAGCAGTGTGACCTGAGATTAGTCAACCCCTTCAACAAAAACATATGGACTCCCAGCCACAGGCGGAGGGGTACACGTAGGGCAGGAACGCTTGGGTGATAAATATGAGGTCCTTTCCCTCTAGAGTTCACGGTTTAAGAGAAGGCTGACAGGAAAAAAAATTAAATAAATAAAAATTAAAAATTAAAGAAAAATATATAAATATCTCCACAGCCTGCCAACAACAGGTCGTTCCCCACGCTCTTGAGCCCATTTTCAACACAGCTACAAACTGCTGCTTTAAAATGCACACCGGATTAAATTACTTGCCTGAATATAGTCCTCCAATTCTTCCCCTGTGTCCTCAGGATAAAAGGCTCCCCGAGTTCTGCGTGGGCCTCACGCACTCCTGAGGCGCTTGCCTCACGGGCTTCCCTCTCACGTGGCGTCCTCACAGGTCCACATTTGGCTCCACCCACGCCATCACGCAACTGGCATCTGATTGGTGAACGTAGAGGAAGGACTGAGCATGCACGATCTAGCTCCTCCCTCCGTCCGTAAATTTAGATCCGCGAGTCTGCCGGAAGTTTGAGTTCTTCCGCTTCCCAAGGCCCCAACTTCTATTAAGGCATAACTGACATTCGATAAACTGCACATGGCCGGGCGCAGTGGCTCTCGCCTGTAATCCCAACACTTTGGGAGGCGGAGGCAGGTGGATCACCTGAGGTCAGGAGTTGGAGGCCAGCCTGACCAACATGGCGAAACCCTGTCTCTAGTAAAAATACAAAATTAGCCGGGCGTGGTGGCAGACACCTGTAGTCCCAGCTACTCGGGAGACTGAGGCAGGAGAATCGCTTGAACCCGGGAGGCGGAGGTTGCAGTGAGCCGAGATCGCACCACTACACTCCAGCCTGGGCAACAAGAGTGAAACTAAAAAAAAAAAAAAAAAAAAAAAACTACACACGTTTAAAGTGTGCGGTCTGATGAGTTTTGAAACAAATATACACACATGAAACCTTCACAACAATCAATATAACGACCCTATTCATTCCCCGCCAAACTTTAATCCTGCCTCTTTGTTTCCTGCCTCTCGTCCCCCTCTGCCCTTCCCTCTGCAACTGCTAATCTCTTTTCTGTCGCCATAGATAAGTTTTCATTTTATAGTATTTTATATAACTGGAATAATTTGGGGGAGAGGGGGTCTGGCTTGTTCCACTCACTACAAGTATTTTGAGATTCACCTATGTTGTTGTGTAAATCAATAGTTCGTCTCCCTGGACCTGACCATCACTTTTCCCAACAAGAAAGGAGAAAAAAAAAGTTTGTTCCATTTTACTGCTGAGTGTGCTCCATTGTATGGATATATGACAATTTGTATATTCATTCACATGTTGATGGACATTTGGGGGGTTGTTTTCAGCTTGGTGCCATTACAAATGAAATTGCTATGACCATTTGTCTATAAAAGTCTTTTAAACATTTCCTTTTTTTTTTTTTTTTTTTGGAGAAATGGCTCACTCTGTCACCCAGGCTAGAGTGGAGTGCAGTGGTGCCATCATAGCTCACTGCAGCTTGCAGCCTCGCCCTTCCAGTCTCAAGCCATCCTCCCACCTCAGCCTCCAGAGTGGCTGGGATCACACCACCACTCCCGGCTAATTTTTTTTTTTTTTTTTCCGTACAGATGGAGTCTTGCTATGTTGCCCAGGCTGGTCTTGAACTCCTGGTCTCAAGCATCGGCTTCCCAAAGCGCTGGGATTACAGATGTGAGCCACCATGCCCAGCAAGTCCCTAATCCATTTCCAGCAAATTTTTGTGTATGGTGAAAGGTAAAGATCAACATTCAATTTTTTGCTCATGGCTATCCAATTGTTCCAGCATCATTTGTGGAAAGCATTGCCTCCATTAAATTGCCTTAGCACTTGTGTTGAAAATCAACTGGTTATGTATGTCTGGGCCTATTTCTGGACTCTCTATTCTGTTCCGCGTGTCTCTTTATGCCAAATACCATACTGTCTTGATTACTGTGGCTATATAATAAATCTTGACATCAGATAGTGTAATTAGTTATCTATTGATGCATAACAAATTACTACAAATTTAGAGGCTTGGCCAGGTGTGGTTGCTCACACCTGTAATCCCAGCACTTTGGGAGGCTGAGGCGGGTGGATCACTCGAGGTCAGGAGTTTGAGACCAGCCTGGCCAACATGGAGAAACCCCGTCTCTACTAAAAATACAAAAATTAGCCAGGCACAGTGGCTCACGCCTGTAATCCCAGCACTTTGGGAGGCAGAAGCAGACAGATCACGAGGTCAGGAGTTCGAGACCAGCCTGGCCAATATGGTGAAACGTTATCCTGACTTAAAAAAATAAATAAATAAATATAAAAATTAGCCGGGCATGGTGGCACATGCCTGTAGTCCCAGCTACTTGGGAGGCTGAGGCAGAAGAATCGCTTGAACCTGGGAGGCGGAGCTTGCAGTAAGCCGAGATTGCACCACTGCACTCCAGCCTGGGTGACAGAGTGAGTTTCTATCTCAAAAATAAATAAATAAATAAATAATACAAAAATTAGCCGGGCATGGTGTTGCAAGCCTGTAATCCTAGCTACTTGGGAGGCTGAGGCAGGAGAATCACTTGAACCTGGAAGGTGGAGTTTGCAGTGAGCCGAGATCGTGCCACTGCACTTCAGCCTGGGCGACAGAGCGAGACTTTGTCTCAAAAAAAAAAAAAAAAAAAAGAAAGAAAAGAAAAATGTAGAGGCTTAACACACACATATTTATTATCTCATAGTCTCTGTGGGTCAAGAGGCCAGGCATGGTTTAGTTAAATCCTCTGTGAAGCATCTCAGAGACTGCGGTCAAGGTGTATATAAGCCAGGGCTGGACTCTTATCTGGAGACTGGACTGAAAAATAATTCGCTTTCCAGCTCACATGGTAGTTAGCAAACGGAAACTGAGAGCTTCAGTTTTTTGTTGTTTGGCTGTTGGTGGGCACCCTTAGCTTCAAGGGGCCTCCCCAGTTCCTTGCTACATGAGCTTCCTCAACATGGCCAGAAAGGAGAAGAGGAAGAGACTCTAGAGTGGATCTGCTAGCAAGAGAGGCTTTTATAACTTAATGCAATCACAAATGGCATCCCATCACCTTCACCATATTCTATTGGTTAGAAGCAATAGATGGTCATGGGGCCATCTTAGAATCTGCCCTCCACAGGTAGTATAAGTTATCCAACTATGTTTTTATGTTTTTCTTTCTAAAGTGTGTGTGTGTGTGTGTGTGTGTGTGTGTGTGTGTGTGTGTCTATTGTAGGTCCTTTTCATTCCCATATAAATTTTAGAATCAACCATACATTTCTACAAAAAAAAAAAAAGCCAGCTGACTTTTGATTAGGGTTGTGTTAGATCTACAAATCAATTTGGGGACAAATAACACCTTAACAATATTGAGTCTTTTCATCCATGGACATAGTGTATTTTTCCATTTGGATAGGTTGTCTTTCAGTTCTCTCAGTAATGTTTTCTGGTTTTCAATGAACAGATCTTGCACATCTTTTTTTTTTCAAACTTATCCCTAAGTATTTTACATTTTTGGTGCTATTTTCTTTTTTCTTTCTTTTCTTTCTTTCTTTTTTTTTTTTTTTTTTTTTTTTTTTGAGACTGTCTTGCTCTGTCACCCAGGCTCAAGTGCAGTGGCACAATCATGGCTTC
This sequence comes from Homo sapiens, assembly GCF_000001405.40. Classification (NCBI taxonomy): domain Eukaryota; kingdom Metazoa; phylum Chordata; class Mammalia; order Primates; family Hominidae; genus Homo; species Homo sapiens. The sequence continues at coordinate 35,866,528 of NC_000001.11, read as the reverse complement.
AGCCTCCACCCACCAGGCTCAGGTGATCCTTCCACCTCAGCCTCCTGAGTAGCTGGGGCTACAGGAGCGTGCCATGCCTATTTTTTTTCTTTTTTTTGTAGAGATGGGGTTTCATCATGTTGTTCAGGCTGGTCTTGAACTCCTGAGCTCAAGTGATCCACCCACCTTGGCCTCGCAAAGTACCAAGATTACAAGCGTGAGCCGCCACAGCTGGCTGGTGCTATTTTCAATGTTTTGTTTTGTTTTTTTTCAATTTTATCCTACCGTGCTTAGTCAGTAGGCTTAGAGAAGCAGGCACCTTCACTGTGTGGAAAGCCAAGGTTGTCCTGCACTTACTGTGACTAGGTAGGTAGGCAAAGCACATGAAATAAAGAGGAATACTAGCATTACCATTTGCCTTCACTTTTTTTTTTTTCAGGATGGAGTCGTGCTCTGTCACCCAGGCTGGAGTGCAGTGGTGCAATCTTGGCTCACTGCAACCTCTGCCTCCCAGGTTCAAGCAATTCTCCTGCCTCAGCCTCCCAAATAGCTGGGATTACAGGCACCCGCCACCACACCCAGCTAATGTTTGTATTTTTAGTAGAGAGGGGGTTTCACTGTGTTGGCCAGGCTGGTCTCAAACTCCTGACCTTGTGACCGGCCCACCTCAGCCTCCCAAAGTGCTGGGCTAACAGGCGTGAGCTACCACACCTGGCCTGTGCTCACTTCTAAACATGCCCTCTTATCTAAGTCTTATTAGCAAGTAAGCCAACACCTTGCTCTTCAGCCAATTTTTTTTTTTTTTTTTGAGACGGAGTTTCACTCTTGTCACCCAGGCTGGAGTGCAGTGGCACAGTCTTGGCTCACTGCAACCTCCACTTCCCAGGTTCAAGAGGTTCTCCTGCCTCAGCCTCCCGAGTAGCTGGGACTACAGGTGTGTGCTGTGCGCCACTACACCCGGCTAATTTTGTATTTTTAGTAGAGACAGAGTTTCACCATGTTGGCCAGGCTAGTCTCAAACTCCTGACCTCAGGTGTTCCACCCGCCTTGGCCTCCCAAAGTGCTGGAATTACAAGTTGAGCCACCACACCCAGGTTTTTTTTTTTTTTTTTCTTTTTTTTGAAGTAGAGTCTCTTGTTGCCCAGGCTGGAGTACAGTGACATGATCTCAGCTCACTACAACCTCTGCTTCCCAGGTTCAAGCGATTCTCTTTCTTCAGCCTCCTGAGTAGCTGGGACTATAGGTGTGCACCACCACATCTAGCTAATTTTTGCATTTTTAGTAGAGATGGAGTTTCACCATATTGGCCAGGCTGGTCTTGAACTCCTGAACTTAAGTGATCCTCCCGCCTCGGCCTTCCAAAGTGCTGGGATTACAGGCGTGAGCCACCATGCCCGGCCCTTCCTCCAACTTTTTGATATCTACTTTTCAATTTGTTCTGAACTGGTACAGAGAAGAGGATATGATTTATTAACACCCTGTAACTTCAACATCTCCATCTGACTAGTGAAACCCACTCGTATTTCAAAACTCAGGTCATGTCCTTCTGCCTTCATGACAACTTCCTGACATTCCCTCCCATGTGTCCCTTCCTGCTTTTCCTGTGGTGCAATATAAAACACTTTGCTGGTGTCCTTTGTTGACATAGCCTTCTCTTCCTCATCCTCTTTCTCCCACTAAACATGTAAGTCTCAAAAGCATGAAGAAAACCATATATTATTTATCTTTGTAGCCCCAGGGCCTACAACAGTGTCAGGCAGGACATAGATGTTCAGTAAATACTTGCCAAATAAATTATGACCACATGATTTCAGTCTTGAAAAACAATGACTGCTCATTATGTGACAGTTAATGCAAATATCAGAATATAAAATCCTAAATGTATTAACTTTACAACTATATAAAATGTTATGTATTGAAAGGTAATATGTAAAATAAATTGTCATTGCATTTGGGATCTTTTTTAACAAAACATTTTAAAACTCTTCATTATTAATGTATGAATTCTCTGCCCCACACCCTGACACACACTTGGAGTTGGAGGGTTAATATCACATGGGACACTGAGACTCTGAAGGCAGTTGGAGGAAGAAGACTAAACATAAGAGAAACCAAGCCCAAATGCCAAGTGCAGGGGCCAGGGGGCAGGGCAAGGAAAGAGATCACAAGGCCTGGAGTTCGGGGTTAAATGAGACAGTATTACCAGGACAGCAAGGTTTAGGGCAGAGAGAAATTCGAGCATTGCTTCTTTAAGTATCTGTGGGAGCCTCTGGATTTTGTTTACCATACATTAAAGAGCACCTACTATATGCCAGACACTGTGTGTTGGTTTCACAAAGATGAATGAGACAAAGTCCTCAGAAGGATAATACAAAAACACTTAGGCCTATTATAGTAAAAGTGTTGCAAATCAAAGACAAGAAGAAGATACTAAAAATAGCCATAGGAAAAAGGGAAATGACCTTCAAAGGAGCTGATAGTTAAATTTCCAACAGGACAATAGAAGCTGAAAGACAACAGAATAACATCTTCAAAGTGCTGAAAGAAAAAGTCATCAAACAATATTACTTATCAAAATTGTCCTTCAGAGATTAAGGAACTAGAGCCGGGCATGGTGGCTCATGCCTGTAATCCTAACACTTTAGGAGACCTAGGTGGGACAATCACTTGAGCCCAGGAGTTCGAGACAAGCCTGGGCAACATAGTGAGACCCCCATCTGTACAAAAAAATACAAAAAATTATTAGCTGGGGGTGGTGACATGCACCTGTAGTCCCAAATACTTGGGATGCTGTGGCAGGAGAATCTCTTGAGCTCAAGAGGTTGAGGCTCCAGTGAGCTATGATCATAGCATCACAGTCCAACCTGGGAGACAGAGAGAGATCCCATCTCAAAAACAAAATGAAACAAAAAAACAAACAAAAACAGGCAAAGGACTTGAATAGATATTTCTCCAAAGAAAACATACAAATGGCCAGTAATCACACTAAATTACACTCAATATCACTAACAATTAGAGAAATGAAAGTCAAAACCACAATGAGATACCATTTCACATTCATTAGGATGGTTATTATTAAAAAATAAAAACAACAGAAAATAACAAGCATTGGTGAGAATGTGGAGAAACTGGAACCCAAGCTACCCTACATGCTGGTAAGAATGTAAACTGGTGTAGCTGCTATAGAGAACAGTATGGCAGTTCCTCAAAAATTAAACCTAGAATTACCATATGAGCCAGCAATTTTGAGTATATGCCTTAAAAAAATGGAAAAGCGGCTTTGAAGAAGTATTTGTACACCCATGTTCATAGGAGCATTATTCACAATAGCCAAAAGATAGAAACAACCACAGTGCCAAAACCTGGTTAATGGATTGTAGTCTATTCATATAATGGAATACCATATAGCAACAAAAAGGAATACATCTCTGTTATATACAACAACATGGTTGAATCTCATAAACATAAAATTGAGCAAAAGAAGCCAGAAACAAAAGGTTCTACTTATATAAATTCAAAACAAGCAAAACTGCCTGCGGTGCGACAAATCAAGATAGTGTTGTTTTGCTTTTGTTCTTGTTTTTTTCATGCACAGCCTTGACCTCCCAGCTCAATCGATCCTTCCACCTCAGCCTCCAGAGTAGCTGAGACTACAGGTGTGCCTCACCATACCTGGCTAATTTTTTAATTTTTTTGTGGAGACAGGGTCTTGCCACGTTCCCCAGGTTGGTCTCAAATTCCTGAGCTCAAGGGATCCACCCACCTTGACTTTCCAAAGTGCTGGAATTACAGGCGTGAGCCACTGCATCCGGCCTTTTTGTTTGGTTGTTGTTGTTGTTGTTGTTTAATAGACAAGGTCTCACTCTGTTGCCCAGGCTCGAGTGCAGTGGCTATTCACAGGTGTCATCACAGTTCACTGCAGTGTTGACCTCCTGGCCTCAAGAGATCCTCCTACTTCAGCCTCCCAAGTAGCTGGGACTACAGACTTGTGCCATCACACCCAGGTCAAGACAGTGGATATGTTTGATTATGGTGATGCATATGTTCAAGCCCATTAAATTGTAACATTAAATATGTGCAGCTTTTCTATATCAATGACACCTCAAAAAACTGTTTTTAAAAAAGATAGTGGTTATCTTTGACCAGAATAGGTTCAGGTAGTGACTCAGAAGGGGTCCTGGAGGGCTTCTGTTTTTAAATCTGGGTGGAAGTTACATGGATGTCTTTGCTTTGTGACAAGTTGGGCTCCACACTTAAGGTCTGTATATTTTACTATATGTATACGTCAAAAAAGTTAGAAAAGGCAATAGTCTTCTCGCACTTTCCTCTTCTAGTTTTTTTCCACTTGTACATCAGATCTCATTCCCTCCAACTTCCTTCAGCTTTGCCCTCTATTGTGCGTCTTTTCTCTTTCCAGTATTTCCAATTCCTCCTGCTTTACTGACTCCTTCCCTAGTGTGTAAACGTGCTCAATCTCTCCCATTCTGAAAAACGAACCATTTCCCACCCCAGCTAATATCAGAATTCATTCTTTCCCTTTATATCCAACCTACCAACTATAGTACTATAGGTTCTTCAGATCTCTATAGTCAACCTTCTTCCTTCTCCAGCCACAGACATTGCTTTCACCAGGGTCACCTATAACTTCCTTGCTGCAAATTCCAATGGAAACTTTTCAGATTTTGTCTTTTTAGATCACTATTGGATAGTTAGCCACTTCCTTCTTTGTAGCTTATGTGTATGTGTTTCCAAGCCTTTACATGTATGATTGCATTTAATCCTTCCAACCCTGGATGTAAGTACTAGTACTATCTCCATTTTACGAATAAGAAAACTGAGGCTAAGAGAGGTTAACTTGCCCAGTGTCACACAGCTAACTCCTACATAGCCGATCCTGTACATACTTGATGAAATGCTCTTTTCCCTTGATTTCTAAGACAACTTGTTCTTTTTTATCCATTTGTCCATGGGGTTTGTTTGTTTGTTTGTTAGTTTTGTGAGACAGAGTCTCCCTCTGTTGCCCAGGCTGGAGTGCAGCAGCACAATCTTGGCTCACTGCAACCTCCACCTCCCGGGTTCAAGTGATTCTCCCGCCTCAGCCTCCTTAGTAGCTGGGATTACAGGCACCTGCCACCAAGCCCAGCTAATTTTTGTATTTTTAGTAGAGATGGGTTTTCACCATGTTGGTCAGGCTGGTCTTGAACTCCTGACCTCGTGATCTGCCCGTCTCGGACTCCCAAAGTGCTGGGATTACAGGCATGAGCCACTGCGCAGGGCCATCCATGTTTTATTTCCTTTAGACATCTCTCTCCTCTGTCTACCCTTTAAATATTTGTGTCCCCTTAGGACTGTCTGTTTTTCATCTCTTCTTGGCCTGCATGATCTTTCTGGGCACACATTTGAATGGTTTTAATTACCACCTATATATTTATGGCTTCCAATTTCTTTCTCCATTCCATAGGCATCAGCTCTCATCTCCAGCTTGTACAAAACTGAACTTACCACCTTCCTCCTTCCTAAAAATCTGCTTCTCCTCTGTTCATTCTCTCAGTGGCACTATTTTTTACCCAGCTGCCCAAGCCAGAAACCTGGGAGCCCTCCTAATGAGTCTGCCTCCTTCCCTCACTCTGTGTATCCATTTTGTCACCAAGTTCTGCTTTTTCTATTTTCTGACTACCTCGTGTTCGTTCCTTCTTTCAACGGCAGTATCATTGCTCAAATTCAAGCTTCATCATCTATTGCTTGGCTATTGCAATAAAACTTGAACTTCTCTTCAGCAGAACTTCAGCTTCAACCTACTCACAATACTGCTGGCAAAATTAACACAGATTAGAGTCTGTTATTCCCCTGTACCTATGTGATAAACTCTAAACTCCGTAAAATGCCATTTAACTTCTGTCCTGTCCTTTCAGAACTTGGTGCCTACCTTGGGTCCAATTCCTCCCTCATCCCCTATAATCAAAAATTACTAAGATTACTTGTAATTCAAACATATCATGATCTTTTTTTTTTTAACTTCTGTCTTTCATTTTTGTTTCCTAGCATGCCATAGAAACTCCAGAAATGTTTGTTAAACTAAATTTATTTTCTTCCTTCTTCAATTTGTAATATAGTTGCTAGTTTTCTTCCAGCCCACCTACCCCTGATTTTGTCCTTCTCCTTAAAGATTTGCCACTGTCTGGGCATGGTGGCTCGCACCCTATAATCCCAGCTACTTGGGAAACTGAGGACGGGGGATCATTTGAGGCCAGGAGTTTGAGGCCAGCCTGGACAACATAGCATGATCTCATCTCTTTAAAAAATGTCAGCCTGGTGGCTCTATGGCTTAGTTGGTTAAAGCGCCTGTCTCGTAAAAAATGTCAGCCTGAGCAACATTTCTACAAATTATTATTTTTTTAATTAGCTGGGAATGGTGGCACACTCCTGTAGTCCCAGCTACTCAGGAGACTGAAGCAGGAGGATCGCTTGAGCCCAGGAGTTTGAGGTTCGGTAAGCTATGATAGCACCACTGCACCTTCAGCCTAGACAACAGAGCAAGACCCTGTCAAAAAAAAAAAAAAAAAAAAAAAAAAAAAGACTTGCCACTAGCTTCTGGAGAATAGTCAACACAGAAGAAATCAGAGGCAAGAGACAGAGAAAAAGAAAGAGAGAAACAAAACGGACACACGCCTTGTGATGGTGCTGATCAGTCTGTCATTCCCCTACTTACTGGCCACCGTCCCCCTAGGACGGTGGAGTGGGCCCACAAGCCATTCCTGACTGATGTAACACATCCCCGAGAAATTCAGGGATGGACATGAGTATGACACAAGTGGTGGGGGGTGAGGTGGGAATAAGGCCATTTGGACACACGTGAATCATACGAAATAATGAGGGTTCTGGCTGGGTGCGGTGGCTCATGCCTGTAATCCCAGCACATAGGGAGACTGAGGTGGGTGGATCACCTGAGGTCAGGAGTTGGAGACCAGCCTGGCCAACATGGTGAAACCCCGTCTCTACTAAAAATACAAAAATTAGCTGGGTGTGGTGGCACACACCTGTAATCCCAGCCACTTGGGAGGCTGAGACAGGAGAATCGCTTGAACCTGGGGAGGCGGAGGTTGCAGTGAGCCAAAATTTCGCCATTGCACTCTAGCCTGGGTGACAGAGTGAGATTCCATCTCAATAATAATAATAATAACAACAACAAATTTTCTATAATAAAGAGGGATCCTATCTCCCAAAGAAGGAGTAAGGGAAAGCATTTGACCCAGCCTATCAGTCACTTTTTATTGATATCTTTATCCCAGCAACACTGTTTTTTTCTATTTTCCAACTACCCCATGGTTTCTGACTATAAAATGACTAATCAATAACAAGATCTTTCCTTTAATTTTACAAGGAAAAATTCTTGGAGTTGAAGCAGTATTGATACAATGCCCAGCAACACTCTGTTCCTGGGATAAAGATATCAATAGAAAGTGACTGACAGACCTGGTGCGGTGGCTCACAGCTATAATCTCAGCATTTTGAGAGGTCAAGGCGGGAGGATCGCTTGAGCTCAGGAGTTTGAGACCAGCCTGGGCAACATGGCAAAACACCATCTCTACAAAAAAATACAAAAATTAGCAGGGCATGGTGATGCGCACCTCCTGTAGTCCCTGCTACTCAGCAGGCTGAGGTGGCAGGATTGCTTGAGCCTGGGAGGTCAAGGCTGCAGGGAGCTATGATTGTGCTACTGCACTCCAGCCTGGGTGACAGAGTGAGACCCTGTGTTTAAAAAATAATAATAAAATAAAAAAAATAGGCCGGGCATGGTGGCTCACGCCTATAATCCCAGCACTTTGGGACGCCAAGATGGGCGGATCATGAGGTCAGGAAATTGAGACCACCCTGGCTAACACGGTGAAACCCCAAATCTACTAAAAATACAAAAAATTAGCCGGGCGTGGTGGTGGGCCCCTGTAGTCCCAGCTACCAGGGAGGCTGAAGCAGGAGAATGGCGTGAACCCAGGAGGAGGAGCTTGCAGTGAGCCGAGATTGCGCCACTGCACCTGGGCGACAGAGCAAGACTCCGTCTCAAAAATAAATAAATAAATAAATAAATAAATAAATAAATAAATAAATATAGTGACTGACATATAGTAGGCACTCAGTGTTAATCTCGCTGCCTCTTCCTCCATCTCATGCCAAATTAGAATGAATTCTTTGAATAATTTTTTACTCTTCTGTGTTCCCAGCACCTAGGCAGTACATGGCATGTACCCAGTTCATGATAAATGTTTGATAACTGATAAATATGGTGGAGATAGTATACAGATGGAAAAAACAACCGCCTTCTAGTAGAGTTATATGCAGAACTTTCTCCTCTGGCAAACTATAAATTCCCTAAGGAATTGTCCCTGCCATGACTTAGCAAAAGGACTTGCTGGTGAGAATTTTTCTAAAGATGAGACTGGATAGCCCCAGGTTGGATGAATTTGAGCAGCTTCTCCTCTGGAGAAGTTAAGTCTTATAAAGTGTGTGGCCACACTGCCCTCTGGAGACTGCAGATTCTTCTCAAGCATTGCTTAAATAGATCTTCCCATTAAGAGCCATATCCAGAACTCTGATCAATTTTGTAAAAGTTTTCATAAGTGAAGTGTTGCTGAAAAGCTCTTCTAAAATTCTCAAATAGAAATTTCTTTTTTAAAAGTTTTATTTTAGTTTTAATTGACACATAATAATTGTATACCAAATAGCAATTTTTAAAAATAGGGAGACCCAAGAGTTAAAAACACAAAGTTTTTCCACTGTTCTTTGTAAAATTTCTCATACTGAGGAAACTGTTTTTATAAAGCAACCATGTATGTTGCCATTACAGTGTACTGCATACTTATTAGACAATTGACAGGAAAAACAACTTTTGGCACAAGAATGCCAATTTATTCCTTTTTTGGACACATAAACACAAAATATCCCTGCAGGCCAAAAAAAATTGCAAAATTTAAACGACCATCATCTTATCTCAACATGAGGATACAACCCCTCCCTTAATAGTTTAGAAAGTACCTCGTATTGCTAGAGACATACATCCAGTCCAAATTTAATAAAATACATTTTAAAACATTACAGGTCTAATAATATAGAAACAAAAATCACACCATTAGTCAAATGAACAAATGCAAACATTTTCAGCCACTAGACGTAGAAAGAGCATGAATATGTCAATAGCAAGGCATAAGAAAATGGTTAATCAATAACAAGATCTTTCCTTTAATTTTACAAGGAAAACTTCTTGGAGTTGCAACAGTATTGATACAATGCCCTCAGCCTCCACTTTCTTAAAATGAAAGCAGAGCTACCACCTTGCTATTGAGCAAGAAAATATCACAGCACATTCACAAAAGGTCGTTAGGACAGGGTGGAGAGGGTGAGCCTTGTTAAACAGTGGATTATATTTTCCCACTTGAAGGGTAGGCAGCTTTGCCAGGTAGGCAAGCTCTGATAGAGGCTGGGCACCAGATCCTAAAACACAGACCATATAGAACATGTCTGCTTGAAAATCATCACCTTTGGAAGCAGCAAATAGAATTTACAGTAAGAATGAATATGTTCTGCTGCCCAGAACGCTGGCTGCATTAAGCCAGCTAGTTCACTTTATAAACCATTCAGGATTCAACAGCTAAGAACACCACCACCAAAACATAATTGGTTCAACATTTGGGTCATCACCACTCTCTTAATGTCCCCCCCCCCCCTTTTTTTTTTTGAGACAGAGTTTCGCTCTTGTTGCCCAGGCTGGAGTAATAGCTCACTGCACCGTCCACCTCCTGGGTTCAAGCAATTCTCCTGCCTCAGCCTCCCGAGTAGCTGGGATTACAGGCATCCACCACCAGACCCAGCTAATTTTCTGTATTTTTAGTAGAGATGGGGTTTCACCATGTTGGTCAGACTGGCCTCGAACTCTCGACCTCAGCTGATCCGCCCACCTAGGCCTCCCAAAGTGCTGGAATTACAGGCGTGAGCCACCGCGCCCGGCCAATGTCCCCACTTCTTATCCCCAAATTATTACTCTTTAGCGTTGCTACATTTAAATCTTTCACACCACATGACAGTGCCTCAACAGGCTGCATTTAAAAAACAAAACCAAAACCAAACCAAACAGCCTAAAACTACTTCTAGAGAATGCACACCTCCCATTGATTGACACATGCATAACGATTCAGTCAGTCCCGAGGGGGTTACCTATTCAAATTGTCAAGCCGAATTAAAGTAAAACTATGCATTCAGACTTGCTTGCAATCATATTGCTGCAACTCTGATTCTGCAGTGATTAGCTCTAAAGATTCACCCCTCAGCAAGTTTTTGCCAATAATCCCAGCTCTTCCAAATTTCTTTCCTTTTGTCCAAAATGACAGCATTGCACCTTTAATGGTACTATTTTCCTATAAAAATAGGCCTCCCGGCTTTTCTTCCACCACCACACTGATTTACCCCAGTGTACCAGGACTGACTGAGGTCTTACAAGCTGTATTGTTCGAGGTCGAGCGTAGAGCAAGACAAGCTAATCAGGGCTTTCGGGAACATAGCCTTGCTCCCTGCTCCATACATGCCAGGAGATGGTGAGAAGTGATGCTTCTTCTGTGCGTTATTAATAAGCAAGCCCGAGGCACTCAAGTGCAGGTGTGGTGCCCGCTGGCCAGCCAGCCAGTCACCAAGAGTTCTTCACATCTTGGATTCCAGCAAGTCCTCCTTCTCCTAAAAAAGCTTCCGTTTTTTCCTCCTCTTGGGTCCAGAGTGGCCATGCTGAAGGGTATTCTCTGTGCTCTCCCTGAACAAGTGTGAATAAAAGCAGCAGCCAAGCAGCCAGCCCCTCACCAACATGTCCTGATTTGTATTATCCAAGTGAGGTATTTGCAAAAAAAAAAAAAAAAAAGGAAAATTTTAAGAAATTAACATCTGCCATCTCTTCACTCCTGGCTATGTTGTGCTTCATTTTACAGAACTTGCTTTCATCCCACTATCTGCAGGGATTAAGGACGTCTGCACTCAGCTTAATGAGCAACAGGCCTCGATCGACATAAAACTCTCTCAGAGACCAGTCTCAGCAAACACAGGTGGCGCCGTTGATCAACAGCACATGGAAATGTAAACTTCAATGTATTTACAAGTTTATTTAAACGACTGAAGAAAAACAGTGCTTTATATTGCTGGGATTTTGAGAAGGCTAGTTTATGAGATTTGGACCGTCTCATGAGTTCAAGCAAACACCCTTCACCATCATTTCCCCACCAGCAGTTTCCAGGCAGGGGCGGCAAAATTGTTTTCACCCCATTGTGTCTATCTCTTTCCCTAGCTCCTTCCTCAGCCATATAGAGTGTGGCTCCAGGCCTTTTATCCCCTTTTCCATCCCTCACTCCTGATGTCCTGGATAGAGAATTACAAGTCAGTAAACTCTGGGCTGGGAAACACTGGCTGGTGCTACCAAGACACTATGTAACTGTTGTCCATTCACAAAGTATTATCTACACTACATACAGAATACATTTTCCCCTACATTTTAACTGATGCTCGCTTTAGAGCAACTCCCTTTGTTTGGACAAGAAAGGAATCCCATCTCCCTGTGAGTGGAATCCAGAATCTATTAAGAAAAATCAACCTTTTCCACACAGTTTTAGTTTAATAAAAGGAAGGAAAACCCACCAAGTACATTTCATGTCGAAAGAGAAGCAAAAAATTTGTACTGCAAGTAGTCGTGTGAGTTACCTTGATTCCCAGGAAAAGAAATTTTAAATGCTGGTACATTTGCAAGTTGCAGCATCACTCATTGTACCTTAAGGACTGGCAAAGCCTTTCCAATAAGGAAGCATCCTGGTTCTAGCTTATTTTAAAACAAAGTGACAGGACACCAACTGTGAATATAAAACAGGTAAAAATAATTCTTTAAAAAGGCATGGAAATATATGTCTTTTCTGACTGGTTTCAGAAATTGCCAGATTATGATATATAAGAAATAGCTGATAAAATCATACTGAAATCTCATCTAGAAAACTACATTGTTGGGGAAGGAAGAGGAGAGACCTTAAAAAATGTTTATTGCCAAAGTTAAGTTTCTATGAGAAAAGTTTAAAAATCATTTAGATTTAACAAACCACACAGCAGCATAAAATGGGCACTTTTGAAAACTTGGAAAAATACTAAAAGCAATTTTTTTTTCCAAATAGGGGAAACATGAGTACTTTTATCATGGCAGTGTTATCTCCGTCACTGTGACATGCATTACATCTGTTTATGTCACACATTCACAAAAGTCGACCAAATAAGAGAACTGCCTATTTGAATCTGCAGCCAAATATAGTGCAAATTGCCTGTCAGCATGTACTTGCACCAGCACAAGTCTGCAGAGATCAATAAGATAAAGTAGTAAAACTAATAAAACTCTGTAAAACTTTCAAAAATTAATGCTCATTAAAGGCATTTACAGTGGCAAAGTCAGAAATCTTCATTAAAAAGTCTATGGACCCACACAATTAAATAGTTACACTGAACTGAAGTAGATTGTTTGGTTTTTCTCTCCCACTTATGCATATACCCCACTCAATGACTACAGAAAAAAGGAATAATCTTCTCTTCTAAGACTAGAGGGATGCGGTGAACACCACAGCTAGCAAAATATTCCATAGAAACCCTTCTTGTAAAGTCCTTTAGAAAGTTCAGGCTGATCAGCCTTTGCACATTGAGGTAAAAATTCAGTCCAGTGCATCAGAAAAGATAATCTATTAGTATCTATTACTTTAAAAAAATGGCTCAATTTTGTTGACGCATCAGACAGTGCTGCAAAGTATAGATTCAGTGCAACTATTCCGAGCTGCTGGTAGAAGACCACCTGAAGTCAACGTGGCTCGATCTAGAGGCGGTAGGCATTTGAAACATTTTGAGGCTGCATGGGGTGCCAAATTGGTTGAGTTCTTTTTCTGAGACTCTCAGGCAAAATACATCGTGTGCTGGGTATCATGGTGGATTTGCACAGCCTTAGCCAAGGCCTGAGGATCCCGGCCGTTGCTCTGTCCTGACACATGACTGCCTTCCGCACTGTAAAGAGAATAAAACAAAACAAAACAAAGCAAAACAAACAAACAAAAAACCAAAAACAACAACAACAAAAAAACAAAAAACAGGTGTAACAGAAGACCACTTCAAACTTCACACGTTTCAAATAGCACAAACAGTACTAGATTCTAGAATATCTTAGGCTTAAGCTTTAGCTTCTTGAATAATTTGTTATGTCCTTCTAAATATCAGTTGACTCAACTGAATTTCTTTTTTTTTTTTTTTTTTTTGAGACAGAGTCTCGCTGTCTCCCAGGCTGGAGTTCAGTGGCGCAATCTCGGCTCACTGCAAGCTCTGCCTCCCGGGTTTACACCATTCTCCTGCCTCAGCCTCCCGAGTAGCTGGGACTACAGGCGCCCGCCACCACACCCGGCTGATTTTTTTGTATTTTTACTAGAGACGGGGTTTCACCATGTTAGCCAGGATGGTCTCGATCTCCTGACCTCGTGATCCGCCTGCCTCGGCCTCCCAAAGTGCTGGGATTACAGGCGTGAGCCACCGCGCCAGGCCAACTGAACTTCTTTAATGAGCTGCTGCAAGAATTAAATAATATAATGTCTGCAAAGACACAATCCTTAACAGTATCCATATAAAGATTTCCACTGCCCACTATGTCTGGCTAATTTCTTTAGGCTTCAGTCAAATGTCATTTTTCTGCACAGAAATCTTCTTTGACTTTAAGGTCCAGGTCAGAGCCACCTGGAACATGCTTTAACAGAATCCTATATTTTTCTTTCATGGTACTAAACACAATTGAAATTAAATTATTACTTGGGTAATTATTTATTTTCCCACTGGGATATAAACTCCAAGAAAGCAGCAATTTTGTCCACCTTGCTCACCACTGTATCCTTGGTGTCTAGCACATAATACAACAAAGTCTCAATAAACCATTAGTTGAATGAATGCATCTACGTACCTAGCATAGTGATGGAACATAGGAAATTCCCAGCAAATGCTATTGTGCCACCAGTCTCTTCTTGTCTTCCCTTCACTAACTATATAACCTTGGACACATAATAACTCCTCTGAACTTTGGTCTTTCGGAGTAACAACAACAACTTCTAAACATACTACTTAAGGATACCATGTGATATAAAGGGCTTGACAAGCTGTAAATCCCCATCCCTCTTCTGACTTTCTCTTTAAGTGATTATTATCCTTATCATCTAGGCTCAAAATCTTAGCCATCTTTTACTTCACCCTCTCCTCTGACATGCATATCCAATTAACTGTTAAGTCCTGTCTATTCTATCCTAGGAACAGCATTTTACATTTAACAAACACGGTCTTGCTTTAACATATTTTTCCAGCCTCATACCTGCTTGTTCCCCTTTAATATCCTCCAGCCAAAGAAAATTTGCTACTGTACAAACATGCCACTTGCTTTTTCCCCTTTGTGTCCCTTGTTCTCTCTGCCCTGAAAATTCTTTTCTCTTTTTTGTAGAGCCATTCTATCCATCCAGCTATGAAATCTTCTCTAAAAGCCTCTCCTCTGGTGTCCCATTGCACTTTTATCTGTACTGACTTGGGCTACTTGTCAGTTGTATATTTGCCTGTATTGTCTCCCATACTGAAACATAAAATCCCCGTGGACAAGAAACATGTCTTACTCATCTTAGTAATTCTAGCACCTAGCACAGTACTAGGCACACAGTCAATACCTAATAAATATGCCGAATAAATGAAAGCACATTACGGAATGGAAGGTACAAAGCCACAGTTGGACATTTTCCATAATAGTGTATTTTCAACCCTTACAGAAATAGACTTGCAGTGGAATGTCTACTATTTAGCAGCTGAATTCAGACTTGGGGAAGAGCCCAGAAACTGCTACACTTCACAGATGGTCATTTGGAAAAGAAAATTAATGCAGAGAGCTTGTGTAACTATTTAATAGTAGCTCAGGAATAGGTCAAAATAACAGATTCTCTGATTCTCCTGAGATGCCTATTTGAGAGTGAGAATCATCTGTGCCCCCACTCCCACACACACATCCAGGTTCACTCTGGGGTATTTTTCCAGAATGTACCAAAAGCAAAGTGAACTGGTCAGGCCTCCTCACTTGCATGAAGTGGAATCCACAGCCCTGTGACTACTTTGACCGGAGCCAGGGTACTGTGTTGACCACTTTTTGAGGCTACTTAGGACCTGAGCAGAACTGAAATGCATTTGGCTCCATGGGAGAACCACAAGCAGCTCCAAATTAAACTCCTTTAGAGACACAACACAAGTATAAACAAGCCTGAGCACTTCTTGGACCAAAAGTCACATTACAAGCTCTCAGAGGCACATGCAATTTTATTTGCTTCTTACAATTTAAACTCTGAAAGTTTAAATCCTTAAAAAAGTTTTCTATTGTAGCTCATTTTTTTTAACATGCTACTAAAATATAAAGAGACTTTATTGTGCCTAAGAAACTTGCCTGTCATGATCTTTATCCACCAGATGATACCTTGCCCTAAATGCTACAAGCCGGGCATAATATGCAGGGGCTGGAATAGAGACTGAGCGAGTGCACCTCACATAGGTGTGACACAGCTGGTAAGTCAGTAGCTGGAGTTCATCTGCAGTGAAGCAGTTGTCATCCCACAAGACCTGGTAATGTGAGGGACGGCTGGTTCCCTGAGGAGAGAGTTTTATGATTAATGTTTTTTTTTTGTTCGTTTTTTGTTTTTGTTTTTTTTTTTTTTTTTTTGAGATGGAGTCTCACTCTGTCACCTAGGCTGGAGTGCAGTGGTACGATCTTGGTTCACAGAAACCCCCGCCTCTGGACTTCAAACAATTCTCCTGCCTCGGCCTCCCAAGTAGCTGGGACTATAGGTGCACGCCACCATGCCCAGATAATTTTTGTTTTTTTTAGTAGAGATGGGGTTTCACCACATTGGTCAGGCTGGTCTCAAACTCCTGACCTCAGGTGATCTGCCCATTTCGGCCTCCCAAAGTGATTGGATTACAAGCGTGAGCCACCATGCCTGGCCTGATTAATATATTTCTGACATGACACGAGAAGAGAAAATAATTGAAACCTACTCCTTAAACTCAGAAATACTTCTGCCTAGCACACCTACAAGCAGATACCTAGACCAAAAGATAATTCTAGGATACAAGCATTAACAAAGTTAGGCACGGTGTTAAATAACAAGTCGACTCAAGCTAGTTGCTGAATTTGCAAACATCTCCCTATCAAGTCAAAGATCTGAACCAGCTTCCAAATTACCTGAATTCCTGCATGACTACAGAGGTAAAAGTCAAACTCAGATGGATGTGTGATGGTACTATCCACTGTAGTGCCTGCTGGTACATTGCCACTTTTCCCTACCTACAAAAAACAAAAAAAAGTAATTAGTCATCAAAGTGCCAAACTGTGGTCAGGCCATTTTTTTCTTTTGTGTGTTAATTGGGAGCAAGTTGGTAAATGTCTCTTAAGTCTTGAAAATCACTTTCATTCAAGATGTTGAATCCTCTGTAACTTTCCCTTAGCCCAACCATTTTAACCTATAGTATTTTCACAAACAAATATGTTCCAGGATCTCTTCAGGAGGATACGGACAAAAATATTTTACCCGTGGCTTTGGGCTACAACATTATTATGTATTTACAGATGACACAGTGGTATGTTCACAAAGGGAAAAAACATTTAACATTTAAGATAGATAAACTTTCTGAGAAAAAAAGTTTTATTCCTTACTTGGAGTAAAAAAAATTCACAATTTTCAGTAAAAGATTAAGGAATCTTTAAACTGGTTTACCAGGTTCAACATAACTAGTACTTTTTTTTTTTTTTTTTTTGAGACAGCGTCTCACTCTGTCACCCAGGCTGGAGTGCACTGGGAGGATCACAGCTCACTGCAACCTTGGACTCCTGGACTCAAGGAATCCTTTCACCTCAGCCTCCTGAGTAGCGGGGGCTATAGGCACACATGCCATCATGTCTGGCTTTTTTTTTTTTTTTTTTTTGAGACACGGGGTCTAATTTTGTTGCCCAGGCTGGACTCAAACTCCTGGGCTCAAGCAATTCTCCCACCTTGGCCTCCCAAAGTGCTAGGACTACAGGTGCGAGCTACCACATCTGGCAATAACAAATACTTTATTAATAATAAAAAAAAAGTCACTGGCAAATGGTTATCAGGAAGAAAGCACTGAAATGGGAACTAAAAAATCAGTTTCAGATCTAGGCCTAGCCTTGCAACTATATACCTTGAACAAAGCTTATTATCTTTATACCTCAATCTAATCATCTATAAAATTAGGTGATGTTCTCTTACCCTTTTAAAATTCCAAGCAAAAACTCTACAGACAAAATTTGAAAATCAAATTTCTAGGAAGGCAAGAGGGGAACTTCAGAAATGGATTACAAGGGAAGGAATTACATCTTGCTATTTGGTCACCCTCTTCTGCTGTACAGCAGAGTTCAGTATGAACACATTTCTTTAGCATACAGGCACAAATTTGATGGGAGTTTATTTGGCTCCATTTTAACTATTGTTACCTTAAGCTGAAGATCATACACCTATGCATACATAACTCTATGAGTATAGAAAAATCTCCTTCCATCAAATGCATATGTGATCTTGGGTTCCTAGCTGGATCAGAAGAAATCTAGTTGGTTCTAGCATTTTTTTTTCCCCAAAGTGTGTTCTTTAGGAATATTAGCTTTGCAGGATGTGTTTAGGTATTTTATGGTGAAACAAACCTGAGAAATATGGGATCAAATTAAAGTTAAAAGTATTTTTCTACTGTATGACTCAAAACCTTTATTTAGTCATGTATAATCTTTAAAAGGGATATAAAGTATATAGCATTTTCTAAATTTATTTTACCCTTAAAAAAAAAAAAAACTCTCTGGTTCTACATATGACAGCCTGAAGAGGTGATGCCTTGGAGAAAAGGGAATCCAGGCCTTTTCAATTCACCAGTTATTGCTTGAGCACCCATATGACTGCTAGGCTCCGCAGCAGATGTTGGGGATGACAGCCAGGGGCATCAAGAGAACTAATAAACTTGCCTTCCTGACTTCATGAAAAGTGTATACAATAAACTGTAACACAATGTCATAAGGGCATATGGGAAGCATTGGGAAAAGCTGATGAGGAGGAAATAGGTGAGCCATGCCTTATAAGTAGGAGCTGAAAAGGGAAGTTGGGTAAAAAACAGGAAACACTCCAAATACCCCTAAACTCAGAAATGGATAAGCAAACTGTGGCTCATCCACATTATGAAATACCACTCACAATAAAAAGGGGCAAATTACTGATATATACACAACTTGGATGAATCTCAAATGCCAGACTCAAGGGCTATGATTCTATTTATATGATGTGCTGGAAAAAGCAAAACTGTAGGAACAGAATACATATCAGTGGTTGCCAAGGGCTGGGAGTGAAGGAGAAAGGTTAACTACAAAAGGACACCTGAAGATTTTTTGGTATGACAGAATTATTATACAGTCAGCCCTTGGTATCCACAGGTTCTGCATTCAGGAATTCAACCAACTGTGGATATTCTTTAAAAAGGTTTGGATATTCTAATTATACCCTGATTTGATCACTGCACATTATTTGTATAAGAATTCCTATGTAACCCATAAATGTGTATAATTATTATGTCAATTAAAAATAAATAAAAATATAAATTTTAAAGACCTGACACAAATACAGAAAATTGTTAACATGTTTAAAAATTTAATTTTAATATGAAAAAAATTAAAAACAATAAAACATAGCATTTACACTGTATTCGGTACTAAAGCAACCTAGAAAAATATTTAAAATAATTCAACAGTAAAAACTTATACACATTTTAAAATATAGTATAACAACTATTTAAGCCTTTACATTGTATTAGGTATTATAAGTAATCTAGAGATCTTTTAAAGCAAGCTTGTCCAACATGCAGCCCAGGATGGCTTTGAATGTGGCCCAGTACACATTTGTAAACTTGGGCCGGGAGCAGTGGCTTTCATGCCTGTAATCCCAGCACTTTGGGAGGCCAAGGCAGGCAGATTACTTGAGCTCAGGAGTTCAAGACCAGCCTGGCCAACATGGTGAAACTCCATCTCTACTAAAAATCCAAAAATTAGCTGGGCATGGTGGCATGTGCCTGTAATCCCAGCTACTCGGGAGGCTGAGGCAGGAGAATCACTTGAACCCAGGAGGCAGAGGTTGCAGTGAGCCGAGACTGAGCCATTGCACTCCAGCCTGGGTAACAGAGCGAGACTCAGTCTCAAAAAAAAAAAAAAGACCAAAAACAAATTTGTAGACTTTCTTAAAACATTATGAGATTTGTTTGTGATTTTTTTTTTTAGCCCATCAGCTATGGTTAGTGTATTTTATGTGTGGCCCAAGAAAATTCTTCTTCCAATGTGGTCCAAGGAAGCCAAAAGATTGGACACCCCTGTTTTAAAACATATGGGAGGATGTGCATAGGTTATATACAATTACTATACCATTTTTGTTTTTTGAGATGGAGTCTTGCTATGTTGCCCAGGCTTGTCTCAAACTCCTGGACTCAAGTGATCCTACTGTCTCAGCTTCCTAAGTAGCTGGGACTACAGGTATGCACCACCACGCCTTGCTTACTGTACCATTTTATATCAGGGACTTGAGCATATGTGGATTTTGGTATCTGCAGCAGGTCCTGGAACCAATCCCCCATGGATTCTGAGGGATGACTGTGTATTTTTATTGTGGTGATGCCTACAGAACTGTATGTATTTGTCAAAACTAGGGCCAGGTATGGTGGCTTATGCCTGTAATGCCAACACTTTGGGAGGCTGAGGTGGGAGGACCACTTGAGTCCAGGAGCTGAAGACCAAACTGGGGAACAAACTTAGACCCTGTCCCTAAATATATATATATATATATATATATATCTTTTTTTGAGATGGAGTCTCACTCTGTCTCCCAGGCTGGAGTGCAGTGGTGCCATCTCAGCTCACTGCAAGCTCCACCTCCCGGATTCACGCCATTCTCCTGTCTCAGCCTCCCGAGTAGCTGGGACTACAGGCGCCTGCCACCACATCCGGCTAATTTTTTGTATTTTTAGTAGAGACAGGGTTTCACCGTGGTAGCCAGGATGGTCTCGATCTCCTGACCTTGTGATCCGCCCACCTCAGCCTCCCAAAGTGCTGGGATTACAGGTGTCAGCCACCGCACCTGGCCCACAGAGGACTATTTTCTAAATGCGTATGGAGGGACTGGAAATGGGGCAAAGAATTTAAAGACAACTCTGAAGTTTCTAGCTTGGCTGACTTAATATACAGTGATGCCAAGTAATAGAATAAAAGGAAAATTGGGGAGGAATAGGTTTTGGATGGGGATAAAACAATAAATAGAAGGTTTAGACATGCTTTGCTTGAAATGCCTGTGGTAGATTGTATTACTGGTGCCAAACATTCCCATGCCCCTGCCTGGGGGAGGATTATACATCCACACCCAATTATCTCAGGGGTGACTTGCTTTGGCTGATAAAATGTGGCCTGAAATGTGTTACTTCTGGGCCAGCACATGGCTTGTCATGTATCTTTTTTCCTCTCTGCCAGGATGACTGGCAGTGTTCCAGATAGATGCTTCTTTGTCAGCCTAGGTTCCAAAGGGAGGACAGCAGGGTCACAGCTGCAGCAGAGCCACAATGAATGTGTAATATGATCAAAAAGCAAGTCTTTGTAAGCCACTACGATTTGGGTTTTTGTTGTTGTTTTTGGCCTATCTTGACTGATGCAGTGCCTATAGAGAATCTAAGCAAATATGTCTGGTAGATAACTGGGAGTACAAATCAGGAGCTGAAGAGTAGATTGGGGCTGGAAATACAGATTTAGTAATCTACAAGCAAGGGAATTCGCCCAGAAAAGTGGATGACACTATAGAGAGGGCTGAAATTGAGAAGAGAAGAGAGAGAAGTATGAAATGTCGGGAAATATCAGTGTTTAATGGAGAGAGGGAGAAAGAGGAATCAAAAAAGTCTGATTACAGGCCGGGCACAGTGGCTGACATCTGTAATCCCAGCACTTTGGGAGGCCGAGGTGGGTGAATCACTTGAGGTCAGGAGTTCGAGACCAGTCTGGCCAACATAGTGAAACCCTGTCTCTACCACAAATACAAAATTAGCTGGGCATGGTGATATGCGCCTGTAATCCCAACTACTTGGTAGGCTGAGGCAGGAGAATTATTTGAACCCGGGAGGCAGAGATTGCAGCAAGCCGAGATCATGACAGAGTGAAACTCTATCTTAAAAAAAAAAAGCCTGATTACAGAAACTCCATTTCAAAAAAAAAAAAAAAAGTCTGATTACAGAAACTCCATTTCAAAAAAAAAAAAAAAAAGTCTGATTACAGAAACTCCATTTCAAAAAAAAAAAAAAAAAAGTCTGATTACAAAGGTGGGTAGTAAAGCTGGAAAGTCACTTTGCTAAGGCCAAATAAGGCAATCATTGTCTTAAGTGCTACAAAGAAGTCAGTGTGGGAATCTGACAAAGTATCTCTTGATTTGAAATGAGCAAGTCATTGAGACAACAACTTCAATGGAGTCACTGAAATTGAAGTTAGGCTACAGAAAATTAAAGTTTGATGTGAGAAAGTACAGATAGAAAGTCAAGTGATTGTTTTTCTCAAAGTTTAGTCGTGAAAGGAAGAAAAGATAAGGTAGCAGTGAGACTGAGGGAGAAGCAGGGTGAGGTGAACTCAGGAAGATTTAAACCACCTTTATAGGGCGAGAAGGAGGCAACAGAACACGAAAGAGTGACGTTTTGAAAAATAATGCGTAATTGACCAAGTAAGGCTCTAGAGAAGTCAGGAGGGATTAGGATTGAAAGCACAGGATGGGGGCAGGAAAGCATAGGTGGAGAGATACGAGGAAGGAGATAGGAAAATACAAGATGTAACTGAGTTTGAAAGTAGAGGAGAGGCAGCTGAGAAAATTCTTGCCTTCTAGATCTTGTTTTTGGAGGGAAATAGACGATAGGACTTTGTTGGCAATAGAGTTATTATGAATAGGGTAGGGGACTTGAGAAGAGTATAAAGGTGTGGAACAGATGCTATGGGGAATAGGGTAAATGAAAAAACGGCAGCATCCAAGGCCTGGCTGAGATTTGCTCTCATGAATTTGTAATATGGTTCTTTATTAAACAGACACTTTTGGACAGGTGTGGTGGCTCACGCCTGTAATCCTAGAACTTTGAGAGGCTGAGGTGAGCTGATCACTTGAGCCCAAGAGTTCAAGATCAGCCTGGACAACATGGTGAAACCCCATCTCTACAAAAAATACAAAAAAAGTAGCCAAGAGTGATGGTGAGTGCCTGTAGTCCCAGCTACTTGGGAGGCTCAGGTAGGAGGATCACCTGAGCCTGGGGGCATCTAGGCTGCCATGAGCCATAATCATGCCACTGCACTCCACCCTGGGTGACAGAGTGAGATGAGACCCTGTTCCAAAAAAATAAAATCCACCACTTTTCCCCCAGCAATTTCTATCAGCCTAAGAGTAGAGGCAAAATAAATGGGCAAGTGGATTGGCAAGAGGCATGCTTAGAGAATTGAAGATATTAGTAAATGTCAGGGTACAAAGTAGACCAAGAACTGGAACTGTCAATTTTGAAAGATTTAAAGAATAAAACTATGAGATAGCTTAATAATAGCTTAATAGATAGTTTAGGAAGACAAGCCTGAAGAAGAAGATCTTAAATCTACATGGATAACAAGTTGACAGACAGGTGGAGAGATGACAACAGTTAAGGAGAAGGTGGCAGGAGGTTTTGTGCCCAGAGGTCAGGCAAGAGTTCAACGAATTTGTATTAGCAAAGTCTAAGAAGTACTATTTTTTTTTTCACAGCATATCTTTTATTTATTTATTTTATTTGACATGTGCTGGTCTATTTTTTATTTAAATTTTTATATATTTTGGGGGCACAGGTACAGATTTCTTATATGTGTATGTTACAGAGAGGTAAAGCCCAGTTGGTAAGAAGTACTATTAACTCATGGTTTCAGCAATTTAAAGACAGCCCTTTTAATTTAAAACAGCCCTTTTAATTTAAGACAGTCCTTTTAATCTAAGCTGATTGGATCTGGGGCCCAATGAGAAAACAACCTTGATTCAGAAAACAAAAAGAAACAGTTCAGGCCAAGCACGGCGGCTCACACCTGTAATCCCAGCACTTTGGGAGGCCGAAGCAGGTGGATCACCTGAGGTCAGGAGTTCAAGACTGGATTGGCTAACATGGTGAAACCCCGTCTCAACTAAATATACAAAAATTAGCTGGGCATGGTGGTGGGCGCCTATAATCCCAGCTACTCAGGAGGGTGAGGCAGGAGAATCGCTTGAACCTCGGGAGGCAGAGGTTGCAGTGAGCCAAGATTGTGCCGTTGCATTGCAGCCTGGGTGACAAGAGCAAAACTCGGTCTCAAAAAAAGAGAAAAAAGAAACAGTTCATCCTCGGATTAGAGACAAAAAAACTAGAGTGTACTTGAAAATAATGGGAGTGGCAAACAAGATTACATGATTAGGCAACAGAAAGATCTGGTCTTCCTAGGGGTGGATCAGAGAGGGCCTGGACAAGATGAAGTAAAGTCATTAAAAAATATCAAAGAAGCAAGATTATCTATTAATAATATAGGTTGGGCATTCTCTACCTGAAATGCCTGGGGATTAGAGGTGTTTTGGATTTTAATTTTTTTTTGTTTTCTTTTAGGCAGAGTCTTGCTCTGTGCAGGCTGGAGTGCAGTGGTATGATCTCGGCTCACTGCAACCTCTGGCTCCTGGGTTCAAGCGATTCTCCTGCCTCAGCCTCCTGGATACCTGGGACTACAGGCGTGCACCATTACGCCCAGCTAATTTTTGTATTTTCAGTAGAGATGGAGTCTCACCATGTTGGCCAGGCTGGCCTCGAACTCCTGACCTCAAGTGATCGCCCGCCTCAGCCTCCCAAAGTGCTGGGATTACAGGCGTGAGCCACAGCGCCAGGTCAGATATTGTTCTTAACCACATTTTACAGATGAGAATATTATGGCTTAGAGAAGTTGAGTAATTTGACTGTGGTTTAAGTGCGACACTATAAATATTCAAAGTCTGTGCCCTATGAATCTTCTATGCCAGCAGTCCTCAACTTTTTTGGCAGCAAGGACAGGTTTCATGGAAGACAATTTTTACATGGATGAGGGTAGGGGAGCGGCGGGGAGATGGTTTTGGGATGAAACTGTTCCACCACTGCTGATCTGACAGGAGGCAGAGCTCAGGTGGTAATGATCATTCACTGACCACTCACCTGCTGTGCAGCCTGGTTCCCAACAGGCCACAGACTGTTACCAGTCCACAGTCTGGGGGTTGGGGACCCGTGTCCTATGCGGATATAAAATTATTTGGAAGATAAATTCTTCTTTATACCCTAGAACTGTGCAGCAAAAAGTAACAAATAACAAAAGCACCCCTTAGAAGGTTGCCTATATCATCACAATGTACCTGGCATGTTTCTGACCTACTCCCCCCGACACAAAAACAACTCGAGAAATCAGCATTTCTGTTATACAAGAGAAATAAAATATTCAGTCTCAAAACTCGTATCATTCAGAATTGGTCATCTAAACCCAACTGCAGTTAAATTATTATCAGGCATTTCTGCTTTTAAGAAAAAAATTGTATAAAAATGGTGTATATATATATATATATATATATATATGTGCATATATACATCTCTTGCCAGAGCCTCAGATAACAAAGCTTATATTATATCTTCTTACCCTTTCTGTTTTATCTGCACAGAAGAGTCGTGTGTGATGTCTTTTTTGCACCACAATATAAGTTATTCCTGGCCGGTAATCTTCTTCCAAGCTAATACATGCCTTTCGAATTGCTATTAGTTCTGGCCAAGCTACCTAGAAGACAGAAATGGAATTATGTTTAATTGAGAATTTGCCTAGTATCTCTCAGATCTACCCAGAATGGTAGATGAGAGGAATCTCCCTCAGACTCCTAGGGGCCCCGAAGGGCAACAGGGATAATGAGAGTACCTGTTTCATTTGTCCCTCAGATACCCCTCCACGGTAATAGATGATCCGAGTGGGTTTGAAGCGTGTGGATTTGTAGAACTGAATCAGCAGCTCTCGAACCATGTTAGTCAGGTCCTGGATGACCTCTTGACTGTAGAGGAGCTCTTGGGAGATCTCCTGCCGGGAAGTCTGCACCCGAACGGTGGCACAGTACCGGCTGGGGTGGCCATCCATACTGCCAACCACAGCAGCAATGGAAGGTTTCTTCCCATCCCCTGCTGGGGGGTGTGTGACATCCGCTCCCAGGAAGATGACAGGCTGCTGGAACACCGAGGGCCTGCTCAGATTTAAGGAGATGTTGCCACTCAGACATATAAGTGAAAATGTTTGAGTTTAGCAAGATTATATCACCAGATATAATCAGATATAACCTTATAAGAGAGAACAAAGACTTAAGCCCATTGGGAAAGAACACTACGGACCACTGAATATTGATGTCACCCAGTACAGTGACTCTGGACTGACTGAAGAAGTGAACATGGCTCTTCTATAACAGTAGGAAGAGAAGATTTAAAAAACAGGACCTAGGCTGGGCACCTTGGCTCATACCTATAATCTCAGCACTTTAGAAGGCCAAGGAGGAAGGACTGCTTGAGCCCAGAAGTTCAAGGCCAGCCTGGGCAATATATCAAGACCCAGGTCTCTACAAAAAATAAGAAAGCCCAGCGTGGCAGCGCCTGCCTGTAGTCCCAGTTACTTGGGAGGCTGAGGCAGAAAAAAACATTTAAGCCCAGGAGTTTGAGGCTGCAGTGAGTTATGTACTATACTACACTGTACTGTGTCACATCACTGTACTCCAGCCTGGGTGACAGAGTAAGACCTTGTCTTTAAAAAAAGAAAAGAGGCCGGGCGTGGTGGCTCACGCCTGTAATCCCAGCACTTTGGGAGGCCAAGGCAGGAGGATCACCTGAGGTCAGGAGTTGGAGACCAGCCTGGCCAACACGGTGAAACCCTGTTTCTACTAAAAATACAAAAATTAAGGCCGGGCATGGTGACTCACGCCTGTAATCCCAGCACTTTGGAAGGCTGAGGCAGGCAGATCACTTGAGGTCAGGAGTTTGAGACCAGACTGGCCAACATGGTGAAACCCTGTCTCTACTAAAAAATACAAAAATTAGCCAGGTGTGGTGGTGTGTGCCTGTAATCCCAGCTACTCAGAAGGTGGAAGAGGCAGGAGAATCACTTGAACCAGGAAGGTGGAGGTTGCAGTGAGCCAAGATCACACCACTGCACTCCAGCCTGGGTGACAGAGCAAGACCGTCTCAAACAAACAAAAAAAAAAATTAGACGGGCATGGAGGCGCTCACCTGTAATCCCAGCTACTGGGGAGGCTAAGGCGGGAGAATCACTTGAACCCAGGAGGTAGAGGTTGCAGTGAGCCAGGATCACGCCACTGCACTCCAGCCTGGGTGACAGAGGAAGACTCCATCTCAAAACAAAACAAAACAAAACAATACCCTTTTTTTTTTTTTTTTGAGACAGGGTCTCACTCTGTTGCCCAGGCTAGAGTGCAATGGCATGATCTCAGCTCACTGCAGCCTCAACCTCCTGGACTCAGGTGATTCTCCCACTTCAGCCTTCCAGATAGCTGGGATAAATTCTTAAAGGTAGGATTTGGGACTGCGAGTGTTAATTCTTCAAGTGTAATTTAAGAGGCATCCCATACTTGACAACCTCATATAATAGGTACTAAAGGTAAGGTCCCATGGGAGAAGAGGCTGTGTCCCATTTATCTCTCTGTATCATCACAGAACATAAGCCTGGCACAGAGAAGTTAATAACAGCGGACATATATAGGCAACACACATATATATAACATAACAGCTTACATATACAACGTACCAGCCACTATGCTAAGCACTTCACACGTGTTAACTCATTTAGTCCTTAAAATTTTATGAGGGTGGTACAATTATTATCTCAATTTTTCCAGATAAAAAATAAGACATAAGAGGATAAAGAATGTTCCCAAGATCACACAGCTAGGAGAGGAAAAGCTGCAATCCAAACCAAAGAAGTTTAACGCCAAAGTATGCACTCTAAGCCACTACACTATATTGTCTCAAATGTTTGGGTTAAAATTAAATGAAGACAGACTTTAGGTTAACTTCCCCTATGGCCCATATATCTCATCACTAATGTTTAAGGAGGGATTTATTTACCTAGAAGTTTCATCCAAGGACAAAAATGAGAACTGTGTTGGGAGGCTGAGCGGGTGGATTGCTTGAGCTCAGGAGTTTGAGACCAGTGTGGGCAACATGGAGAAACCTCGTCTGTATGAAAAATACAAAAAATAAGCCAGGCGTGGTGGTGCACACCTGTGGTCCCAGCTAGTTGGGAGGCTGAGGTGGGAAGATTGCTTGAGCCTGGGAGGCGGAGTTTGCAGTGAGCCGAGATTGTGCCACCGCACTCCAGCCTGGGTGACAAAGTGAGACACTGTCTCAAAAAAATAAATAAATAAGAAATAAGAAATCAACTAATCAAGTTGACAAAATATGCTAAGATTAAATTAAAAAAAAAAGAGAACTGTGATATGATTGCGTAAGAGCAAGGCACTCAATTTCATCTTCAAGTATGGCAATGACTAATACCACAGCCCCAAATTTAACTCTTCAAATCACTTTCACACATAGTATTTCACAGAAAAACAACACTTTCAAGTTAACAAGGCAGATATTATTATCTGGATAGATAAGGAACTGAGGCCCAGAGATATTAGAAATTCACATGCGTAACAATACTCAAATCTCCCAATGCCCAGCCAGCACTTTGTCTATCATATCCCTGTCTTGCCTTGGTGTTTGCTTACTCTAGAGTCAATCTGACAAACTCAAATTTAAACAACAACAAAAAAAACCTATGAAGGGAGGGACAGACAGGGTTTCTTAAAAGGACATAAAAAGATTGATTCAACTCAGTCCTATTAACATTTTCTGTTCATCAAAAGCCACTGTTGACCAGGCATGGTGGCTCACGTCTATAATTCCAACACTTTCAGAGGCCAAGGTGGAAGGATCACTTAAGCCCAGGAGTTCAAGACCAGCCTGGACAACACAGCAAGACCTCATCTTTAAAAAAAAATTTAAGGCTGGGCATAGTGGCTCATGCCTATAATCCCAGCACTTTGGGAGGCCAAGGTGGGCCGATTGCTTGAGGTCAGGAGCTCAAGACCACCAGCCTGGCCAACATGGTAAAGCCCTGTCTCTACTAAAAATACAAAAATTAGCCGAGTATGGTGGCATGAGCCTGTAATTCCAGCTACTCGGGAGGCTGAGGCAGGAGAATCGCTTGAACTCAGGAGGCGGAGGTTGCAGTGAGCCGAGATTGCATCACTGTACTGCAGCCTGGGTGACAGAGTGAGACTCTGTCTCAATAAATACATAAATAAATAAATAGGCAGGCATGGTGGCACATTCCTGTAGTCCCAGCTACTCAGGAGACTAAAGCGGGAGAATCGCTTGAGCTGGGGAGATTGAGGCTGCAGTGAGTCATGATTGCCCCACTGCACTCCAGCCTGGGTGACAGAGTGAGACCTTGTCTTAAAAAGAAAAAAACAGAAAACCCACAATTTAGGAGAGTGAAAAGGCAAAGCACAGACTAGGAGAAGATAATCTGCCTATCCTGTTTGCCTATAGGATATCTGTATCTTGTGAAGGACCAGAAACCACAAAGAACTACTACAAATTAATGAAAAAGACTCACAACCCAATATAAAAAAATGAGCAAAGGACTGAACAGGTCCATTATAAAAGAAGATGTTTAGGCTAGGCATGGTGGCTCATGCCTGTAATCCCAGCACTTCGGGAGGCTGAGCCAGGAGGACTGTTTGAGCTCAAGAGTTCTAGACCAGCCTGGTCAACAGGACAAAACCCTGTCTCTATAAAAAATAAAAACATTAGCCGAGCATGGTGGTATGAGCCTGTAGTCCCAGCTACTTGGGAGGCTGAGGTGGGAGGATCAGTTGAAGGCCAGGAGTTTGGGTCTTCAGTGAGCCATGATCACATCACTGCACTCCAGCCTGGAAGACAGAGTGAGACCCTGTCCCAAAAAAAAAAACAGGCCAGGCGCGGTGGCTCACGCCTGTAATCTCAGCACTTTGGGAGGCTGAGGTAGGCGGATCACTTGAGGTCAGGAGTTCAAGTCCAGCCTGGCCAACATGGTGAAACCCTGTCTCTACTAAAAATACAAAAAAATAGTGGGGCATGGTGGTGTGCACCTGTAATCCTAGCTACTCAAGAAGCTGAGGTGGTAGCATTGGTTGAACCTGGGAGGTGGAGGTTGCAGTGAACCAAGATCATGCCATTGCACTCCAGCCTGAGTGACAGAGCAAGACTCCATCTCAAAACAAAACAAACAAACAAAAATATAAAGATGTCCAAATGGCTAATGAGCATATGAAAATGTGCTTAACATCATTACTCATTAAGGGAATGCAAATTAAAACTATAATGAGATACTATTATCCCCAAGCAAAATGGCTAAAATTAAAAGGACTGATACTACCAAGTGTTGGTAAGAATATAGAGCAAGTAGAACTCTCAGTGTAAGTGTAAATTGGTACAACCACTTTGGAAAACTATTTGACTGTATCTATTAATAGTAAATATATGTATTCTCTGTAACTCTATTCTCCGTAACTCAGTAATTACACTCCTGGAATTCCACACAACAGAAAGAGTGTTTCAGTTCACCAAAAATGTAGAATTGTATAATGAATGTATGAAAATATCCAAGGCCGGGCACAGTGGCTCACGCCTGTAATCCCAGCACTTTGGGAGGCCGAGACGGGCGGATCACAAGGTCAGGAGATTGAGACCATCCTGGCTAATATGGTGAAACCCCGTCTCTACTAAAAATACAAAAAATTAGCCGGGTGTGGTGGCAGGTGCCTGTAGTCCCAGGTACTGGGGAGGCTGAGGCAGAAGAATGGCGTGAACCCGGGAGGCGGAGCTTGCAGTAAGCCGAGATCGCATCACTGCACTCCAACCTTGGGGGACAGAGTGATCAATAGTAGAATAAATTAAAATTGTGTCGTTTATTCATGAAATGAAATCATACACAACAATGAAAAAGAATAAACTACTCCCAAGTGCAACAACACAAATTAACCTCACAGACATAATGTTGAACAAAAGAAGACCAACACAAAATAGTACATCCTGCATGATTCCATTTATATGAAGCTCAAAAATGGGCAAAAGTAATCTGGATAGGTGATAGACATCAGAATGGTGGTCACCTTTGGGGGTTATCTATTTGGAGGGGCCATAAGGAAGGCTGATGGGGTGCTGGAAATGTTCTATATCTTTATCTGGGAATTGGGTATATGGGTGCATATATATACAAGAGAAAAGGTAATCTAGATGCATATATAATATTTGTGTGCTTTCCCATAAATTATGTAAGTTAGATCTTAAACAAAAGTGGGGAAAGCATTCAGAATCTTACCTTTGATGAGGCACAAGCACATTGTTAATTCCTCCAAGTTTTGCATTTATCTTCAGGCAAAGATTGGAAAGGGTTTGAGGTGAGGTCTTCACTACATTTTTTACCTGGACACACTGTGTGGCCATACCTAGAAGGGTATCTCCAACACGTTTCACCTCCGCTACAAAAATAATTTATTAATTTTAACATGTTTAAATGGTCTCCTAATTACTAAAAGCAGAAGGAAAAAAACCCCACACATTAACTTTATAACCTACTATATACTGTACACTGTGCTAGATGCTTCTCATGTGTCTTCCTTTTATCTGCTAAACCCCCAGGGCAATTTTTCCCCCTGTGTTTGGATAGGCCCTCCCTTCTCTCCTTTTTTCCCTCCTGCAGGCCCTGCAGCCAGTCTGCTTCCTTTATTCTCTGTGCTGCCTGCCACGACTTGCTCAGCTCCTTGATGCTCCTCTTCCCACATGACTGATTTAGCAAAAGAATCAATCTTCCCAGCTCCTCCCTCTCAGTACACACACCGGCCCTTTGAATTTTATTTTATTTTGTTTTGTTTTGTTTTGCTTCCTTTTTCTTTCTTTAAGTACTAGAGATAACTGTAGAGAGAAGGTTAAAGACATTTTATAAAGTTTAAAACTGGGGCCAGCCACAGTGGCTCACATCTGTAATCTCAGCACTTTGGGAGGCCAAGGCGGGTGGATCACTTGAGGTCAGGAGTTCAAAACCAGCCTGGCCAACATGGTGAAACCCCATCTCTACTAAAAATACAAAAATTAGCTGGGTGTGATGGCACGTGCCTGTAGTCCCAGTACTTGGGGGGGCTGAGGCAGGAGATGGCACGTGCCTGTAGTCCCAGTACTTGGGGGGCTGAGGCAGGAGAATCACTTGAACCCAAGAGGCGGAGGCTGCAGTGAGTCAAGATTGCGCCACTGCACTACAGCCTGGATGACAGAGCAGGACCCTGCCTCAAAAAAAAAAAAAAAAAAAAAAGTTTAAAACTGGCTGGGCGTGCTGGCCCATGCCTGTAATCCCAATGCTTTGGGAAGCCCAAGGCAGGTGGATGGCTTGAGCCCAGGAGTTCAAGACCATCCTGGGCAACACGGCAAAACCCTATCTCTATAAAAAATACAAAAATTAGCTGGGCGTGGTTGTGGGCACCTGTATTCCCAGCTACTCGAGAGCCTGAGACGGGAGAATCACTTGAGCCCAGGATTGTGAGGCTGAGATGGGCAGTGATCATGACACCGCACTCCAGCCTGGGTGACAGAGCTGAGATTCTGTCTCATCAACAATAATAGTTCCTATATCCTTTATTTAAATGATAGCCAAAATAACTTTGTATCATTCTTCTTATAATAGATACAAAGTAAGCAAATCCTCTTCTGGAAGTGGCACTCTTCCTCACTCTCATATTCCTAAGTGCTTTTCACCAAATATTTCCAGTTCTCTCAGCTTCCAGGCCTATGGTAGTATCACACTACATTCTCAATGCCCATCCCCACTGCTCCCACGCAAGTTGGGTAAGGCCATATGGCTGGTTGTGGCCAAGGAGTTGCAGAGAGAAAAAAGAATGTGGGGCCAGCAACATTCCAAATAGCAGCTGCTCTGCCAAGCTGGGTCCCCAAATGGAGATGACATGATGACACAGAGCAGAAGCCGCAGTCTACCTTCAGTGGATGCATAACAGGAGCAAGAAACAAATCTTTGTTGTTGTGAACCACTGAGAGTTTGAGGTTTGTGACTGCAGCATAACCTAGCTTATCCTGACTGTTATATCTACTGCTTGAAATCATCCCTCATTCAGCATTAAAAGGGTCCATACCATATACTGGTGTCTTTCCAGGCAGGATAACCACTATTAGCTGTAGGCCCACATAAGTCATTTTCAGATGTTTAAACATAGGCTCCACACTGTCTGCACCTTGTGCATACTTGCAGAAACATGGCTGACCCTGGATGGGCATTCCTGCATCCTTAGAGATTTTACGCAGCTGGTCAGTGAAACTCCTGTTAAAATAGAACCAGTAACACGGTTTTTTTCATTTCAGAGTACATTTCTAGCATTCATTTTCCTCTGAAATACTTCCTTCAGTTTTGTAAATTCTTAGCCAAATTTAGAAACAAGTAAACAAATAAATAAAAATCTTTAACTGGTTGCCAAAAATGGACTGGCAATTGCAATTAAACTTGCAATTTAACTTGCAGTTAAACAGAAAAGAATCTGTATTACTAAGCTATCAGATTATCAACTGAAATTTTTAAATAATTATGTGCAGCTGAACTAGAATAGCATTGCTGTTCAAAGATCTTTTAAACATTCGAATCAATAATTCTGGACTGAAGAAAAGCAGGGTCAAAATTTCAGGTAACGTGCATTTTGGTAAGCCTGGTACAGAAATAGCTGGGTAAGCTTGTGCTCAACTGAGAACACAGAGACATGCTGTTACAAAATCAGTGTATTTAGGACTACATTCAAACTTGGAACAGATTTGGTTCAATAAAAATGTCAAAAGAAATCATCACTTAAAAAAAGCAAAATTCACTTTGAAGTTTTAAATTTTAGATTTGAGAAGTTACTTCAATCTATGTATAAAGCTTTCAGAATTCCTTTGGTGCATTTGCCAATATTTTGTAGAATTCCTTTCTTTCACTCTAGTTCCCTTTTCTTAATTTTTTTTCACTCTTCTCCCTAATTTTATTTTTTTATTTTTATTTTTTTGAGACGCAGTCTTGCTCTGTCGCGAGGCTGGAGTGCAGTGGTGAGATCTTGGCTCACTGCAACCTCTGCCTCCTGGATTCAAGTGATTCTCCTGCCTCAGCCTCCCCAGTAGCTGGGACTACAGGCGCGTGCCACCATGCCTGGCTGATTTTTTGTATTTTAGTAGAGACGGGGTTTCACCATGTTGGCCAGGATGATCTCGATCTCCTGACCCCATGATCCACCCACCTCGGCCTCCCAAAGTGCTGGGATTACAGGTGTGAGCCACTGAGCCTGGCCACTAACTTCTTTTATATAGATAGCTGCATCTGTAAGATGCGAACCTACTTTTACCCAGAGACCTTGCAATAAAACAAGCTCATTAGTAAATTATAACGATTAAAAGTAAGCTAGTTTTTGATCTTGGCTGAAAAGATACAATTAATACCAAAGGAAGCTTCAATAAGAACTCAAGAATTTGCCAACCAACATTGTCTCCACCTTGTTACTCACAAATTTCTGCTCTACATGTAAGGAAGCTGAGTCAGATTCTTAATGTAATTCCCAAGTTTGCAAATTACTATAATACAAGGTCTTTTTCATATAGCCAGATGGTGTCACTATGGGAGTCAGGGATTTAGTGCCAGTGTACACAGCACATTCACATAAAGACAGTATTTTCATATCTGGAAGGGATATTACTAAGCTGAAAATATGAAGATACTCACTTTAGTAAATCTTCCCTACATTGTTTCTGAGGTGCAAAACAAGCAACTGCCCAAACTTTAATTTCAATGCCAGCATAAAACTGCTTTCCTCGCATGTCCCAGACACCCTGGTTGGGTGTGGCTACTGTTTTATTCTTTGAAAAAAAAAAAAAGAAGAAGAAGAAGAAGAAGAAACAAAAGAAAAGAGAAAAGACATTACAATCTAAGGCCATTTTACTATTGACTAGTGAATAAACAAAATTCTATTAGGTATGAGCCAGAACACAAAAGGCAATAATGAACAAAACTATGGGTAAATTCAGCAGTGGCAGAGTAGAGAAACCCTGGATTATTCTCTTTTTGACTGGTTGTGGAAGAAGCTTGCTGAATAAAATAAAAAGCTTACCCGGCCTCCATATTGCAGCATTGGTGCTGGAAGTACCCTGCCTGTGAGCTCTGTCATTTCATTGTGGACAACAATACCAAATTCTTTAAGGTATGGATCAGGTCCACCCACCATACTGTTGCTCTTCACCTAAAGAACAGGAAAGCCTGCATATATAAAAACCAGAGAGTAACTGTGTCCCAGGAGGAGTTTTCTATTCTTTTGTTTTTTGTCATCTCAAAGCTAGCTCATCTTGAAGACCATGCCTTACTGACCAGTCTACTGATCTCTTCCTGTCTGTCAGGAGCAGATCTTGCTGTAGCTTTGATCATTGTGGAAGTCTGATTGTCTGTGAGCTTCTTGATACATCGCTGTCCTGCCACTATATTACAGACCTGCCAAGAGACAAAGAGAAATTGGTTTGTGTAAAGGGTTCCACATCTTAAACCTTTGCCAAACCATATCTTATATCCTCTATTTCCAGAAAAATTAAAATTTGGTTATATAGTGAAATCATCTGCCAAAAATATTTTAGAAATTAACACTAAATTTCACCACTAGTTTAGAACTCTACTTAAAAATATATACTCATTCAAGAGATCAGCAAATTGGCAAAAGAAAATTTAACTTACCTCGAGTGGCAAGTATGTATGCTTTTGTTCTTGTCCCACTTGGAGACAGGGAAGATGGGGGTATTTCAGTTGCAGACTATACTTTTGCTTAAAATATTGAGCTACTGTACATTCCATAGCTTGACCGTTTTCTAGCTGCAAAGGAAAACTATAGGAGAGAATGTCTTTTTTAGAATATTTCTTCAAGTTCTTTCTTTTCTTCTTTTTCTTTTTTCTTTTTTTTTGAGACAGTGTCTCACTCTGTCGCCCAGGCTGGAGTGCATGGCGTGATCTCAACCTCCGCCTCCCGGGTTCAATGGATTCTCATGCCTCATCTTCCCAAGCAGTTGGGATTATAGGCGTGTGCCACCATGCCCAGCTAATTTTTGTATTTTTAGTAGAGACAGGGTTTCACCACGTTGGTCAGGCTGGTCTCGAACTCCTGACCTCAAGTGATCCGCCCACCTCGGCCTCCCAAAGTGCTGGGATTACAGGCGTGAGCCACTGTGACTGGCCAAATTCTTTCTTTTCTAAACAATAAACAAACAAAGCCCACTAATAATTCCTACCTTCATCAGTCACTTAAAAAAACAAAGGTCAATCTTTTTTTTTTTTTTTTTTTGTGAGACAGAGACTCACTCTGTTGCCCAGGCGGGAGTGCAGTGGCACCATCTTGGTTCACTGCAATCTCCATCTCCCGGGTTCAAGCGGTTCTCCTGCCTCAGGCTCCCGAGTAGCTGGGATTACAAGTGCGCGCCACCACCTATAATTTTTGTATTTTTAGTAGAGATGGGGTTTCACCGCATTGGCCAGGCTGATCTAGAACTCCCGACTTCAGGTGATCCACCTGCCTCATCCTCCCAAAGTGCTGGGATCACAGGTGTGAGCCACATGCCCAGCCAAAAAACAAAAGTTAATCTTTATTTGAGCATTTTCACTTAAGTAAGTTTAGTATTTAACCAGAACAATGATTCCATTGAAATTTTCCATGTTGGTTAAAGCTTGGATGAGAAATTTTTTTAAATTAAAATTTAAGAAGAATTTTAAAAAAATAACTTAAAACAAGAAGATACTGCAGAACCAGAACATACATAGACTCACTTGAGGTCAGGTAACACCTACAGGTACAAATACAACCTCTTGCTGGCTTCAAATTAACATAAAGATTTGGAGTAATCCATGTAGGTGTTTTGTTCCCTTAAGATAACTTTATGTAAAATGAGTGTAGCATAGTTATTGGGGCCACATTTTTAGATTCCCAAATTTTTAGATCCTAAAACTAGAACAAATACATGTGGATCTGGAGACAACAAGACCAAATACATGAATCTGAGACTGTGCCAGAATATTTGGCATAATTAAGATACTCTATTTGGCTTTTCCAGTGGGCAAATTATCTCAAATACTTAGTACAATAATAACTTTAATCTTGCTTTTTTTTTTTTTTTTTTTGAGACAGAGTCTCGTTCTGTCACCTAGGCTGGAGTGCAGTGGCATGATTTTGGCTTACTGAAACCTCCACCACTTGGGCTCAAGCAATTCTCCCACCTCAGCCTCCCAACTAGCTGGGACAAATGCCTGGCTAATTTTTTTGTATTTTTTATAGAGGGGTCTTGCCACATTGCCCAGGCTGGTCTCGAACTCCTGGGCTCAAGGAATCCTCTTTCCTCAGCCTCCCAAAGTGTTGGGATTACAGTTGTCAGCCACCATGCCGGGTTTTAATCTTGCATTTTTTTTTTTTTTTTTTTTTTTTTTAAGATGTAGTCTCACTCTGTTGCCCAGGCTAGAGTGCAATCTCGGCTCACTGCAACCTCTGCCTCCCGGGTTCAAGTGATTCTCCTGCCTCAGCCTCCCGAGTACCTGGGATTACAGGCGCCTGCCACCATGCCTGCCACCATGCCCAGCTAATTTTTGTATTTTTAGTAGAGACAGGGTTTCACCATGTTGGCCAGGCTGGTCTTGAACTCCTGACCTCTAGTGATCTGCCTGCCTCGGCCTCCCAAAATGCTGGGATTTAGAGGCGTGAGCCACCACGCCCAGCCCGTTAATCTTCTTTTCTTAACTGCCACAGCCTTACAAAGTAGTGGTGCAGTAAGGGTCATCTATGTGATATTTAAATATATGAGTTATAATCTTTCAGCAAAGATTATATACGTCTATAAGTCTAATTATTCTAACAGGGTTATGTGAAATAATTAAATAATGAAAAGAGCACAGTTCTTGAACAAATGCTACAATTCTCAACAGTGACTTCATAAGGTTTTGGTAACTTTTTTTTTTTTTTTTCTGAGAAAGAAGTCAATGGTATAATACAAATAATACATGAAATACCAATTTACCACTCTTAAGAAATTCATGTAGTGTGTACATGAGGTCATACTGAAGAATTTATTCCAATCAGACTGAAATAATGCACTTTATTTATCCAGAAGCCATCTGAAAATTTCAACTATCTAGACAAAGCCCTCTGGGTGATTTTGATATGCACTAAAGTTTGAAAATTAAGAATCATGAATCTAAAACAAAGTCAGATTAGAATATAAGCAAAAAAAGGTGTGTGTGTGGGGGGGGGGGCTCTGAGTAACCAAAATAATGTAAATGTAGTAAAGTGTATACTGTATATTTAACTCTTTATTTAGAAGAGCCAATATTTATGTTTATGTCAGACATGATCTTGATTACAAGAATAAGATACAGATATAATTTTTAAAGCACTTTCACATATAGTGTCTCACTGAGGCACAGTTTTCAGTAGATTAGAAGTGTTGGGTGATGGGCTGGGCGCAGTGGCTCATGCCTGTAATCCCAGCACTTTGGGAGGCCGAGGCGGGTGGATTGCCTGAGGTCAGGGGTTCAAGATCAGCCTGGCCAACATAGAGGAACCCTGTCTCTACCAAAAATACAAAAAATTAGCTGGGCATGGTGGCAGGTGCCTGTAATCCCAGCTACTTGGGAGGTTGAGGCAGGAGAATCGCTTGAACCGGGGAGGTGGAGGTTGCAGTGAGCAGAGATCACGACATTGCACTCCAACCTGGGCAACAAGAGCTAAACTCTGTCTCAAAAAAAAAAAGAAGTGTTGGGTGATTAGGAAAATGAGATTGGGGAAATGGAAAGGAGTATGCTGCTGGAGGATGCCATAGACACCAACAGCTGTAAGAAGTGACAGCTACCTACAAAGGGAGGGAGAGAAATCCACACAAAACACAAAGCAATAGATGTCTTCTCCCAGCCTGGGCAACAAAGTGGGACCCCATCTCTATTAAAAATACAAAAATTAGCCAGGCATGGTGGCACATGCCTGTAGTCCCAGATACTCAGGAGGCTGAGGTGGGAGGATTGCTTGAGCCCAGGAAGCTGAGGCTGCAGTGGGCCATGACGGTGCCAAGCACTATATATATACGTGTGTCTGTATTTTTTTTAGAAGATACATACATACATATAAAATGTCTTCTCATATATTTTATTTACATGTATGTCTTCTCCTGACAGCCTTATATGATATCTAGGCCTTAATAGACCTTTTGAGCCATGTATTAAGAATTACAACAGTAGGCTGGGTGTGCTGGTTCACACCTGTAGTCCCAGCACTTTGGGAGGCCGAGGCGGGCAAACTGTTTGAGCCCAGGAATTCAAGACCAGACTGGGCAACATAGCAAAACCCCACCTCTACAAAAAAAATTAGGCGAGTGTGGTGGTGCATGCCTGTAATCCCACTACTTGGAAGTCTGAGGTGGGAGGTTCACTTGAGCCCAGAAGGTGACAGAGTGAGACCCTGTCTCCAAAAGAAAAAAAAAAAAAAAAAAAAGAATAACAACAGTATAATAAAAAAAAGCTTATAATGACTCTGCATCATTAAATAAAAAGATTAAATAAAACATAGATTAAATAAAAGTTAATCTATGTTTAACATACTCTACTTAAGAGGTAAATTGAATTAAAGGCAAGGAATGTGTTTTATAAATACCTCTACCAAAAATATTCAGAAAATGTTTTAAAACTTTGGTGTTAAAAGCAAAGATTCTCGTGATCTTGAAAATTTCAGTATAAGATAACCAATTTCTTTCTTTTTTTCTTTTGAGATGGAGTTTCACTCTGTCACCCAGGCTGGAGTACAAGGTGTGATCTTGGCTCACTGCAAACTCTGCCTCCTGGGTTCAAGCGATTCTCCTGCCTCAACCTCCCAAGCAGCTGGGATTACAAGCGCCTGCCACTAAGCCTGGCTAATTTTTGTAGTTTTTAGTAGAGACGGGGTTTCACTATGTTGGCCAGGCTGGTCTCGAACGCCTGACTTCAAGTGATCTGCCTGGCTCGGCCTCCCAAAGTGCTGAGATAACAGGTGTGAGCCACCATGCCTGGCCAAGATAACCAATTTCTTTTTATTTATTAATTTTTTTTGAGACAGGGTCTTGCTCTGTTGCCCAGGCTGGAGTGCAGTGGTGTGACCTCGGCTCACTGTAACCTCCACCTCCCAGGTTCAAACAATTCTCTGCCTCAGCCTCCCGAGTACCTGGTGTTACAGGTACCCGCCACCACGCCCAGCTAGTTTTCTTGTATTTTTAGTAGAGATGGGGTTTCACCATCTTGGCCAGGCTGGTCTTGAACTCCTGACCTCATGATCCACCTACCTCGGCCTCTCAAAGTGCTGGGATTACAGGTGTGAGCCACTGTGCCCGGCCAATAACCAATTTCTTAAAACAATTATAGTAGCTCCCTCTGTTACTAAAAATGTAATTGTATTACTTTAGATGTGGTTAACATACGTTTGATGACTGGCTGGCCGTCTAGTCACATTACAAACTCGGTATTTTCGTTTCATCTGTCCACAGTGGGTCACCTCAACTTTGAGACCTGAAATTTTTTTTAAAAGGCAAAACATCAGTTAATTAAAATCACAGTGGCAAAAACAGATTCAAATGTTGTCTTCAAAATGTCATGACATTGTACAGGATAAAAATTGCAAGAATATGGGGACAATTTCATCGTTATAGGCAAAAAACCTGAGTTAAGCAGAATAAATTAGAACTCAGATTACCTAAGATGCTCAATCTCCTTTAGTTTATTATTTCATCCAATAAATATTTATTAAGCATCAACTATGTTCTGATGCTTATTTTCAGGTCTGGAGACAGCTTTCGTGAAGTTTATATTCTAGTGAGGGAAACTAACTAATAACAAGAAGAAAAGAAATCCCAGAAGGATAATAAATGAATTTATGTTATTTTATTAAAATGGAAGTTCTTAAGTGGGTAAGCATAGCATTTACTGAGTGCCTGATATGTGACAGGTACTATGCTAGAAAGCTTTATAAGCCTAATTGCATTTAATTCTCACAACAACTCTACAAGGTATATATTATTATCTTTACCTTAGAGATGAATACACTAAGGTTCACAGTGGTTAAGGAACTTGACCAAGGTCCCATTGATAGAAGTGGTTAGCCTGAGACCGAAGCCCAGGTCTGTGTGACTCCAGAGCACAGGCAACGTGCAGCATGCTGAGCTGCTTCTCCAAGACTACATTAATGCAAACACTTACCTCTGATTTCTTTGGTAAATTTGACACGCTGGGAGTCTGTTAGAGGTTTGGTCTGTTCATTGATGTTCTGAATGTCTAAAACCTCACACATGAACTCAATGATAGGCTGAGCCCGGTAGAAAGCAGTTGCAGATACTAACAAACAGAGAAGGATACTTCACTTCAGGGAAAAGGGAAGGGCCAAAACAAACAAACAAACAAAAACCAGCCCAAAGAGTTATTGGATAAAGAGAGTTCCATCCTACCATCAATGTTGAGCATCATATTCCACATGGCAGGTCTCACAGACTGATGAAAACCAAACCAGACCTCCCTGCCCCCTCCCAGAGGGTGGTAGTAACCTTCCGGGGGTGAGAAAAAGGAACGGCCCACTGGGGTGTACCTGAAGAAATAAGAGTTTGCATGTGTCACATTAAACATGTGAAAGGTCCTTCATTTCACTCTCAACTCTGGGAGCTGAAATCAAATTTGAACAATGACTTATGCAGAAATTTTTCAATGGCTCCAGTACAACCTACCAAAAAAGTCTGACATTTGTAGGAAATAATCCAAACCAAGGTACTAACCTCATGGAGGGAAGGTGTCTTGTGATAACATCAAGTGCTTGTACTGAGTCATCTGGGACTTCATTCAAGTGCCCAGCCAAAGCTTCTAAAAGCAACTGAAGGCTCACAACTGACACCCACTGAACAGACACTTTAAATGTTTGGTCTTTACCCTCGCCTGGAAGAGTCACCTCCATATCAACCTAAGGAAAAAAATACATGAATACAAACACAAATGTTTACAATGGCTGTGGGAAAGATCCCAAGAATATGCAGTATGATACATGCATAAGGATATTTCTTTTAACTTTTTTTTACAATTGTGTAACATTGGAAACAACTTAGTGTCCATGAGTAGGGGTATAATTTAATATGTAACATTATACAATAGTGAAAAAATAAGGTAGATGTTATAACATGGATGACGCTTGAAAACATTATGCTAAATGAAACAAGCCAGATACAAAAAGACAAATATTTCATGATTCTATTTCTATGAAGTACATTGAATAGTCAAATTTAAAGGGACAGAAAGTAGAATAGTGGTTCTCAGGGACCAGGGACAGTAGGGTATGGGGAATTATTGTTTAATAGGTACAGAGTTTTCGTTTGGAATGATGAAAAAGTTCTGAAAATGGATAGTGATGATGGATGCACAACAATGTGAACATACATAATGCCATTAAACTGTAACATAACATCATAAGTTTTTTTTGAGACAGGGTCCTGCTCTGTCATCCAAGCTGGAGTGCAGTGGTGCAATAATAACTTATTGTAGCCTCAAAGTCCTGGGCTCAAGGGATCCTCCCACTTTAGCCTCCCAAGTAGCTGGAATTACAAGTGCACACCACCATGCCTGGCTAATTAGAAATTTTTTTTTTGTAGAGATGGGTCTCCCTGTGTTGCTCAGGCTGGTCTCAAACTACTGGCCTCAAGCAATTCTCCCACCTCGATCTCCCACAGCACTGGGATTTTTGGCTGGGTGAAGCACTACACCCAGCCAAAAATAGTAAATTTTATGTTATATATTATTTTACAACAATAAAAACTTAAATTTGAAAAAAAATAATAAGGTAGATATAAATGTATAGAAATGGAAAGATCTTTCAGGCATATTGTTAAATGAAAAGCAAATCATAGAGTGACATGCAAAACAATAAGAATACACATCAACATATGTATAAATAGCAGCTAATATACATAACATATCTAAAAAGATACATACCAAACTACTATAGTAGTTTCCTTTGGAAAGGAAAATGGTAGTGAGGGTGCAGATAAGTGGTGGAGGCGGTAAATCACAGCATTTCTAGATTGTCTGGATAAATTTATTATGAGCATATGTTCACACAGTACTTTTCTAATTTAAAAAAAATAAATGTTTAAAAAAGTATTGTGCTATTATAATCTATTTTCATAAGTGAGTATTATATAGTTTTCTATAATTTATAAAACTCTGTTGTTCAGATTCAGGTAGTACTTTGTTAAAGTACATGGTTAATGTGAGAAATTACGTAAAGATGACATAATCAACCTCAATCCTAATGCTCATCTCATTTTCAATTATCAGTTAACTAAGACAAGAGAATATGGACAGAATAACAAATCTATCATCACTATAAAAAACAACTCTCGCTGGGCGTGGTGGCTCATGCCTGTAATCCCAGCACTTTGGGAGGCTGAGATGGTGGATCACCTGGGGTCAGGAGTTTGACACCAGCCTGTCCAACATGGTGAAACCCCATCTGTACTAAAAAAAAAAATAATAATAATAATAAAAATTAAGGCCAGGCGCAGTGGCTCATGCCTGTAATCCCAGCACTTTGGGAGGCTGAGGCGGGTGGATCACCTGAGGTCAGGAGTTCGAGACCAGCCTGGCCAACATATAGTGAAACCCCCATTTCTACTAATAAAATACAACAATGATCTGGGCGTGGTGGCACACGCCTATAGTCCCAGATACTTGGGAAGCTGAGGCCGGAGAATCGCTTGAACCCAGGAAGTGGAAGTTGCACTGCGCCGAGATCGCGCCACTGCACTCCAGCCTGGGCAACAGAGCAAGGCTCCGTCTCTCAAGGAAAAAAATAAAATAAAAATTAGCCAGGTGTGGTGGCACATGCCTGTAATCCCAGCTACTTGGAAGGCTGGGGCAGGAGAATCACTTGAATCTGGGAGGCAGAGGTTTCAGTGAGTGGAGACCAAACCACTGCATTCCAGCCTGGGTGACAGAGCGAGATCCCATCTCAAAAAAAAAAAAAAAAAATTTCTAAGAATTGATGTGTTATTACAGAAACTTTTGTTTCTGCTCACATACAGATTTTTTAAAATTGATATATGACAGTTGTACATACTTTTGGGGTACATGTGATATTTTGATATCTGTATGCAATGTGTAATAATGAAATCAGGTTAATTAGGATATCATCACCTCAAACATTTATGTTTTTTGTGTGTGTTGGGAAGAAAAGGAAATATTTTTGTCATGTATAATTACTACTAAATGAACTAAGTATTTCTTGCTCTTAACACTTACCCTATCCCGTCCAATTGGTAGTGGATGTGCTGTGTACATGTTTCTTTTGCCATCATACCCAGGCTGCCGATCACCAAATATTTGCATCTTGAAGTGCCGCACCATTGTATCTACTACCTCCCTTCACAGTAATGGAGATAATGGCAGTTAGCTTTCAGAAATGGTGAACAGTAAGAAAAGCATCATCATACTTTAATCATTTAAATTCGGTTCAGTATTACTTGGAAAAAGTAAGAGTTAAGGTTACAATTGATTCGAGTACTTTAAAAAATAGTTAACTAAAGAAAGGTAGCAACAAGTGTACAAAAACAACTGTAAGATGATATCAGAAATGGGGAATAAAAGAGAGAATAACATTTATGGTATCCTCTCAACCTCCTCTTTCCAAAATCCTCTCCTGTGATAAACACAGCCTTATAAGAATAACCTGGCTGGGTGTGGTGGCTCACGGCTGTAATCCCAGCACTTTGGGAGGCTGAGGTGGGTGGATCACTTGAGGTCAGGAGTTCGAGACCAGCCTGACCAACACAGTGAAACCCTGTCTCTACTAAAAATACAAAATTAGCCGGCATGGTGGCACGTGCCTGTAATCCCAGCTACTCAGGAGGCTGAGGCAGGTGAATCGCTTGAACCTGGGAAGCGGAGGTTGTGGTGAACCAAGATCGTGCCATTGCACTCCATCCTGGGCAACAAGAGTGAAATTCTGTCTCAAGAAAAAAAAGAATAACCTATCTTGGATATCTAAGTTTGACACGGAGGTACATCACTGAACGATGATAAGTTTGTCATCAAATCAATATCCTGGCTGGGCGTGGTGGCTCATGCCTGCAATTCCAGCACTTTGGGAGGCCGAGGCAGGTGGATCACTTGAGGTCAGGAGTTCGAGACTAGCCTGGCCAACACAGTGAAACCCAGTCTCAACTAAAAAAAATAGAAAACTTAGTCAGGCAT
This sequence comes from Homo sapiens, assembly GCF_000001405.40. Taxonomy (NCBI): domain Eukaryota; kingdom Metazoa; phylum Chordata; class Mammalia; order Primates; family Hominidae; genus Homo; species Homo sapiens. The sequence goes on along the minus strand of NC_000001.11, from coordinate 35,822,031 downwards.
GGTGTAATCCCGGGTACTTGGGGGGCTGAGGCACGAGAATCGCTTGAACCCAGGAGGCAGGGGTTGCAGTGAGCTGAGATCGTTCCACTGTACTCCAGCCTGGGCAACAGAGTAAAACTCTGTCAAAAAAAAAAAAAATCCTTATTCAAGTATATTGGTTTTGAGAAAGAGAATCAGCAGGAATTTAAAAATCTGAGGATCAGTAAATCTAAGATCCATGATACACAAATAAGTCAACCCCTTTGCCTAATGCCAGTGATTTATTATTCTGTATACCGTCTTGTCTTATTCCAAAGTGCTTGTCTTATTTCAAAGTGCTTATTCCAAGCAGTGTAGACAAGGGAATGTTGTAAAATATTCTCTTTCCAAAAAGATTATTAATATAGCTTCTTTGTTTTTAGAATAAAAGTCTTTTTCTCAATCAAGCATGCAGAACTTTACTTAAGTGTTCTTGCATATATGCCAGATCACACTGTATGCAGGCCGTGGAATAAATGCAGTGGCAAAAAAACTGGTGTATAGAGTTTAAGATATGGACAGACCAGGGTTTGTGAGATTTTTGAATGCTAGAGTCAATGAAAAGTTAGGTGCTTTAACTTAGCAACGTTTGTGAGTTTCATGTGTGGGAACAATATCTTAAAAGCCAAAATACATCACAACTAGCTAACACATTTATATTACTACAAATGAAATCTGTGGGAAAGTCATGTTTACAAACCAAATCATGTGACTGAAAAAAATTGATGGAGAGACGTGGTATCGTACAATCTCCATTTTAAAGAGCTAACTTAAGAACTATACGTTTTCATACTAGAAAAGAGTAATTTCTCATCTTACATTCTTAAATTCTGACCAAAAAGTTTTAGAGTAAAGAGCTACTTTCACCTCTATTCTCATTTAATCTTCACAGCAACCTCGTAAAACAAATAGGAAAATGATTATGGTCCTCATATTAAAGAAAAGAAAAAAGAAAAATTCAGAATGGGCAAGTGGCTTGTCCCTGATCACACAATGATTAAGTGGCAGAACTGCATGACCTTGGACAAGTTACTTAATCTTTCACTTGTCTGTTTCTTCATATGTAAAGTTATGATAATAATAATAATAATACTTCCCTTGAAAAGTGGTTGTCTTAATTGAGCAAACACACAGAGTATTTATTTATTTATACAGTGTTAGGTAAAATACATAGAGTATTTAGAATGGTGCTTGTCCCACAATAAGCCTTTGTACTCTGATCTGCTCATGGATATCATTCCAAGAATTGTCTTCTCTCCTAAATCATGAAATTTTTCCTTTTTACTGGATTATTCCCTTCAGCATACAAATATGCTCTAATTTCTCTCATCCTAAAAAAAAAAATCAAACTTTCTTGGGCCAGGCGGGGTGGCTCATGCTTATAATCCCAGCACTTTGAGGGGCAGAGGCAGGCAGATCACTTGAGGTCAGGAGTTTGAGACAAGCCTGACCAACATGGTGAAACCTCGTCTCTACTAAAAATAAAAAATTAGCCAGGTGTGGTGGTGCATGCCTGTAATCCCAGCTACTCGGGAGGCTGAGGCAAGGGAATCAGTTGAACCCCAGAAGTGGAGGTTTCAGTGAGCCAAGATCGCACCACTGCACTCCAACCTGGGTGACAGAGTGAGACTCCATCTTAAAAAAAAATACATAAATAAAAAATTAAACTTTCTTAATCTCAGTTTCTCCCCGTCTGAACATTCTATTTCTGTGCTCCCTTTTGTATCAAAATCCCTTGAAGGAGTTGTCTGTAATTCCTCTTCCCCTTTCTCCCTTGAACTTTCTCAAGTAAGGCTTTTTCTCTACCAAACTACTGTTATCGACGTCCTCCAGTGGGCTCCATATAGCTAAATTCAATGCTCCTTGAACATTAGATAATCCATCCTTCCAACTTAAAACATCTTCTTCCTTTGCCTCCAGAGCACCACTCCCTTGGTTTTCTCCTATCCCAGTGGTCTCTCCATGCCAATCTTCCTGCTGATACTTCCTCATCGCCTTTAATCTTTCAGTTAAATCTTTAAATATTGGAGTGCTTCAAGACCCAGTGTAGGAGCCTTATTTTCTCCACACACACTCACTTTCAACATAATCTCATCCAGTCTCATGGCTTTATCATCAATAAGCTCATGATTCTCAAATGTTTGTCTCCAGCCTCGAACTGTTCCCTGAATCCAACCTTAATACTGTATTCAACCTCCTTTTTTTTTTTTTTTTAAGACTCAGAGTCTCACTCTGTCACCTGGGCTGGAGTGCAGTGGTGCTATTTTTTTTTTTTTTTTTTGAGACAGAGTCTCACTCTGTCGAATAGGCTGACGTGCAGTAGCACGATCTCAGCTCACTGCAACCTCCGTCTCCCGGGTTCAAGTGATTCTTCTGCCTCAGCCTCCCGAGTAGCTGGGACTACAGGCACACACCACCATACCATGACCAGCTAATTTTTGTATCATTAGTAGAGACAGGGTTTCACCATATTAGCCAGGCTGGTCTCAATCTTCTGACCTCGTGATCCACCCACCTCGGCCTCCCAAAGTGCTCACATCCAAAGATGTGAGCCACCGCGCGCGGCCTTTTGTTTTTTTTAATATAGACAGAGTCTAGCCATGTTGCCTAAGCTTGCTGCAAACTCCTGGCTTCAAGCAATCCTCCCACCTCAGCCTCCTAAAGTGCTGGGATTACAGGTACGAGCTACCACAGCCGATCTCCACTAGCATGTCTAATAGTCATCTCAACCCTGATGTCCAAAACGCACAGGTCTCCTGATCTGCTACTCCCTGCTTCTGCTTCTCTTGCAGTTTTCCCCATCTGATAAATGACAACTCCTTTTTTTCCAGTAGCTCAGGACATAAACCCTGGAATTGATCATGACTAATTTCTTTCTTTCACACCACATGTTCAATCCATCAGTAAATCTTATTGACAGTAGTATGAAAATATTTGCAGGATCTGACCACTTCTCATCACTATCAATTATACTACTCAAGTCTAAACCACCATTACTTTTCACCTGAATCATTCCAAGTGCCTCTTAATTAATTTCCATGCTTTTCACCCTTACCTGCTAGGGTCTAATTTCAGCACAGCATCCAGGGCAATCCATTAAAAATATAAGTTTGTCATGTCTTAGATTTATTTAGTCACGTTGTGGGTTTAGTATTTAAAACTCACCTAACCAGAATAAATGACAAAGTGTTATGAATGCCTACAAGTTCTGCATGATAGAGGCCTTCTGAAATTTCTCCAACCTCATCTCCTATCACTCTCCCCCACTCACTCACTCCAGCAATCCAGAATTATCTGCTGTTTGTTTCTTTCCTTCCTTCCTTCCTTCCTTCCTTCCTTCCTTCCTTTCTTCCTTTCTTTCTTTCTTTCTTTCTTTCTTTCTTTCTTTTTGAGACAGAGTCTCCCTCTGTTGCCCAGGCTGGAATGCAGCGGCATGATCTCCACTCACTGCAACCTCCGTCTCCCAGATTCAAGTGATTCTCCTGCCTCAGCCTCCCAAGTAGCTGGGATTACAGGCACGTGCCACTATGCCCAGCTAATTTTTGTATTTTTAATAGAGACAGGGTTTCACCATGTTGGCCAGGCTGGTCTCGAACTCCTGACCTCAAGTGATCTGCCCGCCTCAGCCTCCCAAAGTGCTGGGATTACAGGCATGAGCCATCACGCCCGGCCTGCTGTTTCTTGAACTCACCAAGCTTCTGACTTTGCCTGGGACACTCTTCATGCAGATATCCCTCACCTCCTCTAGGTCAAATATCACTTTTCAGTGAGACTTTCTCTAGGTATTTGCATACGTATATACATATACATACGTGTGTGTATATCTACATATGCATGTATATGTATATATAAACATATATATTCATTCATATATAAATCTCAGTGCTCATCCTATCCCCATTTCCTATCTTCCATCTCTATTTTCTTTTTCTTTATTGCATTTATTACCAACTAATAAAATACATGTTTTGTTTGCTTCTTCATTTATTGTTGGTCTTCCCCATTAGAATATACGCTCCTCAAAGGTAGAAACTTTTGCCTGTTTTGTTCATGGTGAATTCCCAGAGCACAGGGCAATACCTGGCACAAAATAAACATTCAATAAAATATTCGTTGGATGGATCAATGTTATCCATTACCACCACTTCTACTACTATTGATCTCAGTTACACAATAGCCAATAATGGGTTTACAAGAGAATGAACTACACCAGAAAGCCAAATTTTGATCCATAATGAGAAAAATATCAAGCGGCACAAAATATTTAACTTGACAGCAAAGAGCAATCTTAAAAAAGCAAGAATCTTAATATCAAATATTGCCTGAATGTCACTGCATAGAAACAGAGAAAACAAAAGTGGATGTATACTCAGCACACTGTAAGAATATTTGCTACAGGGCTGTCTTCACACCAGGTAAATTCCTGCTATACAGACCACAATACTTACATCATCTCATCAGGACCACTCTTAGATAATGCTAGAAATAACTAGAGCTTCTCTCTGTGCTTAGTTTTCTCAGTACTCCAAGATGACTTTTCTTTCTTTTCCCCCAAGAAAAAATCTGCAAGTAATCTTCTGTATTGATATATATATATATATACATCTTTCTCATGTCCAAAACCAACATATAATAATAAAAATTGAATTTCCAGATAGTTCTATTTCCCACAGACACTAATGTCTTCACCTATTTTAGTAAATTTTTGCTACCCTTGGTCAATGAAAGAGCGACCTTTCTTTTCCATAATTAAATAAGTGTTTACTGATTGACTAATAATATATCCAGCACTTTGCTAGAGCCTACAGAGGATAACCAAGCATGAGACAGCAAACCTGCTATTAAGAAACCTATCATCTTAGAGAATAACAAAGCCTACATGTTGGATGAATTTAGAGAACAATATGATACATAAATAAATTATATGCACTTAAATATACAGAAATCCACTGTTTCTAATCCTTACCTGTTGACTCTACGAGGCCGTTTTTCAGGCTTAATATCCACATCATAGTGATACACATCTATTTTAGGAATCTGAACCTGAAAATGATTGGCTAACAGTCGAATTGGTTTTCCAACAGTTCCAAGGCCAGGACGACGAGGTGGCTGAAACAGGCTAGCCGGAGGTCCTAAAGAGATTGAAAGACATTTGCTGTGCTATTTTTTTTTTCTTTTTCTTTCTTTCTTTCTTTTTTTTTTTTTTTTTTTTTTTGAGACAGAGTTTCGCTCTTTCACCCAGGGTGGAGTGCAGTGGCTTGATCTTGGCTCACTGCAACCTCTGCCTTCCAGTTCCAAGCGATTCTCCTGCCTCAGCCTCTCCAGTAGCTGGGATTACAGGAGCCTGCCACCAGGCCTGGCTAATTTTTGTATTTTTAGTAGAGACAGGGTTTCACCACATTGGCCAGGCTGGTCTAGAACTCCTGACCTCGTGATCCACCTGCCTCAGCCTCCCAAAGTGCTGGGATTACAGGCGTGAGCCACCGCACCTGGCCTGCTGTGCTATTTATTCTTCTTCTTCTTGATGATGATGATGATGGCTACAGTTATTGAGATCTTATTATTCACTGTATGTACTCTAATATAAAGAATCTGGGGTGTCTTTCGACCTAAGGTTCTCTAGATTTCTAAATATTTTGCCAAGTTGCTATTATTTTTAACATAAGGACATCAAAATTAGAATGATGAATTCCTCTCAAGTATAGGCTACAGTATAAAATCTTGCATGAGCATTAGTAAAGCTCTATAGCTAGACTTACAAAATTATATGCATTTTAAAAACTATCTCTAAACTCTGGAGCCACCATCCCCAGAGTTGGAAATGACCTACTAATCTCTCACAAATTAGCCTGCATCATTATAAATTGTACATATAGGAGAAGATTAAACCACAGCTCTATTTATCAATTTATTTGCTAATTTCGATAGTGAAACAATACCAATAAAGCTAGACCTTCTCGTTTATAACTTGATATTTTTAGAACCTGGACAATCTGAGATTTCTTGCTCATAAGATCTAGTTTATTCCACAGACATTTATTCATTTATTCAGTTATAACATGCCTAACCTGTACTATGGACTCAGAATGAAGACAGAGCCCCTTCTTTCAAAGAATGTACAGTCTAGACCAGTGGTTCTCAACCCGGGGCAAATTTGTTCCCCAGGAAACATTTGGCAAATATATGGACACATTTTTGGTTGTCACAACCTGAGAAGTGCTGCTGGCATCTAGTGGAAAGGACCCAGGATACAGCTACGCATTCTACAATGCATAAGATAGCCCCCCACAACAAAGAATTACCCAGTCCAAAATATCAATAGTGCTGAGAAAGAGGTTGAGAAACCCTGATGTAGATAGAGTAATATTTCCAAACTATTTCAAAAAAGAAAAGATTCTATAAGTTAAAGAAACCTTGCATACTCTCTCCCCTCTTAAAATTTCAATGCATATTATCATATTAAATTATCTAAAAAGTCATGTAATAAATAAACCTAGTTAACTTTACCTCATCATTTAGCTAACTGTTTTTTTTCCCCACAGAACTCTCTCTCTCTCTCTAAGATTTGAACATCTATTAATACTCAGCAGAAAAAGATCTTGTGGAGCACAGTCTGGGAGACACTCGTTTAGAGAAAATCTTACTCCTTTTTGATGACAATATCAAGTGGATACTGGCCTAAAAAATGAACATCTTTTCTGCTATGAATAGGCACTGAGCAAAGTGGGCTGTGGTTACAATGGAAAGTTACAACAGGTTCTGTTACTGCAATGGCATTTCACTGAGAACAAAGACTTCACTAAGGAGAGAAAACTTGGAAGCAAGAAGTTGTTCTGGGCCAGGCGTGGTGGCTCACACCTGTAATCCCAGCACTTCGGGAGGCCAAGGCAGGCAGATGACCTGAGGTCAGCAGTTTGAGACCAGCCTGGCCAGCATAGTAAAACCCCGTCTCTACTAAAAATACAAAAATTAGCCGGGCACGGTGGTGGATGCCTGTAATCCCAGCTACTCAGGAGGCTGAGGCAGGAGAATCGCTTGAACCCGGGAGGCAGAGGTTGCAGTGAGCTGAGATTGTGTCACTGCACTCCAGCCTGGGCGACAGAGGGAGACTCAGTCTAAAACAACAACAAAAAGAAGTTGTTCTGTTCCAACATCACTTAGGAAAATTAGAGCAAATACTTTATGATATTTATGGTTACAGATCACCATATTCTAACACTTAAAGTATTAAAAATCATTTTACATATTAATTATTCATTTTCCCACTATATTCTACTTATCCTTCAGAATTAGGTTTAGATGTAACCTCCTTGGAAAGCCTTTCCTGATTCTCCCAGACTAGAGGATCCGTCCTCTGTGTTCAAAAGACTCTCTCTATAGGGGAACCCATAGAGCAAGTATAAGAAACCACTTGTTAAGTTACTCTGTCTCCTTCACTAGATTGCAAACTCTTATAAACACCGCATGTTCTCACTCATAGATGGGAATTGAACAATGAGAACACTTGGACACAGGAAGGGGAACATCACACACTGGGGCCTGTTGTGGGGTAGGGGGAGGGGGGAGGGATAGCATTAGGAGATATACCTAATGTAAATGATGAGTTAATGGGTGCAGCACACCAACACGGCACATGTATACATATGTAACAAACCTGCACATTCTGCATATGTATCCTAAAGTATAATAAAAAAAATTTAAAAAAAAGAAATGAACCTCCTATTAATCTTCTCAATATCTAATGCAACAGCCATCATGTTATAAGAATTCAATAAATGTTGAACTGAACAGTATCAATAATCCCAGATAGAATCTAAACACAAAAATCATAATTATCTTTCTTTCTCTCTCCTTCCTTCCCTTCTGTCCTTCCTTCTTTCCTTCCTTCCTTCCTTTTTTCTCTCTCTCTTCTTTCTCTTTCTCTCTCTTTTTTTTTTTTGAGATGGAGTCTCACACTGTTGCCCAGGCTGGAGGGCAGTGGTGCGATCTCGGCTTACTGCAACCTCCGCCTCCCGGGTTCAAGAGATTCTCCTGCCTCAGCCTCCCAAGTAGCTGGAATTACAGGCACCCGCCACCATGCCCAGCTAATTTTTTGTATTTTTAGTAGAGACGGGGTTTCACTACATTGGCCAGGCTGGTCTCAAACTCCTGACCTTGTGATCCGCCCACCTTGCCCTCCCAAAGTGTCTCTCTTCTTCTTCCTTCTTCCTTCCTTCTTCCTTCTTCCTCTTCCTCTTCTTCTTCTTCTTCTTTTTTTCTTTTTTTGAGCCAGGGTCTTGCTCTGTTGCCCAGGCTGGAGTGCAGTGGGTCAATCATGGCTCACTGCAGCCTCGACCTCCTGGACTCAACTGATCCTCCCACCTCAGCCTCCAGAGTAACTGAGATACCACCCCAGCTAATTTTTGTATTTTTGGTAGAGACGAGGTTTGGGGTTTTGCCATGTTGCCTAGGCTGGTCTTGAACTCCTGGGGTCAAGCAATCTGCCCACCTAGGCCTCCCAAAGTGCTGGGATTACAGTCATGAGCCACCACGCCCAGCTGACAATTATTTTTCAATGAAGCAAAAGCACATAATTTATACTAAAAGTATTCTTTTTTTTTTTTTTGAGATGGAGTCTCGCTCTGTCACCCAGGCTGGAGTGCAGTGGCACAATCTTGGCTCACTGCAAGCTCTGCCTCCCGGGTTCACGCCATTCTCCTGCCTCAGCCTCCCCAGCAGCTGGGACTACAGGCGCATGCTGCCATGCCCGGCTAATTTTTTGTATTTTTAGTAGAGACAGGATTTCACCATCTTAGCCAGGATGGTCTTGATCTCCTGACCTTGTGATCTGCCTGCCTTGGCCTCCCAAAGTGCTGGGATTACAGGCGTGAGCCACTGCGCCCGGCCCACTAAAAGTATTCTTATTGCTTGGAGTTGAGTTCTACTTCTAGTGTACAAGAGGACCTATCAATACAATTGATAAGACAATTACAAACAAGGTAACAAGGTAAGAAGTAAATAGTAAATAATGTGAGAGGTGATAAACATACTGAATTAACCCAATTAAATCATAAAAATAAGTCAACTCTGCATATTTCAAGATACACTTAAGCAATCACTGTATCATTCATAAAGTTGTAAGAGGCCAGGCACAGTGGCTCATGCCTGTAATCCCAGCACTTTGGAAGGCTGAAGCGGGCAGATCACCTGAGGTCAGAAGTTTGAGACCAGCCTGGCAAACATGGCAAAACACCGTCTCTACTAAAAATACAAAAATTAGCTAGGTGTGGTGGTGGGCACCTGTAATCCCAGCTACTCGGGAGACTGAGGCAGGGGAATAGCTTGAACCTGGGAGGTGCAGGTTGCAGTGAGCCGAGATCATGCCACTGCAATCCAGCAAGGGTGACAGAATGAGACTTGTCTTAAAAAAAAAGAAAAAAAATGTTGTAAGAAATATAGCTTTATAATAGAAATTTGAAAACAGAAACTTGGATCAAATGACTTGCTTAAGGACATACGACTTTGAGTTTAAATACTAACTAGAATCCAAATCTCCTAACTCCTAGCCTAGCACTTTTTCTTCCCAATATACTTCATAATCTTGTGATATGTATTATTATCTGAAGTACTTGAATGTCAAAGAGGCAGAGGCAGAAGAATTGAAAGAAAAACGATTAAGAAGTGGCAAAAAGTAAATATTATTTGTATCTCCTTTCCTTGGCAAAGAGAAAAGTTAGATGGTGAGTGATAATTTCTTTTAATAAGCTTAGAAGATTTAGTTTGAAAATTATAACTTTTTTCATTCTGGAAGTTAATTTTTTTTTTCTTTTTTCTTTTTTTTTTAATTTGGGCTAAACAACAGAAATTTATTTGTACAGCTCTGAAGGCTGGGAAAAATCTGGTTTCTTTGAATTTAGCCAGCTATCTACTTAATGAAGCAATAAAGCACAGTGGCTAAAGCTCTGGAACCAAATTACCTAGGTTTAAATCCTGGTCTCACCACTCCCTAATTGCATGACGTTGGGCCAGTTTCTTGGCCTCTCTGCATCTCGGTTTCCTCATTTATAAAATGGGCATGTGTGTAATAATAATGGCATCTATCCCATGAGATGATGTATATTCAAGGTTTAACATAAAGGCTGGGTGCAGTGGCTCATGTCTGTAATTCCAGTACTTTGGGAGGCCGGGGCGGGTGGATCACAAGGTCAGGAGTTCAAGACCAGCCTGGCCAAGATGGTGAAACCCCGTCTCTACTAAAAATACAAAAATTAGCCAGGCGTGGTGGGTGCCTGTAATCCCAGCTACTCGGGAGGCTGAGGCAGAGAACTGCTTGAACCCGGGAGGTGGAGGCTGCAGTGAGCCGAGATGGCGCCACTGCACTCCAGCCTGGGCGACACAGCGAGACTCTGTCTCAAAAAACAACAACAACAAAAAACGTTTAACATAGTGCCTTGCAATAGTAAACGCTCAGTAAATGTTAGCTATTATAATTGCATTTGTAAACGTTATAATCATAGTTAGTGCTCAAAGGTCCCTGAGGTGGTTGGTTTTTGTTTTTTTTTTTGTTTTTTTTTGGATGGAGTCTTGCTCTGTCACCCAGGCTGGAGTGCAGTGGCGCAATCTCGGCTCACTGCAACTTCCGCCTCCTGTGTTCAAGCGATTCTCCTGCAGCAGCCTCAGACTACAGGAGCACACCACCACACCCATCTAATTTTTATATTTTTAGTAGAGACGGGTTTCACTACGTTGGCCAGGCTGGTCTTGAACTCCTAACCTCAGGTGATCCGCCCACCTCGGCCTCCCAGAGTGCTGGGATTTCAGGCGTGAGCCACTGTGCCCAGCCCCTGAGGTGTTTTTTTGTTGTGGTTTGGTTGGTTTTTTTTTGTTGTTTTGTTTTGTTTTGAGGCAGGGTTTCTTTTTGAGGTGCGATCTCAGCTCGCAGCATCCTCTGCCTCGCAGGCTCAAGCCATCCTCCCACTTCAGCCACCAGAGTAGCTAGGGCTACAGGTATGCCACCACACCCAGCTAATTTTTATATTTTTAGCCAGCTAATTTTTATATTTTTAGTAGAGACGGAGTTTCACCATGCTGGCCAGGCTGGTCTCGAACTCCTGGCCGCAAATGATCCGCCCACCTCAACCTCCCAAAGTGCTGGGATTACAGGCATGAACCACCACAGTTTTATTTTCAGGGTATCCCAAAAATGTGGTGACAAAGTCAGATAACTGCATTCTCTGAAAGGGCAACTGATATGACAACATAGAACAGATGAAGTCAGCCTTAATGAAGAGGAGATGATTAGATTAGAAGTCAAATGACCCAAACTCAGGTCTTTATTTCACCACTTGACCCTTTGAAACCCTAATGAAGTCACTTCATCCTCTCTGAACCTCACTTTTCTCATCTGTAAAATGGAATAACTACCTGCCCTGCCTACCTCCCAGAGGATCAAATGAGCTAATAGTCATAAAAGCACTTTACAAACTATAAAGTACTGCAAACAACATATTACCAAAATAAGTGGAAATCTAATTAATTATATTTCTGAGTATTGGCAGAAACTGAACTAGGTTGCAGGGAGGCGGTGGGCAGGGAGGGATAGAACAAGACTAGAAGGCTTCAGGGACTGTTCAAGTGAGGAGGGCACAAAGCACTAGATCCAGGTGTGCTCTGCCAAAGAAGCAGGGATGATTCTCTAGGTTCTAAAACAGCCTGGATGAATCATCCCACAAGACGATCAACTCCCTTTGCTCTGATTCTATGCTTAGCAGGCAGCTACTTATTAGTTGGGTTTCCAAGGTACTGCAACACCAAAAAAGGAGTTTGCTAGAGAGCAGACAGGAAAATATTCCACTCAACAGAAAAGATCCATGTGACATTTTGGCTTATTCATTAGTGTCTTATAAATGTGGTTAGTGAGAATTAATTTTCCACAATCTGAACAATCCTGAGTGAACCACTAAGTCCTCAAACCTGCAAAAGCTAAAATCAAAACAAAAAAAAAAAAGAGTCCCTGGGCAGTGCCTAATATCACCAGGTTGATCCTTTCCATGAAATTCAGTTTATGCCCACAGTTACACAATTTCTTTCGATATCAGATCATAAATGCAACAGTTGTTTCAATTATGAATTACTAGGGGGAGGGAAGAAACATCTGTTGAGCATCTATAGGCACTAGTCTCTACAATAAGACTTATCATATACTCTCATTTCATTCTCTCAACAATCTTACAGAACATACTTATTATTACCCTCAATTTATAGACGAGAAAATGAAAGTTCAAAGGAATTGAGTAATTTTCCCAGGGTCATACAACTATTACATTACTAGATTGAATCTGTTACATTCCTAAAGACCTGAGCATGTCTTTAGCCAGGGGACATATCTGAAGTTAACCTGGCATAATACACTGAAGTTTATCAAACAATATTAATGCGGCAAGCCAATTTATTTTTAAAAGGCATATGAAATTTGATTATGAGGGCCTTTAAACAATACTTTAAGAAGCAAATTAGGGTGGGGCTTAATCACTCAGCTATGCAAACAAGTGCTAAGTAAACAAACGTGCCAAGTTTCCAAACTCAAATGGCAACTCGAATTTTCTACGCACTAAAAAGATGAAACACTCTACGACTAAGTTCATTATGTAGGTAAAGTTTGAATATTAAAGTGAATTCCACCACAGCCCCTAAACACTGAGCTACTTAGCCAAGGCATTAGAAACCTGTTGGGCTTTGAGGTGGAAGCACCAGGCCCCAATACTCAGGACACTTGTTACAGCCTGGAATGGTTCTTCTGGTTTGGATAGAGAGAAATAACCAGAGGCCATCCATATCCACAACAAATTAGTTTCCAAAGCACTTTCTCCTTCATTTGATCCTCACAACCACTCATAACCCAATTAGAAGAGAACTCAGGGCATTGAAGCCTGTGGTGGAGCAGACTGACTGGCAACTCCTGTGTCACTCAAAGGCTGGCTCAGACCACTCTGAGACTAACACACAGACTGAGTGACAGAGGCACAGGACCATGTTCTTTGGGACATCAGGGCCTTTCAGAAAGGGTGGGCATTTTGTCCCTTGACCTTCAGAGATCATGAGAGGTGTTTGGATGAAGTTCTTCTTCCTCATCTGAAGGCTCTGGACCATCTGCCAGTGCAAAGAAAAATAGGGGCGCGGCCCCAAACCAGGACTACCGGCTGGTAGTAGGCAGCGGGGCCCTTTTCCCGGTCTGGGCCAGGCCTCCGCGCGCACTGGGTAGCGGATCGCCCCCTTCTGAGGCCCAAACTACCCTCGTCGCGACCCCGGGCACATATCGTCTCCCCGAGGTGGGGCCAAGAGTGGCCTCCGCCCGGCAGCGCCGGTCACCTTCCCGAACCTCCCCCCTGGACCTCGGGATCCACCCAACGGCCGGCTGGGGCGCGGTCACCGCCCCCCAGGCCCGGGTCAGCTCCCTCCGCTTCGTGCTGCGGGGCTCGGGTCCCCTTCCCCGAGGCCTGGCGGCCCGAACCCGGCGAGGCGACGGGGCAGCGAAAGTCCCGGCCGCCCGCCCCGGGTCCCGGGTCCCGGGTCCCGCCCCGACCCGAGCTCGCTCCTCACCGGGTCCCAGCGCCTCCATGGCGGCGGCGGGGGCCGCCTCGCCCCGGTCCCCGGCGCCTCCCGCTCCGGGCCCCGCCGCCGCCGCCGCCGCCGCCGCGTAACGCTTGATCTCCGGAATATTGGCGCTGGGGTGGCGCCGCGGAGACGCGGGCGCTGGGCAGGGGGCGGCGGCGGCGCCCGGCCCGGGGACAGGGACCCGGCTCCGGCTCTTCCGGCCTCAGCGACAACAAAAACAATCCCCGCCGCCGCCGCCGCCGCCGCCGCCAACGGGAGCGGGAGCGGGAGCCAGCGCGCGCGCCCGCCGGGAGGGAAGGGGGCGCGGGGTGCGCGGACCCAGGGTCCCGGCGGGCGGAGGGGGCGTGCGCGGCCCCGGGCGCGGGGTCCACAGAGCCCGGCAGGCGGCGAGGCGGGTCGGGGAACGAGCGCGCGCCCGGAGGGTGCAGAGCCCGGTGGACGTGTCGGGCACGCGCCCGCTGGCCCGCTCTGCCCCGTCCACCCGAGGAGGCCGTCCGGTGGCCAACGGCTCTGGGGGCTACGTGCCATCCCCCCAGGGCGTCCTGCAAAAGATCTGGATTCCAGTTCCGCTGACCCACAGATTCAGTTTTCCACTTCTGTGAGTGGAAAGTGTACTGAGATTCACAGGAGCCACCTCGCCTCCCTCCTCCCTCCTCCCACCCCAGATCGCTTCTGTCATCTCGTCTTTTAGGGTCACCTTAGACGCTAGCAGTCCTCCTTCATCCCTTCATTCAGCACCACACACCCAACTGCGCGTCCCTCTCCGTATAGCCGGAAGGCACCACGGGAATGGACCCTGATGAATGATGCATTCCCTCCCTGGTCCCATGACAAGCGCCTCTGGTCAGCAAATCACCAGTCACTTTAGAAGAGAAAGGTCTTGGCCGGGCGTGGTGGCTCACGCCTGTAATACCAGCACTTTGGGAGGCGGAGGCGGGTGGATCACCTGGGGTCAGGAGTTTGAGACCATCCTGGCCAACATGGCGGAAGCCCATCTCTACTAAAAACACAAAAAATTAGCCGGGCGTGGAGGCAGGCGCCTGTAATCCCAGCTACTTGGGAGGCTGAGGCAGGAGAATCGCTTGAACCCGGGAGGCAGAGGTTTCAGTGAGCCGAAATCGGGCCACTGCACTCCAGCCTGGGCGACAGAGCAAGACTGTCTGAAAAAAAAAAAATAAAAATAAAAGAGAGAGAGAGAGAGAAAGGTCTTGCTTTCTTGGATGCCTTCCCCTTAGCAGACAAAAGCCAAGGGAGCAGCACCACCTCCAAGGCAGCATGGTCAGCCCAGCAGGCACAGCATCTTTAGGGCTTTCAGTAAGGACTTTGAGTGGGAGAACACTGGACAACAGGCCAAGAAGCAGTTTCTAGTCAGCAGAAGGAAGGAGCCCCTTGTCCACCAATTGAAAAGGTACGATGAGTTTGTGTGTGTGTGTTGTATTCCTTTGCTACGGCATAACGTAACAAAGTACCACAGACTGGGTGGCTTAAACAACAGAAATTTATTTTCTCACAATTCTGGAGGCTGGCAGTCAGAGATACGATGTAGGCAGGGTTGGTTCCTTCTGAGGCCTATCTCCTTCACTTGGTAGATAGTGGCCTTCTCCCAGTGACTTCACGTGGTCTTCCCTCTGTGCACGTCTGTGTCCAAATTTCCTCTTCTTATAAGGACAGCAGTCCTATTAGAGTAGGGCTCACTCTAGTGACCTCGTTTTAATTTAATTACCTCTTCAGAGACCCTGTTTCCAATTACAGTCACATCCTGGGGTGCTAGAGTTAGGACTTCAATATACAAATTATTGGGGTGGGGGATAATTTAGGCCCCTAGCATGTGTGGTGGGATATTCATTTGAGCACCTGCCATGTGCTGTCACAGAGCCAGGTAGTTTTTTTATGTAATGATAAAAAATATTAGCATCACATCCTGGCCATGCACTCTGCTATGGGCTTCTCATTGTCACTCAATCTTTACAACCACCAGTAAGGTAGATATTGTTAAGAAAGGTATTTGTACAGATGATGACACCGAAGCTCAGGGAAGTTAAGTAAGTCGGGCTTTGCATTACATGATGCTGAAGTGAAGCATGGGAAAAATTGGAGTTCAAATCTTGCATTTAAGTCCTGGCTAATTCTCTCCCTGATTGGCTATGGAACTAGGACTTTTATTTTTTTATTTTTTATTTTTTGAGACGGAGTCTCGCTCTGTCGCCCAGGCTGGAGTGCAGTGGCGCCATCTCGGCTCACTGCAAGCTCCGCCTCCCGGGTTCACGCCATTCTCCTGCCTCAGCCTCCCAAGTAGCTGGGACTACAGGCGCCCGCTACCACGCCCGGCTAAATTTTTTTTTGTATTTTTAGTAGAGACGGGGTTTCACCGTGTTAGCCAAAATGGTCTCGATCTCCTGACCTTGTGATCCGCCCGCCTCAGCCTCCCAAAGTGCTGGGATTACGAGCTTGAGCCACCGCGCCCGGCCGGAACTGGGACTTTTAATCTAGTGCCTACATTCTTGTCTACTGATACCATACCCTATATTCTTTTATTTTTTTTGACCCGGAGTCTCGCTCTGTCGCCCAGGCTTGGGTGCAGCAGCGCGATCTCGGCTCACTGCAAGCTCCGCCTCCCGGGTTCACATCATTTTCCTGCCTCAGCCTTCCGAGTAGCTGGGACTACAGGTGCCCGCCACCACGCCCGGCTAATTTTTTGTATTTGTAGTAGAGACGGGGTTTCACCATATTAGCCAGGATGGTCTCGATCTCCTGACCTCGTGATCCGCCCGCCTCGGCCTTCCAAACTGCTGGGATTACAGGCGTGAGCCACCATGCCCGGCCACCATACTCTATATTCTTTTCACAGCATCATGCTACCTCTCTGTTAAACCAGATAGTAACTGGAAATAGTAATAGGGGACAGAATGTTCAAAGGGGAGAAAGTATTTACTAAACGATCAGACTGCTGCACAGCTAAGAAAAGAAAAACCAACTAGAGTTGGCCGGGCGCGGTGGCTCACGCCTGTAATCCCAGCACTTTGGGAGGCCGAGGCAGGCGGATCATGAGGTCAGGAGATCGAGACCATCCTGTCTAACACAGTGAAACCCCGTCTCTACTACAAATACAAAAAATTAGCCGGGTGTGGTGGCGGGCGCCTGTAGTCCCAGCTACTCTGGAGACTGAGGCGGGAGAATGGCGTGAACCTGGGAGGCGGAGCTTGCAGTGAGCTGAGATCAGGCCACTGCACTCCAGCCTGGGCGACAGAGCGAGACTCCGTCTCAAAAAAAAAAAGAAAAAAAAAAGAAAAACCAACTAAAGTTCAAGTTTTTCACTTCACGCTAAGTTCCACCTACAGTTTAAACAATGCCGGTGTCTCCAATAGCCTGGTTTGTGGCTGACTCTCCCAACCCCACTTCCTAACAAAATTTCTCTATATTCTATTTGCTACCCTGAGCAGAGACCACAGCTTGTTCCCTGGACTGAAAATAGTTTTTCCACTAGCTTTAGAGGCTGAAGTATGAAATTTATTCACCCCATAGTTCCAGTTGGGACCGAAATGTCTCACTCAACAGAGTGATTCTTGATTACTCTGATCATCTACCTTCTCATTTCAAAACTCACTCTCACTCAAACACCCACTGTTCCTTTTCCAAAAACTATTCCTACAGAACCCTCCCAAACCAAATTTCTGTAGTCAATAAACTCCTCTAAACCTTGGCCTGCTCAGCAAGCCCTCCCTCCACTTCCTGCTGTGGCTGAGAAGCCATGACCCAGAATGTCACTTCCCCTGCAGCTCTCTCTGATGGTGGTTGCTCATTCTTCCACATCGCACATGCCTCCAGGACAGGGTAGGGCATGAGTAAAGAATTGACAACATATTTGCCCCATCATACGAAACTTTGAATTCTTATTTTCATATTAAAACCATTTGCCGGTCGGGCGCAGTGGCTCACGCCTGTAATCCCAGCACTTTGGGAGGCCGAGGCAGGCGGATCACGAGGTCAGGAGATCAAGACCATCCTGGCTAACACGGTGAAACCCCCTCTACTAAAAATACAAAAAAATTAGCCAGGCGTGGTAACACGCGCCTGTAGTCCCAGCTACTTGGGAGGCTGAAGCAGGATAATCGCTTGAATCCTGGAGGCGGAGGTTGCGGTGTGAGCCGAGATCCCGCCACTGCACTCCAGCCTGGGTGACAGAGAGAGACTCCGTCTCAAAAAATAAATAAATAAAATAACTAAATAAGTAAATAAAACCATTTGCCATCTAGCCACACCATCACAGAGCCTCCTTTGGGGGTACAGTTAACTCAACTCCTGGTCTTATGTTTCATTCCAGGCCTGGCTCCCATGATAGTGAAAATCCTTGAGGGCAGGGCTCATTCAAGCATTCAGGTTTGTTCTCTGTTGTCCACCAACCTACCAGGCACCAAATGACTATTTGTGGACATTTATGGAGTGAATGAATGAATAAGTGAATGTATAAATTGTGGAAGCTACAAATGGTCCAGTAGAGGGGCCAAGGTGAAAAACTCTGGGTGAGGTGCCAGCTTCTCTAGAGCACAGATTTTCAAATCAGATGGTCCTGGGTGCAAATCCCAGT